>NC_000013.11:57158106-58408106 GCF_000001405.40 Homo sapiens
GGCGGAGGTTGCAGTGAGCCCAGACTGCGCCATTGCAGTGATCCGAGATCATGCTATTGCACTCCAGCCTGGGTGACAAGAGCAAAACTTTGTCTCAAAATGGAAAAAAGAGAGAGAGAAGTTATCCCAATAAGAAAGATAAAAGTTTTGAAGAGAAACTTCACAGAAGAATCTATGGGTTCGGTCAGTGAGCACACGAAATCCCAATAAGGATGAGAATATGCAAATAAGCATGGAGCATCCTGTGGTGCCAGGGAGAAAGGAGCCGCCCAAAACCAAACAAAGCCAAAAGCCACAGCGATGGGAGGTTGACAAAGGGACACGGAAGCCAACTAAAGGAGCTCCCGGTGGCCAAAGCTGGAAACGTTGAGTAACAAAGTAATTAGCTAAATAATTAATAATTAAATAGTTAAGTAAAATATTTGACAAAATAATTAGTTCAATTATTAAATAATTCATCCCCCGAAGTACTGGAGTGTAAACCAAAGCATACAATAGGTGTCCATAAGTCCATACGGATATAAATAAGTGATTAAATAAACAAACATGTGGGGGAGAATGGGAAAATCCTCCACACAGGAGAACTCCACAGAACTTAGGTAGCTATTCCCCTGCAAGGAGATAAAGCAAAACTTCCCTTTTCTTTACGTATAGGCTACAGGTAGCGACTTCCAGAAAGCACAGTAGAGAAAGAGGTGGGAAAATCACTTTATGGTGGAGAAACCTAATCAACACTGCCCCAGCCCGGTGACCAGGACTAATAGCAGCAGTGATAAGCCGGCTTGATGGTGTGTACTCTAGACAGGATGGGATGGGAATGGCGCTTTCCCGCTGCAATCTTCCTGACAAAAACATATAATTCCAGTCAGATCACAAGGAATACATCACACGAACTTCAGGAGAGGACATCCCACAATATATCTGATCAGTATTCAAAGTGTCAGGGTCATCAAAAACAAGGCAAGTGTGAGAAACCGTCGCAGCCAAGGGGAACCGTGACGAGTTGTAAGGTGGTACCCTGGATGGGGTCTTGGGACAGAAAAGGTATGTGAGGTGAAAGCATAGCAAAACCTCACTTCAACAGGAAATACAACCCAAAAAAATAATTGGCCCGGCATGGTGGCTTGCGCCTGGGGTCCCAGCGACTCGGGAGGTTGAGCGGGACGGACGGCTTGAGCTCAGGCCTTCCAAACAAGCCTGGGCACATAGCGAAACCTCGTCTCTCCAAAAAAATCCGAAAATTATCCCGATGTGGTGGCGCTCACCTGTAGTCCAGCTACTCCGGAGGCCGAGACAGGAGAATCACTTGAACTGATTCTCCTATCTCAGCCCCCCCCCCCCCCCCCCCCCCCCCCCAAGTAGCCGCAGCGAGCCGAGATGGCACCGCTGCACTCCAGCCTGGGCTACAGAGCGAGAACCCGTCTCTGTAAAAGACACAAGGATGCAAACCAACCAAATAACCCACTGTGGGATCCCCTCCAGCGTCCTGCTGTGTTTCCCGCTGTCTTCCTCCACCCGTGAGTGCACCCACAGCAATAAAAGCCAGCGGTGTGGGTCTCACACGCATCTCCAGCCCCGTCGCCATCGCGCTGAGCTCGACTCTTTTTACAAAAGGCCACTTGACATCCTCACTTGGCAGTTCAAAAGCCCCTTCAACCAGATGTGCGCAAGCCAAGCTCCGCAACTTCCCGTTCAGAGCAGGTTCTCGGTCCACCTCTGCCTGAATGAACCGGCGGGCTACCAAGGCCGCAGTCTCTTCCTCAAGGGCTGTCCACACTGGGTCTCGCTTTCTCTTGGAAATTTCTCTCCCACCAGGGAACTTTCTCCTCCTCTACCTCCCTGAGTCTCAGTCTAACAGCACCCTGCGCCCAACCCCGAGGGCTGCAATAGCCTTCTTGCCTCTCCTGACTTATTCTGCGGACCCTGGGTTGGCGCTCCTTCACAGCCAGGCTGGTCGTTTCTGAAATGTTAACCCGCTGCCGGACACCGTTCCACGGTTTTCCGCTGCCTTGGAACAAGACCAGCTCCTGCGCGGACCCTGCCTCCACCTCGCACCACCTCCGGGCCTGGACTTGGCCTCCCGTCCATTCCCAGAATGTGCCGGGCTCCCTTCCAGTCCGGGCCTCAGCACACTCTCTTCACTCCCCTTCCTCCCTCCCTGCCTCTCCCAACCCGGTTCAGGATGACTAATTTCAAACGTTATGTTCCAGATTTCAGCCCAGATATCCCCGCTTTGGATGCTTTCCTTGACCATGCTCAGATCTAAGCTAATCGCATCTTCCTGTCAGCCGCTTTCAGGGCACCACACCTCATTGTGCTGACACTCAGAGGTCATTATGCAATTTTTTTTCCTCGATGATTAGATTAATCAATCAACCACGGACGTCTAGAAATGGCGGCATCTCAGAAGGGCCCCCATTTGACTGGCAGGGGACTGGCCCAATGCGCCTCGCAAGCCCAGCCAGGCCCGCCCCAGCCGGCCCCCCTCTGACGACGCCTGTCCCTTACGCGACTGCCTTGCTGCCATATAAGAGGGACGGCGCTCGGCCTCCAGCAGTCGGCTTTCTGCTGGGCTCGGAGCCAGAACCTGCTGCGTGCTCCCTCCAGACTCCCTGGCTGCGGGTGGACTACCTCAGAGCTACAGCGGTGAACCTGTGGACACCTCCGACTCCTCGGGCCTCTCTTCGTCGAAGAGTCTCCTAATTTTCAGATCTCCGGAGCCAGCTGTGGGAAGATCAGGTGTGTGTCTGGGGGTCCCGGAGGCGTGGACGGATCTCGGGTGGGTGCAGTTGGGGACAGAATCCTCATTCCCCTAGAAAGGCCACGGCCATCCCCCTGCCTTGTCACCTCTGTCTTCCTAAATCCGTTCTTGCTCTCTTGTTTTTCTCCCCAGCCCCTCCCGCCGATTGCTCATGGAGGAACCAAGGCCTTCGAAGCGACTTCGCTCCATGGCCCCTAATCAAGGTACATCAAACGCCTGCCACTCCTCTCTTTTTAATTTCGTCTGTTCCCCAATTCTTCCCCAATGGTTGACACTCAAACTCAATCAAGCATTCTCTGTTTCACCTTCTCCTAGCCTGCCTCAACCTGGGCTGCTTGTTGGAAGTCAGCTCCCGGGTTCCACATCATCTGGGAAATTCCTTTCCCTCTTCCGAACCGTAATCCCATTTCCCAAATCTGAGATTTGCTGTTGTTGTCGCTGTTTCCTTCTGTTTAGTTTTGTATTACTGTTTCTCCGTAGCAGAGCGAGTCCTCACGCTACGTCTTGATCTATGATAAACCGGTACTTCCACCTTGTTCTTTCCCGGAGGAGTTGGAATTTTCCGGCTGTTGCCACGTTGTTCTCCAAAACTTTTCCCTTCATACGCTGAGTGTCCTAAATCTTTTAATCTTGTCTAGTTTGACAGATGCATAACAATAAAGCATCCACTGAAAGGAAATTCTTTAACATCTTGCTTGTCTGAAACATCTTCATTCTCCCCTCCCAGATTCTTCAGCGAAACTTCGGTTGGACAGGAAATTTTAGGTGGGAAATTCATTTCCCTTGAAATTTCGAAGACATTTTCTGTTATGTTCTAGACTGAACTGCTGCTTTTGAGATGTCTGACTTTTGAGACATGTGGAATCCTAGCCCTTTCCATGTGACTTTTCCTTTCTCTGTCTCCCGCTCTCTAGAATCTGTTAGAATCTTCTCTTTTTCCTCAGCACTCTGAAATTTTCTGGTGAAATGTCTCAGCCACAGCATACCTCTAATTCTCTTATATTTCATCCTTCTTTCCATCATTTTAGGTTTTTGCTTTGTTCTGTGGGAGACCTTCTCAACTTCTTTCTCCAACTTCCGTGGAGAGTTTTGTTTCTTCTCTCACAATTTTAACTTCAGAAATCCCTCTTTTCTCTGAGTATTTATTTGTAAAAGTATCCTATAACTGCTTGACGGGTGAAGTTCCTTCTGTCTCTCTCTGCTCACGCTCCGCTTCTCTTTTAGCCTCAGGTGGGCCTCCTCCAGAGCCAGGCTGCTGTGTTGCGGACCCTGAAGGCTCCGTGGAAGCAGATGGGCCCGCACAGCCAGCCCAACCCGCAAAACCCATCGCTTACGTGAAACCCTTCAGACGGCAGCCCCCAGCTCGCCCAGAGTCACCCCCTCCTGCAGAGAGAGGCCGGCGCCGGGGAGGAAGCCGGCGGCCAGGGCGAGGCCGTGGCAGAAGGGCTGGGCCCCGCGGGGACGCTGGCCAGAGACAGGGGGCAGAAGGCTTGATGGCACCGGACGTGCACATCCAACTGGACCACCATGGAGAGCCAGGCCACCAGGGGGAACCGGAAATCACGGAGACCGCAGCCTTCTCCCTTTCTGAAACAGGTCCTCCGCCTGGAACTGTGCAGGAAGGCCCTGGCCCCGACGTGGCGCAACCTGAGCTGGGGTTTCAGGAGCCGCCCGCTGCTCCTGGGCCTCAGGCTGTTGACTGGCAACCCGTCTTGACCCTCTATCCCTGCATCGGGTTTAGGGCTCTGGGTGACTCAGCGGTTTTACAAGTCATTCAAACCCCCCAGGGCACCTACGTGCAAGGGGTCCCAGTGTTCCTCACCGACATTGCGTATTGACCACTATCTGCCACCCACGTTGTTCCCAGCCTCCCTTCCTTCCACCTGGACGTTCCCCCCAGCCCCACTTCTGCTCCACTCCTCCCCCGACTGGACCTGAAGCCTGAGCTTCCCCTGAACTTGGAGTACGCAACTTACAACATGCAAGCTGCCAAACACCCTTTCTGTACAAGGCGATTGGAATGGAACTGTCATGTACAGTGAAAGTACACGTCACGTTTTTCAGCCAAGAAGAAGCCAACCCAGACAACCTGGAAGAAGTGGGATGCAACAAGGATCACTAAGCATGGAAATTAGGAAACTGTATTCTTAAGTCCAGAGAAGTACGATTCTGGAAAAAGGATTGATGACCTAGAATTAAAATTCCAGAAGACACTCATATAGACATGTGGGACATGCGAAAACTCAGAAGGAGCTAGAAGTTACTAAAGTGCTTCTCTAGTGCCTGGAGACGATAGACTGGCTGAATATAAGAGCAATAAAAATCTAGACTGACACATTTTTAAGTCTCAACGTGGGTACCCTTTGGGAACCACTAAATGAATTGGAATAGAAGGTAAAATTTCAAACAGATTGAGGAAAAAGGGGATCAAAGGACATGTGACGAATCAGACAAAAGGTGTTGGGGTGGGGGGGGGGGCGGTTAACGGAAGCAAGGAGAGTGCATGACTCACTGGAACCGCTAAACCAGGAATCAGTAATTTGACGGCAGTGTCCTTGGCTTCCTCCTGGCTTTAATGGGAATATTTTGAATGTTTCACCATTAACCAAGATGTTGGCTGTAGGTGTCTCTTAGATGTTTAAGTTGAGTTAGTTCCCATCTTTTCAGAGTTTGATAAATGTTGTATTATGAACTTTTGTATTTTGTATTTTATTAGGTAGGCTGTTGTTGGCTGGTTTTCACTCCTTTGTAAACGTCCAAATAAAATACAGATAACTTTTTACATCAAAGATTTTTCTCTTGTGTACTCAATCCTTCTAAATAAACCTTTCTCTTCAGACTTATTTTATAGAACAGTTCTTTCACTAAACTTTCACAAATCGCAAATACAAAATGTGTTTACTAAAAGCAGAAAGGAAGGTAGAAAAATGGCTCCAGTCTCTGTTCTCCATTCATATCGCATCTTTCCCCATAGTCACACAAGTCTACACCAACAAACGTGTACATTGAGAGCATCGTTTGTGGCTCGCTTTTACAAACACCTGGCGTGCCATGCGCCAGGGGTCCTGCTGAAGTGACTATAAGGTCCAGGCAGGCAACACAGGTGTGGTCAGGACCAGAGCCTCTGTGGAGTCCGTGCGTCTCCAAACTAGGAACAGGCGACTTCGTATTGAAGCATGGCATGGAGCACAATGAGCACTGTGCAGTGGGAGCTGCTTCTTGGCTTGCCATTGGGGTCTGTCATCCATAAGCCAGAAAGCCCCCTTGCAGTCATCCTACGCACATGTGCCACTATCTTCTTGCTGTATATCTGTCTGGAAAGATGCACAGCTTTTACATTATGCAGGTGGTGGTCTGCTGATACGCTACTTCCAGGATATTTCTACCACCAGAATGCTTCACTAAACATTGGTACGTGGAGTAAGACAGGGTCTCATTCCGTCATCCAGGCTGGAGTGCAGTGGTGCAATCACAGCTCAGCGCAGCCTGCGCCTCCTCAGCTCGGGTGATCCTCCAACATCAGGTTGCCAAGTAGCTCAGACTGCAGGCAGGCACCAAGAGCCCTTGGTAATTCCTCCTGGTTTATTTATTCGTTCATTTATTTATTTATTTATTTTGAAACAGACTCTCACTCTTTCACCCAGGCTGGAGCGCGGTGGCTTCGGCTCACTGAGAACTCCATTCCCGGGACTGAAGCGATTCTCATGTCTCGCCCTAATAAAAATAGGAAAATTAGCCAGGCATGGTGGTGGGCCACTGTAGTCCCAGCTGCTCGGGAGGCTGAGGCGGGAGAATCCTTTGAGCCCAGGAGGCGGAGGTTGCAGTGAGCCCAGACTGCGCCATTGCAGTGATCCGAGATCATGCTATTGCACTCCAGCCTGGGTGACAAGAGCAAAACTTTGTCTCAAAATGGAAAAAAGAGAGAGAGAAGTTATCCCAATAAGAAAGATAAAAGTTTTGAAGAGAAACTTCACAGAAGAATCTATGGGTTCGGTCAGTGAGCACACGAAATCCCAATAAGGATGAGAATATGCAAATAAGCATGGAGCATCCTGTGGTGCCAGGGAGAAAGGAGCCGCCCAAAACCAAACAAAGCCAAAAGCCACAGCGATGGGAGGTTGACAAAGGGACACGGAAGCCAACTAAAGGAGCTCCCGGTGGCCAAAGCTGGAAACGTTGAGTAACAAAGTAATTAGCTAAATAATTAATAATTAAATAGTTAAGTAAAATATTTGACAAAATAATTAGTTCAATTATTAAATAATTCATCCCCCGAAGTACTGGAGTGTAAACCAAAGCATACAATAGGTGTCCATAAGTCCATACGGATATAAATAAGTGATTAAATAAACAAACATGTGGGGGAGAATGGGAAAATCCTCCACACAGGAGAACTCCACAGAACTTAGGTAGCTATTCCCCTGCAAGGAGATAAAGCAAAACTTCCCTTTTCTTTACGTATAGGCTACAGGTAGCGACTTCCAGAAAGCACAGTAGAGAAAGAGGTGGGAAAATCACTTTATGGTGGAGAAACCTAATCAACACTGCCCCAGCCCGGTGACCAGGACTAATAGCAGCAGTGATAAGCCGGCTTGATGGTGTGTACTCTAGACAGGATGGGATGGGAATGGCGCTTTCCCGCTGCAATCTTCCTGACAAAAACATATAATTCCAGTCAGATCACAAGGAATACATCACACGAACTTCAGGAGAGGACATCCCACAATATATCTGATCAGTATTCAAAGTGTCAGGGTCATCAAAAACAAGGCAAGTGTGAGAAACCGTCGCAGCCAAGGGGAACCGTGACGAGTTGTAAGGTGGTACCCTGGATGGGGTCTTGGGACAGAAAAGGTATGTGAGGTGAAAGCATAGCAAAACCTCACTTCAACAGGAAATACAACCCAAAAAAATAATTGGCCCGGCATGGTGGCTTGCGCCTGGGGTCCCAGCGACTCGGGAGGTTGAGCGGGACGGACGGCTTGAGCTCAGGCCTTCCAAACAAGCCTGGGCACATAGCGAAACCTCGTCTCTCCAAAAAAATCCGAAAATTATCCCGATGTGGTGGCGCTCACCTGTAGTCCAGCTACTCCGGAGGCCGAGACAGGAGAATCACTTGAACTGATTCTCCTATCTCAGCCCCCCCCCCCCCCCCCCCCCAAGTAGCCGCAGCGAGCCGAGATGGCACCGCTGCACTCCAGCCTGGGCTACAGAGCGAGAACCCGTCTCTGTAAAAGACACAAGGATGCAAACCAACCAAATAACCCACTGTGGGATCCCCTCCAGCGTCCTGCTGTGTTTCCCGCTGTCTTCCTCCACCCGTGAGTGCACCCACAGCAATAAAAGCCAGCGGTGTGGGTCTCACACGCATCTCCAGCCCCGTCGCCATCGCGCTGAGCTCGACTCTTTTTACAAAAGGCCACTTGACATCCTCACTTGGCAGTTCAAAAGCCCCTTCAACCAGATGTGCGCAAGCCAAGCTCCGCAACTTCCCGTTCAGAGCAGGTTCTCGGTCCACCTCTGCCTGAATGAACCGGCGGGCTACCAAGGCCGCAGTCTCTTCCTCAAGGGCTGTCCACACTGGGTCTCGCTTTCTCTTGGAAATTTCTCTCCCACCAGGGAACTTTCTCCTCCTCTACCTCCCTGAGTCTCAGTCTAACAGCACCCTGCGCCCAACCCCGAGGGCTGCAATAGCCTTCTTGCCTCTCCTGACTTATTCTGCGGACCCTGGGTTGGCGCTCCTTCACAGCCAGGCTGGTCGTTTCTGAAATGTTAACCCGCTGCCGGACACCGTTCCACGGTTTTCCGCTGCCTTGGAACAAGACCAGCTCCTGCGCGGACCCTGCCTCCACCTCGCACCACCTCCGGGCCTGGACTTGGCCTCCCGTCCATTCCCAGAATGTGCCGGGCTCCCTTCCAGTCCGGGCCTCAGCACACTCTCTTCACTCCCCTTCCTCCCTCCCTGCCTCTCCCAACCCGGTTCAGGATGACTAATTTCAAACGTTATGTTCCAGATTTCAGCCCAGATATCCCCGCTTTGGATGCTTTCCTTGACCATGCTCAGATCTAAGCTAATCGCATCTTCCTGTCAGCCGCTTTCAGGGCACCACACCTCATTGTGCTGACACTCAGAGGTCATTATGCAATTTTTTTTCCTCGATGATTAGATTAATCAATCAACCACGGACGTCTAGAAATGGCGGCATCTCAGAAGGGCCCCCATTTGACTGGCAGGGGACTGGCCCAATGCGCCTCGCAAGCCCAGCCAGGCCCGCCCCAGCCGGCCCCCCTCTGACGACGCCTGTCCCTTACGCGACTGCCTTGCTGCCATATAAGAGGGACGGCGCTCGGCCTCCAGCAGTCGGCTTTCTGCTGGGCTCGGAGCCAGAACCTGCTGCGTGCTCCCTCCAGACTCCCTGGCTGCGGGTGGACTACCTCAGAGCTACAGCGGTGAACCTGTGGACACCTCCGACTCCTCGGGCCTCTCTTCGTCGAAGAGTCTCCTAATTTTCAGATCTCCGGAGCCAGCTGTGGGAAGATCAGGTGTGTGTCTGGGGGTCCCGGAGGCGTGGACGGATCTCGGGTGGGTGCAGTTGGGGACAGAATCCTCATTCCCCTAGAAAGGCCACGGCCATCCCCCTGCCTTGTCACCTCTGTCTTCCTAAATCCGTTCTTGCTCTCTTGTTTTTCTCCCCAGCCCCTCCCGCCGATTGCTCATGGAGGAACCAAGGCCTTCGAAGCGACTTCGCTCCATGGCCCCTAATCAAGGTACATCAAACGCCTGCCACTCCTCTCTTTTTAATTTCGTCTGTTCCCCAATTCTTCCCCAATGGTTGACACTCAAACTCAATCAAGCATTCTCTGTTTCACCTTCTCCTAGCCTGCCTCAACCTGGGCTGCTTGTTGGAAGTCAGCTCCCGGGTTCCACATCATCTGGGAAATTCCTTTCCCTCTTCCGAACCGTAATCCCATTTCCCAAATCTGAGATTTGCTGTTGTTGTCGCTGTTTCCTTCTGTTTAGTTTTGTATTACTGTTTCTCCGTAGCAGAGCGAGTCCTCACGCTACGTCTTGATCTATGATAAACCGGTACTTCCACCTTGTTCTTTCCCGGAGGAGTTGGAATTTTCCGGCTGTTGCCACGTTGTTCTCCAAAACTTTTCCCTTCATACGCTGAGTGTCCTAAATCTTTTAATCTTGTCTAGTTTGACAGATGCATAACAATAAAGCATCCACTGAAAGGAAATTCTTTAACATCTTGCTTGTCTGAAACATCTTCATTCTCCCCTCCCAGATTCTTCAGCGAAACTTCGGTTGGACAGGAAATTTTAGGTGGGAAATTCATTTCCCTTGAAATTTCGAAGACATTTTCTGTTATGTTCTAGACTGAACTGCTGCTTTTGAGATGTCTGACTTTTGAGACATGTGGAATCCTAGCCCTTTCCATGTGACTTTTCCTTTCTCTGTCTCCCGCTCTCTAGAATCTGTTAGAATCTTCTCTTTTTCCTCAGCACTCTGAAATTTTCTGGTGAAATGTCTCAGCCACAGCATACCTCTAATTCTCTTATATTTCATCCTTCTTTCCATCATTTTAGGTTTTTGCTTTGTTCTGTGGGAGACCTTCTCAACTTCTTTCTCCAACTTCCGTGGAGAGTTTTGTTTCTTCTCTCACAATTTTAACTTCAGAAATCCCTCTTTTCTCTGAGTATTTATTTGTAAAAGTATCCTATAACTGCTTGACGGGTGAAGTTCCTTCTGTCTCTCTCTGCTCACGCTCCGCTTCTCTTTTAGCCTCAGGTGGGCCTCCTCCAGAGCCAGGCTGCTGTGTTGCGGACCCTGAAGGCTCCGTGGAAGCAGATGGGCCCGCACAGCCAGCCCAACCCGCAAAACCCATCGCTTACGTGAAACCCTTCAGACGGCAGCCCCCAGCTCGCCCAGAGTCACCCCCTCCTGCAGAGAGAGGCCGGCGCCGGGGAGGAAGCCGGCGGCCAGGGCGAGGCCGTGGCAGAAGGGCTGGGCCCCGCGGGGACGCTGGCCAGAGACAGGGGGCAGAAGGCTTGATGGCACCGGACGTGCACATCCAACTGGACCACCATGGAGAGCCAGGCCACCAGGGGGAACCGGAAATCACGGAGACCGCAGCCTTCTCCCTTTCTGAAACAGGTCCTCCGCCTGGAACTGTGCAGGAAGGCCCTGGCCCCGACGTGGCGCAACCTGAGCTGGGGTTTCAGGAGCCGCCCGCTGCTCCTGGGCCTCAGGCTGTTGACTGGCAACCCGTCTTGACCCTCTATCCCTGCATCGGGTTTAGGGCTCTGGGTGACTCAGCGGTTTTACAAGTCATTCAAACCCCCCAGGGCACCTACGTGCAAGGGGTCCCAGTGTTCCTCACCGACATTGCGTATTGACCACTATCTGCCACCCACGTTGTTCCCAGCCTCCCTTCCTTCCACCTGGACGTTCCCCCCAGCCCCACTTCTGCTCCACTCCTCCCCCGACTGGACCTGAAGCCTGAGCTTCCCCTGAACTTGGAGTACGCAACTTACAACATGCAAGCTGCCAAACACCCTTTCTGTACAAGGCGATTGGAATGGAACTGTCATGTACAGTGAAAGTACACGTCACGTTTTTCAGCCAAGAAGAAGCCAACCCAGACAACCTGGAAGAAGTGGGATGCAACAAGGATCACTAAGCATGGAAATTAGGAAACTGTATTCTTAAGTCCAGAGAAGTACGATTCTGGAAAAAGGATTGATGACCTAGAATTAAAATTCCAGAAGACACTCATATAGACATGTGGGACATGCGAAAACTCAGAAGGAGCTAGAAGTTACTAAAGTGCTTCTCTAGTGCCTGGAGACGATAGACTGGCTGAATATAAGAGCAATAAAAATCTAGACTGACACATTTTTAAGTCTCAACGTGGGTACCCTTTGGGAACCACTAAATGAATTGGAATAGAAGGTAAAATTTCAAACAGATTGAGGAAAAAGGGGATCAAAGGACATGTGACGAATCAGACAAAAGGTGTTGGGGTGGGGGGGGGGGCGGTTAACGGAAGCAAGGAGAGTGCATGACTCACTGGAACCGCTAAACCAGGAATCAGTAATTTGACGGCAGTGTCCTTGGCTTCCTCCTGGCTTTAATGGGAATATTTTGAATGTTTCACCATTAACCAAGATGTTGGCTGTAGGTGTCTCTTAGATGTTTAAGTTGAGTTAGTTCCCATCTTTTCAGAGTTTGATAAATGTTGTATTATGAACTTTTGTATTTTGTATTTTATTAGGTAGGCTGTTGTTGGCTGGTTTTCACTCCTTTGTAAACGTCCAAATAAAATACAGATAACTTTTTACATCAAAGATTTTTCTCTTGTGTACTCAATCCTTCTAAATAAACCTTTCTCTTCAGACTTATTTTATAGAACAGTTCTTTCACTAAACTTTCACAAATCGCAAATACAAAATGTGTTTACTAAAAGCAGAAAGGAAGGTAGAAAAATGGCTCCAGTCTCTGTTCTCCATTCATATCGCATCTTTCCCCATAGTCACACAAGTCTACACCAACAAACGTGTACATTGAGAGCATCGTTTGTGGCTCGCTTTTACAAACACCTGGCGTGCCATGCGCCAGGGGTCCTGCTGAAGTGACTATAAGGTCCAGGCAGGCAACACAGGTGTGGTCAGGACCAGAGCCTCTGTGGAGTCCGTGCGTCTCCAAACTAGGAACAGGCGACTTCGTATTGAAGCATGGCATGGAGCACAATGAGCACTGTGCAGTGGGAGCTGCTTCTTGGCTTGCCATTGGGGTCTGTCATCCATAAGCCAGAAAGCCCCCTTGCAGTCATCCTACGCACATGTGCCACTATCTTCTTGCTGTATATCTGTCTGGAAAGATGCACAGCTTTTACATTATGCAGGTGGTGGTCTGCTGATACGCTACTTCCAGGATATTTCTACCACCAGAATGCTTCACTAAACATTGGTACGTGGAGTAAGACAGGGTCTCATTCCGTCATCCAGGCTGGAGTGCAGTGGTGCAATCACAGCTCAGCGCAGCCTGCGCCTCCTCAGCTCGGGTGATCCTCCAACATCAGGTTGCCAAGTAGCTCAGACTGCAGGCAGGCACCAAGAGCCCTTGGTAATTCCTCCTGGTTTATTTATTCGTTCATTTATTTATTTATTTATTTTGAAACAGACTCTCACTCTTTCACCCAGGCTGGAGCGCGGTGGCTTCGGCTCACTGAGAACTCCATTCCCGGGACTGAAGCGATTCTCATGTCTCGCCCTAATAAAAATAGGAAAATTAGCCAGGCATGGTGGTGGGCCACTGTAGTCCCAGCTGCTCGGGAGGCTGAGGCGGGAGAATCCTTTGAGCCCAGGAGGCGGAGGTTGCAGTGAGCCCAGACTGCGCCATTGCAGTGATCCGAGATCATGCTATTGCACTCCAGCCTGGGTGACAAGAGCAAAACTTTGTCTCAAAATGGAAAAAAGAGAGAGAGAAGTTATCCCAATAAGAAAGATAAAAGTTTTGAAGAGAAACTTCACAGAAGAATCTATGGGTTCGGTCAGTGAGCACACGAAATCCCAATAAGGATGAGAATATGCAAATAAGCATGGAGCATCCTGTGGTGCCAGGGAGAAAGGAGCCGCCCAAAACCAAACAAAGCCAAAAGCCACAGCGATGGGAGGTTGACAAAGGGACACGGAAGCCAACTAAAGGAGCTCCCGGTGGCCAAAGCTGGAAACGTTGAGTAACAAAGTAATTAGCTAAATAATTAATAATTAAATAGTTAAGTAAAATATTTGACAAAATAATTAGTTCAATTATTAAATAATTCATCCCCCGAAGTACTGGAGTGTAAACCAAAGCATACAATAGGTGTCCATAAGTCCATACGGATATAAATAAGTGATTAAATAAACAAACATGTGGGGGAGAATGGGAAAATCCTCCACACAGGAGAACTCCACAGAACTTAGGTAGCTATTCCCCTGCAAGGAGATAAAGCAAAACTTCCCTTTTCTTTACGTATAGGCTACAGGTAGCGACTTCCAGAAAGCACAGTAGAGAAAGAGGTGGGAAAATCACTTTATGGTGGAGAAACCTAATCAACACTGCCCCAGCCCGGTGACCAGGACTAATAGCAGCAGTGATAAGCCGGCTTGATGGTGTGTACTCTAGACAGGATGGGATGGGAATGGCGCTTTCCCGCTGCAATCTTCCTGACAAAAACATATAATTCCAGTCAGATCACAAGGAATACATCACACGAACTTCAGGAGAGGACATCCCACAATATATCTGATCAGTATTCAAAGTGTCAGGGTCATCAAAAACAAGGCAAGTGTGAGAAACCGTCGCAGCCAAGGGGAACCGTGACGAGTTGTAAGGTGGTACCCTGGATGGGGTCTTGGGACAGAAAAGGTATGTGAGGTGAAAGCATAGCAAAACCTCACTTCAACAGGAAATACAACCCAAAAAAATAATTGGCCCGGCATGGTGGCTTGCGCCTGGGGTCCCAGCGACTCGGGAGGTTGAGCGGGACGGACGGCTTGAGCTCAGGCCTTCCAAACAAGCCTGGGCACATAGCGAAACCTCGTCTCTCCAAAAAAATCCGAAAATTATTCCCGATGTGGTGGCGCTCACCTGTAGTCCAGCTACTCCGGAGGCCGAGACAGGAGAATCACTTGAACTGATTCTCCTATCTCAGCCCCGCCCCACCCCCCCCCCCCCCCCAAGTAGCCGCAGCGAGCCGAGATGGCACCGCTGCACTCCAGCCTGGGCTACAGAGCGAGAACCCGTCTCTGTAAAAGACACAAGGATGCAAACCAACCAAATAACCCACTGTGGGATCCCCTCCAGCGTCCTGCTGTGTTTCCCGCTGTCTTCCTCCACCCGTGAGTGCACCCACAGCAATAAAAGCCAGCGGTGTGGGTCTCACACGCATCTCCAGCCCCGTCGCCATCGCGCTGAGCTCGACTCTTTTTACAAAAGGCCACTTGACATCCTCACTTGGCAGTTCAAAAGCCCCTTCAACCAGATGTGCGCAAGCCAAGCTCCGCAACTTCCCGTTCAGAGCAGGTTCTCGGTCCACCTCTGCCTGAATGAACCGGCGGGCTACCAAGGCCGCAGTCTCTTCCTCAAGGGCTGTCCACACTGGGTCTCGCTTTCTCTTGGAAATTTCTCTCCCACCAGGGAACTTTCTCCTCCTCTACCTCCCTGAGTCTCAGTCTAACAGCACCCTGCGCCCAACCCCGAGGGCTGCAATAGCCTTCTTGCCTCTCCTGACTTATTCTGCGGACCCTGGGTTGGCGCTCCTTCACAGCCAGGCTGGTCGTTTCTGAAATGTTAACCCGCTGCCGGACACCGTTCCACGGTTTTCCGCTGCCTTGGAACAAGACCAGCTCCTGCGCGGACCCTGCCTCCACCTCGCACCACCTCCGGGCCTGGACTTGGCCTCCCGTCCATTCCCAGAATGTGCCGGGCTCCCTTCCAGTCCGGGCCTCAGCACACTCTCTTCACTCCCCTTCCTCCCTCCCTGCCTCTCCCAACCCGGTTCAGGATGACTAATTTCAAACGTTATGTTCCGGGGGTTTCAGGAGCCGCCCGCTGCTCCTGGGCCTCAGGCTGTTGACTGGCAACCCGTCTTGACCCTCTATCCCTGCATCGGGTTTAGGGCTCTGGGTGACTCAGCGGTTTTACAAGTCATTCAAACCCCCCAGGGCACCTACGTGCAAGGGGTCCCAGTGTTCCTCACCGACATTGCGTATTGACCACTATCTGCCACCCACGTTGTTCCCAGCCTCCCTTCCTTCCACCTGGACGTTCCCCCCAGCCCCACTTCTGCTCCACTCCTCCCCTCCCAACCCAACCGGAGCCCTCACCTTGTGTAGTCAGAATGGAGTATCCGCCCCCTCCTCCCAGGATGCTGACAGTAGTCCATCTGCTTCCAATGCCCCTCTTGTCTCAGCTTTGTAACTTCTGACAAAGTTAGACATACACGGAGTTCCTCAATGCTTTTTTAAATAAGCCAGCAGCTCCCCAATCTTCTTGTGCTCATATTAAAAGTGAATTTGAGATACTTGGTATGAAAAAGAAGATTGTTGGAATCCAAAGTTATGTTAATGTTATGAGTCACGGAATAGATAAGACTGAGGAGCAAATCAGTAAAAACTAGGGGCTTAGGCAAGAGAGAGATGGACAGTGTGATGGAACAGTCGTCCTGCGGACCGGAGGTCATCTAACATGGAGCTCTCCTGAGAGAGCCAGAATATGTGTATGACAGCAAAATACAAGGAAATCATGGCTAATCATTTCTCCCAGTGGAAGAAATCTGTGAATCCTGAGCAGGAAACAAGAATAACACCCATTGAGAATATGAAGTATGTTGAAGAGAACATTCCAAAAGCTACCTGAGAGCTGAGCCCTACAAGGAAATCAGAATTAAGGTGACATTAGACTTTGCCTGACAGCATGGATGACTATGGAAAGCAATGGTGCAATATCCTCAGAGCTTCAAGATGGAAATCACTCTGAATCTAGTGTTCTATGAGCAATCAAAGAAACTGTTGGGGAGAGAAGGAGGCAGGCTGTTTCAGCTCAAGGGCACGGCCATATGAAGGGAGGAATGGCATATAGAAAAAGGAGGAAAAGGCAGAATCCTACTCAGACTGGACCTGAAGCCTGAGCTTCTCCTGAAATTAGAGTACACAACTTATAATGTACAAGCTGCTAAACCCCCTTTCTGTACAAGGTGATTGGAATGGAACTCTTATGTACAGTGAAAGTACAAGTCACGTTTTTCAGCCAGGAAAAAGCCAAACCAGACAACCTGGAAGAAGTGGGATGCAACAAGTGTCAGTAAGGAAGGAAAATAGTAAACTGTATTCTTAAGTCTAGAGAAGTATGATTCTGGGGGAAAGATGGGTGGCCTAGAATTAAAATTCCAGAAGACTTTTACATAGACATGTGGGGAATGGGAAAATTCAGAAGGAGCTAGAAGTTGCTAAAGTTCTTGTCTAGTGCCTGGAGATGATATAGTGGCTGAATAGAAGAGAAATGAAACTCTAGACTCTGACACATTTTTAAGTCTCAATGTAGGTACCCTTTGGGAACCACTAAATGAATTGGAATAGAATGTAAAATTTCAAACATACTGAAGAAAAAGGGGATGAAAGAACATTTGTTGAATCAAACAAAAGGTGTGGGGGGTTTAACAGAAACAAGGAGAGTGCATGACTCACTGAAACTCCTGAATAAGGAATCAGTAATTTGATGGCAGCGTCCTTGGCTTCCTCCTGGCTTTAATGGGACTATTTTAAATGTTTCACCATTGATGAAGATGTTTGCTGTAAGTTTCTCATAGATGTTTAAGTTGAGGTAGTTCCTATCTTTTCAGAGTTTGATAAAAGTTGTATTATGAATTTTTGTATTTTGTATTTTATTTTGTATTGTATTAAGTAGGCTTTTATTCGCTGATTTTCACTCATTTGTAAATGTCCAAATATAATAAAGATAACATTTTACATCAAAGGTTTTTTTTGTGTATTCAATCCTTTGAAATAAACCCTTCTGTTAAGACTTATTTTATACTACAGTTCTTTTGCTAAAATATCACCAATTACAAATATAAAATGTGTTTACTTAACCCAGAAAAAAGGTAGAAAAATAATATCTGCTGTCTCTGTTCTCCTTTCATATTGCATCTTTCCCCATAATCACACAAGTCTATACAAACTAACGTAAATATTAAGAGCATCGTTTGTGGCTTGACTTTACAAACACCTGGCATGCCATCTGCCAGGGGTCATGCTGAAGTGAATATAGGGTCCAGGCAGGTAACGCAGGTGTGGTCGGACCAGCACCTCTGTGGAGCCCATGCCTCTCCATACTAGGCACAGGCGACTTCGTATTGAAACATGGCATGGATCACAATGCACACTGTGCAGTGATAGCTGCTTCTTGGCTTGCCATAGGGATCTGTCATCCATAAGCCAGAAAGCACCCTCTCAATCATCCTACACACATGTGCCACTATCTTCTTGCTGTATATCTGTCTGAAAGATGCACAGGCTTTAAGTTGTGCAAGTGATGGTCTGCTGATAGTGTGCTTCCAGGATGTTTCTACCACCAAAATGCTTAATTAAACATTTGTACATAGAGTAAGACAGGGTCCCATTCAGTCATCCAGGCTGGAGTACAGTGGTGGAATCATAGCTCACTGCAGCCTGTACTGCCTGAGCTCAGGTGATCCTCCCACATCGGCCTGCTAAGTAGCTGGGACTACAGGCAGGCACAAAGACCCCTTGGTAATTTCTCTTGGTGTATGTATGTATGTATGTATGTATGTATGTATGTATGTATGTATGTATGTAAGTATTTATTTTGAAACAGAGTCTCACTCTTTCACCCAGGCTGGAGTGCAGTGGCTTCAGCTCACTGAAACCTCTCCTCCCCTGGTTGAAGCGATTCTCATGCCTCAGTCTCCCAAGTAGCTGGGACCACAGTCCTGTGCCACCACGCCTGGCTAATTTTGTATTTTTAGTAGAGATGGAGCTTCACCATGTTGGCCAGGCTGGTCTCAAACTCCTGATCTCAAGTTATCTGCCCACCTTGGCCTCCTAAAGTGCTGGAATTACAGGCATGAGTCAACACACCCAGCCAACTGGGGTTTCATCATGTTGTGAAGGCTGGTCTTGAACTCGTGAGCTCAAGCCATCTGCCCACCTTGGCCTCCTGAAGTGCTGGGATTATAGGTGTGAACCACCGCACCCGACCTTTTTTGCAAAAATCTTTATGAAATAAATTCTCAAAGTGAGATTCCTACACCAATTGGTATGGCCATATTTTATTTTATTTATTTACTCTTAATTTAACAGTTAAGTTACATTAATTTATCTTTTATGTTAAATTAGGATCCAGCATGTGTTGTTCCCCTCTATGTGTCCATGTGTGTTCACCGTTTAGCTCCCACTTATAAGTGACAGCATTGTGGTAATTGGTTTTCTGTTTCCGTGTTAGTTTGTTAAGGATAATGGCCTCCAGCTCCATCTGTGTTCTTGCAAAGGATGTGATCTTGTTTTTGTCATGTCTGTGTAGTATTTCATGCTGTATACATTGATGGGTATTTCAGTTGATTCCATGTCTTTGCCATTGTGAATAGTGCTGCAATGAACATACCCATGCATGTGTCTTTATAATTGATTTATATCCCTTTGGGTATATACCCAGCAATAAATGTTGGGACGCTATAATTTTTTCCAGTCTCTTGGATAAAAATGTTATCTTATTGTTTTTCAAATTTGAGTTTCCTCCTACTAATAAAGTTCAGTATCTTTTTGTGGATTTATTGACCACTATTATAATCTTTTTCTGTTAATTTCTAATATATCATTTTTATACAATTTTCTGTTGGATTTTATATCTTCTGCTTATCAATTTGTAGGAACTCATGTGAAAAGTGCATAAGTTCTGCAGTTCTGCTCCATCTTCCAATATTCCTCAGGTTTCCTGGGGTTCTCCTGGCTCATCCTCTAAGCCCCTGCCCTCATCCCTCCAACACTTTGCTAAACAAGACTTGGTTCCCTTTACTTCCCCACTTTTGGAAATCCTGCTTCTCCTTTGGAAATCCTGGTGTGTTTGTGGAAGTAGTTGTCTTGGGCCATATGTGGAACCAGCTTCAGTTGTGGGTGCAGGTAGATGCGTCAGCAGATCCTGGGTTGGTGTGATCTCAGTGCAGGACAGTCCTTTCGGTAGGACCAGGTGCTTACATGGAAGCAGGACTCCTTTGGGAGTCAGGCTGCTGCTGATCTCCCCACCCTGGAGGAGACGGAATTCTTTTCTGAGTTATGGGGGATATCCTTGGTGCCCTGGAGGGCACTCAGACCACAGCCAAATCAGCCTATGGGTTTCAGTAAGTGACGTAACTTAGAGCACATGAGGCTTCTTTGTGGGACCCCTCTGCAAGCTGCCTCAGCCTCTTCAAGTTTCACTGTCCACCTCTACCCGATCAGACCAGGCTTCAGTGTCCCCACATAGGACCCCCTCCCCTGAGACCTCACCTTAGGGGAATCCAAGCATGGGAAGAAAGAAGTGAGCCTGAGGGAGGGGAGGCAAGTCTAGAAACCAGGAAGCTTATTGCAGGCTGCACACCATGTCCCCTGTATTTCAAAACATTTGCATTTCCCTGCTGACCCTGTGATGTTGCCTAATGCCTGTTCCTATGTTTCTTGGCCATGCGGATATTTATTTTATAAAGTGTCTGTTCAAGTCCTTTGCCTATTTTGCTATTTGCTGGTCTTCTGATTCTTGTATAATTTTTATTTTTCAAAGGTCAGATATTTTAAAAAGCAAAGTCAAACTCTCTTATACTGCGTGCTTCAGTCTTAGGCAGGTTTTATGTCATTGTTATGTTCCCAAAACAATGTAGAGTCTTATTTCCAGTATTTTCTTTTTGCTTTTTCTTTTCTTTTTTTTGACAGAGTCTCACTCTGTTGCTCAGGCTGGTGTGCAGTGGTATGATCTCAGCTCACTGCAAGCTCCGCCTCCCAGGTTCACACCATTCTCTTGCCTCAGCCTCCCAAGTAGCTGGGACTACAGGCACCTGCCACCATGCCTGGCTAACTTTTTCATTTTTAGTAGAGACGGGGTTTCACCATGTTAGCCAGGATGGTCTTGATGTCCTGACCTCGTGATCTGCCCACCTTCACCTCCCAAAGTGCTGGGATTACAGGTGTGAGCTCCCAGACCCAGACTGTTTTTCTTTTCTTTTCTTTTTTTTCTTTTTTTCAGTTGGAGTCTCACTCTGTCACTCAGGCTGGAGTGTAAAGGCACATTCTTGGCTCACTGCAACTTCTGCCTCCTGGGTTCAAGTGATTTTCCTTCCTCAGCTTCCCAAGTAGCTGGGTTTACAGGCACCCACCAGCACACCAGGCTAATTTTTGTATTTTTAGCAGAGATGGGGTTTTACCATGTTGGCCAGGCTGGTCTCAAATTCGTGACATCAAGAGATTAACCAAACTCAGCCTCCCAAAGTGCTGGGTTTACAGGCATGAGCCACTGTGCTGGGCCTCCAGTATTTTCAGGTCTTATATGAATGATATTCTACTGTACATATCCTTTTGTCATGGTATCTTTTGGGTGTCACTTATCTGGCTGGAAACCTCTGTAGCTGACGGCAACTTTGTCCAAATTCTTTTCTTGTGTGCAGGAAGAATAAGGTACACAGACAAGTGGAGGGTGAGCAAATGAAGAGGACCTTTTCTGAGTGTTAGAACAGCTCAGAGGAGATCTGCAATGAGTAGATCCTCTCTGTAGGCAGGCCATCCCATTGAGTGTTAAGATCTCAGCAGAGAGGAGGTCTGGAGTGGGTGGCTCTTCTCTGATGGTAGGTCATCCCAGTGAGTGTTCAGCTCTCAGCAGAGAGGAGGCCCTGGAAAGGGTGGTTCCTCTCTCCAGGCAGGTTGTTCAAAGGTCTGCAGCCTTCAGCAGAGAGGAGGCTCTGGAGAGGGTAGCTTCTCTCTGTCCTTGGTCGTACCACCATCTGCTCAGCTCTGGCTGAGCCTGGGGATTTTATGAGCCTTAGAGAGAAGAAAGTGTGTGCCAATTGGTCCATGGGTGGCCATGGGTGGGCCCAGAAAATGCACCACACATTCCCACTCTGGTCCATCAGACTGGCAGCCTAGACCCCAGCCTTCAGGCCCTCCCTGGTCTGAAGGTGTGGCCTCACTGGGGACACTCTGTCTTCCATCCAGGAATCTCTCTGCCTCCTGCTGCCATTCATGGCCCCCAGGCTCAGCCCTGACTTTGCTCTGAGATCAAAGTAGACTCCGAAAGCAGGCAGAAGCCAGTCAGCAGGAGGAGGCACTTCTGAGCTTGTGAGGGCAGGGGGGCCTTCCCAGGCACCCAAGAGTGCAGGAATGCCTGAGTCTGAAGCCAAGGTTTGGGCAGCTGCAACTGCACCTGGGGTGGGTTGGGGTTCCTGCCTACTCCATGGAGTGGGATTCGTGGGTCTGCAGCTATGGCTTGGGTGGCTGCAGCTGTGCCTGGGAAGGCGGGGCTTCTGTCTGCTTCTGGCCCCCCAAGAGCACAGGGAACCTGGAATCTGCAGCCACAACTTGGGTGGCTGCAGTCCTGCCCAGGAGGGCAGTGCTCCTGCCCACTCCGTAGACCTGGAGGCACAGGTTTGCAGCTAAATTTGGATGGCTGCCATGGCACTCAGGGAGCTCCTGCTCCAACTCAGAGGGATGGGGCTTCCACTTGTTCCCAGCCCCAACCAACTCCATGGAGCATGCAGCCCCAGCCACACCTTCCTGATGCAGCCAGCATGATAGCAATGGCAGGCCATCTGGAGTGTCTGCTGCCATCAACCCCCACCTCTGAGGTGTTACATCTAACTGCTGTTAGGATAGGGCTGATGACCACTCTTTACTGCTTCATGCTGACAGGGGGTATTGTTTGGGGATAAATGGCAGTTAGATCTTTCTTAGAGGCATATCTAAGGGTCCCAGGTAAAAAGGGAGCCAATCATTCAAGGCTCCAGTTGCATGATTGCTTGAACTTTGATGGTTTCTAGGCAAGAAGAAACGAATTTTACAAGGAGGTTAAAGTTTGAAATGGGCTACAGCTGTTTCACTCTGGTGGAAGAAATTTAATCTTGGATGCAGGCAATTAAACTTTAAGAGAGAAATAGATGTTTAGGTGAGTATTTAATACCTTGGGAAGGGGTCCTTGACAAAGATGCCTTATGATGAGGAACAGAACAAAGGTGAGAATAGTAAGCATAGGATATCTGTGGAGGGTTAATTATTAGTACTTATCTTTTTTAATTTTTACTTTGGTGTCCCTGATTTTTTCATGCCTATACTTCAGGTGCTCTCATGGGTTAATGGAATAAATTTTGTCAGTTCCCCAGGCCTTAACTCAGGTATAATGAATCCAACAATTTATTCCAGTGACCTTCACTGCCATAGGAGTAGGAAGAAGTAGAGTGTAAAGTCTCTCCTATTCCTAGCCTAGAGAAAAAGAAAGTGAAGGAAGTGTCATTACTAGTACTAAGTCTGCTGGGTTGAATAGAGGGACAAAGTTCATGGGATTGAGAATCCAACATTTGTTTCAGCTCATATTGGAAACAGGCCAAAGAAATTATATGTTTAAATCAGAAGTTTCTTGGTCTAGCAAGAAATCATTGGTGAGAAAAGGCTATCCACACATCATTTCAAAGGGACTTAAACCCAGCTTCATGAGGTGTTGCTAACACATATAGGGCTATAAGGAGAAGAGTAATCTGGGAGAGATTAGTCTCTTGAGACAGTTTTCTAAGGTGCTTTTTGATAATAGCATTTGTCTTTTTTTTTTTTTTTTTTTAACTTTCCCTGAGGATTGTGGTCTCCGAGCACAATGAAGATGGTATTGTATGCCTAGTGCCCTTGAGAAACCCTGGGGGACAGCTGCCTTGAACGAGGTGCCATTATCACTATGATCACTATGATCATTATGAGAGCACTTAGGAAGTCGAAAGTGAAGAATTATCTCAATAATTAGTACTTTTATCACCTCAGAGGCTTTCTCTGTCTAGCATGAGATTGCTTCTACCCAGTTAGTGAAGGTATCTACCCATACTAGGAGGTACAGGATGCCCCTTGTGTTGGCATATGGGTGAAACCCATTTGCCAGACTTCCCCAGGTAACCCCCCATTTTTTTGTGTTCTGGGGGAAAAGAAGCCATCGATTGAGGGGATTATTTTTCAGGCAAGTCTTACAAGCATTAATGTCCTGTTTGACCATTTTTAGCAAATTTTTGCCTGAGAACAACCTTTCAGCCATAGGATAGGTTTTATCCTTACCTAGTTGAAAGGCATGGTGGAGGATTTTAAGAACTTTCCATTGGCTGGAAGCTGGTAAATGAAGTTTGCCATCCCCTGATTGCAGTCATCCTGAGGACTGAAGGGTATATCCCCAAGAGGTAGCCCATTTATCTCCACAGAAGAATGCTGAAGTTTTATTTCTTTTATGAAGCCCTCCGAGATCTGAGGGGGCTCTACTGGTTCAGAAGTCTGGGGCCCTCTCCTTACAGACTTAGCTGCTTTGTCTGCCAATTTATTTTCCTCAGCTATTTTACATGGCCTTAACAATGTGTTAATGACACTTCCCATGGAAGGAAGAATGAGGATAATATTTTGTTGATTTCCCAATGATATTAATGGAAGACCCACTGGCTGTGAAGAAGTCCCTCTCTTTCCAGATAGTGGCATGGGCATGGAGGACTTGGTAAAGGCAGGAGTAAACAAGAGGTCTCCCCAGCTACAACTAAGAGGTTGGGGAAAATATCAGGTTAAAGTTTTTCCTAAGACTCCCCTCATGGTCATGCTAAGAGAGGAGGGAAAGCCTGGATTGGAGAGGAGAGCTGAATGGCCTGATCCTGTGTCCAGGAGGAGGTCTACCTTCCTCTCTTTGAGTTCCAGAATCACCTGGGGCTCCTGGATGTTAATGGTAGTCTGGACCACTGGAGCTGGGGAGAGGAGCCCCATGACCCATCAATCCTGCTGGACCATTTGAGGGACTGGCTCTAGACCCAGTGACCTGCGTTTCTGGGTACAGTACACCCTCCAGTGGCCCCCATTGCAAATTGGACAGGGTCAAAGTAGCTTCCTCCTGCTGTTCAGACAGTCCTTCATAAAGTGCTCTGGCTTGCTACATTTGTAGTAGCTAAAAACGCGTCTCAGAGACTCTGAGGTTTGTGAGCCTGCAGGGAAGTTATTAGAGCCTCTGCCTTTTCCTTGTATCTTCTTTCTCTTTTTTGGTCTTCCTCCTGGTTCCTATATTAAAGACCAAGGTGGCTACTTTCAGGAAATTCTCTAACATACTATTTTGTTCTATAACCTGTTTCTGTAGCTTCCCTTGATATCAGGGGCTGTCTGTGTGATAAACTTATCTTTTAGGATTAGCTGTCCCTTGACTGAATCAGCAGATAGAGAGGTAGGCTTTACCAAGGCCCTTCTTAGCCTTTCCAGGAAGACAATGGGATTCTGACCTAATCCCTGGCCTATCATGGATGGCTTGGATAATTGAAAGGCTTAAATCTAGTCCTTCATAAGACCTCCAGTATGCATACCTGAAGGTGTCTCTTCCTCCATTCTCCCATTTCATCATTGGGGTCTCATTTAGGACCCACCAATGGTATTGCTATTCTTCCAGTCACATAACTTTCATCCCCTTCCTTGGCCCTTTATGAGATACAAAAAGTCATCCCCAAAATGATCTGCTGTTTTTAGAGTGGCCTTTCAGCAGTAATCAGGGTTTGATTCACAAGCAACATGACATCATTCCAGGAGAGTTCAAATACCTGGGTTAAATTCAGGAAAGCCTCTATATACACCTCTCAGGATCGTCTGCAAACTTGCCAAGATCCCCCTTAATTTTCCTTAAGAACTGTAGAGAAAAGGGGACTTGGACCTTAATGGGGCCCTATTCACCAGGCATCTGTTGTAGGGGCAGGAGTGACACTGGGACCTGCCTAAAATATGTTTTTTAGGATGAGGTAAACTTGGAAGACCACCTGGATAGAGAGGTGTAGAGGCAGTTGATTCCTTAACTGGAGGGACCTCTGGGGTTTGTTTCCCTAGTTCCCGAGATTGCCCCTTGCAGCCTTTCCTGAGGTGGATGCTAGGAGGCTGAATCAATCCTACAATATTGGCAAAGGTCTGGACTATCCTGCAAGACAAAGAAGGCTTGCACAAATGAGGCCTTAGGCCACTTGCCCTCACATTTCCAGAAAAGGTCCAGCTACAGAATATTATTAAAAAAAAATGCTTCCTTCCTGAGGTTAAGCTTCTCCTTCCTGCATAACATAATTCAGCCACACCATTGTGCAAAGGAATATGAGGCACTTTTTCTTCAGGGTCTGAGAGTCAAAGTAGTCACAGTGATTCAGGATACACTCTAGAGGGGTGCAGGCTGAAGAGTGTTGGTTACACATCTGGAAAAGAGGACAGAGGATGAAAAAGTTTTCTTCCTCTCTCTTTCTAGCCTGAGGGTCAAAGGGGTCCCAGTGATTCAGGATGCACTCGAGAGGAGTCAGGTTGAAGTTGGTTGGTTACCCACCTGGAAAGAAGGAGAAAGGCATCCTTTTGTTATTTTATCTTTCCAGCTAATACCTGGGGTACATGAGGAAGAGAAAAAAGGCATCCCTGTTTTTCTTCCAACCTTATATTCCTGAGTCCTGGTGACCTGTGCAGGTGGCAACCATGGGTGCACATGTGACCTTGACCCATGAAGCAGGAAGCCGTAGCTGGCAGAAATATTCACACTCACCTGAGCTGTGCCTAAGCCTTCCACTGTCAATAACCTTTAAGTTCTCTAGACCGTATCTAAGCCATGAATGTGAGCATGACCTCCTTCCATGAAGCAGAAGAGCCTAATCGGCAGGAATTAGTCATGCTCACCTGTGCTGTGCCCCTAGACTTATGCTGTCTTTTGCCTTTGTATCCCTCAGATCTAGTTTTCCTTTCTAGGGCCTCAAACTGAAGCTTGGGAAAAAGGTGTCTCAGGAGGGTGTATGAACCGATTAAATTAGTCCCAGGCGGCCCTCACCAAATTGCAGCCAGTAACCAGCAGGGCAGTCCTTCGGTTGCTTCCCTTTCATAAGCAGGCAAAGCTGTGGGACCAGGTCCTCCTCAACCAAGGGAGAGGAAGGAAGTCCCTGGAGTTGGGGATCTAGCCCAACAATGTGCCTCCTAAAAGGACAACTTAAGTGCAGGGGAGGGGAAGGTGCCTAGGGAAAAAAGCCTCTTGCCCTATGCATGTGGGTTCCTCCAACAGGGGAAAGAAAACTCAACTGTTATATTCTCCTTGATTCTAAGAATAGACAGACACCACATTGTTCTCATTTACACTCCTGATGACTAAGCCAAATGCTCATTCTACCCAGTAATATTTCTGTAGTTTACAATAACATTATATACATTTAACATTGTATATAAAGAAGAGATAGGAACCATGATAGCCATGAAAATAAGAAAGGAAGAACAATAGGAAAGACTGGATGGAGGTCCTAGTACTGACACCCTAATGGGCAATCAGGGACTAAAGTTAGTCCAGGGGCCTTTGGAGAACTTTGAGGTGTGGCCTCAGCCAGCTACCCTCAGTTTCCCCCGGACCGCCTTCTGGCCCCATATGACAGCCAGACCTTCGTGACGGGAAGCTGGGTTGGAACAAAGTCAACATTCCCAACACCCAGGAGTGATGGGGGATTGCCAGTGTCCTCCCCAGCAAGCCTGTCCTGTGTGTCTTAAGTCAGGCAGGCTGCTCCCTCTCTTCCTCTTTTTGTCTTTCTCTTTCTCCCTCTCCTCTTCTATCCTATCTTTTAGTCTAATATTCCTCTACCTAAACATTCAGTATCAAAATTCTTCAAGTATTTATTTTAGGCTCAGTAAAATTAAACAGTCCAGATAGTAAATATTTTAGGGTTTGCAGGTCATATGGTTTCTGATGAAACTACTCAATTTGCTCTTTATAACATAAAAATAGCGGTATATATTATAGAAGTTAATGGCATGGCTGTGTTCCAATAAAACTGCATTTACAAAAGCAGACAGCACCCAGATTTGGCCAGCAAGTTGTAGTTTGCCAGTCCCCTCTTTAGGCTCTCTCTTTCTCTCTCTCTTTCTCCTCTCTCTCTCTCTCTCTCATCTGTAAGTTATGGTATCTTTCCCATATGTTAAAATACACACAAACTCTGACCACCGGTTAATAATATACATTGAGTCCAAAACTCTTCTGAGCTCTAGTCCTGTTTCCAATCAAATATTAGGTATTTTTCCACATGGATGTATCAATGGAACTGAGACAAAATATATCACAAATGCAATGTATGATTTTTCTTATCAATTTTCTCTTATTTCAACTTCCCAATATAAATATGTGGTGATACCATCCAGCCATTGTTGAAAATAAAGTACAGGCTCCTTTGGCTCTTCTCTCTTCATGAAGCACCTGTGAATTACCAAGTTATATTGATTTAACATTAAAATGTATCTCAAATTCAGCCAAGTTTCTCCATTGCAATTGTGAGTTCTCTAATTTAATCTACAATTATATCTTGCCTTTAATGCCTCCTATTTGTCTCTTCACTGTTTAATACACTACCTATTATTCTATTCTCCTGAAGTTAAGTTATACTCACAAAGTGGAAGGAAGTAAATTCAAATTATTTTCCTTCTTAAAATTATTTGATCTTAGTACAAAATAAGAATTTCCACATTTCACCTACAAGTTCTGTCATGATCTGGAAACTTTGTAGTCTCTTCCTGCATCAGTCTTTCCTCACTCATTCATTTCCATCCATGTTAGCTTACTTTCAGGTCATTGAATCCATTAAACTTTTTTTCTTACTTCTGAGATGAAAACATATGATGCTTCTTCAAACTGCAATGTCTTTCACTGACTCTTTGCTGATAACTTTCTATTTATCCTTCAGATCTCACATTATTACGAATTTCTCAATCATGCATTCCAAGAACCTCGATCCAAATTTGGTATCCCTGTTGTAATTTTCATATTATTTATATTTTCCTTAGATAAATTGCAACAGTTTGTTATTATTTTTGTTTGATATGTGTTTAATTTCTTTCTCTTCTTACAGTGTAAGCTCTAGCAAAATAAGGCTCATATTTATGTGTATCACAATTGTATGTCTAGTACTTTAAAAAGCGCAAAATATAATAGGATTTTAGTAAGTATTTAAAAATATTTGTCTGTACAAATAATTTAAAAAGTAGCTGGGTGTGGTGCACACCTGTAGTCCTAGCTACTCTGAGGGCTAAAGTGGGAGGATCACTTGAGCCTACGAGGTTGATGCTGCAGTGAGCCCTGATCATGCCACTATACTCCAGCCTGGGTGGCAGAGCAAGACCCTATCTCAAAAATAAAAATAATAATGATAATAATTGATATTTAAGCAATATTCCAAGATAGGAAAATAGCTTAGTAATTTATAATATACTGTATGGCTTTAAATAATTAAAATCATTTTATTCTTATATAATAAATTTAAGGACAGTAATATAAAGAAAAGACACTAAATATTTGGCCAAATATTCTGTGCAGTAGCAATAAATTACTACACAAATCTCCATGTAATGGGGGAGAAGAAGCTGCCCAAATTATCTTTTAAATGAAGGAAAATCTTATAAATACATAGTGTGGTTTCACCACAGAAAATTCTAATGTTTTCCTATTGCTTCACCTCTTTCCCAGTGTTTGCTTATTATTTTACTTAATAATTTCTCTTGTTTTGTTATTGCTGTTTCTGTATATCAAATTTTGCGTGAAGTTAGATCACTAGAGTCACACCCATTAATTTCCACCCTCTATTGACTAAATAAGGTAAACTCATTTATAATTCAGTGAGCATAACTGGACATTAACTCAACATTTTAGGGTTAAAATCCCTTAAAATTGAGTAAATGTGAAAAGTAATCCTTTACAAATGAAAGCTGCTGTGGTGCAAAAGCAAAGCCTGTGTCCATTTACACAATAGCACTTCACGGGCCATATCTCTGCTTTGGCTTTCTGTTACTCTCTAGTATGTTAAAATACATATCACGCAAACATTCCTCTAAGAAGAAATAGCAATACATTTTTAATAAATTCTTAGCCAAATTTCCAGTTTCAGTGACAAGTATTTTGCTACAAAGGTATCACTGACAAATTATATTTAAATAAATAAACTAAAATCTATTATTAAATGGCTTATCTCCTTTTCTGGAATGCAGAGTTCGTATTTGAGTTTGTCAGGAATTAAATAGCCATGCATTTTTAATAAAGCATGGATGAATATACCAATCATTTGAGAGTTATTGACATATCTATATCTGTACGATAGTGTCTTATACTATTTCTGCTCTTTTCTTAATAGGGTTTATACATTCAGTATTAATAATAGATGAACATTTTTAATTCATTTCTACTGTTGAATCCTATTTGTACTTCTGCAGGAACATTATTAAAACTGATTTTATAAAACTTATTTCTCATGACACGTGTATAGGCATTACTGTTCTTTAAAAAAATTCTGTGTGACTACAATTCTCAAATTATTATAAGTAAATTATTCATTTGTTAACTGCCAGACATAACTGTTTTTTCTTGCACTGTTTTCCTTGAAGGTGGCCTTAGAAATGATATACTTATCATTATCCAAGGAATATGTATTATCTACTAATCTCTTAGAAGGAGACATTACTCACCTTGCATACTGGTTTTCACTGAAATGCTAATAAATTTAGCCTACAGGTCTGAGGTAATCTTTATTTTACACAAATAAGCAGGAACATTTACAGTTTTCCAGTAGTGGTCAGGTGATTTAAAGCTTCATGTCCACTTGTGTTTTTTAATTCACAATCACAGTGACAACAAAGGAATAACCCAGAATCAGTTTGTCTATGATATTAGGATAAAATGACCCTGAGTGACACATGAGTTCTGTCATATCACAGTCTCAAAAATAAGAAATATATTTCATTCTCAAACAGTATTCTACTTATAAAAAGGAAATTTAAAAGTTACTTCTTTGATTTCAATGTCTAATTAAATAGATCCCAAATTTTTGCATTTATCCTATTGATATCAAAATATATTTCCCCAGCAATGTTTTTCCAGTTGTTGCTTTCATAAACCAGAAACAGTATAAACAGTTGTGGATTGTCATACTGTTAGAAAAATTTATTATTGCTAAGACAAGACATAAAATAAAAACAGGTGCCAAATAGAACAAAATAAAAAACAAACAAACTCTTACTATCTGCCGTTCACTAAACAGATGTTTGCTGAGCACCCATTTCATGCTGTGCAGCACTTTGCTAGGAACAGCAGAGAGAAAATAAACTGAATCACCTTCCTGCTCTTAGGGACTGTATAGTGGGAGAAATAGAAAGAAACAAATATTCAAGGCAATAAATGTATATTACAAATGATATGCTCTATGCTCTGCGATACTCTCTTAAAATACTGTGTAATGGATTTTAGGTTTCTGATCCAGGGAAGGGCTCTGAAGAAATGGCATTTAAGTTGAAGACTTGAGGATAAAGGGTCAGTCAAGTATATCAGAGGAAAAGAACATGCCAAGAAGAAGAAATAATATGTGCACAAGGAGCAGATACATACTATTACAATTATTTTATTTTTATTGCTATTATTGCTATTTTATTGCTATTATTGCTATTTTAAAAATTTCCATTATTCCCAAATGCATTTCATTCTATTATTCAAGAAAGTTTACACTTGGCCTGGAAGGTCAAAAGCAAACATGGCAGACAAGTATGGGTGCTAAATCTAACCTAAACTATGTGCTTCAACATGGAAGAATCTTCAGCGGAAGTGACATACTCAAACAAATTACAGATTGAGTTGGTCAGGAGAAATGGGGAGAGGCATAAGTAGTGCCTGTGATGAGGCTGAACAGAAATAAAGAGCAGTTTACCTCCTCAGGGGTCTTTCCAGATAAATTTGAAAGCTAGGATTGAAGTGCTTCAGCAGGACAGTGACATGGACTGATTTATATTTTTACATAAATAAACTTTGTTTTTCAGAAGGACTCTGACTACATGTAGAGAAATACTATCTTGAAAAGAAAAAACAACAACAAAAACCACATAAATACAGATAAAGCAGTTTAAAAATGTAGTTTTCTAGATATTCAATGGTAGGTGATAAAGGATGGCAATGAAAAGTATAATATAAAAAGGACTCAAAGGAAGTTTAGCAGGTAGTAGCATTGACATGAATTAGTAATTTATTCAGTAGAGATAAGGTCAAATTAAATTATATCAATATCCCATTTAAATATTTTATCTAATATATAAATGCATATTTATAACAATATGACAACAGTGTATATCTATAGATTCTGAAAGTATGCTTATTTTTAAGTTCATATTTTTAAAATTTACTCACAATGACTACATATCAAAATATGAAATGTATTAAAATATAGGAAATTCTGTTGAAAGTGTCAGCTATTCTGTTTATATTTTCCTACTCAATAACCCAAAGCAGCAATTTGCAGAATTTCTAAGATAATAATTCTAAATAAGATGTCCCTTATTTTTCTCCTTTATGAATGACACAACCCAAAACTTCATCTTTATTAATTGACTTGTCTATTTGTGCCAAGGTCCCTGTCAGGAAGATTCATAATGAATTATATTATTTTGATATCTTGTCTGTCATTTTTTTTTCATAGCATGTATTTCCTACTTGAGGTACCCATGTGGTTAATTAACTTTATGGGCAGTAGCACGACACATATGAAAAAGTTAATGTCAAGGGAAGAACATGGATTCTGTGAATCCCTGATATCCAGACTGTAGCTATGAGTGAGATTTAATTGCCTGGCCTCAACCCTATTGTCCTGGTTCTTGGAAATAAAATGCACCCCTGAATGCCATCATGGATATATAATTACAAATATAGTACAACCTCTGATTCACATACAATATAATCCATATTTCTTGTTGGATTTACATCTGAGTCTTGGTTTTTCTGTCCATTTTCCACCTGGAACTAGTCTTCAGCTCTGACCTTCAAGGCTGTAGCCCTGGAGTGGATGCTAATTCTTAGAGTTTATCTCTACTTGTATTATGCCTCAGCTGGTGCTAATCCTGTCACCACTCAAAAGAAAATTCTGGAACCAGGATTTTGGCATCTACTATACACAGAGAAGCATTTTTTTTCTAGGACTCCTTGACTATATTATTGTATTCCCAATTTTGAAGTTAGGTGACTTGCATATTGATAATATCCATGACTAATCTTAAATTACCCATGTCTTTTGTTCTTTGAGAGCTTGTTTTATGAAGGAATTGAAGTTGGATCTAGGGAGATATGATGTATATCTAATTCCAGATCTTAAGAGAATGTATTTAAATTCACACATAGCATTCAGTCTCTGAAAAAGTATCATTTTATATCTAAGTTTTAGATTATATGCACCTAGAAATCAGAGCACTTCTAACTGTATCTTAAACTGCAGTAGGCCAAAAACTTTCTTTGCCTGATTGGAAAACTGTGCACATAACATAATTCCAAGACTCTATAAATATTTTCTTAAAGATAATTTTTCTGATTTGGCAGGTTGTTTGAAAGGTGTTGTTCTCATATGTTTTCATACATTCTTTACAAAAGATCTACCCCAAAATAGGGAAAAAATCATGCTATCTATAAAACATTTAAAATTGTGTGTAGTCAATAATTTTACTCTCGTGTTTCTGGACTGGCGAATATAAAATATTGGCATATTGAAGTTTTAAAAAACCTGCTTGCCATCATTTTTTTTTCAGTTTTTAAACATTTTTAACTGTATCACTTTGTGCTTTTTTTTTTCCTTTTCCAGATGAGAGAAAAGGGCTCATTAATTCTCAATGAATCTAAGGTCACAAATTTATTAAGTGGGGATAATAGGTGTAGGGCTTCTGCTTTATGGTGCCTTTTGCAAGTTCTATGCAGCCTGCTTAGTTTCCGCAGTCCTCTCTGACATATTCATTTGTTTATGGTCTCCTATCACTTCCTATTCTACACGTGTCACTCAGAGAACTCCATTAACACTAGTGTAGTTCTTAACTACCTCTTTGTTAGCATGAGTGGTTTGCTTTACAGATTCTTTCTTAATCAGATAAAACATTTCTAGGTACAATTTTAAAAAATTTTGTTTAACCAGATGGCTGAGCTAATAAATATCATGTTTCAGGCTATTTAAAGGTCTTTTAAATATTTGATGGTGGTATGAAATAAGTTGAAAATTTGCTGAAGTTTTGTTTTTATTAAAAAATATTAATAGCTTTCTGTTTAATTAGTTTAACCTCATTTACTTAGTAAACAAATTACTTCACACTATAAATTCAAAACCATTTTCTGAATGCACTAAGGCTTCTGTAAATAAGAATGTCTAAGGCAAATTTTTACTACAGGAAGTGTTACTGGTAACTAAGGATCAAAAGTCTAAAAGGACAGTTTCTTGTATGTCAACACCAAAAAACTCCCAAAGTGTATGTTTGGATTTAGTTTTCTGTTCTATTTCTGTTTTGTCTTAAGGGGAAACTCTAACTAATAGTAACCGGAAAAGCAAAACAAACAAACAAATCTGCCATTGAACTTAAAAATGCAAAAGTAATGTATATTTATGTGCATAAATACTTTTTATTCTTGCTCTTATTGCATTGTCTTTTCATTTGCAGCAGAAATCTTGTAGATCCTTAAACAAAGCCATACTTTTTCATATAAAAAATTAATAAATTAAACTTTCTCAAAAATAAATTTCTATTACTGTATTTTCAGGCTATAAAGTAATAGGCTTCCGAGACATTATAAGAAGTGTCTTTAGTGAACTCAATGTCACAGATTTCTTTACTCTCCATATTGGAATATAAAATCTGAAATAACTTTATAATAAGATGAAGTTGAGAAAGAGAATGTAGTGATTGAAGACTGGTCCTTTCATTTTTCTTTAAAGGTTTTTTTTCAGTAATACACATCGATTACACTTTTTAATCACAATAAAGTTCTGTCTCTACATTACAAATACTATTAATTCAATTCTCATATATCTGCCATGTGCATAGTGCCACCTGTTCTGCAATAGCAGAGCTCCAACACCTGGCTTTTCTCTGTTTTGTATTATTAATCAAGCACATGTGTAGAAGTTTTATGTTGGCAGTTCATACCACACTCATGTGAATCCTCATTCTTTGTAAAGTTAGGATCAAGAAAGAATGGAGAATAGAACCAGAGATATCAGTTGGCTTTACATACAACCTGCTTAGGTGGCTTCCTATATGGTGTGTTCTGGAATTTGCTTGCAAGCTAGCATATCCTCAAATATGTTCCATTAATTCAAAATGGTGCCTGAAATGACTACCAGTATAACAGAAATGCACTTTTTATCTCTATACATTTCAGTTTTCCCAACTGTAAATTGAGGGCAAAAAATATCTAATTCAAGTGATGGAAAGATATAAGTTAACTATCACAATAAGTATAAAATATATGGAGATATTGTGGTTTTGATAATGCTTACATAAAAATCTATAAACTGACACATAAATATATTTGTATACTGCCTCCTCAACTATGTTTTTATAAACTGGAAGAGTGAGACAGTTTATATTTTCACAAAATGTGTACGTGGAGGCATTCTAGGCTTTTAGCGGATGGGGACAAGAGTGCATGGTGTCCTGTTAGGCAAGGAAATGCCACAAATATTAAATAATTATTTTGCATTTTCCATGAGTTTTGTATGTTCAACTTCTATTCATATAACAAAAAGTTTGTAATCTGAGTATAAAAATGTACTTTATAAATATATAAATATATCAACATGAATTTTGTACATTTTTTTATAAATGCAATTTCAAAATCCAAGTATCTTGTGAATTAGGAAAAAAAATCCTGTTTAATTTTATTCAGAACTCTATCAAAAGTGATTCTGTATGAGAATCAGGCCTCTGATTGTAATGGTTTTTATGGTACTGGATCACTAATATTAAAAAATAAATTGTCTTCACATGTGATTCCATCTGGGATTGCAAGTATTCATTTTATCATTTAGCTTGGCCACACTGTAACACATTAAAATTCATATTTATTTTCTTATGAAGTATTTGTATTTAGTAGTTTGTATTGTTAGGGAATTATATTTATGTTAAAAATTATGTGTGTAGATAGGTTGTATTGTCTTTAAAGTCATTTTGAAAGAGTGTTGTAAGTTGAATTGTGTTTCCTCAAAAAAGATATGTTGAAGTTCTCATCCCAGGTACCTGTGAATGTTTCCTAGATGTAATCAAGTTAGGAATAAGTCATACTAAATAAGGGTGCAAACTAAATCCAATAACTTATGTCATAAAACGAAAGGAAAGAAAAACTCAGATACAGAGGCAAAAAGATACCCAGACACCCAGGAAGGAAGGCCATGTGAAGACATAGATAGGAATTGAAAGTATGCCACCACAAACCCCAATTAGTACCAGCGACCTTCTAAAGATAGGATAAAGAAAGAAAGAAATATTTTTTAAAACTTCAGAGAGAACATGGTCTTGGAAATACCTAGACTTCTAGTCTTAAGAACCAGAAGATAATAAACTTTTCTTGTTTTAAGCCACCCAGTTCATGGTATGTTGTTGTGGCAACTCTAGGAAACTAATACAAAGAGTAAGAGGTATTTCAATTGTGTTTAAAAGCAAATAATAAATATTGGCTTCACAGCAAACAAAACTAACAGATTTTTAGGGTCTGTTTATTTTTATTTTTTATTTTTATTAGTACATAGCAGTTGTGTATATTTATCCCATAAATAATCCCATAACTTTATGTCCATAAGTTCCATTGTTTTGATTTTTAGCTCTAACACATGAGTGAGAACCTGCAAAGTTTGTCTTGCTGTGCCTGGCTTATTTCATTTAATATAATGACCTGCAGTTTCATCAATATTGCTGCAAATAACAGGATATCTTTCTTTTTTATGGCCAAATAGTGCTCCATTGGGTTTACATCCAAAATTTTCTTTATTCATTCATCTGTTGATGGACACTTAGGTTTCTTCCCAGTCTTTGTAATTGTGAACAGAGCTGCAACAAATATGAAAGTTCAGATACCTCTTTGATATACTGATTTTCTTTTTGGGGAATATATACCTAACATTGGTATTGCCGGATCATACCACAGTTCTATATTTACATTTTTTAGGAACCCTCCTACTGTGTTCCACAGGGGTGGTACTAATTTACATTCCCACCAACAGTGTACAAGGATTTCCTTTTCTCCACATCCTCACCAGCATTTTTTATTCCCTGTCTTTTGATATATACCATTTTAACTGGGGTGAGATAAAATCTCCATATAGTTTTGATTTGCATTTTCTGATGATCAGTGATGCTGGGCACCTTTTCATATACCGGATGCCATTTGTCTACATTCTTTTGAGAAACGTCTATTCAGATTTTTTGCCAATTTTTAATTAGATTATTAGATTTTTTCCTATTGAGTTTTTTGAGCTCCTTATAAAATATATTCTGGTTCATATTCCCTTGTCAGATGAATAGTTTGCCAATATTTTCTCCCATCCCATTCTATTGGTTGTCTCTCCACTTTACTGATTTTTTCATTTGCTGTGAAGATGCTTTTTAACTTAATATGATCCTATTTGTCCATTTTTGCTTTGCTTGCCTGTGCTGCTGAGATATTACTTAAGAAATCTTTGCCCAGGCCAATATCTTGGAGAGTTTCCAACTATTTTCTTGTGGTAATTTCATATTAGAGGTCTTGGGTATCAGTCTTTAATCTCTTTTAATTTAACTTTTTCATATGGCAAGAGACAAGGGTCTAATTTCATTCTTCTGCATATAGGTATCCAGTTTTCCCAGCACCATTTATTGAAGAAACTGTAGCTTCCTAAATGTATATTCTTGGCACTTTTGTAAAAAATGAGTTTGCTGTAGGTGTGTGGCTTTGCTTCTGGGTTCTGTATTCTGTCCCATTGGTCTATGTTTGTTTTTATGCCAGTATCATGCTGTTTTGGTTATGATATCTCTATATTATAATTTGAAGTTAGACAATGTGATTCCTCTAGTTTTGTAATTTTTGTTTAGTATAGCTTTGGCTATTCTGGGTGTTTTGTGGTTACATACAAATTTTAGGATTCTGTTTTCTGTTTCTGTAAACAATGTTATTGGCATTTTCATAGGGATTACTTTCAATCTATAGATTTTTGTGGGTAGTATAGACATCTTAACAATACTGATTTTTCCAATCCATGAACGTGGAATACCTTTAATTTTTTGTGTCCTCTTCAATTTTTTGCATAAATATTTTATGGTTTTCATTATACAGATCTTTCAGTTTTTGGTTAATTCCTAGGTATTTTATTTCATTTGTATTTATTACCTTCTTGATTTCTTTTTCAGATGGTTCACTGATGGCATATAGAAATGCTACATATTTGTGTATTTTGATTTCATACCATGCAACTTTATTGAATTTGTTTATCAGTTTTAATCATTTTCTTGCAGATTCTTTAGGTTTTTCCAAATATAAGGTTATATCATCTTCAAACAAAGATAATTTGAAATTTCCCTTTCCAATTTGGATGCCCTTTATTTCTTTCTCTTGTCCAGTTGCTCTAGTGAGAACATCCAGTATTATATGGAATAATAATGGTGGAAGTGGGCATTATTATCTTTTTCCAAATCTTAGAGGAAAGGCTATCAGTTTTTCCCCATTTAATATGATACCAGCTATGAATCAGTTGTATATGGCTTTTATTGTGTTGAGTAATGTTCCCTCTATACCAAGTTTTTGGGGAGTTTTAATTATTTAAAAATGTTTAATTTTATCAAATGCTTTTGAAGCATCAGTTGAAATGATCATATGCTTTTTGTCCTCAATTCTGTTGATACGATGTATCACATTGAATGATTTGTGTATGTTGAACCATCCTTGCATCCATGGGAAAACCCCGTCTGGTCATGATTAATAATATTCTTAATATGTTGTTCAATTTGGTTTGCTAGTACTATGTTGAGCATTTTGGATCAATGTTCATCAGGAATATTGGCCTACAGTTTATTCTCTTTTCTTGATGTCCCTTTCTGTGGTTTTGGTATCAGGGTAATACTAGCCTCATAGAATAAGTATGGAAGTATTTCCTTCTCCTCTATATTTGGAATACTTTGAGTAAGATTTTCATTAGTTCTTCTTTAAATATTTGGCAAAATTTAGCAGTAAAGCCATTGAGTCCCAGGCTCTCCTTTGCTGGGAGAATTTTTATTACAGCTTTGATCTCATTGCTTATTACTGGTCAATTCAGATTCTGGATTTCTTCATGCATCAATGTTGCTAGGTTGTATGTGTCTGGAAGTTTATTCATATCATCTAGGTTTTTAAATTTATTGGCATTTAGTTGCCTATAGTTACCTCTAATTATCCTTTGAAATTCTGTGGTATCAGTTATAATGTCTCCTTTTCCAGCTCTAATTTTATTTGAGTCTGCTTTTTTTTTTTTCTTAATTAGCCTGGCTAAATGTTTATGGGTTTTGCCTATCTTTTCAAAAAACAAAGTTTTCTTTTTAATTTTTTTCTTTTTTTTTTTTGTTTTGTGTTTCGATTTCATTTATTTCTGCTCTGAATTTTATTATTTATTTTCTTCTACTAATTTTACATTTGATTTGTTTCTACTTGTCTAGTCTTTAAGATACATCATTGGGTTGTTTATTTGAAGTTTTTTCTACTTTTTTGATGTATGTGCTCATTGCTGTAAACTTTCCTCTTACTACTGCTTTTGGTGTATCCTATAGGTTTTGGTATGTTATGTTTCCACTTTCATTTGTTTCAAGATATTTTTAATTTCCTTCTTAATCTCCTTACTGATCTACTAGTCATTCAGGAACATACAGTTTAATTTCCAAGTATTAGTATAGTTTCCAAAATTCCTGTTGTTATTGATTTCAAGATTTTTCCATTTTGGTCATAGAAGATGTCTGATATTTGTTTCAATTTTTTAGAAGTTTAAAGACTTATTTTGTGGTATAAAAAAGGATATGATTTATTCTTAGCAATAATCCATGTGCTGAGGAGAAGAATGTGTATTCTGCAGCCACTTGATGAAATGATCTGTAAATATCTATTAGGTTTATATGTTCTATAGTGCAGATTAAGTCTAATATTTCTTTTTTGATTTTCTGTCTAGATGAGTTGTCTGATGCAAATTAGGGAGTTGGAAGTCTCCAGCTATTTTTGTATTGGGGTCTATATCTCTCTTTAGCTCTAATACTATTTGTTTTATATATCTGGGTGCCCCAGTGTTGGGTGCATGTATATTTATAATTGTTCTATCCGCTTGCTGAATTAACCCTTTAATCATTATAGACCTGCTTTGTCTCTTTTAATAGTTTTTAACTTGAAGCATATTTCATCTGATACAATTATAGGTACTATTGCTTTTTTGGTTTATATTTGCAGGGAGTATCTTTTTTCATCCATTTATTTTCAGTCTCTGTGTCTTTCTAGGTGATGTATACTTCTAATAGGCAACAAATTGCTGAACCTTTTTGCTTTATCCATTCAGCCACTCTATGGTTTTTGATTGGAGAATTTAGTCAGTTTACATTTGATGTAATTATTAATGGGTAAAGACTTCCACCATTTTGTTATTTGTTTTCTGGTTGTTTTGCGTTTTTTTCCTTTCTTCTTTTCTTCCTCCCTTTTTGTCAAAGTGATTTTCTGTCGGTGGTATGTTTTAATTTCTTGTTCTTTGTTTTCTGCATATCTTTTGTAGGTTTTTTAAATTTCAGTTACGATGAGGCTTACAAGTAGCATCCTATATCCATTATTTTAAACTAATGACAATTTAACATTGGTTGCAAAAACCAACAAGCAAACAAGCAAGCAAAGAGCAAACAAACTCTATACTTAAACTGCATCTCCCCACTTTTTAACTTTTTGTTGTTTGTTTTAAATGTTATTATATTGTCTTTGTCTTGAAAAGTTCTTCGTCTTTGAAGAACTTATTTTAGCTTTCCTTGTTGGATACGTCTGGTGTCGATGAAATCCTCAGTTATTGTTTGTCTGGGAAAGCCTTTGTTTCACCTTCATAGTTGAAGGATATTTTCACTGGATATACTACTCTTTGAAAAAGGTTTTTCCTTCAGCACTTTAAATATGTCATGCCATTCTTTCCTAGCCTGAAAGATTTCCACTGAGCAATCTGCTGCTATCTGTATTAGAGCTCCTTTGTATGTCATTTGTTTCTTTTCTCTTGCTTATTTGAGGAATCTTTCTTTACCCTTAATCTTTGTGACTTTGATTATTATATGCCTTAAGGTAGGCTTATTTGGGTTAAATTTGCCTCATGTTCTATAAACTTCTTATATTTAAAAATTCCTATCTTTCTATAGGTTTGGACAGTTCTCTGTATTTATCTCTTTGAATAGACTTTGTAACTTGATCTCTCTACCTCTTCTTTAAGGCTAACTCTTAGATTTCCTCTTTTGAAGCTATTTTCAGTCCTTTAAGGTGTGCTTCACTCTTTTCATTATTTTTCTATTGTCTCTTCTTCCTGTGTATTTTCAAATAGCCTGTCTTCAAGCTCACCAAGTCTCTCTTCTACTTGATGAATTCTTTTGTTGAGAGACTCTGATGCCTTCTTCAGTATGTCAGCTGAATTTTATAGTTACAGAAGTTCTGCTTGATATTTTAAAAAGCATTTCAATCTCTGTTAAATTTGTTTGATGGGATTCTGAATTCTTTCTTTGTGTTATTGAAACGCCCTCATTTTCTGGAGTGACACCTGAGAATGTGTTGGGTCACACCTGCAGCCAGTACAGCACTGGGTCTCACCCAAAGCCTGCAAAGAGTACTACCTGGTTACTGTTGATGTTTATTCAAGGCCCAAGGGCTGTTTAGTTAGCAGGTGATGAATCTTGCCAAAATGAAGTCCTTCCCTTCAAGGTAGCAGGTTCCCTTCTGGCCCAGAATGTGTCTGGAAATATTGCCTGGGAGCTAGGATCTGGAATGGGGACTCTCCTTAGTACCCTATTCTTCTGCAGCTGAGTTGGTATCCAAGTTGCAAGACAAAAGTCAACTTTACCTGTTTCCTCTCCTCAAGCAGAAGAAAGGAGTCCCTCCTGGAGCTGCTAGCTGTTCTGCCTGGGGTTGGGTGGGGATTACACATGCACTCTTTTGGCCAACCCAGATGGTATTTCACTAGGCAACATGAACCCCAAATCCACTCACTCTGAGCCCAGCAAAGCACCAGGACTTGCTCAGAAAGTGTAGTCCTCATGGCCTAGACTGCCCTTCAAGTTAATTTAGGGCACCAGAGTGTTTTAGCCTGTGTGTTGGTTGTGTGGCCAGAGCTCAGGTTCTGACCCTGGGAAAGATGATTCCCCTCTGGCTACAGTTTATCTACATGCTCCCTCTGTAGCCATTAGCTGACTTCTGTTTTGTATTGTTTCCACTGTGACAGGGAAGCACTGAGTTCCAACCCAAAGTAACCCAGTGGCTTCACTTTCTCCCTCCCCCAAGCACAGATTCTCATTCCATGCCATGTGACTACTGATGGAGGATGGCAGAAGGGTGGTGTCAGAGATTCAAGACTCTTTCCTACCTGTTTTAGTGTTTCTTTCCTTGTTACAATGTTAAAACCAAACACTGTGATTGCTCACCTGATTTTTCGTGATTTTTGTTTCTTATTAAGCTGCTTTCTTGTGTAGCTACTTGTTCAATTTGGTTTTCCAGCAAGGGGAACAATTGGCTGTCTTGCTCCTCCTCCCTCCTCTTTAGACTGTTCTTTATTGATGTTCATGGTCTTTCAGCATAGTCTTATAATTTGCCATTTCCAACCTTTCATGTATTATAACTACACTGCCTTCACCTTACCTGAACACATACACACCTTTCTTTGTGTTTATAATTTTGCTGGAAATTACAATTATCTCATTTCTATCTGATTAAATAATACTATTATGTACAGCCCATTTCAAAGGCAAAATCCTCCCTCCTGTACTCACTCCAATCAGATGTACTATGGATGTGCTACCTTGTTTCACCTTTTAAAAACAACAAGCAAATAATTATACTCTGCTTTATAATGTGGTGGAATGTATACAAATACTTTCTTCCATAATTTTTGAGAGCAGTAACTGTGTCTCACCAATCTTCATATTCTCCACTGCACTGACCATAGCATTTTGAATATAATTTGGAATCAATTAAATACATGAACAAACAAGTAAAATTTTATGGTGCAGGGAAAGTATTATTATTATTTTTTAAAAGGGCTCTGAGATATAATCTACTTTTCTGGGATAGTACCAAATAAAAATGAAATCAAGAATTTAAAGCATTCTGAAAATACTGAGAAAGACCATTAAAAAAAAGAAGGCTAAGAGTTTGTTTAAAAATATGAGAAATAAAAAAAAGATCCATATAACTGACTATAGCAAAAGCATGTGTTTTCTGAAGTAAGTAAGGCAGAAAGTAAAATAGACATCCTTTTAATACCTCTCATATCTATGCAGAGATGGCCAAGGTCTGGTAGTGATTTTCATGATGATGGGTCTGGGAAGCTTATTATTTTGTAACCAGTTTTATTACCTGCCCCCAGCAAAAGGCATTTGTTTACCTTCTTTCCTCTTTTATTCACTTTAGACGTGAAGAGAAGTATCACTGCTTCAGTATTAGGCTATTTCAATAAGCAAGGCAATTTTATTACAGATATCAGATGCAACACATATTTGGTAAATCTTAATAACCATATTCTTACACCTACACAATAAATTACTGGTAAAAACTGCTTTCGCTGTGACATTTTCACTATTTGCATTAACATGAACTCTTACATAGGCATATATTCCAATTTTGAAAAGAAAAGCTTTCACAAACATTATGACATTTGATTGAATTGAGTAACTTAAAAAACATGCCTTATTAAAATATCTTATAAAGTTGGATTTATCTTCAAAAGCAATATAAAACAAGTCTATAATTACATCTAGCACTTTTTCCTCAAGATGACATAAATTATTTCTTATAACCATGTTTCAGAACTTTTCATTGCCCCTCTCTTTCTGTCTCTGTCCTATACAATCAATGACTTAAATCTTCAAACTTCAACTTAGACTTTAATTATCTGATTCTCATGGTTCCTCAGTACACTATTCAAATTCTTTGAACAGATGAAGAAAGTATTTCATAGTCAAACTTGAGTAGATTGTTATAAAACAATATTTAAAAGTCACTCAATAATTCCTATTCTTAAAGTTATTTGTATTTTGGAAGAAGATGTCCTAAGTGCCTATAAAGCAAAAGTATAAATGGAAATAAAGTAAATAACAGAAATCACCCAAATTTTAAGCATTATGGAAACTAACTGGGTAGACATCCCCATGAGAGTTTCTCAATAGACCATGCTGCCTGGGGCATGTCATACTATGCTCCATTTAACTATCTGATTTGACCTCTAGCTCAGATGTTTTAATTTTGTTGCTGGATGTTTTACCCTTTCTTTAAGTGCTTAAGTGAGTAAAAATAATTGAAAATCAGATATAATATTATAAAATAATATTATACAGCTTTTACATAAACTGTCTTAATAACTTTATGTACAATAAGTCATTTAATCCAGTTGTTTTCAACTAGAAGTGATGTTACCTCCCAGGGGACATTTGCAATGGAAACATTTTTTGTTTGTCAATATTGGAGTTGGCTACTGATAAAATGGGTAGAAACCAGGATTGCTACTAAGCATCCTGCAATGCATAGAAAGGACTAACTCTTGCAAAAAAAAAAAAAAAAAAAAAATCTCTGCTCCAAAATGTTGCTAGTGTCAAAACTGAGAAACTATATTCTTTTTGCAAAACCTGTGAGATAAGTAGCTATTACCACAAGTTTAGTGATTCTTTTTTTAATGAGGAAATTATAGTGTTAACAACTTTCCAAAGTTACATGGAAAATAAATAATTGAGCTGAAACTTAAATCTAGGCAAATTTAAGCAATTTGGCAGAGTGTACGTGATCACAGGAGCTATCTTCTTGCACCAATGTTGTAATAGGCAACTTCTGAAGTGGCTCCCAATAATCCCCACTTCCTTGCATTCATATGCATGTGTAATACCCTCCAACTGTGTATTAAACAGGGCTAGTAATTTCTTTCTTGAGAATGGCTTGGAGCAACATTCTTAGAATGCTGGGATATCATTACCAGTATTAGGTTGTACAAAACTGTGATACAGATTTGGCTGGTATACACTTCCTTTGGATTTTCAAGCTTACCATTTTTTTGATAAAGCAAGTTACTATGTTGTAACCTGCCCTACAGAATGAATGCTTCATTTAGCAAGAATCTATGTCCAACAACCCTGGAGAAAGTGAATCCAGCCACCAGCCATGTGAGAGAGCTTGGAAACTGATAGCTTCCAGGTCAAGTCTTCATATAAAACTGCAAATATGGCTGGTTTCTTGATTGTATCTCATTAAATATCCAAAGTAGAGAACACACTTAAGCCATCACCTGATATGTGGCTCACAGAAACTGTGAGATAGCAAATGGTACTGTTTTAAACCACAAAAGTTTGAGATAATTTTTATGCAGCAATAGATTACAAAAACAGATAAATAATTTGGAATTCATTTTAAATGTGTCTTTGAAAAATATTCACAAGATGTTGACATCTTCTTTGGAGAAAGAAAATCATCTTGCTTCATCAGTATAAGCTGTATCTATCCACTCCTTTTACCCACTTTGGGCAAAATGATTGGTGTAAACGAATTAATGAAGGAAAATTGTTTAATAAGGGCTTTACTATTATATCACTGGTGATGTAAATGTCATGGCTACTACAACATTAATACACATAAAGTCATTTAAATGTAGTAGGTCAATCATAATGATTAATTATAGGGCAAATAAAAGTTTTATTGGTATTTTGTTACTGTCACAGTGCTGATGTAAGTTAAATAATGGCTAATACATATTATAATTGATTCAATTTCAACAATATGTGATGTGGTTTTAAAGCTTAAAAAACACTAGTTAATTAAAAAAAATTGGCAGAAGATGTTAAGTAACTTAGCCACAGACTTCAAAATTGCATTCTACAACAATGTTGTGATCAGCATGGTAAATATACATAATTCACTAGTTTGATTTACTTCTGTCATCATGTAAAACTTTAGGTTTCTGTTATATTCATACTGTACAGAAATCAAACTATAAAGACAAGCTTTCCTAATACAACTTATAGATATGATACAGAATTTAATACAAGCACCATTTAGAAATACTTCTCATGAATTAGTAAAATGAAGCAGAAACATTACTACGTTTTGAGCTCTCTTAACAGTGTCTAGTACATAACAAGGCCCAGTTTATATTTACTGTCACATTAAAACTAAAAGTTTATAAAAATATCAAAATGTTTTAATCACAATAGAAATATATAATGATTTTTAAAACATCAACAATAAAAATACATTAAAAAGAAAAGTATAAACTCAGTGTTAGATAGCAGAGTACGGTGACTATACTTAACAAAAATATACTGTATTTGGGTTGAGGACACCCTAAATACCCTAACTTGATTGCTACACATAATATACATGTAACAAAATTTCTCATGTGTCCCAAAAACTTTACATATAAACAAGAAAAAGTATAATTCAATAATACAAAAATAACCTCATTCCTTCCAGCTATGTCTTTGTGCATATCTGTGAATTTTTTGTGAAATAATTAAACAAATATGTATTAAATGCCTACTATGTTTCAAACATAAGATTAAATACTGAGGACATACTATTGAAAAAAATGAATAAAGTCATAATTCCTATGCTAGTGGACCCATATAGAAGAGTAAGGAGGAGAGAAAAATCAATAAATGTTTAGTAACATATTGCAATAAGTGTTTTAAATACATATATGAAAATTCTATGAGACAGGGAGACTATTTATTTTAGGGAAGAGGCTATAAAGAAAGCCCCTCCCATCATTATATATTCTACATGTAACAGATGAAATTACAAACCTCTCCCTTACTGTCAAGTGTATGCCACCAATGATACTGAAGCTATGAATATACAGATTATGAAGTCTAAATTTTGACTATATGTAATTCCTACAACAGATGTAGAGCCAGCACAGCTATGATTACTCAAAGTAGGCAATTGAATAGTCCTCCCTATAGAAATATCAATTCACATACTAATTTCATCAAATGTTTTACATTCATGAGCTATATCATAATTAGGCCTGAAAAGAGACCCAATTCCAGGATGTTTAAACAAAACAAACTTAACATCTACACAACCAAGACTTTACGACGGCCAATGCACAGAAATCTGCGGGTCTAACCATAGCTTTATACCCATTATTCTTGAAATAGTATGCCTAAAACACTTCAAAAACTTGTCAGCATTCATATTATAATATCGATGTGAAGCTAACTAGCATTAACCTTTTAATTTAAAGACTGAGAGCCAAAAACCTCTCCCCAGTGAGATGCGTTAACTGGAAACCTCTACTCATCTACATATTTCTATTTTATCTATAATTATATCACTGCTGATCCTACTTGCCGTAAAAGAAAAACCCAAATTTACTCACCAGGCAAATCCAATACTAAAAAACTTTGAATCACAGAAACAGGAGACCCCTGGAGAATTAAAATGAATGAAGATCTATTCATCTCTTTCTTTATCCCAACAATAATAGGACTACCCGTAGTTATTCTACTTACCTTAGAATACATTTTATTCCCAAACATTTTATTCCTGTCCCTTAGTCTCCTGATTTATTATCGACTAATTTCTACACAACCTAGAAAGTTACTTCGTAGGAAGTAACTTTTTAAACTGATTCCTGAGTGACGAATAAGTGATACCAAAAGGCAGGCAGAGAATTGTTACAAGCAGCAAATGAAAAAAAAAGTTCAGCCTCTAAACTGTAAGAAGAAAACCATGATCTTGCTAGAATCTTGCACCTAAATCTACTAGCTATTATAAGGCTGATGGAATTCTATTAAGAAAAAATGACGTCCAAGATTATTTGAGCAGTTAACCCATAAAATTGAAAGAAGGTAAGGACTCCTTGTCCTAGCACTCAATTTATGCTCTTGAGCTTGAAATCTAGTCCTAATAAAATTGATACATGGCATTATTATACTCTTTCATTTCTTTTGGTTTTTTTTTTTTTTTTTTTTTTTTTTTGAGACGGAGTCTCGCTCTGTCGCCCAGGCTGGAGTGCAGTGGCGCGATCTCGGCTCACTGCAAGCTCCGCCTCCCGGGTTCACGCCATTCTCCTGCCTCAGCCTCCCGAGTAGCTGGGACTACAGGCGCCCGCTACCACGCCCGGCTAATTTTTTGTATTTTTAGTAGAGACGGGGTTTCACCGTGTTAGCCAGGATGGTCTCGATCTCCTGACCTCGTGATCCGCCCGCCTCGGCCTCCCAAAGTGCTGGGATTACAGGCGTGAGCCACCGCGCCCGGCCTCATTTCTTTGTTAATTATGAAAGCACATTCCTACAATTTTCTAAGGTGCTACCAATTTAAACGTTGAATGACTGGCCCTTGATCTCTATGCTCCACAGTGTTCCACAACTATTTGTCTCAGAGTAATGTGATTATGTTAATAAAAAATCTGTTAGTCACAGGAATTACATAAAAAGTACCACTCAAAGGCCTTCCATACCTCTTGAGTTTTTTTAAAAAAAAGAAAAGATTTTAAGATGTAGCATGATCCCGGGTGTCTGCAAGCACATTAAAACACTGATATGCTTACAAATAGACATCCCTCTTCCAATGTAATTTTGTTTTATTTCATTTTACAAAATGTCCCTATCTTATTGAAGATAATCTTTCAAATGGCATTTCTAATTAGGACAGTTTGTTAACTATGGGATTTCATTCCATTTTAAAAATTATTATTCATTTGGTACTCATTTTCTTTAGTAGGTGACAGGTAGGCACAGGCATATTCTCATAGAATTTGGGTACAATGAAAAGATAACTAAAATAGGTATTTGTAGTGAGGTATTATACCTTATTATTATAAGGGAAATAGCGGATGCAACAGAAGAAAAAAAATAAAAATAATAATGAAAAAAGAACTAACTTAGTCTCAGGGCCAGAAATGTGTCTCAGAAGAACCGCTATTTAAGGGGAGACTTGGAAGATAAATAAGGGTTGCGCAGAAAAAAAGGAAAATCTGGAGAATGACTTGTAGTCGGGGGGAATGAATGTTGAGAGGTTGGCTTTTGGACACAATCTTGCATGTGCAAAAGCCTATAAATAAGAGATAGCCGGTGACTTTGATGGGCAAAATAGTTCAGTATATCTGAAGTTCAGAGTTTATGGGCACTGAATGTGTGATTGGGAGAATGCAAGAGACGATGCGGGAAAGAAGGCAAACCTCCATGATTCAGGGCTGCATATGTCAGGCATCTTTATTCTTAGGGCTTGGGAATCAAATGAATGAATTAAAGCAGAGCAGACATGGTTTAAGGGAAAATTCTACTACACTGTGCAAATTTGATAAGCCATTTAATATTTTGTTGTACTAGTTCAGGCAGCAGATAATCTGATCATTGTCTTTATCAGAAAGATAACTATAGATGAATTTGTGAGATGTTTCAGAAATAAATTGTCAGTACTCAGTGTCTTAATAGTGTCACCAAAGACAAAAGAGAAATCACAAGCGATCTCCAGGTTATTAGTTTTGGAAATAGCTGTGAAAATAGAATTATTTATTGTGAGAGGAGGACTTCAGTTTAGTACTAAATATAATGCATTCAATTTTGGCCATGAATGTTGATGTGCCTGGGAGATTCAAGCAGAAATGACCAATGAACAAGAAGCTATAATGTTCTACAATTTTCATAATACTTTTAAGAGTATGGAGGAATGTCTCAGTCTTCTGAAAATTGCAATGTATTTCCTTCTATAATTTTTCTGTGATGCTGATCCATGCCATGCAAAGGGACAGATCACTTTGGCCTAAAAAATTGTTTCACAACTGCTCTTAAAGTAAAAAGTGAGATAATATTGAGGACCTAAGGAAAAGCTTGAGATGCTAAATTATAATTAGGTGGAGTAGACAACTATTTTTCTTGAAGAAGCTAGAATTGCAGTACTCTGTGAATGTTTTAGTAGTAACTACATTCACCTGCTTTATTGTTTTTATTATGTTATTTTATTTTTCGGTGTGTGGCAAGCCTCAAAAGAGGCCCGTGTTTCTCCAAAAATCTCTTGCTTTAAAAAGAATAACACATTATATATTTTGGATTTTTGCAAGAGCCTCTCAGCCACTTCTGCATTCTCAGAAAGAGTTAGGAGGAAATAATTGTAGAAGGATAAATTGGGGAGCACAGAAATAAAAAGAGATGTAAAGGAGGAGAGTCTCTATTATTTGAGGGTACATATGTCTACTTCAAAGTGATCAAGACAGCTCTTCAGAGTTTGTTTACAGCTTCATTTTCAATCCTGGCCTGCAGAAGGACTTATTTACTTGTGGAAGTTTTAAAACATACCTATTCTAAGTTCACTCAATAAGTATAAAATCAATACCTGTGGGTTTAGGTGCCAAGTACGGTTCCCTGTTAAAAAGCTCTATTAGTTATGCTAAAACCAATTCTTTATTAAGAGAACCTAGCTTATAATCTCTATTGAAAGGGAGAATTCCAAAATCATTAGAATATACTTGACACTTTTTTATTTTTTAAAAATTTATAACTTTTTAAGTGTGAAATGTAATATGAACAATTGTACTTAAAAGTATTACATTATTATTTGCCTAGCAACCAAAGGTTTTCTTTTGAGACCACAATTCCAGAAATCACAACAGTAATATATTTGAACATAATGCTGATTCCTTGAAGAAATTTTTTTTTAAGTAAAACTTATTAAGGTGATTACTCTTCTTTCTTGGAGTGATGCTATGGGACACTTAATAGTAGTATGTAGCTTGTCTCCAAATAATGTTGACTTAGTATTAAAAAAGTATTTTTCTATATCAATAGCTTAAAATATATATTTTTAACATATGAAAGTAAATTCTAATCATAATACTTTGAAAAATACAATTTGGCCACGTATGGGGGCTCATGCCTATAATCCCAGCACTTTGGGAGGCCGAGGTGGGCGGATCACGAGGTTAGGAGATTGAGACCATCTTGACCAACATGGTGAAACCGTGTCTCTACTAAAACACAAAAAATTAGCCAGGCGTGGTGGTGCACATCTGTAATCCCAGCTACTCGGGGGGCTGAGGCAGGATAATTGCTTGAACCCAGGAGGCAGAGGTTGCAGTGAGCCGAGATCACACCATTGCACTCCAGCCTGGGTAACAGAGCGAGACTCCGTCTCAAAAAAAAAAAAAAAGAAAAACAAAAACAAAAACAAAAAAGAAAAATACAGTCGGTTTTTATCAGTCGGTTCTTGTATAACCAATTGAAGCAAGAATATACACTTTATTTAGAAAAGGATCTGCCCCCCAGTCCCCACACTTTTCAGTTTATTTTTTCTTCTTCTTAGGGGGAGTCAATCAGTGATAATTTCATTGTTTTTCCAGACCAGGCCAGAAATAGACCAAAGCAGAAAGAATGGGGAAAATTAAAATGGAATATGGTAAAACTTTTCTCTTTCTGCACCTCAGTTTCCTCATCTATAAAATGAATAAATCCTCTACCCAAATTTCATTAAGCTAAGTACAAGGGTTGCTTAAAATAGTTTAACATTTCTCCCTGATCTTTTAATCAAAGATCCCCTAATTAAATGAATTTTATGCTCTGGTATCTGATGAATACTGTAATTTCATTTAAAATAAAAAGTTTATCAAAAGTATTTTGGCTACTACTAGAATAAAATATAAATTCTGAAATTTTGTGGGGACCAGCAGCCCCCAAATATCCCCACAAAATATATTTTTTTTAAATTTTACTTTAAGTTCTGGGATACATGTACAGAATGTGCAGGTTTGTTACATAGGTATACATGTGCCATTCTCAAGCCAGTTAAAATGGCCTTTCTTAAAAATACCTTTTTAAAAGTATGTGCTGACAGACATGTAAAATATAGCCTCTTTCTAGATACAAGTTAACAATATTTTCAAACATGCATACCATTTTTAAGAATATCTGTCACTTTGTATTCAAGCATTGCTACATACTAACTTCAAACTAAATGTGCGTATTTGTTAAATAGTATTTTAATGTGTGGGTGGTCTTTACGAAACATTTAAATTACTTATTCTAACAGAAGTCACATCAGCAAAACAATGTTGATTACAATTTACCAGCTGCAAATGGAAATTTATTTCTTGAAGGGAAATAGAGATATTTGTTTATATGAGCTTCCTATATCAGGATAAGATTAAACTAAAATGAAATCAATTCCCTCATATAATCTAGTCCTCACTCTACTGTGGTTTTCCAGCAGCCGGGATTGTCTTTAAAATTTTTTCCATGTGTTTCATGATGAAAGAACAAATAGTTATGTCTAAGTTGGGTAACAGAAGTAGCACCATAATCTGAAATGGAATAAGTGATCTATATGAAAAAAACACTATCTGAAAATAAAAATGTAGTTAATAATAGGCTTAACTCATTATCAACATTTCATTTATTTAACAAGTGTTTATTGAGTACATACTACGTGCTAGGAATTGGGGATAGAATAGTGATATATCGAGTAAGGCACAGAGCAGATAATCTAGTGTGAAAACTATTTACAATCATATGCTTATTTTATTAGCCAAAAATGTTTATTTCCAGTGTTTCTAAAATGTGTAGAAATTTAATATTATTAATAAATTAATTTAACCATAAGGCATATGTGGAATAGTCAACATAATTAATTAAAAAGTCTTTCAAACCCATATCCAAATTATCTTTCCCTAGCTCCTTTGGACAAGTCGCAAAACAATTATCATCCAAAATAGCAAATCGTATTCATAAGCTCTGATAACTAAAGAAAATTATATTGCTGACTTTACCAAAAAGAAAAATACAAGACTTGATTCTCAAATATGAATCTATTCTCTAGTTTTAAGTAGCTATATTGCCTTAAAATTAATGAATAAACTCAGCATCTTGGAAAATACATTTGAGCAGCCTACACCCCAAATATCAACATTGTGTTATGTGTCTCACACTCAGGCCTTTGAAATCCGTTTATGTCCTGCCATGATTTCTATCTGCTCTCTGAGCATCTATACCCTTGTATTCATTGTTCTGACCCAAGAACATTCTGAATTATTTCATCTATGTTATTGATTTTTATGTGTGAAGTTAACATCAAAGGAGAGCTTTCCTAGAAATAAATTAATTAAAGAAAATTCAAGCATGGGAGGTTTCCCCTAGAAAAGAAAGATAACTTTACACTTTTTTTGTTGTTGTTCCAGACAGGATGGCATATTAGCATAGGCTGATAAGCTTCTACACACAACTCGACCAGGAAGTTTAATAGACCAGACTTCTCACAGAAACACACACACACACACACACACACGACACACACACAAAACCTTGACTTAGGAATTAGAAAATTTACCTGTGTGTGTGTAGTGGTAGTGGTGGTTGGAAAGTGCAGTTTGGTGTAAAGAAACATAGGAAGAAAGTGAAAGCCTCCATGAGTGGAGTTTTCTGATAGCACCCTTTCCTGTCCCCAGCTTTGCCTACCTGGTCATCAGTTCAGAGTAAGAAAATATAAGTGCCCAGGTCAGCAGGGATAATCAATCCATGAGGTGTGCAGAGCAGTGGACACCCAGCAGAGGTGTGCAGGGCAGTGGAAAAGGACAAAATGGATAGCTGGATGTTAAGATTAGTATATCTCTCAAACCAAAGAGCTACACAATTACAAATAAGTCATCTTTTGAACAACAACAGCCTTGCTCAGAATCTAACGTCTGAAAGTTTTTGGTTTGCTCATGGTCACCCATATAAATGTACAGGAAGGAAGAAATGTGGAAAATCTACATATATATGTGTGTGTATATATATATATATATATGTGTATATATATATGTGTATATATGTATTTAAAGTGTAGTTGAGCTTATGCTGCAAAAGGCAGGGCCCCTCCCCAAAGGCGCTCTCTCTCTCTCTCTCTCTCACTCTCTCTCTCTCTCTCTCTCTCTCTCTCTCTCTCTCTCTCTATATATATATATATATATATATCTGTGTTTGAATTCTTATCATATATTCAAGGACCTAAAACATTAATGCAAGTCAATATGTTTCAGTGAATAAGCTTCAGCACTTCAACTTTATAACAATTATAAATAAACCGATTAAAGTTTTTTCGAGGGAAATTGTATTTGTTTGAAACATGAAATTATGTTTAATCTTAAGAAAGAAAAGCCTAGGGGATATATACTATATGTTCAAAAACAGTTTAAGAATTTTCAAGTGGAAAATTTATACATTTTGTATATGATATTGATGGATAAAAATCATTAGAATCAATATCAAGAAGTTACTAAGATATATTTTCAGTCATGAAAGAAACAACTACTAATTCATCAAAATAGGCCAAAGCTACATATAATAATTTGGAGGTGTCTCTTAAAGGTATTTAAGTATATGTTAGATAACCAATATTGAGAAATAGTTTTTTAAGTAATTAGCCATTATTAGTCCAGTGACATTTAATACCCACTGATGGCTTTATTATATAAGAGGTGATGCCTACACCATATTTTTCAATTCAGATGTTATATTGATGCCATTGGAGATTAAATAAAAACTTATCATATTTAGGTAAAAAATTCTACATAATATTAAATGTTAAAAAATCTTCTAAACTATTTGATTCTTCTCTCTTTTCTTCTTTATTAATCTTGCTAGCGGTCTATCAATTTTGTTGATCTATTCAAAAAACCAGCTCCTGGATTCATTGATTTTTTGAAGGGTTTTTTGTGTCTCTATCTCCTTCAGTTCTGCTCTGATCTTAGTTATTTCTTGCCTTCTGCTAGCTTTTGAATGTGTTTGCTCTTGCTTCTCTAGTTCTTTTAATTGTGATGTTAGGGTGTCAATTTTAGATCTTTCCTGCTTTCTCTTGTGGGCATTTAGTGCTATAAATTTCCCTCTACACACTAGTCATTTGGAAGATAGTACTAACTTGATTTCAGTAAAAAAACAAAGAGAGTCATTGTAAACAAGTCAGAAAAAAAAACTTTTTCAGAATGAGCAAGGGATTTAGAACAATATATACAAATATTATATATATATTTTAATGTACAAAAAAACTGAAGCTGCTTTGTAATAGGTATTGTTTATGCTTTAAGAATGCACTCTTTCTCTAAAGGAAAGTGATGCAAAACATTCATGAATCATCTTTCAGACAGAAAACACAAGGATTTGCCAATATCAGTGAAGGTGACCCTCTTTAAGAGTTTTCTTTCTTTTTGTCTTCATACTCCACCAGGCCCTTAGATAAATTTAAAAATATCATTTGTACTTAAAGAATATATCTTAATTTAAATTTAAGTCTAAAGAACTTTACAATTTAACAGAAAATCTTGATAATGCTCTGTAGTTTGTCTTTATAGGGAAGACTTTATAAAACAAAAGACAGCACCAAAAAATGACTTGGCGGTTTACAACTATAAAAAATAAATCTGCTGCCGGGAACAACAGAATATGAAACAAGGCTGGAAATTCATCAATATATATTTTTTTATCCTGGAGCAGAGCTGGTTGAACAGATGTGGTGGGATTTATGTTTAGGAAGTGAAAAGTATCCTGGATCTACACAAAAGGGTTATTTGTTCAGTGGATTGTCCTGTGGGATGTCCATGGTGAGGCAGCAACACTTGTAACCCTGGTTTATTCCCTAGAGTCAAGAAAGCACAAGAACATTATTCACTCATGCTTCCTCATAAGAGATGGTCTGGCATTAAAATTAAGAGTAAGTACTATGAAAAACAATATAACAAGCACTATTTTTAATTTAACAAGATGAATTAATTATGAAATAACTCAAATTTTAATTATATATTACAATAAAATCCGATGAAAAGGTAACAGAGTTTGTTTAATCAACACAAACAAAATGTTGTTTTTAATATTTTTATAAATGTTTTCAAATATAATTATCTTAAATAATCCAGACAGTTTACAATTCATATAGCTCATATAAATGCCAACATTAACAGTTTTAAGCAGTTTGTGGGAAAATGATCAGCCAAACTACATATTCAAAGTCACCTTCTGCAAAGTTTCCATTTACTATGACTTTTTACATTCATCAATTATTGATGAATGGGTATATACCTGAAGGAATTGAAATCAGCTTGTTGAAGAGATGTCTGCACTCCTATGTTCATTGCAGAATTATTCACAATAGCCAAAATATGGAAAAACCTAATGTGTATATATACACATTCCAATGTATATGAAACTGTGGCATATATACAGAATATTCAGCCTTAAAAAACTGAAAATTCTGTCATTTGAAACAACATAGGTCAACCTAGAGGATATTATGTTGAGTGAAACTGTATAAAACTGTTAATGTTGGCATTTATATGAGGTATATGAATTCTGAACTATATGGATTATTTATGATAATTAAATAATAAGAGAGACAAATACTATATGATTTCATTATATGTGTAATTTAAAAATTCAAACTCATAGAAGTGGAGAGTAGAATGATGGTTACCAGAGGCTGGGGGCAGGATGTGGACAGGGAAAGGGGAGAAACTGGTCAACAGGTGGAAAGTTTCAGTGAGATTGGAGGAGTAAGTTCTGGTGTTCTATTGCACAGCATGGTCATGAGAGTTGATGATAATCTATTTTATATTTCAAAATAGCTAAAAGGAAGAATTTTGAATCTACTCATCACAAAGAAATGATAAATAGCTGAGGTGATGAATATGGTAATTGGTCTGATTTGATTATTTCACAATGTATAAATGTATTGAAGCCTTCACATCATATCCATTAAATATATACAATCATTATTCATCAATTAAAAATAAAGCTAAAATAGAGACAAATAATAATCGATGTAAACCTAAATAGTCTGCAACTTAGAGTAGCTCCTTTATTTGGTCAAACATATGAAACTTGTGTCCAAGAAAAGGAAAAATAAATAAATAAAAACCTGGTCATATGACATAAAATACAGTATTTGGAAATGGCTCACACTCCCAATGGCCAATAGCACACACATTCCATTAAAGCAAGTTGCATAGTAAAGGCTTATATCAGTGGGACAGGACAGAACCCAGAAGAGAAAGAAAAAACATATTTTGACTAATAAAATCTAAAACAACACGTGTAGATAAAAATATAGCTATATTTTAACACCCATGTCAATATCTTAATTAAGCCAATCCTCATCCTCAATTGTAGATGGGTTTGTTAGAATTTGGTATGGAATTGTAATAGATTCTGATTTAATAAACTGGTTAGCTCTCCAGTGTTTAATGTTTAATGGCTTATATACTTAAATGACATACTGTTTATTGATAATGAAAAATATAGGAAAGCTCCTAAAAATCCTAATTAAAAATTTCACTGAATTATAAGTATTTATGAATCTTAAATGCTGATTTGAGAAAACATATATAAATATTATTATGAACCCTGGAACATAAACACACAATTTTAAGGGTAATCTGAATTAAATTTTTAAAATATCAGTGTCTTTGATGAACATTGGCTGCATTGGTTTTTTACCAGTAATAATTTCACAGCAATACCAATGACTTAAATCACATATTAATTGATCATTAATTTATCTTAAGCTTCTCTTAAATTACCATTCAGGATTGTGGTATATTTTAATTCTTAAGGTAAATATGTGCTAAAACTGAAAAAGTTTCCAGTGAAAAGAAAGCAGATAAAAATTACATGCAGAACACCAAAGGTATTAGAAAATAAAATTAAAGAAAAGGAGGGAAAGCAAAACATGAAAAATACTTTGGTAGATATAATAATATGATTTTTAAGAGCTGTCGAAGACAGAACAAAAGGAAAGTAATATGACACACAACTGATACCTGCACGAGAAGTAAATACTACAGAAAAACTAGTGGAGATAATTCATATATCTGGCAACATATCCATCTTTGGTCAGGAAGACTGATTTGTTACCTAGATTGTGAGTGATGAGAATCAGGAAAACTTAAAAGTTTTTCTTTTTTTTTTTTTTTTGGAGTATATACAACATATGTGCAAGTCTTTTGTGACTAAAATGAGATAATATGTTCTAGTTGAGCAATAAAATAGGAATAATTTTTTAAAACGTATTCAGATTTTATATTCTTGGTGTGGTGCAAGGGTGAGTGGGGAGACAAGAAGTTCAAAGTTGCAAAAGTCTAATATGGTAGAATATGCAAGAAAGAAGTATTACAAGGAACATGCAGAAGAAAGGCAAGCATGGTTTGAACAAATGAATTAGTGAATAATAAGAAAGAATTTAGTTCCAATAGTCTTATTTTTGTTTGTTTTAGTACTGATGGAATTTAATTTGACTGGCTATGCAGAGCTACAAAGGTTCTATGTTCCCAACTCAGGTCATTCATTTTGATTATCGATTATTATACTCAAGGTAAATGGATTTATATGTGAACTTCAAAGAAATAGTAAGTAGGCAACCAAGAGTGTGCTGAAATCACTTAAAGTTTAGAGAAAATAACTTTTGGGTGAAAAGTGTTTTACATAGATGATGAGATCAGGTAGGATTTTTTAAAATTATTGTTCTATTTTCATTGCTTGTTTTACCTTTAAGTTTTACCTGAAAGTATGGATATTGTTTTTAAAGTACCAAGCAATAAAAATAATGTTATATAAGAAATTTTAACATGAGATGTGAGGTGGTATTAGAATTTTTACACAGAGTTGAAATTATGCCCAAATGTTACCCTCTACTAAATGTAAACACAATATTGTATTATGATAAAACAAAAATAATTTACGATTATACAGTGAAGATGATATTTCTGTTGTATATATATTACATTTCTTCAAATTTTACTTCCTTTTTATGTTCTATTTTTCTTTAACACTATGATAGGTTGAATTACATGTGTATATTTATATATACACACACTCTCGAAGTTGTTTACAGTTTTATCTTGGCTATAATAAATGAAACACCACATATTCTGTCTATGCAAGTTGCCTATACTTCCTGCTGCATTTTCTGGAAGTGCTAAGAGAGCAAAATATCAACTGCAATAGTGGCACCCTCCTTAGATATATTGCAGTCTTTGCACATCACCTACCTTATGAGTTGGTGTTAGAATACAAACTGTACGGCCGGGCGCGGTGGCTCAGGCCTGTAATCCCAGCTCTTTGGGAGGCGCAGGCAGGCGGATCACGAGGTCAAGAGATGGACACCATCCTGGCTAACATGGTGAAACCCCGCCCCTGCTAAAAAAAGAAATATATACACAAAAATTAGCTGGGTGTGGTGGCGCGCGCTGGTGGTCCCAATTACTGAGGAGGCTGTGGCAGGACAATGGGTTGAACCTGGGAGGCGGAGTGAGCCAAGATCGCTCCACTGCACTCCAGCCTGGTGACACAGCGAGACTCCGTCAAAAAAAAAAAAAAAAAAATTCTACCGTTATAAAAGGCACCCATATGGAATGACGGTTAAATAGAATCATATCAACCTCATCCTTCTGTTTGAGGCTGAATTGCTTCTCCCCAAAATTCATATGTTGAGGTCGTAACCTCCAGTGCCTCAGAGTGTGGCCATGTTTGGAGACGGTGTCTTTGAAGGAGTGCTTAAGTTAAAATGAGGTCTTTAGGGTGGGTCCCAGTCCAATGCCACTGGTGCCCTTATAGAAACAGGAAATTTGGATACACAGAGAGACAGCAGGCACACGTGCAGAAACAGAGATGACCATGTGAAGAGACAGTGAGAAGATGGCCATCTGCAAGCCAAGTAAAGAAGAAACAAAACACCAACAGCCCTGCCAACACCTTGATCTCATATTTTCAGACTCCAGAATTATGATAAATTAAACACATTGTTTAATCCACATAATCTTCAGTATTTTGTTAAGCCAGCCCTAGAAAATTAATACACTGCCTGTTTAGACTGTGAATATACATCATGAGAAACCCATTGCTTTGAGTCTTTTGATTTCTATGATTTTTTTATTGTTATAAACAACACTTATCAGCATTTAACCTTCACTGAAATAACCAGTTCGGAAACAAAAAACATTAAGAAGTTATTTTCTGTGTATGAGTATCATGAAGCTTTAAAGAGCCTCTATATAGATGCCGCTATAGCTGAGGGAATTTATTAGGGACATAGCAATCGGCCCGTTTATCCTTTATCATCTCAGACTGGCAAAATTAGTTCATTTTTCCTCAAAGTTATGCCAACCCCAGTCCCTGACAGAAGAACCATCCCTTCAATCCAACCTAAAATATTTTTTCTAAACATTTCTCAGTCCAATCCAATCCTCCATCTTTCACTGCTTTCTTCATACCTTTCACTACTTTATTATTATTATAGTAAACTTTTCTATATGTCTAGATCTATAATATTTTAAATTACATTTTCTTTCTTTGCTTTTACGGAAAACAGCTGTCAATTGGGCAATACTTCTCCTATAACCCCATCAGTCTGAAACTATTTCTGTTGTTTCATATACCAGTGTTTGGGCGGTAAAGTGGTATACTACAGTTCCCACATATGGATCATTAGTGTCCTAAAAGACACGACCACAATCAACCACAGAAACCATCAGATCAAAATTTCTTTTTTACTGTGCATTACTCAGGGCTAAACTATTCTCATCCCTTCTTAACTGCCTTCACCCATTTACTTCTCAATCACTCCCCTGACATCCACTGAGGAATTCAATTACTTGTGTATCATTTTTCTCCTCTCCATATTTTATCATTTACAGTTACATCAAAATTTAATGGCTAAAATTTTATCAGTTAAAACTCTCATTTATACTGGCCTTCTTTTAGTTTCTTGAACCAGCCAAGCTTTTTAAATTCTGAACTCATACCTTTTCCTAAAATGCTCTTAGTCATCTTTCTATGCATAAATTTCTCAGTACTAGGTCCAGCTTTGGAAATACAGATTCTATATTATGTCTTTTCTTGGTCTAAGTATGTCTTTCAGAAAGAGAAAGAAAGATCCAAAGAAGGAAGAATAGAATGAAATGGAACAAGGAAAAAGAAAGATTAGAATACATGTGAAACCTCTACAATTTTTACCATATAGAGCAGGAAAGAAACATAATCTAAACCATATTTTTCCATCATACTCTTAATAAACACACCTCTGCATGTTATTTTGAAGTTCTATGTCTTTACTCTCCAGATTTTTTAAAAAAGTAAACCACTTTGGCCATGTACCAGATAAAATGTATTTTAAAAACTTTACGGAACTATGGCCTCAAGAAAAAAAAAATATGTTAGCTACTGAAGTACATAATTTTGAAAAATTGCAAAATGTGCGTAATGGACACAGAATAGAGTGATGTCACCAAAAATTGGTGTCTGCTACTTTTTAGTCAGAAGACAAAGTTTAAGGGGAAGAATATATCCGAAATTCATTGAAGTAACAGGGCAAGGATAACATCATGAACCATTTCCAAAGAATTAAAAGACCAATTTTCATTTTTTGTTATGAAAATATTGCATGTTATGCTTCATAATTAAGTCACATGTGAGGCCATACCAGGAGTCAAAGATAATTCAGGAAGTTGATTAGAAAATGTACCTTTCAGCCATCTTGCTTTCAGCTTATCTGAACCTGACACTTGCAGCCGTTTGCCACGCATATTGAGGCAGTGAAATGATTTTTATTAAAAGGCAGTTAGTGTTGTCAGTTTGTTTCCAAAACTTGGTCTTGGCTAAAAGAAACATTCCTTCCAAATATCCACTACCCAATTCCATAGGGTTTGTGTTTGCTCTGTTTGAGTATTCAGTTGCCAGTTTTCTTTTTTTTTTTTTTTTTTTTATTATACTCTAAGTTTTAGGGTACATGTGCACATTGTGCAGGTTAGTTACATATGTATACATGTGCCATGCTGGTGCGCTGCACCCACTAATGTGTCATCTAGCATTAGGTATATCTCCCAATGCTATCCCTCCCCCGTCCCCCGACCCCACCACAGTCCCCAGAGTGTGATATTCCCCTTCCTGTGTCCATGTGATCTCATTGTTCAATTCCCACCTATGAGTGAGAATATGCGGTGCTTGGTTTTTTGTTCTTGCGATAGTTTACTGAGAATGATGGTTTCCAATTTAATCCATGTCCCTACAAAGGATATGAACTCATCATTTTTTATGGCTGCATAGTATTCCATGGTGTATATGTGCCACATTTTCTTAATCCAGTCTATCATTGTTGGACATTTGGGTTGGTTCCAAGTCTTTGCTATTGTGAATAGTGCCGCAATAAACATACGTGTGCATGTGTCTTTATAGCAGCATGATTTATACTCATTTGGGTATATACCCAGTAATGGGATGGCTGGGTCAAATGGTATTTCTAGTTCTAGATCCCTGAGGAATCGCCACACTGACTTCCACAATGGTTGAACTAGTTTACAGTCCCACCAACAGTGTAAAAGTGTTCCTATTTCTCCGCATTCCTTACACCTTATACAAAAATCAATTCAAGATGGATTAAAGATTTAAATGTTAAACCTAAAACCATAAAAACCCTAGAAGAAAACCTAGGCATTACCATTCAGGACATAGGCGTGGGCAAGGACTTCATGTCCAAAACACCAAAAGCAATGGCAACAAAAGACAAAATTGACAAATGGGATCTAATTAAACTAAAGAGCTTCTGCACAGCAAAAGAAACTACCATCAGAGTGACCAGGCAACCTACAACATGGGAGAAAATTTTCGCAACCTACTCATCTGACAAAGGGCTAATATCCAGAATCTACAATGAACTCAAACAAATTTACAAGAAAAAAACAAACAACCCCATCAAAAAGTGGGCGAAGGACATGAACAGACACTTCTCAAAAGAAGACATTTATGCAGCCAAAAAACACATGAAGAAATGCTCATCATCACTGGCCATCAGAGAAATGCAAATCAAAACCACTATGAGATATCATCTCACACCAGTTAGAATGGCAATCATTAAAAAGTCAGGAAACAACAGTTGCCAGTTTTCAATGGTAAAATTCTTATGGAAGAGTTGTTGTTTTTTTTTTTTTTTCTACAGAAGGCAAAGAAAATATCACACAAATAGAATTCTAGTAAAATCTGCAGAAATCCTGCTAAATTGCAGCATTATTTTCTCGATTAAAATATCTTCTAAAAGTTTTTAAATGTTTAAACAATTTTTAGTCATAAGTACTGCTGTTTAGGATGGCAAATTCAATTCATGACTGCACTCCCAGAGCGTCTTTGTTTTTCTAGAAATTCCCTTATTCTTTCCACTTTTTCCTCTAACTTGAATATACATATGATGTTTCCTGGTTTGCAAACATTTTGAAGGATGTAGTTTCCTCATTCGCATAACAATTACATAGAATTAATAGAAAACGGAATCTGTTTTTCAGCAAAGAGGAATGTAGGGTATGCATTGGTCTTTCCTTATCCACTAACGCAATCCTATTATATTCAAATTCAGTATAGATTTGAGTAACTAATTCATAAAATATAATTTCTTATCCACTACCTCCTATTGAATTATCAAACAATGGTTTTTAAAAGATATCTAATAAATTAATGTTCTTTCAAGCAAATTTGGAAAATAAATGTTAATATTTTGTATATATGATTTCTTAGTAATCATTGCTGTCATTCAGAAATTCTTTGTGTTACTTGTCAATCAGTCAGAAAATTGAAAAAATGCCGTGATGTTGAAGCAAGACGTGAATAAAAATTGCTTTTCACTTTAACCAAAACAATAAAGCAACTCATAAGCAGTCATTGAAAAGCATATTAATAGGCTGGGCACTGTGGCTTATGACTGTAATCCCAGCACTTTGAAAGACTGAAGTGGGTGGATCACTTGAGATTAGGAGTTCGAGACCAGCCTGGCCAACATGGTGAAACCCCCGTCTCTACTAAAAATACAAAAATTAGCCAGGCATGGTGGCCCACACCTGTAATCTCAGCTACTCCGGAGGCTGAGGGAGGAGAATCACTTGAATCCAGGAGAAAGAGCTTACAGTGAGCTGAGATCTCGCCACCGCTCTCTAGGCTGGGCAACAGAGGGAGACTGTCTTAGAAAAAACAAAACAACAAAAGCATATTAATTGTTTATGGTATGAGATTGTTATTTACAAGTACACATCATGCCAAAACTATAAGCAACTATCTTTGCTTCTCACCTCTACATAGGCTACTTATGTAGATACTTTGGTTTACCTGTCCAACAATCTGCCAATTTTCTTGGCACTCTAGTATCACTGCCATAACAGTCTATCCAGAGTTAACTTCTAAGATATATCTTTTAAAATGTGGCTTTATAATTCTGTTACAGTGTTTGATGAGAAACAAAATGGAAAGGGAGAACGTATTATCCTCCAGAGGGAATGTCTTTTATGCCACTGTTAGGATGGAATTTTTAATTTATGGCTGTATTCCACATCATAAAATATAATAATATTTAAAATAAAAAGACAACATGAAGTCAGAAAAATATAAAATCTCAAAAATCATTAATTGTTTGGCACCAAATAAAAGTAATAAGATGCAATATATATACACATACATGTTCACACACATTTATTTGATTAAAGCTTGAAAAGCAAAGGAAAATAAGGAAGGACATAAATAAAAGCTACAGGCAACAAATGTAGCTGAAGGGAATGAGACAGGAAGGCTAATAGCTTGCTATAAATTAGGAGGGAAATAAAATTAATGATGAGTTTTTAGCAGCCAAGAAACTGAACTAACATTTTAAACTTGTCTTGAAAAGAGAAAAAAATGAGAGAAAGAAATTTAGACATTTGAAGAGTAGTGGAAACTAGACTAATTGTAGCTTATAAAAATCTGATATGAAAATTAAGTATACGTAGAATTAAACATGTAAAATGATCGAGTCCAGTTTTAATTTATAATATAGCAAAAATAATGATAAACATCTAAGTATGTCTTCAAAAATCATATAGCACAGAGAAAAGGTTGCCTCTTTCAGAGAAGCTAAGAAAACATACCTAGGAAATTATTGCCAGTATAAATCTCATCTAAATCTACTCTGGTCTAAACCTAAGCTAAATCTAATCTCAACAATATAAAACTTTTATTTAAGAAAAAACACACAAGTTTTGCCTATGTGGCAATAATGCTTTGGAGGTTTCTTTGTAGGCAAATACTAATTGTTATAAAAAACATTCACCAAGGACCAAAACAAAACTTGACACAAAGGACTAATATCCAGAATCTGCAAGGAAGTCATATGACTCAACAAGAAAAAGAAAACAAATAACCTTAAAAAGTACACAAAGGACATAAACAGACATTTCTCAAAAAAAGACATACAAGCAGCCAACAAACATATAAAAAGGCTCAATATCACTAATCATCAGAGAAACAAAAATTAAAACTACTATGGGATGTCATCTTGCAACAGTCAGAATGGCTATTATTAAAAAGTGAAAAACAACAGATGTTTGTGAGGCTGTGGGGAAAAAAGAATGCCTATACACTGCTGATGGGAGTGTAAATTTGTACAACCTTTATGGAAGTCATTATGGAGATTTTTCAAGGGCTACAAATAAAACTATTATTTGACCCAGCAATCCCACTAATGGATATCTACCCAAAGGGAAAAATTATTTTATAAAAAATAAACCTGCACTCATATGTTTATTATAGCACTATGCAAAATAGCAAAGTCATGGAATCAACTTAAGTGTCCATGAATGAATGATTGGATAAAGAAAATGTGGCATATATAAATCATGGAATACTATGCAGCCAAAAAAATGAATGAAATCAGGTCTTTTGCAGCAACATGGATGGAACTGAAGGCCATTATCCTAAGTGAGATAACTCAGAAATGGAAAATCAAATACCACATGCTCTCACTTGTAAGTGAAAGTTAAACAATGGGTACACGTGAACATAAAGGTAGAAATAATAGACACTGGGGATCCAAAAAGGGTGAGGGGTGAGGGATGAAAAATTATCTATTGAGTACAGTGTTCACTATTTGGGTGATGGAGACATTAATTAGAACCCCAAACCTCACCATTATGGAATATATCCATGTAACAAACTGGCATATGTACCCCCGAGTGTATAATTTTTTAAAAGAGTCTATAAATTTCAAAGAATCAAAATAATACAGATCATGTTCACCAAAAGTATATTATTATAAATCAACTATTAATCAAATGTTAAGATTTTAGAAAATCTTCAAAAAACTAAAAATTAGACAAAACACATTTGTAATCCAAGAGGCAAAGAAAACAATCAAAATAAAAATTTTAAAATACATTTTTAACTTAATAATAATAAAAACACAAAATCCAATATTTGTGGGTATAGCAGTGGCAATTCTTAAAGGTAACTACATACTTTTAATTTCTGAAATAGTAAAGAAACAAATTTAAAACAAAAATCTGGCAATCACAAAATTTGATAAGAATGTGAAGCCATCTGAATTTTCTTACTGATGGAATAAAATGGCACAAACTTATTTTTTAACTGTTGGAAAAAAATATTTTGAGGTTAAACATTCACTTATGCAATAACTCAGCAATTTTGCTTCTAAATATTTATCAAAAAAAGAAAGGAAAGAAAGAAGGATGGAAGAGAGAAAGTGAGGAAGGAAGAAAGAAGAAAGGAGAGGAGGAAGAAATATAGAAAGACAAAAAGAGGAAGTGAGGAGGAAGGAAGAAAATAAGAAAGAAAAAAAAGGAAGAATGAAAGGAGGGAGAAAGGGAGGGAGGGAGTAAGAAAGGGAGAGAGGGATGGAAGGAAAGAAGGGAGGAAGAAAATGGAGAAGTCCATACAGTCTTATACCAAGATGTTCCGTTACTTCAATTATATTTTTCAGAAGTAGAAACACTCCATGTTTCTTTCAACAGGAAGATAAACAAACTGACCTTGTCATACAATGAGATACTACTAAGTAATAACATGAATGGACTATTGATACAATAATATGGATAATCTCAAGAGTATTAAACTGAGTGGAAGATGTCAGGCACATAAGAGTACATACTGCTTAACTTCCCTTGACGAAGTATTAGAATAGGGAAACAATCTATATTGACAAGGATGAGAAAAATACGTGCATCAGCAAAAATGGAAACTGATTGGCATGAGGCAAGAGAAGGATTTCTCGGGTAGAGAAAACAGTCTATATATTGATACATGTGTGGATTACACAGGTTTATGCTTTTCAAAGTAGAAACAAATATACACTTAGGACGTATGCATTTCGCTATGTTTCAATACAGAAACAGTCATGCAAAAATGAAGATACCATTTATAGTGACAGCAGAAAATATAAAGAATTTGAAAACGTACTTAATAAAAATATTTATATCCTCGGCCGGGAGCGGTGGCTCACTCCTGTAATCCCAACGCTTTGGGAGGCCTAGGCCGGCAGATCACTTGAGGTCAGGAGTTTGAGACCAGCTTGGCCAACATGAGGAAATCCCGTATCTACTAAAACACACAAAAATTAGCCAGACCTAGTGGCGTGAGCCTGTAATCCCAGCTACTCGGGAGGAGGCTGAGGCAAGATAATCACTTGAACCCGGGAGGCGGAGGTTGCAGTAAGCCAAGATGGCGCCACTGCACACTCCACACTGCATATATATAAATACACACATATATATACACACACACATATATAAATTATTAAAAACATATTGTTTTATATATTATATATGTAAAATCTCTATTAAGGAACACGAAATAAGGTCTGAATAAATATTTAAAATAGCGCAGCTAAATGACAAATTATGCTAATAAACTCAATGCAATATTAATCAAATTTCCATCTAGATTTTTAAACAGTTTGATAAATGTATGCAAAAAAACTATATTGAAAATTGACAGATCTCGAATAACTAAGTGCACTTATTAAAAACAAAAAATGAAACAAAATGACAGGAAAACCGGTGCGGAGAGTTTCCCCTACCAAGTAGTAAGAATCTACAGATATTTATTAGTGTGGGACTGATGTAAGAACTGAAAAAAAAAAGTTACATTGGAATTGAATATAAAAGGGCAAAAAAAACTACATATCTAATTATTCATCAATCTATCTTGCTTTCTCGAATTTAATGAGAAAAGTATGAAAAGTTTAGAAGATGGAGAGTTAAGGAAACTGAGTTAGGACAAAGAAGAATTATTGCTGTCCCTCAAGTGTTAAGAATATCTACTTCATAAAACCCAGAAGTATAAACGATGATGTAAAAAGTGGATAATTTTCATTATTTCAAATTTAAGGATCATTTTTAATAGAGAAAAACATGGATGAATTAACAAAAATTGCCATTTGACAGATATTTGCAAAGATAAGTTATGCTAAAATTATTTAGGTTAGTATTTTATATGGATACATGAGAACACCATGGTACAATTTTGACAAAGTTTTATTTTGGATTAGCAATCTCAAGAACAACAAAACTAGTTAATTTAGAATGTTTTCTCTTTATTTTCATTTCTTACATAGGAAGATTAGATCTAAATAGTCACCAAAAAGTAAAGCTGTACCTATTATTATAAATAAAATGAAGAATGTGATAGACTGTTATCATTTGTTTTTGATCTCCTTATCTGTAATATAACTATTATGGAAGTTATATAGTTAAGATCATATTCATTAGATATTATCTAAATCTTACAGTTTTCTGTATTTTTTTCTGTGCATTTTTTTCCCCAAAATACCTGGCCCTGCATAATATGGGGATAGAAAGAGCCTCATTATTTTAGGAGATTAGTTTCCTGAAAAGAAGTAAAATTAAATGAATCACAATTTTTTCTTTGTAGAAATAATTTAGAAAGACACATAATGAAACAAGAGCTTCATGCTTAGTACTGTGCCTGGCAAATAAAAGATGTATTTAAGAACTCACAAATCTGATAACCTGATCACCAAATTTAAAGTAACCTTTTTTTGTTTCTTTCAAACACCACACTTCAATCGCCATAGTTATAAAAGATATATGAGCTTAAACATCTTAGTAACTTAAAAAGGCATAAAGCCTAACTTATATCTTTTCCCAGAAGGTGAAAGTCGTGTATAGTATGAGAAAAATGTTCTGACAAAAGTGAATTAGAACTTAATCTATTTTTTACTTTCTTAACTATGACTAATAAAAAAGGTATTGACAGAAGATAAGAGATGCTAAAACTAAAAAAAATTTTCAAGATCATCCAAAAGTTGGCACATTGGTTAATGCCTGACCTTCTTCCAAATATATAGACACACATGCATATATACACATAGCATACATAGATCAGCACATATATATGTGAGCATATATATGTACATACATGTATTTAAATGAGAATATTATATATATATGTATGTATGTATACATATATATGCTCACATATATATGTGGTTATCATGCAAGGATGGGTTGAGATGAAGCCACAATATGGAATTCAGCTCACTTACCAAATTACCTAGACATGCAGTGAGCTTGTATGAGCAAAGAAAATGTACAAAAACAATAAAGACAAATAGACAAAACTTCACCATAGAAAAATGACATTTATTGTGTTAACTACTGAGGTTTTGTGTTTATACAAAACAAATAACCTATAGTGACTTATATAATGATTATCACAAGTGTTTCTTTAAGCATATTGAAAGCCCCTAAAATAATGCACTAGAGACACAGCTTAACAGTAGGCCAATGCTGTTTCAAGTAGCTCAAAAGTGACATATTTCTAACAAAATATTTGCTTTTTAAAAAATAAATACTGTTTATTATGGTTGTATTCGTCTATGGAAAATTTAAAATATTCATGATTCTGATCATGTGGCGGGTCATTTGTATTCTTCATATTTATTATTGCCCATTGAAAAAATGGTAGGTCTTATGTTGTTTTTGTTTCTCAATCACAGCTAGTTCAGCTTATTTAAAATATATATTTATTTAAATTAATATTTCTAATTGACTAAGGAAAATTTGTATATTATGGTATACAATGTGATGTTTTGGTTATATGTATACCTGTGAAAGATTAAAGCAAGCTAATTAACATATCTATCACTTTACATACTTATCTTTTGTGATGAGAACAATTAAAATCTACTTTTAGTAATTTTCAAGTATACAATACAGTATTATATACCAGAGTTATCATGCTATACTTGTTCTTTTAGTTTCTGCCCCATTCTCTTTAACATGTAACAACTAGTGCCATTTTATAATCAATAGTTTGCTTGTTAATGATATATTTGTTATTTTTATATATTTCTAAATGATATTTAATCAAACTTTTAACATCAGCTTTACATTGTTTGCTTTTTGGGGCTTTCATTTATATTGGGGATAAACTGTAGTAGGATTCAGACTGTTTTAGCTATTTTAAAATGAATTGATATACCTTAGAACACAACATTTTTCCTGTTTTTATTTCAGTGTAAAGTAATAGGAGAGTACATCAACAGTGAAAAAAATTTGTGCCATCAGTGTCTGTTTATCAAAGGTTCTGACCAATTTTGAGGAGGCTACTCTTCCATGAACAGATGGTTGTATGTGAACTCATCCAAGACATCCAAACAGATGTCTGTCCTGAGGTCATCCCACCACAGATTAGAAGACATGCAAGTGCTAATCCAGATATGAGCTAGCTAGGCCTTTTTTTTCCCCAATAAAATTGGATCAATTTAATAACCTAGTTTTTGAAAGTCAGTTTTCAGGAAGCCACAGCTGTTTGGAAATTACAGACTGGACTCTCCATTACAAGATACCATTCCTTCTAATGTTAACATTTTTAAAAGGAGAATTAAAAAGTTACACACTATTTTTGTTGCATTCTGAAATTCTTTACTTTGTAAAAGTATGATTATAATTTTCCTCTTTTTCAAATATAGAAAACATAATTATTTTATTAGCAAACAGCAATTTAGTTATTAGTAGCTAACCAGAGAGGTGGAAGATCTGTTAAATTGTTGGAAACATTTCTACAAAAAAAATTCAACAGAATAGCAAGTATTTAATTTCACTGTCTGGGTGATTATTTATTTTTTAAACAATTACTAACACCTATGACTCCTTTTAGAATTTTGAACACAGAGAAAAATCCTGGAAGTGATTCATTTATTATCGTTTGAAATTGTGTTGTTAGGGAAGATTTGAAATTCATAACACTACTTTTTCCAGCAACTGGAACCAATAGGATAGTCAACTTAAAGATATGAGATGCACAAATATGGTATATTTTTTATGTCATCTTCTCTGATAATTTGTCTATATTATGAACACAAATATAACTAATTTTTAAGTGTATTATTAGGAACATGTAGGATAATATTGAACATGGTGGAAGAGCAAGTACAAGGAAAAATGTTGGTTGATGTTTAACAGATATTTGACAATTTTCAAAGTGTTATAATACTCATTATTTAATTTGTTCTCAGAATAACCATGAGAAAGGGCAGGACATATAGCCTTTTTTTTCTAACGATGATAAAGCAGTCTCAGTGACATGAGTTGAATCCCTAGCTTATGAGAGGCAGAAGTTATCTAGAAAAAGGGCTTTTTACAGCAATTTCAGAGTTTTTTCTATATTATGTATAAAATAGAATATGTAAATTTATTCTATGTTTCTATATAAGTAAAAATTTCTAAGTGTGCCTTCAATTTATTTCACATGGATCTATTCACCTGGTTAATAAAGATTATGAGAAATATCTGTGACAAATAATTTGGAACAAAGTTAAAAGTATATTTGTTCATACAGATGACTAATACCCTTTCTCTTATGCATCATTCTATATAACCACAACCTTTTGTGTAGGTGAATTAAACAATTAGTGAGTACAAAAACAATTATTTTATCAAGCATCTGCTGCATGTTATGCACATCCACAGCTATAGTGACAAAGAAATAAGGCCATATAATGCCCTCATTTCCAAAGAGCTTCATATGAGCTGGTAAATAAAGAGTAAAACTAAAATTTTACCTAAAAACTAAAAGGAATTTTGGTACAAGTAGCCATTAAATGCATAGTTGTGTAAGTGAATGCCACAGGAATTCTAATGAGAAAAGGTCACTTTTGCTGCTGGGTTTGGGAAGATGTGGAAATTCAAATTCGTAGGAGAGTATCAAGAGTATACATATGTAAGTATCAAAAATAATGTGGTGGCTGGCAAGATGGCTGAATAGGAACAGCTCCAGTCTGCAGCTCCCAGCGAGATCAACACAGAAGGTGGGTCATTTCTGCATTTGCAACTGAGGTACCCAGCTTAACTCATTGGGACTGGTTAGACAGTGGGTGCAGCCCACAGAGGGTGAGCCAAGCAGGGTGGGGTGTTGGCTCACCTTGGACGTGCAAGGGGTTGGGGAACTCTGTCCCCTAGCCAAGGGAAGCTGTAAGAGACTGTGCCATGAGAAAGAGTGTCTTCCAGCTCAGATACTATGCTTTTCCCACAATCTTTGCAAACTGCAGACCAGCAGATTCCTTCGGGTGTCTACACCACCAGGGCCCTGGGTTTCAAGCATAAAACTGGGTGGCCATTTGGACAGACATTGAGTTAGCTGCAGGAGTTTATTTTCATACCTCAGTGGCACCTGGAATACCGCAAGACAGAACGGTTTACTCCTCTGGAAAGGGGGCCAAAACCAGGAAGCCAAGTGGTCTTGCTGAATGGAACCCACCCCCATGGAGCCCAGCAAGCTAAGATCCACTGACTTGAAATTCTCGCTGCCAGCACCGCAGTCTGAAGCCAACCTGGGATGCTCGAGCTTCATGGGGAGAGGGGCGTCCACCATTACTAAGGCTTCAGTAGACGATTTTCCCCTCACAGTGTAAACAAAGCAGACAGGAAATTCAAACTGGGTGGAGCCCACTGCAGCTTGGCAAAGCCGCTCTAGCCACACTGTCTCTCTAGATTCCACCCCTCTGGGCAAGGCATCTCTGAAAGAAAGGCAACAGCCCCAGTAAGCGCCTTATAGATAAAACTCCCATCTCCCTGGGACAGAGCACCTGCGGGAAGGGGTGGCTGTTGGGGGCAGCTTCAGCAAACTTAAACCTTCCTGCCTGCTGGCTCTGCAGAGAGCAATGGATCTCCCAGCACAGTGCTCGAGCTCTGCTAAGGGACAGACTGCCTCCTCAAGTGGGTCCCTGTCCCCCATGCCTTTTGACTGGGAGACATCTCACAGAGGAGAGCTCCACTGGCATCTGGCAGGTGCCCTTCAGGGAAAAAAGCTTCCAGGGGAAGGAACAGGCAGCAATCTTTACTGTTCTGCAGCCTCCGCTGGTAATAACCAGACAAAAAGGGTCTGGAGTGGACCTCCAGCAAACTCCAGCAGACCTCCAGCAGAGGGTACAGAGTGTTAGAAGGAAAACTAACAAATGGAAAGAAATAGCATCATCATCAACAAAAAGGACATACACACAAAAACCCCATCTGAAGGTCACCACCATCAAAGACCAAAGTTAGATAAGTCCACCAAGATGAGGAAAAACCAGCACCAAAAGGCTGAAAATTCCAAAAATCAGAACGCCTCTTCTCCTCCAAAGGATCACAACCCCTCACCAGCAAGGGAACAAAACGGGATGGAGAATGAGTTTGATGAATTGACAGAAGTAGGCTTGAGAAGGTGTGTAGTAACAAACTCCTCCAAGCTAAAGGAGCATGTTCTATCTCAATGCAAGCAAGTTAAGAAACTTGAAAAAAGGTTACAGGAAGTGCTAACTGGAATAACCAGTTTAGGAAAGAGCATAAACGACCTGATGGAGCTGAAAAACACAGCAAGAGACCTTCGTGAATTATACACAAGTATCAATAGCCAAATCGATCAAGTGGAAGAAAGGATATCAGAGATTGAAGATCACCTTAATGAAATAAAGCGTGAAGACAAGATTAGAGAAAAAATGATGAAAAGGAATGAAAAAGCCTTCAAGAAATATGAGACTATGTGAAAAGATCAAACCAACGTTTGATTGGTGTACCTGAAAGTGACAGAGAGAATGAAACCAAGCTGAAAAACACCCTTTAGGATATTATCCAGGAGAACTTCTCCAGCCTAGCAAGACAGGCCAACATTCAAATTCAGGAAATACAAAGAACATCACAAAGATACTCCTCAAGATGAGAAACCCAAAGACACACAATCATCAGATTCACCAAGGGTGAAATGAAGAAAAAAATGTTAAGATCAGCCAGAGAAAAAGGTTGGGTTACCCACAAAGGGAAGCCCATCAGACTAACAGCGGATCTCTCGGCAGAAACTCTACAAGCCAGGAGAGAGTGGGAGCCAATATTCAACATTCTTAATGAAAAGAATTTTCAGCCCAGAATTTCATATTCAGCCAAACTAAGCTTCATAAGCAAAGGAGAAATAAAATCCTTTATAGACAAGCAAATGCTGAGAGATATTTTCACCACAAGGCCTGCCTTACAAGAGCTCCTGAAGAAAGCACTAAATATGGAAAGGAAAAACCTGTACCAGCCACTGCAAAAGCATACCAAATTGTAAAGACCATCGACACTATGAAGAAACTGCATCAACTAACAGGCAAAATAACCAGCTAGCATCATAATGACAGGATCAAATTCACACATAACAATATTAACCTTAAATTTAAAAGGGCTAAATGCCCCAATTAAAAGATAGAGGGTGGCAAATTGGATAAAGAGTCAAGAGCCATCAGTGTTCTGTATTAAGGAGACACATCTCATGTGCAAAGACACACATAGGCTCAAAATAAAGGGATGGAGGAATATTTACCAAGCAAATGGAAAGAAAAAGAAAAGCAGGGTTGTAATCCTAGTCTCTGATAAAACAGACTTTAAACCAACAAAGATCAAAAAAGACAAAAAAGGGTATTAGATAATGGTAGAGGGGTCAATGCAACAAGAAGAGCTAAGCATCCTAAATATATAGGCACCCAATACAGGAGCATGCAGATTCTTAAAGCAAGTTCTTACAGACCTATAAAGAGACTTGCACTCCCACACAATAATAGTGGGAGACTTTAACACCCTGCTGTCAATATTGGACAGATCAATGAGACAGAAAATTAACAACGATTTTCAGGACTTGAACTCAGCTCTGGACCAAGCGGACCTAATAGACATCTAAAGAACTCTCCACCCCAAATCAACAGAATATGCATTCTTCTCAGCACCACATCGCACTTGTTCTAAAATTGACCACATAATTGGAAGTAAAACACTCCTCAGCAAATCCAAAAGAATGGAAATCATAACAAACAGTCCCTCAGACCACAGTGCAATCAAATTAGAACTCAGGATTAATAAACTCACTCAAAACTACACAACTACATGGAAACTGAACAACCTGCCCCTGAATGACTACTGGGTAAATAACAAAATTAAGGCTGAAATAAATAAGTTCTTTGAAACCAATAAGAACAAAGACCCAACATTCCAGAATCTCTGGGACACAGCTAAAGCAGTGTTTAATGGGAAATTTATAGCATTTAATGCCCACAGGAGAAAGCCGGAAAGATCTCAAATTGACACCATAACATCACAATAAAAAGAACTAGAGAAGCAAGAGCAAACAAAGTCAAAAGCTAGCAGAAGACAAGAAATAACTAAGATCAGAGCAGAACTGAAGGAGATAGAGACATGAAAAACCCTTCAAAAATATCAGTGAATCCAGGAACTGTTTTTTTGAAAAGATTAACAAAATAGATAGACTGCTAGCCAGACTAATAAAGAAGAAAAGAGAGAAGAATCACAATAAAAATGATAAAGGGAATATCGCCACTGATTCCACAGAAATACAAACTACCATTAGACAATACTATAAACGCCTCTATGCAAATAAACTAGAAAATCTAGAATAAATGGATAAATTCCTGGACACATGCACCTTCCCAAGACTAAACCAGGAAGAAGTCGAATCCCTGACTAGACCAATAACAAGTTCTGAAATTGAGGGAGTAATTAATAGCCTACCAACCAAAAGAAGCCCAGTACCAGACGGATTCACAGCCGAATTCTACCAGAGGTACAAAGAGGAGCTGATACCATTCCTTCTGAAATTATTTCAAACAATAGAAGAAGAGGGACACCTCCCTAACTCATTTTATGAGGTCAGCATCATCCTGATACCCAAACCCGGCAGAGACACAACAAAAAAAAAGAAAATTTCAGGCCAATATCCCTGATGAACATCGATGCACAAATCCTCAATAAAATACTGGCAGACTGAATCCAGCAGCACACCACAAGCTTATCCACCATGATCAAGTCAGCTTTGTCCCTGGGATGCAAGGCTGGTTCAACATACGCAAATCAATAAACATAGTCCATCACAAACAGAACCAATGACAAAAATCACATAATTATCTCAATAGATGCAGAAAAGGCCTTCGATAAAATTCAACACCGCTTCATGCTAAAAACTCTCAATAGACTAGGTATTGATGGAACCTATCTCAAAATAATAAAAGCTACTTATGACAAACCCACAGCCAATATCATACTGAATGGCCAAAAACTGGAAGCCTTCCCTTTGAAAACCAGCACAAGACAAGGATGTCCTCTCTCACCACTTCTATTCAACATAATATTGGATGCTCTGGCCAGGGCAATCAGGCAAGAGAAAGAAATAAAGGGTATTCAAATATGAAGAGAGGAAGTTGTCTCTGTTTGAAGATGATATGATTGTATATTTGGAAAACCCCATTGTCTCAGCCCCAAATCTCCTTAAGCTGATAAGCAACTTCAGCAAAGTCTCAGGATACAAAATCAATGTGCAAAAATCACAAGCATTCCTATAAACCAATAATAGACAAACAGAAAGCCAAATCATGAGTGAACTGCCATTCACAATTGCTGTAAAGAAAATAAAATAAATAACTACGAACACAAGTTACAAGGACCTCTTCCTGGAGAGCTAAACCACTGCTCAAGGAAATAAGAGAGGACACAAACAAATGGAAAAACATTTCATGCTCATGGAGAGGAAGAATCAGTATCATAAAAATGGCCATACTGCCCAAAGTAATTTATAGATCCCATGCCTTCCTCATCAAACTACCATAGACTTTCTTCACAGAATCAGATAAAACTACCTTAAATTTCATATGGAACCAAAAAATCCTCCCATATAGCCAAGACAATCCTAAGCAAAAAGAACAAAGCTAGAGGCATCACGCTACCTGACTTAACACTGTATTACAAGACTGCAAGAACCAAAACAGCATAGTACTGGTACCAAAACAGATATATAGATCAATGAAACAGAACAAAGTCCTCAGAAATAATGCCACATGTCTACAACCATCTGATCTTTGACAAATCTGACAAAAATGAGCAGTGGGGAAAGGATTCCCTATTTAATAAATGGTGTTGAAAATACTGGCTAGTCATATGCAGAAAACTGAAACTGGACCCCTTCCTTACACCTTATAGAAAAATTAACTCAAGATGGATTAAAGGCTTAAATGTAAGACCTAAAACCATAAAAACATTAGAAGAAAACCTAGGCAATACCATTCAATACCTAGGCACGGGCAAAGACTTCATGACTAAAACACCAAAAAGCAATGACAACAAAAGCCAAAATTAACAAATGGGATCTAATTAAATTAAAGCTTCTACACAGGGAAAGAAACTACCATCAGAGAGAACAGGCAATCTACAGAATGGGAGAAAATTTTTGCAATCTATCCATCTGACAAAGGGCTAATATCCAGAATCTACAAAGAACTTAAGCACATTGAAAGAAAAAAAAACAACCCCATCGAAAAGCAGGCGAAGGATATGAACAGACCCTTCTCAAAAGAAGACACTTATGTAGCCAACAGACACAAGAAAAAATGCTCATCATCACTTGTCATCAGGGAAATGCAAATCAAAACCACAATGAGCTACCATCTCACACCAGTTAGAATGGCGATCATTAAAAAGTCAGGAAACAACAGATGCTGGAGAGGATGTGGAGAAATAGAAATGCTTTTACACTGTTGGTGGGAGTGTAAATTAGTTCAACCATTGTGGAAGACAGTGTGGCGATTCCCAAAGGATCTAGAACCAGAAATACCATTTGACCCAGCAATCCCATTATTGGGTATATACCTGAAGGATTATAAATCATTCTACTATAAAGACACACGCACACATATATTTATTGCGTCACTGTTCACAATAGCAAAGACTTGGAATCAACCCAAATGCCCATCAATGATAGACTGAATAAAGAAAATGTGGCACATATACACCATGGAATACTATGCAGCCATAAAAATTGATGAGTTCATGTCCTTTCCAGGGACATGGATGAAGCTAGAAACCATCATTCTCAGCAATTTACCCAGGAACAGTAAACCAAATACCACATGTTCTCACTCATAAGTGGGAGTTGAACAATGAGACCAGATGGACTCAGAGAGGGGAACATCATACACCCAGGCCTGTTGGTGGGTGGGGGGCTAGAGGAGGGATAGCATTAGGAGAAATACCTAATGTAGATGAACGGGTTGATGGATGCAGCCAACCACCATGGCACGTGTATACCTATGTAACAAACCTGCACGTTCTGCACATGTATCCCAGAACTTAAACTATAATAAAAAACAATTGTGATTCTTTGGCCTCTGTAGATGTAATATAATTTTCTTGTCAAAGAAATCCATGAAGAACTAGGAAAGATAATATAGGCAAGTTATGAGAGCATTTTGATTATCATTCAGAAGAGTCATATTTCCTACTCTAATACATGAAGAACCACTGAAGATATTTGAAAAAATACATGTAAATAACATTTTGTGTTTTTGTAAAAATAATTTAATTTTTTTTCAGTTACAAGGGTATATTGGAGAAATTGTTAGTCATATGAGTTGAAAAGGAAATTGCAAATTGTATAGGCAGATGTTTGTAGCTTTTGGGAGGTGACACAAATTGGAGACTTAACTAAATGAAATATATTGATAGGATATAATGAGTAATTAGAAAATATAATTTGTTTTAAATATTCTTATCACATTTTTTGATAACTAAAAGTGTAAGAAAATATATTGCAATACAAATACTTGAATTACATATGAATATTACATGAATAAAGATATTTATTTCTAGTCTACTAACATGAAATAAATAGGAATTAAATTATTAAATTTAGTAGGCAAAATATTATATTGTGTCTTATTATGGCATATTATGAAAGCATTTAAATTACAACTTTCAAAAACTGAACTTGGGAACTACTTGTAATGCTAAGTAAAGTCTAAAATAATATATAAGGTACATAGCTAAAAGACGTGTAAACGTACAAAATACTAACAGTGATATTATATTATTTTTACCCTTTTCTGTTTTTTAAACTTCTATTAAGTATATATAGTTGTGAGTATACAATATATGTCTTATCAAAACAAAATACAATAAACTCTTTAAAAATAAAACAAAAATCATGAGACATATGGGAGAATTAATTCTTCACAAAGAACTGTGTATAATTTAATGAACCTAGACCATATTATGTTCAAGTGAAATAAGTGGGGCATAGAAAGACCAACACTGTATGATCTCACTTATATATGGAATGTAAAAAAACTTGAACTGATAGGAGCAGAGTAGAATGGTGGTTAGCAGGGCCTGTGAAGGGTAAGGGGTATGGAAGAGATAGAGGTTAGGGCAAAAAAATAACTACGTACAATTTTATTAATTTTCTAGCATCTTTGATACATGTGTACATATATATAAACACAGAAACTTACAATTGGAAAACAAACATATTTAATAGCTATACTATTTGTTTTAAAGATTCCCTTTTTGTAACAATGTATTGACTGTAAGTTTATGGATCAAAAGGAGGTATACTCTCCTTTAGTGTCTAACCTTACTATGTGAATGACTTAGGCACTGGGGAGAATCTGGTTATTATTTTTATTTGTCTGTGAGAGGCAGAGAAACAACAAAACTTCTCCGGCAAATATATCTTGTTCTCAAGAAGAAAATGAACTGATTTTTTTCTCTCGCCAGGGCTATTTGTGCTAGATATGGATAATGGTCATGGGTGGTCTGATCTGATCCTTTCCTATTTTAGTTGAAAAATAGCTTTTCACACTTAGGACAGTTAACTCTTATTTAGCTCTGAAAATGAGATGTCCTCATTTGTGACCAAACTAAAGTCACCTTACTTTCATCTTGATTACATTTTCTAATGAATAGAACTTGGAAAAATGTTTCATACTCAGAAGGGAAAAAAGAGTCTTTGTAATATATTTTATTCACACAAAAATTGAAGTGTAGCTATGGTAATTTAATCAACACTATTAATTTAACTTTCACATTTTATTTTCAGAACTTGAAAAAATACTCTAAATGTTTTGTGCTAAATTTTCATTGAGATAAATTTTGATATGCTCCATACGTGTCAAAAATGGCTTTAATTTTATAATCTTTAATTAGACTATTAATTCAAATGTATTCTTGGGCTATGAATTGGAATGCTCCATGCAAAACAATTATGGGTATTTCTAGCAAAGGTAATATACAGAGAATAAGGTCATAGATCTGGAAATGGAGTAATTATATGCATAGTCAGACATTTTCAATTGATTAGATAATATCATTGGATTAAAAATCGCTAAAGACTAAAATGAAATTATATAAAATTAACACTAGCTTCCTTGTGCCTCTATAGAGAAAAAAGCCAGTTATTCCTTAATATTCTAACATGAAGTATACTGCATCAGGATTAGCTGTTTCTTCAAGCCATTGATTCTGCTCTATTGTGCTTGCAACAGCTAATAAACTAAACGTGAAAAAGATAACCTAAAGGCATACTAAAAATTAGCTAATATTTTGAACCAGTAAATTTGGGGGAAGAGCTTACACCGGGGAAAATATATATTTATTCTTTCTGGTAAGAAGGTACTCCAATGAAAAAATAGATGAAGAGTTTAAGAAAGTCACTCACTTAAAAAAAAAAAAAAAAAAATTCCTAATAGTTCATTTATACTTTCTCAAGCTGTGTCAACTAGCAGGATTATTTTAGTCCACCTTGTAAATTGTTTTCAAATAAACTCATAAAAGTGAATGTTTGAGGCACCTCAAAATTATTTTTAATGTTCAAATAATAAATGAGGAGACAATATGTACTTATTCTGTAATGGTAAAAGTACACAAATCAAATACTGAAATGTACATTATTTTTTAATATCTAACAATGTTACTGTGAAGATTTTGCTCAGGCAAAATGAACAATCTTTTAAAAATTTTTGATACATGATTTCTTTCATGTTTATATGCTATTTATTTCTCTTTTTAAATTTTTTAATTGACAGAACTGTATGCATGTATTATGTACAACATGATGGTTCTAACTATATATGTACATTGTGGAACAGTTAAATTCAACTAATTAAAAATGTATTAACTCACATAGTTATCATTTTTCTGGTGAAAATATTTAAGATTCACTCTGTATTTTTCAAGAAAACAATACATCGTCATTAACTAGAGTCACAATGCTGTGCCATAGATCTCCTGAATCTTCCTCCTATCTAACCATAAAGATATATCCTTTGACCAATATCTCCATTCCCCCAACAACCATCCCAGGCTCTGGTAACCACCATTCTACTATATATTTCTATGAGATCAAGCTTATCGTAAAGCCGTTTAATGCTGTTTATATTTCACGATCATAACAGCTTCTATTTTTAAAAATATGTAATTTAGTTCTCACCAGGAACACTTGAAAAGAAATAGAAATGCTTTCTATAATGAGAGACAAACCCTGAATATTGAGTCACACATATATTGATGTTTCCTGGTGCCACAGCACAGTGTTCACTCATTTAATTTACAGTTCAGCAGCCTTTATGGATTTTAATAAATTATAATTTTTCAAACAATCCATCTCACTGATAGCATGCTTTTCTTATTTTTTCACAAAAACTTTACTTTGTAATTCCATATGTTCCACTTCAACTGATTATAACTTTATCACTATAAAGTGTATTTCTTTGATCTTTTTACTTGGTAATATATTACATAAACTTCCACTCTATATTCCTATTTTATAAATTTATTAAGATCTTATTAAAAATCTCTTCTTTGTTTCAGGTCATTAATAAAAAGTTATGTCACTCTGGACCTAGCATCGGGAAGTTAATACTTATATTGATATTTATCAGTAATGTTTTCCTAAGCACTGTTAGTTGACAATCCATTACTATAATGCTGATATGGGTTTATGGTGTGCATGAAATTATTTTTATGAATTCGAGCCTATGTATTTTTTAAATTTTAAATTCGAGCCTATATTTTTAAAGATCCTACAGTACCTTGTAAAATGTTAACAAATCGAAACAAGTGTTATTCTTTTTAATACTGAAAATTAGTTTAATTTATGAATAAATTTTGCTCTTAAATATATTTTATCTATTATGTATGAGTCATTTGCCTTGCTGAGGGTTAAAGTAAATACATTTTTATAAGCTCCAGTGTATGTTGTTTTTTATTAAATAAGACACCACATTTTCTTAGTTCATAAATGTTCACATCTTCTAAAGCATACTTTGTGTCATAGATATTTTGGTATTGAATTTTGATAGTGTTCCAATAAATATTTTAATAGAGTATCATAGACTATAGACACTTATCATTTTGTTGACTTTATATTTCACCTCTTTCCAAAGGAGACTAAAGCATGTGGTTAAATTATGATTTAGAATGCACATCAGTAAATCTGGAAGAATGTATATTTTCATGTGTTTGATTGCATAAGGCTAGCATAGTAACTCTTAAAATTATGTTCATCTTAAGAAAATTTTCCAGAATAATTTTTGTTTCAAGCAACATAAAGAGAATAATGCATTGAAAGGACTTCACTAAGAAACGAAATATTAAAGGAAAATGGAATGGCATGGCATAGTACAATAAGCATAGGATATGGAGAAGACAAGAGTTGATGGCTGTGCTGAATTATTGTAGTGAACTGTAATTAATCATGTAGGTATGACTTGATTGTTATACAGTATAAATGAGAATAAATGTTCAGAAATTGACAGCTATTTTTACTTTTTACAATCATGACAAAAATGATATCCCAGAGTAACTAGTAATTTCTCACATTTTTCTATCTTGATTTGTCTTTGTTTCATTTTAATTGTTCTCTTTTACATCTCTCTACTTACTTACCATTGCCATAACTCAAGCAAAAGGGAAAGTAATGAAAATAAATTGAAGGACACAATTCATATGAAATATGGACTTTAAAATTGTGCATTCCTAATTTCTCTCGCCCATATTTTGGTTTAGTGCTGTCATACATTTCTTACATACGCTATTAACACAAAATATATTGCTACAAATTTTCTGAGCATCTTCGATACATGGTTTTGTTTTGTGACTTTCTCAATATATCTACATATTCTTTCCCCAGTGTATGGTTACTTAAATCAGGGATCTAGTTCTCCTTAGGAAAAAAAAAAACAGGAGATTCATTACCAAAAATCTTTTGTTGTTCCAGAGCTTCTTTTTTTCTTTTCTTGTGTGGATCAAGCCTCTCCTCAAAGGTTTCTATGTCTGAAAACTGGCTCAGATCTGAACTGGACAAAGGATCATGACCTTCTATTGCTACCACTTCTCTCAGCTTCTTGATCATTCAATGTTATCAGATGACTCAAACCCCTCAGGCATAAGGGTCTTGATCACCCCAACAAGTGAGCAGCCTAAATCTGCAGAGGCACAGGCCAAATTTAAGGGAAATTTAGAATGGTTAGTAGAGGTGAGGAGGAAATAAATGATAAACAACAGTGGCAGCCTTATCACCAGTGCTGTATTTTTGTCACAAAATGTTCTAGTGTATGACTCCCTAGAGGGGAAATAAAAATCTACAATGACAAAACTCCAGAACCTGAAGAAACTGTTTCCAGATGGGATAAAAATTACTGTATGAAGAAAGAAGATTTGAACAGAGCAAAGAGTAGACTGTAGTGTATGCTGTGATCTGACAACCTGGTCTCCCCTTTAGTCATTCCTAGCCACACTGTTGTTTGCTGATAACAATTAGTTGAGCCCTTCTGTGGAATTTGACCTTCAGTGGGGATAAGGTTACAGCCCTTAACCAGCTCATATTAATTCATTTTACATTGCTATAAAGGAATACCTAAGGCTTAGAAAAGAGGTTTATTTGTCTTATGGTTCTGCAGGCTGTACAAGCATGTCACCAACATCTCTTTGGCGTCTCGAGAGACCTCAGGCAGCTTGTACTCATGGTTGAAGGTGAAAACAGGAGAAGGCATGACACATAGCAAGAGACAGAGAGAGCAAGAGATGTCCATTTTTTGTTTAAACAATCAGATTTCAGAGTAACCATAGAGTGAGAAGTCACTCATTACTGAGGGGAGGGAACCAAGCCATTCATGAGGGATCCACCTCCATAACCCAAACATCTCACACAAAGCTCTCTCTCCAAAAATGGGGATCACATTTCAATATGAGATTTGGAAGGGACAAACAAGCCAAATTATATCATGGCTAAACAGAAGTATACTTATTGATTGGTTGACGCAGGGTACAGTAGCTGATATGGTTTGACTGTGTCCCCACCCAAATCTCATCTTGAATTGTAGCTCCCATAATTCCCATGTGTTATGGGAGGGACCCAGTGGGAGATAATTGAATCGGTGGCGGGGGGGGGTCTTTCCCGTGCTATTCTTATGATAGTGAATAAGTCTCACAAGATCTAATGGTTTTATAAAGGGGGGTTTCCCTGTACAAGTTATTTTCTATTGTCTGCTGCCATGTGATATGTGCCTTTCATTTTCCACCATGATTGTGAGGCCTCTCCAGCCACATGGAACTGTGAGTCCATTAAACCTCTTTCTTTTGTAAGTTTCCCAGTCTTGGGTATATCCTTGTCAGCAGCATGAAAACAAACTAATACAGTGGCCTACACTTCTTATTTAAATTCTCAGCAATTTTGAGGCAACATCTCAGCTCCAGAGTCCCTGGTGAAATTGGCTGAGGCCTCTGGTGCTACTGAGTCACAAATCAATGTCTCCTTCTCTCCAAATCTTTTCCATTTATCCTCTTACATGCATTGTTTTTAAGAGTACTCTACATAACTGACTGGCTTGCAAATCTCTGCCTCACAGTTCATTTCCTAGGGATATTGGCCTAAGATGCTGTACTAGTAGGCAAAGTACAATTTTTCTGGTCTATATATGATTTCAGTGTCTTGAATAGATTTTCTGCTTCATTTACTTTTAAGTCCTAATGAGCCTTGAATTATGTCAGCAGGAAATGTTGTGCCAGTGGAGTTCAGCAGACAGCTTCTGAAATTCCCTTCCTTCCAAGTGATCAGAATTTCTTCATTTATTCATTTATATTTTATATTTCTTCATCATTTATTCCCAGGTTTTTGTTTGTTTGTTTTGAAGAGTTAATACTTAATGGCAATTACCACACTTTATCTTCATTTCTTTATGCGTTAAATAAGCATAATAATACTTGCATGAGTGTGGTGAGGAATAAATAAAACAACACATGCAAACCATTTTTAAGAGCATGACTCAGAGATATCATTGTTATTCTATATCTCCTCTTTTCTGTAGTTCAATATAAGGATGTTCATGTCCTTGGCACATGAGACCTTCTATGGTATAGTACCAGCAACTCAGCAAAACAGTTATTATAGATCTGTTAAGCCTATTCTGTGGTACTAGTATCTCCAAAAAAAAACAAGAAAAAGATTGATAAAAAGAACTCTCTTTTGAAAAAGGAAGATTTTCTGTTCCTTACCCCCACATAATCAAAATATTTATAGAGAGAAAACAATTTGAGTGAGAGAAGATGTACATATTTTGCTTCCCAAAATACACAAATACATGCACACACACATACACACACACAAAAATCCTGATAGGTAGATTAGATAAACAGATATCTAGATGGACAGATGATAGGTAGATAGACAGGTAGATGACAGATAGGCACATGGATGATTGACAGAGAGATGATAGATAGATAGATAGATAGATAGATAGATAGATAGATAGATAGATTAGATAGATACATAGACAGATGATAGATGGGTAGAAAGATAGGTAGATGACATATAGGTAGAGAGAAGATTGATAGAGAGATAGATGATTGATACATAGATAGATGATAGATAGATTAGATAGATAGAAAGATAGATAGAGAGAGAGATAGAGAGATAAACAGATGATAGATAGTGGATTTGGGTCCACCTTGCTTATGGGAACTTAAAGGTAGACAGGATAGGACCCGGAAAAATATATTTGAAAAAAATACAAATAACTAGGTGCTGCGAATTTTATTCACTCATCTTTTCAGTGGAAGGACTTTTGGTTGCACTCTTTCTTTCCAAACCAGTTAGTAACCATTGAAAAACTTGAGAGTAATTAAAAACAAAACAAAACAATAAAACCACACACAAAGAAACAGTCTGTGCAGTTTGACAGTTTCTTACAAAACTTAACGTACTTTTAACATAGGATCAAATAATCACACTCCTTGGTATTTACTAAAATGAATTGAAAACTTACGTTCACATAAAAACCTGCACAAAGATGTTTATAGTTGTTTTATTCATAATTGTCAAAGCTTGGAAGCAACAAAGATGTCCCATAGTAGATGAATGGATAAATAAACTTTGGTACATCCGGACAATGGAATATTACTCAGTGCTAAAAATGAACTACGAAATCATGAAAATACAAGAAGGAAATTAAACGCATATTACTAAGCGAAAGCAGCCAATCTGAAAAAGCTACATACTGTTTGGAAATGGCAAAACTATGGAAACAGTATAAGGAGCAATGGTTGCCAGGAACTAGGAAGAAGAGAGAGATGAAAACATAGAATACAGAAGAATTTTTAGGACAGCGAAAATACTCTGTATGATGCTATAACAATGGATGCATGTCATTATAACTTCGCCCAAACCCATAGAATGTACAACACCAAGAGTGAACCCTAATGTAAACTACAGTGGGCATTGGGTGATATGGGAAATTTCTGTACCTTGTCTCAATGTTTTTTCTCTGAATCTAAGATTGTTCTAAACAGATAATATCTTTACAAATGAGTTTATGAGTGAAAAATTCACTACTATTTAAAGCAGAAGTCAGCAATTTTTTTTCCGTAAAGGGCCATAAAGTACATAATTTTGGCTTTGCAAGCCACCTAAAGTCTCTGTGTGTATTATTCACTGTGTTTTGTTTTGTCTTTGCTTGCTTTTTACAACTCTTTAAAAATGTTAAAATCATTCTTAGTTCATGTGCTGTACAAAACAGGCCATGGCTGGATTGTACATGTGGGCTTTAGTTTGCTAACTCTGATTCTAGAGTTTTCTCTGTATTGTATATTGTGTAAATGTAAGTGTAATGAAAAATGAACAGACATGATATGGGTCCAGCAAATGAATAAATAGTGCTCTATGTTAATAAACATGACCTCTGTCAATTTAATGAAATGTGGTTTGTGTGCATAGGAGAGTATACTTCTTGTCTGAGCTGTAAGTGATCAAGTGAGTCTGAATGGGTAAAATTGGAGTGAGTGCCAATGTACTCACCATAATTCAGCACCACTGATTTTAGACATAGAGTGACACCTTGAGCAAAGAAAACCAAAGATAACCAAATTTTTGGCTATTTCCTCTTAATAAATCATTTCAGAACATCTTATCATTTTTTGAAAGATAACAAAAAACAATAACAATAACAAAACCATGGACTGTAATGATGGTGACAGCTTAGATAATTATATTGCTTACATTTTCTAAACTTAACTGAACTAACACTGGCCCGTTGTCAGAAATGATAAGGTCTTGGAATTCTGTGCTGTAAATTGTTGACACATGGGTATGAAATTTGAATAATGTTGTAAAATAAAACCAAGAATATTCATTTTTTTCTGAGAAATACCACATAAAAGAATTTTTCCTAAAATTATGATAAAAATAAATATAAATTTTCTTTAGTGTCATCAGAAGCTTAAACAACAACAACAAAAAACTATGTGCCTTAGGCAGTTTGTAATGATTAGAACAATCCATGCTGTATTCTTTAAACTTATTTTCAATACCAAACTCTAACCAACATGGTGACATAACGATGATGCTGATGGTAAGAATAACAGCCTAATTTACCTATACAATGGATCAATTTTATACATTGTAAGAATTGCAGATAACTTGGATTTTGTATCCTCTGCCACCTCCAAATACATTTTCAGATTAAAGGGAAGCAGAAATCAATCTTATATTTGGTGCATTTGTCCTTTTCATTTAACTACATGAAAAGGTAGTTCAAGAAGCTGTTAAAATCAAAGTAAAATTTATAATGATTAAAAGCTCAGGGCCTGTGCCTTTAAAATTGCTATTACAGCAATGAAGACAAGTGGACAGTCAAGTATTTAGACAATACCTTAAAATATAAAAATACACATTAACATGAAATAGGAGAAGCCTTAAATAACTGACCTTTAGAATTTACAATAAATCCTGGAAAAATGTGGGCAAGAAATAATGTCTATCAATCTGTTGCAATATTTTTAAAATGTGCTTATTTGATATCTCGGCAGCAGTGTTGACTCAACATTCCAGAGAGTAGGTTTAGGGTAGTTTTCATAGTTGAAAACGCAAATTCTGAATAGCTTAACTATTCATTTTTTAAAGGTTGGGTTTTGTATTTCCAGAATTGAGTGTAACATTTTTCAAATTGTCCTTATATGTATATACCATTTTTTCCCTGTAAACCAAGAAGAAATAGGAACATGGAGAAGTTATGGGGCCTCCCTTCAGAGTGAGTCAGAGAGAAAAAAAATATAAAACACAGACCTCTTTCCTTTAAGTTTTAGGTGTTATTCACTGAAGGATGCTTTATAACTTCTGTCATTATTGGTATTTCGTACACATACCAAGACAAATTTGGTCTCACAAGTATTACCATATAAAATCACTAGAAAGGTGTATAAATAGCAACAAAGCTATTTTTTTCTTAGCATGAGACAATTCAACTTTTGCTGTTAAGAAACTACTATAATTTGAGTAGTCACAAGTATTATTATTACTCAGTTTTGAATGATGCTGTGCATTTTTTCTTTTGAGAGACATTTTGAGTGTCAAAATTTTAGTTGTTTGCATTAATAAGTTTTGAAAAGCTTAGTCTAATTAGTGCAATTGATTATAAACAATGAATTCTTAATACAAAATCTATTTTTAGGAGTCAAGACTATTGAATGATTTGTCATATTGAGTTTCCGTCGTGATACATTCCAAACAAGCTCTTGCATATACAATTATTTTCCATCAGCTGCTTCTTAAGAGCATAAAGCCAATTGTGCATTTAAGCTAGAAAATGAACCTCAGGGCATACCCATCTGTCTAAACATATAAGCACATTTCCAACAGAGTTATAAGGACAGATTGTTCTTTAACTGAGGTGATGGATGTGAATGGTTAAGAAAATATGAATTATGAAGACTACACAGTTTTAATGCATTGTTCTCCATTTTTACAATTATATTTTGAAGAGATATTGTCAACTTTGGGTAATTATTACTATTATTATCAAAGCGACATTGGCATTAAGGTGTTTACAGATTAGAAAAGGTAACTACAATCACAAAAAGTGCATTAAAGAGACAACTAAACATTGCAGAAATAAAAATATATACATGGCTGACAAAGTCATATGCTTATCTCTTGTAAATTACAACAAACTTAAGGTGCATGAATTCTGTTTTATATAAAATGTATATGTCAAAACAGCATCATTGCTGTGTCTAATGCAATTAAATACAGTAATGAGTCATTCTTACAATGACATTTTTACCTCACTAGTAGCCCATGATACTCATAAAATGAGAAATAACATGGGCTACTATGAAAACCTATAAGGTAGTTATCTTATGATCTCACTCATATGTGGAATCTTAGAAAAGATGGTCTCATGGAAGTATAGAGTAGAATAGTAGTTACCAAGGGCTAGGAAGTGTAAGGGGGAGAAGGCAATAGGCAGAGGTTCTTCAGCAGATACAAAATTATAGTTACGTAGGAGGAATATGTTCTAGTGTTCCATGACATAGAAAGGTGACTATAGTTAATAATATCATGTATTTTAAAACAGCTAAATGAGACATTTTTAATGTTCTCACTACAAATAAATGATAAACGGATAAATATTTGAGGTGATGGAGATGCTAATTACCTTAATTTGATCATTGTACATTGTATATATATATATATCAAAACATCACACTGAGTCCCATAAATATGCACATTATGCATCATTTCAAATAAAATAATACTTTAAAAATACAATTTATATGTATAATAATGCAGAATAAAAGAAATTATCTCTACAACTAAATTAGTCAGTTAAAGGGTTATTCTAAATTGTGAGGAGCATCTTCATCACAGCCTCTTACTCAGAAAACAATAAGTTTCTGTGAGTAGAGTAAATGTGAACTAAGAGAGAAAAATGTTCAAAGTTTATGTTAAACAATCACTTGCCTTCTGCTTTGTGAGGAAATAAAAAGCTTTCTCTACTATGAATTTTCTTTTGAAATACAAAGGTCAGTATTTGAAATAAAAGAATAGGGAATTGTTAAAAACTGTACAGCTTTCAAGTGAGGGTAAAAATTGGAAGGGGTAGGTATGTTAATGACAGCAAGAATGAGTCCAGAAAAATGTGAGCATACAAAGTATTTTTTTTTCTTAATGTTTGGAAAATTGGTTCATGAAATTAGGAGTAATCATTTAGGTTCACGGAGTGGTACCCAAAGACTTGCAATGATTTCCAGTAAGAGCAAGCGATTTATATATACTTCTTAAAATTATCCTGTTTCTTTGCATATGCAATTTTGTGAACGCCAAATCCTCATTTTGACCTAAAAATTTCCTTCTGGAAACAAACAAACGAATATCTCCCTGTGTTTACAAAGTCACAGTCCTCTAGTTATGGATTGAAAACATAGGCTTTTAATTGTTTTATTATCTACTTTGTATTATTGTAATTTAGAATCTTTACTAGAATAGAATAAAGATTGCCTTGTTGGTTGGACTGATTTTTAATTTTATAGAAAATCAAATAACAGTTTGTACTCTCTTCAGTGAGCTTTTCCTATTTAATATTATACATGTGGGATTTATCCATATTGCAGAAAATTATTTTAAATATTAATTATATATTTTTATTTATATATTGTTATAGTTAGCAATACATGTTAAAGAAATATTAGGTATCATTAGCAGCATTTCTATCCTCCTCTCTCTCTTCTTTTCTTTCCACATTCTTCTCCTCCTCTTTCCCATTGCTTTCTCATTCATAGAGCAGGATGTTCCCTCTTTTCTTGGTTTACACTTGTTCGGGGGAATAATATTCCCCAGCTAATTCATAGAATTGGAGCCATGGGAATTATTTCTTGAAGCTGTTGTCCATCAGAAAATGAATTTATTCTGTAATCTCATGTGATTAAAATAGAAAGTCAGCAAGAACATGTACTGGGGGAAGGATACCCTTTTCAATAAATGGTGTTGGAAAAATTGATTGCCATATGCAGAAGAATGAAACTGAACCCCTATATCTCACCATATATAAATTCAACACAAGGTGGATTAAAGACTCAAATTCAAGACCCCAAACTATAAAAATACTAGAAGAAAACCTAGGGAAACTCTCCTGGACAATGGTCTAGGTAAATAATTCATGACTAAGACCTCAAAAGCAGCACAAGCAACAAAATCAAAAATAGATAAATGGGACCTAGTTAAACTAAAATGTTTCTGCACAGCAAAAATAATGATCAACAGAATGAACAGACAACTTGCAGAATGAGAGACAATATTTGCAAACTATACATCCAACAGGGAACTAATATCCAGAATTTCCAAGGAACAAAAACAAGTCAACAAGAACAACAAAAATAACCCCAAATAATGTTACTGAACACTGTGCAAAGGACATGAGTATACATTTTTCAAAAGAAGATATACAAATAGCCCAAAAGCATATGGAAAAATGCTCATTTTCACTAATAATGAGAGGAATGCAAATCAAAACCACAGTGGGATATCTTATACCAGTCAAAGTGGCTATTGCTAAAAAGACAAAAAAAAGATGTTTGTGAAGATGTGGAAAAAAGAGAACACACTCATACACTGTTGGTGGGAATGTAATTCAGTACAACCTCTATGGAAAACAGTATGGAAATTTCTCAAACAATTACAAATAGAACTACCATTTGATCCAGCAATCCCACTACTGGGTATCTACCCAATAGAAAAGAAATTATTATACCCAAAATGTATGACCTGCACCCATATATTTATTGCAGCACTATTTACATTAGCAAAGATAAGAAATCAACCTAAGTGTCAATCCATGGAAATTTTGATTTCTTTAATGTGGTATATACACACAATAGGACACTATTTATCCATAGAAAATAATAAAATTGTGCTTTTTCCAGCAACATGGATGGAACTGGAGGCCATTATCTTAAGTAAAACAACTGAGACACAGAAAGAAATATACCAAATATTCTCACAACTACCACATATTCTCACTTATAAGTAGGAACTAAATAATGTGCACACATGGATGTAGAGGGTGGAATGATAGACAATGGAAATTTGAACCGGTGGGGAGTGGGAGGAGGGTTAATGATGAGAAATTACTTAATGGGTAAAATGTACATTTTTCAGGTCATGGATACACTGAAAGCCCTGACTGCAACACTATGTAATATATCCATGTAACAAAAGTACACTTGTACCCCAAATTTATATAAATACAAATTTGAAAAAAGAAATCTACACTATACGTTGTTTTCACTAAGAATTTTGAAGCTGTGGCTCCTTTATCTTCTCTCTTTTCATGTTTGAATTAAGATGTTTCATTTTTCCTGTGTACTATTTCTTTCATGCTGGAAGGATTTAAAACCTTTATTTTATTCCAGGTGTTTTGAAAATTCACATTGTTATATGCTTCCGATTGGCTTTTTCTTTTGTTTACCTCCAGGGTTTTACCTGGGTCCTTTCACTCTTGGGATTTATCACTTATAGTCTGAAAATATTTTCTTGTATCATTCTTTGAATATTTTCTCTTTTGTTTTATACATTCTTTTTCAGGATACGTCATTAGTTTGATGTCAAATCTCTTGAATTTTATCTATTTTTTCTCTTTTCTATGTCTCAAATTTCCTATTTTCAGTGATGTCATCATTCAATGTTCCAATACTTCTATTAAATTATTTACTTTGACCGTAATAGTTTTTTTCTCACATTCAATGTTTTTGTTTTTGTTGTTGTTGTTGTTGTTTGGCAATCTGTTTTTTGGGGGATCATAGACCCAATAACTTTTCTCTCTGAAGACAGTAATCATAGTTAAAATTTTTGACACTTTATTTTACAGTTTTTACTGTCTTTTCTGCTCTATATTAATATTTTTGTTTTGGTTTGGTTTCAGTTTTGTCTTTCCTGATGGAGTTTTTCAATAAATTCTACTGATTCTTTTTGCCATTTAATATATAAGAATTAAGTACTAAAAAAGATGACTGGCAAGGACAGGTTTCCTTATCTGATGAAATTAGGTGTAGGATTTTCAGGGAGTGAGAAACTTTTTGTGGAGTTCTCCTAAATGCCAGTACCCATAGGCTTACTCTCTTGAGACTTTAATTTTTCCAGATAACAATCATCTGACGGACTACGGGAAATCAATCCTGTCAGGTTCTCGCTATTTAGCTAATTTCTATTTACTAGATTGCTTTCTCTTTCATAGTTTAATTCTGCCCTTTACTTTGCCTCTCAGTTCAGATATGTTTGCTTCAATTTCTCCAATTTATGTACTTCCCTATCCTAGAATGAAGTGTTTAGAGAACTTATCTGGGTTTTAGAATTGTTTTGGCTTTCTGGCAGTTTAACTGTTCTTTGTATCTAGTCTTTAGAACAGCCTCCTGCCTTTGTGCCGGTTCTCATCCCTTTACTCCACAGTTCCTCATATCACTGCTTTCTACGTATTTCAAGAGTTCCTCAGGGAAAACTCTTGTTTCTAATTAGCCTCCCTCTCTGCAGGTTACTACCATTTCACTCTACTACCACTTAACTATATGCAGTGAAGTCATTTCCAACTCTCTCCAATTCCAACTACTATGACTTAAAGTTACTGTTCTTGTATAGTCTCATGAAATTTAAGTTTTTTCTGTATTCGTTTTTAATGATTTTCAAATAAAGGAATGAACACATATTCTTTACACTGACACCTTAAAATTGTATAATTTTTCATCAAATAATTTTGATAGTTTGATAATTTCTGATATTTACAGAAATATTTTACATACTTTAGTCTTCTTTTTGTTCATTTCCATTAAATTTATATTGCCAATATTCATTCAGGTATTCGATGATTGTTGGAGAATCACAGTACAACTGAGTGATATGAAATTGTATTGCAAAATATATACATTTGTCTGTTATGCTTTTAACATAAACTTGCAATATCTGAGTACAGATACATGCATGCTTTTCTTCCTATCTGTTTACATACCTGATAACAGTTTATTACAAATTATATTGAAAAATATTATTAAAATGTCAAAATTACTAGCGAGTATAGTGGTAATAAGTTAGCCTCTTAAATTGCACATCATGTCCCATTAGCCTAAAGTTATAAGCACCTACTAGTTATTCTAAATTAAAAGCACTTTGGACAAAATCACTCATAAAATAGACATAAGAATATTGGTCAACTGCACTTATGCAAAATTTTTTCACCTGAATTTATTGACTTGAATTACATATTTTAAAACTTGGTTTGTAAATACGGCCCAAGATTGAAATTTGGGGTAATTTTTCAAAATCTTTTATTTGCTATACATATCATCTCCATCCATGTATTTTTTCCAGCTTTTTCTATTATGGGTACTATTATGGGTCCTTGAGCTCAGAGAGTAGAAGTATTCCTTAAACTCACCTGCATTCATACATATTCTTCTGTTAGATGTTACCAATATCGCGTAAATTGTTCTGTGTCTCATCAGTGCTTAATCAACAAATTTTATGTTTTCATGCTATCTAATCACAGTTGAGTGCGTTACACAGAGGCAGAGGAAAAATATACAGACATTCTAAAATGCACTGAATAATTCTGCCTTATTGTTATGTTTCAGCTTTTTCCAACACAGACCACTCTGAAAAAAATGTAACGCTTTGTTTCAGTTATTTCTGAAGAGCAGCAAGAATTTTATGTTTAACTAGCTTGTCATTTAAATGTACTTTTACTTTTTTAATACTAAACCAATAGTTAAAAATTCCTGGAAAATCCCATCATTTTACAAAAATGCCCATACAGACAAACTAGATAGAAATACATCTTAATAAATATTTATATTTGAGAGTTAATTTTTCACATTTTGAATCATTTTATATCATTACATAACAAATATTTCACTGAGCACTCCTGAAGTCTCAATTTTCTGAACCATTGCTCGTGATATAATTCTTAAAATGTAACAAAATTAATTATTGTATTTGGATGTTTTTAATTGAAAAACATTGCCATAAGGACATTTCTTTATATAATATATTTTAGGAAGATTTGTGCAATCATAGGAGTGTATAAATATTTTCCTAATTGAAATATAACTAAATTATAATCCTAACTTTATTCCATATTGAAAAATCCCATCTTCTTTAGGAGCAAATCCTCATTAGAGATGTAACAATTTAATCAAAAGAATTAAATCTATCAACATGACCAAACGTCATTAATGTATAGTCAGCTAGAATATATAATTTGATGTAATGTAAACAATACTCCAGGGGAGCAGGAAAATAATTCAGTTAACCATCTCTTCATACTTAGGGTCACATCTAAAACTGATTATTTTTTATAGCCGAAGAACAGCTTGTTGTTGCAATTCACACCATTTCAAAATTTGTACCCAAAGCAAATTTTTATAGTACAATTATTGAGAGGATATAAAAGAGTTAGTAACAAAAAATGCTGACACATCCCTAACTAGGCTCCTGCAACCAGGCTTTGCTATAATAAAGCACAGTTTTATTAAGCACTTAATTAATTGCCACATTAAAATGATAGGGGCCCAACTCATAAAAATGACTTAGGAGAATGCAGGCTCCTTTTTCTGTGTTAACTGAAAATGCAAACTGTACACACCATTTAATTAAGAAAAATGTAATCAAGCAGCAGATAGTGTGGGTGTTTAGCTTGGAAGCAAAACTTGCAGGTGTGAGAGGATAAAGAAATGCGATGATGACATCATTAGTTGAGAGTAGCATTCACTGGAAGTGGCTTGTAAGCTAAAGTTTCATAAGCATACCAAACTGAAATCAATAGAAATGCTCAAAGATTTGATGTTGCAGATTTACTCATTTTTATTTTTCAGTTTAGAGTTGCCTCTAAGACATGTATACAGCAAACCTAAATTCAGATCACAGGCTCAGTGTCATTCGAGGCAATTATTTCAAAGGCAGCTTAATAATAAGAAATATTTATCTTCTTATTCTATTTCAGATATCATACAAAGGGTTTTATATGGATTAAATTTGTATTTCTCTCAACAATCTTTTCATATTCATTCCAGTTTTGCAAATGGAGGCTTAGGGACATTAATAACTTTTCTAAAGCTACAAAACATGTAGTGGGAGAGACAAATTCCTAACAGAGCCACTATGCATGACTGCACAGCCTGTGCTTTCAAACTTTATGCTCACTGCCACTGTTTTTAATTTAAATGTCACCTTTAAGATAATGGTCATTTCCAAGATCTATTATATAAGGTCTGGGCCAGAGCCTTATGTATAAATTACCCTAATTATTCTAAATTGCTGTCTGGGAAAAAAAAAAAAGGAGAATTGTTCATATCTGTTCCGATACTTCGGGTCTGATTGGAGAAACGACAGGAAATGTGTTTTTCTCTGGTGGTTAATCTGGAAAACAAATAAAATTATCCTTTTAAAAGTTGGCCAAATTTCAAAGCTTATCCTTGTGTATCTTTGAAAATGCTGGATACTATCTACTATGCTGTTTATATTAATAAAATCAAAGCTATAGTTTCTTTTCCTAAAGAAATAAGATTCTTTCACTGACCTTCCCAGAGAGCTATTCATTTCCATCATTAAATTATACTAAAGTGGGTCATCTTATCCACATAAAATGTTGTAAAGCAGAAGTGAGAAAAGACAGATATTATTATGGGATTTGACATCATAGCTAATCCACTGGGTTCTTAAAAATTTTTATTGATGGTGATCTCAAAAAGTTCTAGTATATTTTAGTCATTTAATCATCATACAGATTTCTTACTAAGTTTCACCTTTTTTTCTTATTTACCAGGAAAGCATGCCTACTTTTTAGCTCTAACATATCTGTGAAGTTTGATTAATATAATACTGTAGTAAGATAATTTAATTATGTTTTGCAGAATATATTATTTCCCAAATGCAAAAAAATATTTTATATTGTAATAAAGTGCTAGATAAAATAATATTTAATGTTAAAATGGCATATTGTTAATCAAGTAGTTTTTTGATATAAACTTTTTTATTTACTGAGTACAACAATAAAACTTTAAAATTAACATTACAACTGTTATTTGTTCTTATGTCTTAAACACCAAATAATTAACTTTTTTTTCATAAGATATAGCTAGATATTTGAAATAGGGTACTATCTAGATAATTTTGACTACATTAACTATCAATAACCAGATAACTGAACAATAAAGGTTTTCTAAAAGAAAATTACAAAACATTTAAAAATGTGTAATGTAACATACTAGAAACGTAATGAGGAGCAACTTGAGAGCCATAACATAAGAAGTCAAGCAAAATAAAATTCAAGAACAAAATTAACATTTTTCCAAGAAGGAAATTTTAATGAGAAATTTACAATGGAATTTATAATTTAACAGTATAGAAAAAAAAACTCTGAAAGTTAGTTTACCTGATATTCAATAAAGCATCTGTCCACAGATGATCTAAATGAAACACTGTAAAACTGCCATTTGATTTTAAGCGCCTCAAGAATAGGTCAGGTGTGGTGACTCACACTTACAATCCCAGCACTTTGGAAGGCCAAGGCAGGAAGATCACCTGAGGTCAGCTTTCTATTGCTTATAATTCACACTTGTTTTTGCACTTGTGACCAATTCCTGTTTCAAAACTAAAGGTGCAGGAGGGTGAGCTCTCTTTCCCAGAAGTTGAGACACTTATCCCTTCCAAATTTGATTGAGTAGTCAATGTGGTAAGATACTTTATGGAGGTATCAGCATGTTTATCCATGACGTGTGTAAGTCTCATAGAGCCTCTCCACAAGAACACCTGCAGAGACTTTTAGCTCAGCTTGAAGGTGCACATCAGGGTTGGCACCTTGAGCACTCTGCTGCTGCAAGGCATTTAGAGATTCTAAGACATATAAGAGAGTGATTCATGATTCAGATGACACCATGTCAGGTGACACTCACAGGCAGCACACTTTGACCCAAAACATATTTGCAGCCTTGGTCACTTTCAAAAAGTTCCTACATTAGGGGAAATCAAGTTTCAGAATCCAAACATTCTTCTAAGGGACAACCTCCTTTAGAAACATCAGCTGTTGTACAAAACATCCTTTTGTGCAACACATAAGGAGCTTCCTCTTGTAAATACTTATGAAAATGTGCTCACATACCCCAGGATGGTCATAGCAGCAATGGTTGCAATGAGAGTCCTTTGAAATGGCTAAAATTACTTGTGTGCACAATTGGAAATTTTCTGGTTTTAGAAACAGACAAATTGAATGGGATACTTACTGCCACCTAAAAGTCTCTAAAAGAAGTTCTGAGAAAATTGCCTTCTTTCAAGAAGTAAACAAAAATATATCTGAAACTATATCCAAATTTCAATGGCATCAGAAGCCTCCACTCTTCCTTCTCCAACTATTCCTCCTCCTCCTACACTATGCATTTGTATCCTCTCTTATCTGGACTTTCCTGCTCTGATTTGCCTTCCCTTCTACAACTACCACCATCACCTAAGAAAACCATAGATTTCTGACACTCCTCACTGAAACTCCTGTTTTGGCAGCTCCTTTCAAGATAAAACTCACAAAAAGAGGTGAGCCTGCTATTGTGTATAGCCCTTAGACAAAGAAAAAACTTAAGAATATCGTAAAAGACTTCCCACACCTGCTCCAAAATCCCATAGGGTTTGCAAAAGAGTTTAATTTAATTGTCTGGACTTACAAGCCTGGATATTATCATGTTTATTAGTTAGTTTATATGCTGGTATGAGAAGGTAGGGCCACTGAATGGTTCAAAAAGGAAAGCTGGTATAATCTGTTGGTAGATTTTCAAAAACAGACAACCAACCATGAAATGGTCCGCACTTTAGCCAAGGCTTTTTATGATGCTATTCCATAGGTCTTTTCTAAAAAATGTAGATTGGAAGATAGTTCAACAATATACTCAAACGCCAGACAAATCTGTGCTTGATTATTTTGAATGATTTGAAACAAATCTTTAAATGATATTCTGGAATGGCTAAGGCTAGCATGATCATCAGAGTGATTCCCTTATAAATTCTACATGCCCCAGTGGCTTAAATGAGGACTTAATTACCTCAGTTAAAAGACACCAGCTTACGGGCATGGTGGCACATTCCTGTAATCCCAGCTACTAGGGAGACTGAGGCAGGAGAAGCACTTGAACCTGGGAGGCGGAGGTTGTGGTGAGCTGAGATCGTGCCATTGCACTCCAGCCTGGGCAACAGGAGCGAAACTCCGTCTCAAAAAAAAAAAAAAAAAAAAAAAAAAAAAAAAAAAAAAAAGACACCTGCTTAATTGGGCAAATATATAAACCCACAAATTAGTAACCATGGCAGATCAACTTTATAAAACTGTTCAGAAAGAAGTAAAAACTAAGGCCTCAAAAGTTATAAATGTACAACTACAACTGACTAGTAAAATCAAGCCTTTTAAGAAAAGACAGGCGCCTCATTTTAACTATTGAATGGATGTTTGCTTCTATTGTAAAAAGCCTGGCCATTTCAAACAGGACTGTAGAAAACATAAAAGACAGCAGGACCAATAAAAAGATAGGATGCCACGAGATGAATAGGATTGCTCATAGGACTAAAAGGAGGCTTTACCCTTTCTCCTGACTAGTGCCTTAAGAGAAATAGAAATTTCCATAAATGGAAAACAGATATATTCCCTAAGAGACACTGGGGCTGCTCTTTCTGTCCTCAACCCTACCAAATTAACTTGTTCTCTTCCTGAGAGTAGTGATTATGTACAAATGGAAGGAATATATAATTGACCTATGACTGTATACAAGTTCAAACCCTTAGAATTCCAGGTAAGCTCACTCAGTGGCCTTCATTCTTTTCTGCTGATTCCCTCAGTTACCATACATTTCTTAGGCACAATGTACACATTTTCTTCTTTCTAAATGGAGAAATGTGTTAAATTTGTAACAAAAGGAGCAAACAGAGCAACTACAGACAAGAACAAAACTATTAAAACTATGAAAATACAGACTCTACAAATTTTTTTTCTAAACTAGGTTTAATGAGTGACATTGATGGCCTTGTCTCACTTAGGGTCTCAATTTTCCACTGACATTGGTAAAATACATTCAGTCACCCCATTTAAGTGGAAATAAACCTGATTAAATCTTTATCAATAATATTCCCTAATGCCTAAAGAAATGGAAGGAATCAGACCCACAATAAAATACTATATTTAAAAGGGTTTAATTATTTATTGCTCTATCCCGTATGGTACTCTGATCATTTCCATAAGAAAATCAAATGAGTACGGCTGACATTTCTTACAAGATTTGAGAGCTATCAACATTTTGGTCCCAAGACATCTGGTGTTACCAAACCTCCTTACTCTTGACAGCAGTCACCACTTAAAGTAAGATATTTACTGTTGTTAATGTATGCAGTGCTTTTTAAATATTCTAGTACACCCAGTGAGTAAATACTTATTTGCCTTAACTTGGGTGACCCTCTGAATACCTGGACCATCATACCCCAAGGTAACACTGAGAGTCCTACATATTTTTATCATATATTGAAATATGACTGGGCTGATAATACATTTCTCAGAGGGACCTATGTTCATCTAATATGTGGATGAGCTCCTTTGTCGCCTGACTATGCAAATCTCAAGGGATGAGAGCATGAAACTCTGAAAACAATTGGCATTTCAGGGATATTAAGTTTCTAGAGACAAACTCCATTTTTGCCAGATGCAGGTAAAATGCTTAAGACATTTAACTTCTAAGAAAGGATTGTTTATAAATGCAGAAAGTATTAAAGGCATTCTAGTATTCCCTAAGCCCTTGACAAAGAAGCAATTTTAAAGATTTCTGGAAATGGTTGGATACTGACAGAATTGGATACTTAATTTTTCTTTAATAACTCAGCCTTTATATACCCTACTGAAAGTGGACAGTCTGATCTTATTGTTTGGACTCTAGAGGGACTCAAGATAACCCTATAAGTTATCAAGAAAAATTTTACAATTGCCCCTGCCTTAGGGAATCCCAATTACAGCCTTCTGTTTTCCCTGTACATTCATGAAGACCAGGGAAATGGCTTGGGAGTCCTAACTCAGAAAAAATTATATTAAAGCCAGAAACTTGATGCAGCCAATAGAAGAATGCTACTGTGCTTAAAAGAGCAACCTCTGGCACCACCTTGTTCTTTAAAACCATTGAAAACATAGTTATGGGATCCCATCTTACCATCTATTTTTCCCACTCAGTGAAAACCCTTCTGAACTCACATCATACCCAACATTACTCTGTTAATAGACTTATTTCCTATGAAGTTCGTCTTCTGTCCTCACACAGTTTTATTATTTCTTGCTGTAATAATCTTAACCCACTCATTCCTTTGCTTTTTGTCTACTGATGAGATGCCATATGACGGCATCACTCTGACCAACAAACTTCTCACACCTAGATAGGACCTACAAGAGACATCCACAGATAATGCTGATGTAATTTGATTCACTCATGGTTTTTATTTGAAAGATCTGTTTGTGAGTTATCAGGCTGGTTATGGCATAGTGCTTCTAAATGAGAATAAAGAATAATACTTTTCCAGATATCAAATAAGTTAAGCAGGCAGAATTTGTTGCTGTGACTTGAGCTTGTCAACTAGCAAAGGAAAGACTGGCTAACATTCATAATAATAATATACATGCATTTAGAGTATCCCATGATTTTGGCATGCTTTGGAAGCAACACAGTTTTGGACCTCATCAGGTTAACCCACCAAAAATGGTCAAAAACTCTCTGACCACTTGAAAGCACTTTCCAAACCCAAATTTATTGCTATCATCAAAATCTGTGGTCACTCAAAACTAGATATTTCAGTGAATAAGGACAACTATTTCACTGGTGTCATAGCATAGAATATATCCCAGAAGGTTACATCATAGAATAAATGTCTTGAAATGTCTCCACAGATTTATTGCTCGTTCAGAACTTCATTAAAAGAGGCATAAACAGGAGTTCCCAAGAAGGAAATAGACCTCTAGAAAGATAAAGGAGGTAAGTTTTCTCCAGAAATAGGCTTAGGTTTTGAACCAATAGTCTGATCTTTCCTTACAGCTTCAGTTACAGTTTTTGCAATATGTTCATGAGCTGACTCACTGGAATTCAGATAAAATGATAGTATGGAGAAAGCAATATTATTGAAAATCATTCTCTACTGCTGCACAAAGTTTTATTCTCACTGCACTCTTTGTTCCAAACACAATTCTGAACAATCCCTTCATAGTTCACATGGACATTTTCCTTTACTTTCAGGACCTTCTGAGATATGGCAATTGGATTTTATCCAGCTGTCTCCATCTCAGAGTTACATATATATTCTGGTGCTAATTTGTATGATCTCGTTGGGTTGAAACATTTCCTTGCTGAAGATCTATGGTCCAAATATTAGACAAATTATTATTAGAAAAGATAATTCCTTCATGGGGAGTTCCATCTGATCTCCATAGCAACTGAGGAACACATTTTACTTGTCTATTAAGTTGATCCATTTGCAACATTTGGCCTAACTTCCAATATTTCTATGGTGCCTATCACCCCCAGTCCTCTGGACTGGCAGAATGCACCAATGGTTTAATAAAAACTCAATTGGCAAAAGTAACTGAAGTTTTTAAATCTTCTCTGGTCAAATGTTCTCTCTTTGGTTCTGCCCAACCTGTGATCTACTAAATTTGGAAAATACCAGCTTTATCCCTTTGAAATAATAACAGAAATGCCCATGTGACTAGATAAAGGAGCTTCTGAAGCTGCACTTGTTAAAGGTATATTCTTCATTGTTGTCAAAACCTCCAAAAACTTCTCTCTAGGAACTCCAAGTGGATAAAGGATTCCTTTCATAGCAAGCTCCAAGGAGATGAAAACATCAAAGATTATGGCCTACAACATGAAGACTGTGTTTACTAGGAAAAACATCAAATAAAAGATTAACTCCAACTTCCTTAGAAGGGACCACATTAGATATTGTTGATCAATCTCCGCGCTGCAAACTTAAGGGCATTTACTCATAGATTCACGTTTCTCATTTAAAAAAGACATCCCAACCAAAGTGGAAATCTTGCATCACTGAGACCTTCACTTGAACCTGACCCTCAGTCTTCTTGACCACGATGTCAAGTAGGTGAAATCCGTTTAACTCTAATTTCACCCAAGACACAAGACCAGGCCTGTAAATTCAGTTCTGAATGACTCTAATGCTTATTGCACCTAAAATATTTGGTCCTTTTTTCCTTCTTCACTGGAGTATTTATGCCTTTAGGCCTCCTTCATACTGTGAGGATCCTCTCTTTGTTGTTTTGGTAAAATCGTTTCATATATAATATACTCTCTTACATGATATTAGTCTTATTCATATATGTTAAAGTACATATACATATGCAATTTAACAAAATGCCTATAGTCAGGTTTCTCTTTTTGCTCTTCTTGATACATTTGACTGTAACTTGGAGAGATAATTCTCTGATCATAATCTCATAGATCATTGCCACTTCCAGAAATTGACAAGATGTTGGCTTGCCACCCTAAACTGACAAACACTTTTGACAACAGTGGTACGTTGATACATCCTGGTTTAAATTTCACAGGTATTCTTAATTGTACTTGCAGCACAACTTAGGGGTCACATAAAACAAAACCTCTTTATGGGATCTGCCTGACTCATCCTAATCTGCTTGCACCATCTTTCAGTTTTCCTCATCAGAGTCCTATTGTCAAAATGATTGCAGCTTTATATAGAAATGATAATGCTAAAATGCATGATGCTGTTGGAAGTTAAAAGAAAGACAGTCTTTCCTGTCATTAGAATCCAACCTGCCCTCTTGCTTTAATGTGTCTGAGCCATTGTTTAATAGTGTCTCAAAATGGATGAACTCAAATTATAATACATTTACCTGTGTTCTAATAGGATTTATTTTTGTCTGTAAAGAAGTTTACCATCCATAAGCCTATAAATATCTAAGAGCATGGAATAAGGAAGAGCAATGTCTCAAGATATTTGATCATCCCTCTATCTATATATAGCTTTAAAGAAATCTCAAACTGGACTAGTTCCCTGAAACTTTTCTCTAGACCAGCCTATTGCTCTCTATATCTATTGGTCAATAGATCTATTGCTCTATTGGTGATTGCTGATCTAGTTTACCCAAAGAATTCGTTTGGGAAAAACCTGCCAATTATCTGTGCAGCCATCAAGAACATAACTCCATGCACTTTATTAGGAGAGAACTTTTGCTTTGGTGAGGTGTCACTTCCCATGAACACATGATCAGAAGACTTTCTATAACCTTAGAAAATATTGCTAATAAAACTACTGCCTCCGTCACAGCTCAAAAAAAGCCATTGATTCACTGGCTAAGGTTGTAGTAGGCAATCACTTCACTTTAGTTTGTATATTAGCTGAGCAAAGAGGTGTATGTATGGTGGCAAATACCTCCTGTTGTGTATACATAAAACTTCCCATGAAGTAGAAACTCATCTAGCACAAATTAGAAAAGAAGCCTTTTGGTTATAACAAGTCTCTAAAGAAGAATCTGGATTTATTTTAAATTGGCACCCTAATGGAATAGATTCCTTTTTAAATTCTGGCATAGAGATTCTTTTTGATTATCCTCATATGCATTATATTTCTACTCTTCAAATTATTAATGCTATGCATCCCTTGTTGTTTTCTTCCTTCCAAGCAAACTAAAAACCTGGTATTGTGAAGAATAGAGATGATTCAACAAATGACAACAGCTGCGTAAATCAATGACTTGATTATAATCCCATTTTTATCACTCTGTGATGTCATTCCAATTTGGCTTTTGAGCACTATTAAGCTTTCTCACTGAGATGTCTCCTCTTTTCCTCCAATGTGGAACAGGACTATCTGGGAATGAGCCTTCCTGGCAACAAGGAACACTCAGAATTTGATCATCAATACTTTTAGAAAGAAAGATTTTGATCAAGAGGGGAAAATGAGAAAGAAAACAACTTTTATCTGAGGAATACAAACATCCTTTAAATTATCAGGCCTGGAGACATATAGGAATGAGACAGTCATCACGTCTCACTTTCCCTTTTGAGCTAAGTAATCATGCTTGAAGCTGCTTATTATTGCTGCAAGTAGATGCAGATTAACCTAACAATGCTACATGCCACACACCATAGCCCATACCTTATAGCTCACTCATGTATAGCCAAGCACTAATCAATGTTATTTCTATAAACCAATGAGAATTTCTAACAAACAATTTTGCATCAAGCCACTCGTCTGACTTTTTGTCTTTAAAAACTTGCATGTAACAAAGGCTGAATGGAGCTCATATCTAAGGTTACTTAGGTCTGAGTCTTCCAGGAAGCCATTCTTATTAAGACTTAAGTGAACTCTTTAAAACTTTATTTTGTGCCTGTTTCTTCGTTTAGTTCTACATTTCCTTCCTTCCTTCCTTCCTTCCTCCCTCCCTCCCTTCCTTGTTCCCTCCCTTCCTTCTTTTCATACTTCCATCTTTCTATTTTTTATTTTATTGTTTACAATATAAACAACAATAAAAGTTATTTCTAGCTAAAAAGGCATAAAACAAGCAACTTCTATTGGCCATATCTGGCCCACAAACTAAACTTCCTGAATCCTAGTCTATACAAAAATCACTTCTTCAGTATGAATATATGTTTAGTTAAATTAATGAATGCATACTTTCTTATTTCAATTATTTTTAGCAGGAGTTAGCAAATTTTTAAAAGAAACAACAGACAGAAAATATTTTAAACTTGGAAGTCATACAATTATTGCAATTATTCAATTATGAAATAGGCAGAATTGCAACATGCAAGCCGCCAAAGATAACAGGTAAATTGGCTGTGGCTGTTTCCTAAAAACACCTTATTTACAAAAACCTGTGGTTGTTTGGACAGAAACATAAAATTAATGTTCATAGCAGCTTTATATGTAATAGCCAATAACTGGAAACTTCCCAGATGTTGTTCAATAGGTGAATGGTTAAGCAAACTGCTGTAAATTTATCTTTGGGCTACTACACAGAAATATAAAAGGACAAACTACTGGTACATACAACCTGGATGAATCTAAAGAGAATTTTGTTTAGTGACAAAATGTCAGTCTCAAAAGGCTAAATATTGTATGATTCAGTTTCTATTGCATTCTTCCAATGACAAAATTATAGGGATGGAGAATATAGTGATAGCCAGGGGCATGGATTTGAAGTATGTTTCACTTTATGGAGGTAGTATGTGGCACCTATTATAAAGTTAAAATACTAGAATAAGAATAAAATAGAGAACTCTAATTATAATAATAGATGATTCCAAAGCAAAATTCAAGTACAGACTTTACCAGTCACCTGTGTATTATTGGAAAACTTGTAAAAATAACAACAACAAAAAAGAAATTATAGATTTTTCCTTGTGTATTATTTCTATTTGCAATCTATGTTTTCCCACATTTTCTTAAGGCCATGTTTCAGTAATAATTTTTAAATGAATCCAGTAAAAAATATCCTAGAAATACGTTTACTACTGAAAATACTTAACTAGTTTTGGGTCAGTATCTAAAAGTTTCTATATTGCACATGTGATTTAGAAACTACTATGATTTAGGAACCACTGTTTTCTTTGATTCTCTGATGACGTTTTATTTTAATGAGACAAAAATTCTGAAGCAATAAGTGATGTAGACTGACTTTTATCTGACACAAAACTTTTTTTAAAACCTCAAGTGAAATAGAAAGTGCTAATTTGGCCAACGTTTCCAGCTTTGGGGCAAAGATAGAGTTTGTCAATTGAAAAATTCTGAGCTTCAGAGTAAGAAAAACTATATTGTTCATAGTGGCACAAAATTAGCAATCTGTTTTCAATCTGGAGTCAAGTTTCCACAGGTAAAACAGGACAACTACTTCATTAAATGGAAATAAATGTTGGCCTTATTTACTCTTTGTCCAAAGACATTCCAAAGCAATTTTCTTTTTCCAGTATATGGAATGTAATACATAAGGTTTTTTCTTTATCATTATTAAGGAATTATTTCATAGAATCAAATTCATCCAGCTTAAATGTATAGTTGGATAAAGTTGATAATTGCACACAATTGCAGAAACAGTACCAAAATCAGAACCTAGGACAGTTCCCACCTCTAAAATGTTTTCTACCACTTTGTAACCCCCTCAACCTTTTGCCTGAAAGCCCAGGCAGCTACTACTCTGCTTTATGTAACTAGAATTTTTCATTAGTACAATTTAACAGGAATAAAATCATACAAGGTTTTTTGAATTTTACTTTTATTACTTAGTTTGATGTTGTGTGATCTACCCATATATTGCACATTGATATTATGTGTTTTGTTACTTCTGAGTGGTAGAACATATTATGGTAATACCATCAGTTTATCATTTTCACAATTAGTGAATATTTTGCTTCCACTTTTAAATAAATAATGTTGCTAATCAAGAGTGTGTTTGTGTGTATGCACGTTTGTATGGGCCTGTGTGTTCATTTCTATTGGGTAATGACTTAGGAGAGCAATTGTTGGGTCTTGAGGTACAGTTTAAATTTACAAGATGCTTCTATACTATTTTTCAAAATGGGTGGACCATTTTTTAATCTCACCAATGACACGTGAGAGTTCCAGTTGTTTAAACTCCTCGTAAAAATTTTATATTGTGGGTCTTTTTAACTTCAGTCATTTTTAATGGGTTGAAAGTAAAATATAATTATGGATTAATTTTAATTTTCCTCATGACTAATAATACTAAACATATTTTTGTGCTTATTCACCATTTGTAAGTCACCTTTTATGAAATAACTATTCCAGGTTGTTTTCTATTATCATATTGGATATAAGACATTATCAAGTTATAATATAATACAAAAACGGTGATAAATTAAAAAAATGTAAATAGCATGGAATCGTAATACCCATAGAAGAAAGAGTTAATGGAGAAGAAATATTTGATATAATAATGACCAACAGCTTTTCAAAATTAGTGACAAACACCAAAACACAGATGCAGCTAACAAAAAGCACAACTAATACCTTAAGAATCATATATTGCCATATCATATTGAAACTTTAGAAAATCTTAAGATAACAAAAAAAATTAAAGAAGCCAGTGTATGGTAGGGAGAAACACCTTACCTACTGAAAAACAAGAGTAAGTATTACAAAGTGTGTCTCATAAGAATCCATGCAAGCAAGAAAAGAGTAGAGCTACAAAGTCTTGAAAGGGAAAAACAAATCACTATTAAACTAGATTTCCATATATAGCAAATTTATCTTTCAGAAGTAGAGAAGAGGGCTGGGTGTGGTGGCTCATGCCTGTAATCCCAGAACTTTGAGAGGCTGAGGCAGTTGGATCACTTGACCTCAGGAGTTTGAGAGCAGCCTGGGCAACATGGCAAAACCCCATATCTGAAAAAAAAAATAAGAAAAAAGAAAGAAAAAGAAACAACAACAAGAAAATTAAAGGAGAAGTAAAAGAAATAAAGACATTCTTAGTCAAAAATATCTGAGGAAATTAATAAGACTTTCATCAGACAGAAGAAAAATAATACCGGGCAGAGACTTGAATCTATGTAAATAAAGGAAGAGTATCAGAGGAGGAATAAGAAACTGAATAAAATATTTTATTTTTCTCAGTTTTAATTTATCTAAAAGACAACTGTTCAAAATAATAATGGTAGCAATATTACGTTATGATAGCACATGGATAAGTGAAATAAATCAAAGTAATGTCACACAAAATGGAGGGAATAATTGAAAATAGTGGGTTAAAAGGAATCTGCACTAAACTTACAGTAAAACTGGTTCCAACTAAAAATGAACTAAAATCAGTCAGACATAAATATTTTTAATTCTAGGAACAAAAATTAAAGATGTAACCACAGTTGATACATTAAAAGATGAGATTAGACGTATATATATATATATATTTTAATCATACCAGAGAGGATAGAAAAAGAAGACTCTGGCAACAAATAAAAACAGTTCCTAACATGGTAGCTATCAATCCAACTATCTGTATCAATAATAACTTTAAATATGAATAGTCTACACTCACCATTTAAAAGATAAGGATGGACAAAGTGGCTTATAAAAAGGCTTACCTAGGCCAGGCCTGCCAGCTCATGTCTGTAGCCCCAGCACATTAGAAAGCCAAGGTGAGAGAATAGTTCGAAGCCAAGATTTCGAGACCAGACTGGGCAATATAGAGAGACCCATCTCTACAAAAAATAATTTAAAATAATTAGCCAGATATGATGTTGTATGCATGTAGTCCTAGGTACTCAGGAGGCTGAAGTATGAGGACTCCTTGAGCCCAGGAACTGAATGCTGCAGTGAGTTATGACTGTACTACTGCATGCCAGCCTGGGCAACAGAGCAAGACCCTATCACACAAAAGAAAAAAGAAAGAAGCCCCAGCGATATGTTGTCTAAAAGAAACCCACTTTAAATATAAAGACTCTGAAGTAAAAAGATGTAACATTTTAGTGCTAATCAAAACAAAGCTGGAGGAGTTATATTAATTTCATAAAAAGCACACTTTGCATTAAAAAGTTATCACAGTAAAGAGGGTCATTACACTATGATTAGACAATCAAATCTCCAATACTACATGACAATCCTAAGCCTGTATGTATCTAACAACAAAATGTCAAAATATATGAGGTGAAAACAAGTAAAACTGAGCAGAGAAGTAAATAAATCCACTATTAGAGTTGGGAAGTTCAACAACATTCCCCATCAGTTACTGATAGATCAACAGGGCAGAAAATCAATAAGAATATAGTTGATCTAAACAGCACTGTAAATCAGCTTGATCAAACTGAGGTTCATGGAAAACTTCATTCCCTCCTCAGGAAGATCTTATTGTTTTCTAGCTTGCATAGAACTTTCTCCAAAATAAACCACATTCTGGGGCATAAAACATATATTAACAACTTTAAAAGAATAGAAATTATGTAAAGTTTGTTATCAGACTCCATTTGAATTAAATTAGAAGTGTATAATAGAAAAATAGTTGAAAATTTCTTTTTTTAATCAACTTTTTAATTTTAATTTCAACTTATATTTTTCTTACATGGGAGTATTGCCTGAGGTTTGGGGTGTATATCCTATTACACAGGTAGTAAGCATAGTACCGGATAGGTACATTTTCAACCCGCTTCCCTCCTCTGTCCACAGTTTCTATTGTTCCCATATTTATGTCCATGTTTGCTCAGTGTTTAGCTCCTACTTATAAGTGAGAACATGTGGTATTTGGTTTTCTGTTCATTCCTATATTAAGTAGCATGTGTGCTCAATGTTTAGCTCCTACTTATAGGTGAGAACATGTGGTATTTGGTTTTCTGTTCTTTCCTATATTAAGTAGCTTAGGATCATAGTCTCCAACTCCTTCCATGTTGCTGCAAAGAATGTGATTTCATTCCTTTTTATGGCTACACAGTATTCTGTGGTGTATATGCACTAGATTTTCTTTATCAAATTTACCATTGATGAGCACTTGGGTTGATTCCATGTCTTTGCTATAGTGAATAGCACAGCAATAAACACCCATGTGCATGTGTCACTCTTCTTGGTAGAGTGATTTTTTTTTCCTTGGGGTATAAACCCAGGAATGAGTTGATAGGTCAAATGGTACTTGTTTTAAGTTCTTTGAAAAATCCCCAAACTTCTTTCCACATTTTTTAGTAATAGCCATTCTGACTGGTGTTAGAATGTATCTCATTGTGGTTTTGATTTATATTTCTCTGTTGATTACTGATACTGGCCATTATTTCATGTTTGTTGGCTGCTTATATGTCTCCTTTTAGGAAATATCTTTTCAAGTCCTTTGTTCATTTTTTAATGGGGTTGTTTTTAGCTTGTTGATATATTTATGCTTCCTATAGATTCTGGATATTAGACCTTTGTTGGGTGAACATTGACATTTAGGCAGAAATTTAAAAATTATTGAAAATTAATGAAAATAGGAACACAACTTACCAAATCTCTGAGATGCAGCCAAAGTAGTCTTAAGAGGAAAGTTTATAGCCCTAAGTGTCTTCATGGATAAGTCAGACAGGTCTCAAATGAGCAATCTAACTTTGCACCTAATGGACATAGAAAAGAAAGAACAAACCAATCTCAAAGCTAGCAGAAGAAAATAAACAACTAAAATTAGAAAAGAAATTAATAAAATTGAGACGCAAAAAGCCATACAAAAGATCAATGAAAGCAGGAGTTCTTTTTTTGAAAAAAATAAATAAGATTGACAGACTGCTAGCTAGATTAAAAAAGAAAAAGAAAGAGAAGATCTAAATAAGCACAATCAGCAGTGACAAAGGTGATTTACCACTGACCCACAGAAATACAAAAGATCCTCAGAGACTACTATGAACAATTCTATGCACAGAAACTGGAAAATCTAGAGAAAATGGATAAAGTCCTGGAAAGACACAATCTCCCTAGATCTAATCAAGAATTGATCAAAGTGCTGAATAGAACAATTTAAACTTCTAAAATTGAATCAGTGATAAATAACCTACCAATTTAAAAAGGCCTGGGCCAGATGGATTAACAGTCAAATTCTACCAAATGTACAAAAACTGATACCAATCCTCCTGAAACTTCTGAAAAACTGAGGAGGAACTCCTTCCTAACTCATTCTACTAAGCCACGATCAGCCTGACACCAAAATCTGACAGAGACACAAGGGAAAAGAAAAATCTTCAGGCTGATATTTCTCATAAATGTAGACAAAAAATCTTCAACCAAATATTAGCAAACCAAATCCAGCGGCACATCTAAGCCAAATTCTTAAATACTTGGAAATGAAATAAAACATTTCCAAATAATACAAAATGTAAACATAAAATCTCTAGAGAAATTTTTAAATATTATGAACTAAATGAAGGTGAAAACACAACTTATTAAAATGCGTGAGATGTAGTGAAAAGAGTGCTTAGAAAAAAATTTAAGATAAATGCATATATTAGAAAAAAAGAAAAATCTAAAATTCATAACCTAATCTTTCATTAGGAAACTAGAGAAAGGAGAACTAGTTAAGTCTTAAGTAAGCAGAAGAACATAAATAATAAACATTATAGCATAAATCAATAAAATTAAAAATGGGGAAGCAGTAGGGAATTTCAACCAAACCAAAAGCAATTTCTTTCCAAATGTTTAAGTTTCTACACAGGATAACAAAGATACAAAGAGAAAATACACAAAGGACGAACTTCAGAAATGAGACACTACTTAAAGAAATTAAAAGGATAACAAATAATATTACAAACACCTCTGTACTTATTTGGTAAATTAAAAGAAAATAAACAAAAATCTCAAGACAAAAATGAGCCCAGGAGTTTTAGAGCAGCCTAGGCAATGTAGGGAGACCTTGACTCCACAAAATATAGAAAAATTAGCCGGGCATGGTGGCATGTGACTGTGATCCCAGCTACTCAGGAGACTGAAGTGAGAAGATCCATTAGCCTAGGAGATTAAGGCTGCAGTGTGCTGTGACCACACCACTGCACTACAGCCTGGGAGACAGAGGGAGACCCTGTCTCAAAACAAAAATGAAACAAGAACAGAAAACATATGGAATGCTTCAATAAAGGCACCTTCATCTTAATACCAAAACCAGATAAAGATGTGACTAAAAAGGAAAACTGCTGACTAATATCTTTCATGAACACAGACACAAACATCCTCAACAAAATTTTAGTCAAATACAGCAATAAATTAAAGTAATTATAAACCTTGGCCAAGTGAGATTTGTTCCTGTGTTGTGTAATACTGGAATTGGCTCTCAAATACAAAAAAATGGTTCAACATTTGAAGAATAATCAATCTAATCCACCACACCAACAGACTAAGAAGAAAATATATATGTTCTTAAGAATTGATGTAAGAAAGCATTTGGAGAAATTCAAGAATCATTCATGGAAAAACTTACCAGAAACCCAGGCATCAAAGGGATCTTTCTCAGGTTTATTTAAAAAGAAATCTATAAAGAAGCCCTTCAGCTGCCAGTAAACAAAGTAAAGACACTGATCACCTTCTTCATACTATTGAAAAGATAAGGATGTCTTCTCTCACAAATCCTATTAAATATCATAATCAAATTCCTAATTAGCACAATTAGAAACTGCTAGAACAAATAAGTTATTCAAAGTTACAAGGTACAAGGATAATATATGGATGTCAGTCGTTGTCCTACATAGTAGCTGTAAACCACTAGAATTTTTAAGTTAAAATATTTATAGTCACACCCCAAAACCAAAATACTCCTGCATTTTGACTGTGACAAACACAGATTCACTACAAAAAAAAGTTGACTGCAAAGATAGTCAACTGATATTTGACAATATATCAAAGGAAAACAAAAAAAGATAATCTTTTTAACCCAAAGTGCTAGAACCATACCAATTGGGCAAGAAATTTAACATACATTTAATTTAACAGAGACATTACATATTACATGAAACATTACTCAAAAGTAATCATAGACCTAAATGCTAAACACAATGCTGTGAAACTGCTGAAGATAACAAAAAAACCTACATGAACTTGGATTTGGTAATGAATTTTTATATACAACACCAAAACAATGCCCATTAAAGAAAAAAAAAGTTAGACCATATTAAAATTAAGTCTAACTTAATTAAATTAATGACTTTCTCTCTGACAGTCATTGTGAATGGGATGAAATTGGAAATCATCATTCTCAGTAAACTATCTCAAGGACAAAAAACCAAACACCATATGTTCTCATTCATAGATAGGAATTGAACAATGAGAACACATGGACACAGGAAGGGGAACATCACACTCTGGGGACTGTTGTGGGGTGGGGGGAGGGGGGAGGGATAGCTTTAGGAGATACACCTAATGCTAAATGATGAGTTAATGGGTGCAGCACACCAGCATGGCACATGTATACATATGTAACTAACCTGCACATTGTGCACATGTACCCTAAAACTTAAAGTATAATAATAATAAAAAAAGGAATAACAATATTAATCACAGACTGGGAGAAAATATTTGCAAAATATGTATCGGATATAAGACTGATATCTAAACTATACAAATATCCTTAAAACTCAATAATAAAAAAAAGCAAAACTTTTTTTAAAAAAGCAACTATCTGAACAGACATCTCACCAAAAATTACATACAGATGAACAATTAGCCTACATAAAAATATTCAAATTATTTGGCTTTAAGGAATTAAATATTAAAACAGCAATGAGTTACAACGACACACCTTTTACAATGGCTAAAATGGAAAACAAATCATCGCAAAAACTAACAATGCATATTGAGAATGGAGAGCCACAGGAAGTCTCATCAGTTTCTGGTAGGAATGAAAACTGGTAAAGCCACTTGGGAAGACAGTTTGGCAGTTTATTACAAAAATGAAACAGTCTTACCATATGATCTACTAATTTCTGAATTTGTACACTGATTTGAAAACTTACATCAACAACAACAACAAAAAAACTGCATGTGAATGGTTTTAGCAGCTTTATTAACAATTGCCAATAAATGGAAGCAATGAAAATATGTTTCAACCGGGGAGTAAACAAACTGCAGCATATCTGTACAATGAAATGTTATTCAGTGATAAAATATTAAATGATGAAAATACATAGACAAATCTTAGATTCTTATTTCTAGTGTAAAAGAAAAGCTAGACTAATAAAGATGAATACTCTATGATTCCAATTATATGTCATTATGGAAACCTACAGAGACAGTAAACAAATCAGTGATTGCCAGGAACCTGGGTGGTAAGAATTGATAGATGAAGCACAGGAAATATTTTAGGGCACTGATGCTATTCTGTATTACACTGTAATAGTGAATATAAGAGATTAAGCATTTGTCAAAACCTATGGAACTTTATAGAACAGAAATTAAATCTCATTATATATAATTTTAAAAAATGCATGTAGGAGGACAGGGATTTCCTGAGTGGAATACAAATATGATACAGAAACTAAATACATTACAAATGTATAAAACAACCTCACTGAAAGGTGGGGGAATAAGGGATTAATGAGTAATTTTGGAAATAAGTGAGGTCTATAAGAGTAAAGGCAAAAGAAACTATATTTAATACTGTACTGCAGTATTAAGTCATTCTCATGATGGTATGAGGTTACATGTTAATCATTCCGAAACTATTATACATGTATACTCTAACTGAACATTTACATAAACTGATGGCATATTTTTAGAACCAGGTTTCTCATTGTTAGACTGGGAATTTATGAATAAACAAGGGGAGAAACCTAGAAAGATCCATGGGGTAATAGATTCGAGTTTGAGATATCAATATTAATTTATGTTCCATTTACTATAGATACAGCTGCTGACCCATGGAAATGTTTAGAAATATGTGTACTCATACACATTTTTTGTTGCTATGTCAGCTAGCAGAACCTAGATGCATCTCAGAAGCAACAAGCACACCTAGCTCCCAAATCTTGGTTTCTAACATAATTTGCCGATAAAAGAAACCACGGCTTATTGGAGAAATGACTAAGATTGGGGGTGGGGGCGTAAAATATACAAAATGAGCACGAAACATCTTGTGTTGGCAGATAGTATGAAAATACTGATGAGAAAGAAGAAAAAGACAAAGACAAAGAAAATCCAGAAAAATAGACATATATATCTAAGGAACACAGAAAGCAACTGAAATCGCTCCCATCTGACCAAGCTGCAATAATTTAGCAACAAAATAAATAAGGTATTATGGAATCATAATGCAAAGTATTAAAAAACAATGAGTCTGTACTGATATAAATAAACGGTTTAATAAATAAATAAATCTCTTAAAAAATACGGATAATACATGTTGATATTTCACCTTTAAGGAGGGGATCATGACTCCTATTCATTAAGTGTGGGCCATGTACAGTGATTTCGTTTTAAAGAATAAATGAGAAAGGGATAAGAAATAGTAAGTTTATGGTGGCAAAACCTAACAAACATTAGTTTAAGCTATATGATTAATGCTAGTGTCAACAGTGATAAGTCACGTTGATAGTGTTTACTCTTAACTAACGTGATTAGAATATCACTTTTTACCTTTAAAACTTTTTCCAAACGTACATGACCCCAGTGTAATCATTAGAAAAGCATCAGACAAATCCCAGTGGATGACAATCTATAAAATATCTGACCAGAATTCATCAAAGGTTTTAAGGTCATCAAAACGTGAAAAGTCTGAAAAACTGTTACAACCAAGAGGAGCCAAAAGAGACAGAACTACTAAATGTAATGTGGGATTCTGGAATCGAAAATGAATATTTGAAGAAACAAGGAAATCTGAATAAATATGGGCACTAGTTAATAATAATATTTTAATATTTGTTAATTAATTTGACATATATCATACAAATGTAAGATGCTAATAAAAAAGAAATTAAGGCCGAGCACGGTGGCTCACGCCTGTAATCCCAGCACTTTGGGAAGCTTAGGTGGGCGGATCACCTGAGGTCAGGAGTTCAAGACAAGCCAACATCATGAAACCACATCTCTACTAAAAATACAAAAATTAGTCGGGCGTGGTAGTGGGCATCTGTAATCCCAGCTACTCAGGAGGCTGAGGCAGGAGAATCGCTTGAACCTGGGAGGTGGAGGTTTCAGTGAGCAGAGATCACATCATTGCACTCCAGCCTGGGCAACAAGAGCGAAGCTCCGTCTCAAAAAAAAAAAAAAAAAAAAAAAAAAGGAAATTAAGTGTGGTATATTAGAGAATTCTTTATACTAGTTCTTTTAAACAGCTTTTGTAAGATATAATTCATATACCACATTATTCAACAAATTAAAATGTCATTCAGTGATTATTAGTATATCCACAGATATGTATGTGCAAAGCACCCACAATTTTAGAACAGCCTCATCACCTCAAAATCAGTCTCACACCCTTAAGCTCTGACCCACTATGCTCCCATCCTCCTTCCCTAGCCATAAGCAGCTACTTCTGTCTCTACAGCTTTCTCCATTCTGGACATTTCATTTAAATGGAATCATACTTTATGTGGTCTTTTGTGACTGCCTTTTTTTTTAACCCAGAATACAAGTTTAAAGTTTCATCCATATTGTGGCTTATATTCGTACTTCATCTTTTTGTGGTAGAAAAATATTCTATTGCATGGGTATGTCATATTTTATTTATTCATTCATCAGTTGATGACCATTTCTGTTGTTTCTGTCTTTAAGCTATTATGAGTGATGCTACTATACACATTTTCATGTGGACATAGTTTTCAAGAGGTTTCTAGTTTATTTTCTTCATTTCAATATCCTTGTAATTCTTTTGATAACTAATTATGTTATAGGCTGCATATTTTTATTATATAAATGATGTATATATTAACAGAATGACCACAATACAGTAAACTTTTTAATATATTGAGCAATATTTTAAAATACAACTTACATCATGGCATATGCAACTTTTGTATTGTACGGAATGCATAAAATGTGATACATAATTGCCTTACCTATGTTAGTAAGAGCTGAGAAACCCCAGATATAATTGATTAGATATCTATATGCAAATGAGATTCATAAATTTTAAGGCAGAGCTTTTGGAAATATCTGTCATATCTGCTTCCTTCTAGTGTTATCCTAATTATAAGTATTTGAAATGAAGATTTTGTATCATATGATTCATATCGCCATCAGAAATGTTAATTTCCTTTTTCATGATTCTGACATATGTGCTATACAGTTCAGGATGATACTGATGAAAATGTTAAAAATGTATGTTGCCCTTTCCCTTCTTTTTAAATTAAATAACACCACTCAAATGTAATAATGCCTAGAGCCAAAAGAATTCCGTTTAAACCCGTAGCAGTCCTCAAATTCCTATAAATAACAACACATTATTAATTAACAAAACGGTCCAATTAATATTGATACCTAAAAACCAAGTAAAGTTGTGTCTTAAATCCTTAGAAAGTAGGATGTTTTGACACCCTGTGGACTACAAATTCCAGGAAATAAATTTAAAAGCAGAATTTTTAGTTTATTTACGTTTCTTAGTCATTCCTATCATTTATATGTATTCCCAGAAGATAGTGCTTCCTTTATTATAAACTTCACATACTTCCCCAATCAGTGTAGCTGAATGATTATATGATCACAGATATAATATAATAAATGAAGATCAGTTTTTTATTTTATAAAACAAAAAAGCTGCTTAAAAAATCTATGTCAATATTCAACACAAATTTGAGTTGAAGATAGCTATAGTGTAATTTAGATCAAAGACATTTTGATTTCAAATGAGTTAAAATATTTTAAACTACCTGCTCATTTGTTATACCATTGCTTCTTAATAGGCAATATATACCAGAATGTTCTCTATTGCTGTTGTAGTTTTACCAAATGTAATTTTTAGTAAATTTGTTTAGGCAAAAAAAAATTGCTGTTATGTTGGTTGCTTTCCTTTCCTTAAACTGGAGCTCTTCTTCCTCTATTGTTATATTGGCCATGAATTAGCAGTTGGCTACTTTAATTCACTAATTCATCCATTTATTTGTCCACAGCACATATGAAACATCTGTTAGGTAGCCGACACTGAGTTTTGTTAAGCCATTTTTTTAAATCACAGAAAATGAAGGCTCACAACACTGATATCCTTGGTGCAACCTAGAAGCCTCTCCTGTTAACCTTTTTAAAATCATTTTAAAGTAAATACAAAGTAAAAACTATTACATAAAATATTTTATTATGAATTTTAGGAAATAGAAATAACAAAACTAAAATATTCGAGAGAAAAAATATATGACACTTTTCACAACTAAACAAGATAATGTTGACTGGCTATCAGGCTCAAACCTAATGCTGGATCTCCTCTTCCTTTTCTACTTTTTTCTTCTCTTCTCAAACAAAACATTTATATTTTTTCAATAATAACTTCCTCAACCATATCATTGATTTTTAACAGAATACTTGATAAATCAAATGCCTATTTATGACTCAGCTATTTTGTGACAGCCATTGTATAATTAGAAAAAAAGGGAGTAACATTTCTCATGAACTATTGGATGACAAGAATGTATGTAAAATTATGGCACATTAATACAGTACATAAATTCTATTGAACTATATGGTGCCCCCCAAAAAGATATGCCCATATCGTAATTCCTGGAACCTATGAATATTAACTTCTATGGTAAAGGGTGATTGTAACATAATGGCAAAGTATGTGAACCATCAAGGATTTTAGAAGGAAGTGCTTACACTGGATCATCCAAGTAAACCCTAAATCCAAGGATCAAGAACCTTACAACATGAAGCAGAGGGAAATTTTACACAGGAGAACAGAAGGTAATGGAACCACAGAGGTAGAGACTGAAGTGATGCAGCTACATGTCAAGAAACATCTTGGGCCATCAGAAGATGAGATGCAAAGAATGAGTTCTCCCACAGAAAACTCAAATAGAGAATGGCCTTGCCAGATTTTGGCCTCTAGAACTGTAAGATAACCTTCTACTATTTTAAGCCAGCAAGTTTGTGGTAATTTTTTTATGCAGCCTCAGGTGTGTAATAATTATATACATATATGATTACACACACACAAACACAATAGCAACCAATACTCAGAGGGACGTACAAGAAAAGATTGGCTTCCATGGAATCGTTTAGATTTCAACTCAGTTTTAACCTCTCCTATCTGCTTCCTTTCACTCTCCTTTATATTTCCTAGTTTACTAATACACATGTCAATTATTACCTTTGAATATCACTTGTTCTATTTATCTGTTTCTCTTTTTTGTTTGTACATTTTGTTTCTCACCAAGAGAAACTAAGCATCATACGGGCAACAAGCGTATCTTTGACGCGGAGATTGTTAAATAAATGCTGAGTAAATAAAATAAATGAGGCTTAAAACCTTGTATTGGTTTTTCTGAAGACAAACATATGAAGATAATATTCTTAATATACCCATTATATTAATTTGAATCATGTATTTTAAGAACACATACTAAAATGATCATGTATTGTCAAACTACCCCTTCCTACCAAAAACTACTTCTTTCTCACACTTTTTCTTTTATCTGCAAGCATCTATTTTTACCTACGTAGGCCAAAAATTCCTATTATTCTTAATCTATTTTCTTCTCTCAAGTCATCTATTATCAAATCCATTACCAAGCTCTAATGAAGTCATCTAAAACATTGATGTATATAGTATAATTCTCTATTGAAAAAAGACAAATAATCCTCAATATATGGACACAAATGTCTTTATATCTTTACTTATATAGAAATAATAGAATATAAAGTTTTATACTAGGTGGTCAAAAATTGATTACCTCGAGGACATGAGACAGTGTCAAGTGTATATCTGTGTGTATGTGTGTGTTTGAGGAAGAAACAAGGAAGAAAATTAACTTCACATCTCTACATTCTGTGTTAAATTTTAATTGTTAAAATATGCATGAATTAGTTTTCTAATTTTAAATAAAGTGAAGAAAATTTAAAGATAAAATCTTTTGAATTTTTTAAAATCTCATTTTCATTTTTTACCACCATTTTAATGCAGTATAGAGTTCCCTCATTCTTGAACTAATATATTTTATTTTCTATCCATGAGTATCCTATCATTTTAGTCCATCCTACACACTTCCCAGATTTATCTTTATATAACTCAATTTTAAAACTTATACTCACTCTATGGCCCATAAAATTATTAACAAAGATGAACATAATACCCATAATGTTATAAATGAAACCCCAAATATTCCAACATACCATTATATTATTTTCCTTTCCTTTATGGAAGAACTAAACTCTCGGTGTCCAAAATAAAACTTGGGAATTTGTTTTTCCAATCAAGGTTGTATCTCCTATGCTGTCTCTAGTAATAGATACATCACAATTTTTAACCATATGTAATTATCTAAGTCGACATAACCTTTCTGATACTAACACAAAATTACATCTCTATCTTTAAAAACATATGATTTTAATATATTCAAGATATGTGTAAACTTGCCTTTTTAAAATAAATAGTAATGCTTGAATTTCAACAGTGGATTGATCAACCAGGCAGAAAATATTGGACTTGAACCACACTTTAGACTAAATAGACTTAACACACATATATATATATATATATATATAAAATATTTAATCTAATAGCAGCAGAATACACATTCTTCTCTAATGCATATGAAATATTCTTCAACATAGTTCATATATTAGGCCACAAAACAAGTCTTAACATATTTAAGAAAATCGGAATCATATCATGCATTGTTTTCAACCACAATGTTATAAAACTAGAAATTAATAACAGGAGATTTTGGAAAATTAACAACTATGTGGAAATTAAACAACAGGTACACAAACAACCAATGGGTCAAAGGAGAAATCAAAAGAGAAATAAAAAATGTTTTGAGACAAATGACAATGAAAACAAAATATGCCAAAACCTGTGAGATATAGCAAAAGGAATTTTAAGAGGGAAATTTACAGCAATACCCTTTAAAAACTTAAAAAAGAAGAAAGATCTCAAGTAGCCCAATATCACACATTCAAGAACTTAGTAAAGAAAAACAAAGTAAAGCCAAAGTTAGCAGAAGGAGGGAAATAACAAAGATCAGAACAGAAATAAATAAAAAATAGAAAAACTTTAGGGCAAAAAAATCAATAAAACTAAAATTGTTTTTCTAAATAAACAAAATGACAAATCATAAGCTAGACTAAGTAAAACCGAGAGGAGACTAAAACAAATAAAACAGAAAATGTAAGTGGAGACATTGCAATGGATGCCTAAGAAATAAAAATGATCATAAGGGACTATCACAAACAGTTACATGACAACAAATTGAATAAACTAGATAAAATTAATAAATTCTTAGAAAACTACAAACTCATTGAGATTGCCTCAGGAAGAAATAGAAAGCCTGAAGAGACCAACAACAAACACAGACATTGCACTGGTCATTAGAAACCTCTCAACAAAGAAAAGCACATGACCAGATACTTTTACCACTAAATTTCACCAAACATTCAGAAAAGAATTGATACCAATCCTTTTCAAACTCTTCTAAAACACAGAGCTAGAGAAAATAATTCTAACCACATTTGATGAGGCCAGCATTGCATTAATACAACACCAAAGCCAGACAAAGACATTGCAAGATATGAAAATTATAGGCCAGTATTTCCGATGAACATAGGTGCAAATATCCTCAATAAAGTACTAGCAAACCAAATTCAACAATACGTCAAAATGATTCTACAGTATGACCAAGTGGAATTTATCCCAGGCATGCAGAGCTGATTTAACATATACAAATAAACAATGTGATACATCACGTTAACAAAATGAAAGAGAAAAATTACATGATAATCTAAATGCAGGGAAGGCATTTGATAAAGTGCAGCACTGTTTCTTTACAAAAACGATCAATATTTAGGTACAGAAGGAAATGTTCCCAACATAATAAAGACCACTTACGAAAATCTTACAGCTAACATCAAAATCAATGAGGAAAAACTAAAAGCTTTTCTTCTACAATCCAGTACAAGGCAAGGATGCCCACTCTCATCACTTTTATTCAACACAGTACTGGAAGTACAAGCAAGAGCCATCAAACAAATAAACAAACAAAAAAGAAGGCGAACAAATATAAAATTATCTTTACTTGCTGATGACATAATTCCATATATAGAAAACTCCAGGCTGGGCACAGTGGTTCATGCCTGTAATCCAACAACTTTGGGAGGCCAAGGCAGGCAGATCACAAGGTCAAGAGATCAAGACCATCCTGGCCAACATGGTGAAACCCTATCTCTACTAAAAATACAAAAATGAGCTGGGCATGGTGGTGTGCACCTGTAGTCCCAGCTATTTGGGAGGCTGAGGCAGGAGAATTGCTTGAACCCGGGAGGCAGAGGCTGCAGTGAGCAAGATGGCGCCACTGCACTCCAGCCTGGTAACAGAGTGAGACTCCATAAAAAAAAAAAAAAAAGAAAAAGAAAAAAAAAAAGGAAAACTGCAAACAGTTAATAGCAAAACTGTTAGAACCAACAAGTAAATTCAGTAAAGTTGCAGGATCAACTTACAAAAATTAATTGCATTTTTTTGCATAAATAAGGACTTACTCAAAAAATAAAAATAAAGCAAATTCATTTACAATAGATGAAAAATACTTATAATTTAACTGAACTGAAAAATCTATAAATCTATACACTGAAAACTATACAGTTAGAATGAAGATAATTGAAGACACAAATAAATAAAATTTCCCATGTTTACGAATTGAAAAAAAGATGTTAAATTGTTTATAGTACCCAAAGCAATAACAAAATTCAATTCAATTCTCACCAAAATTACAACAGCATTCTTTGTAAAAATAGTAAAGAAAATCTAAAATTTCTGTGGAACCACAAAAGACCCTGATAGACAGAGAGATTCTGAGGAAAATAAAACAAAATTGTGGGCATCACACTTTCTGATTTCAAATTATGTTACAAAGCTATTGTAATCAAAAGAGTATTTTGCTGGCATAAAAATAGGCACAAAGACCAATGGAATAGAATACTGAGCCCAGACATAAACTGAAGCAAATATGAACAACTAATGATTGACAATTAGAAGACACAATGAAGAAAGGAGAGTCTCTCTTGAATAAATGGCACTGAGAAAAATGGATTTATATATGCAAAACAATTAAATTGGACCCATATCTTACATCATATACAAAAATCAAATCGAATTTAATAGAAGACCTAACTGTAAGACCTGAAGCTATACAACTCTTAGAAGAAAATACAGGAGAAAAGTTCTTTGACATTGGCCTTGGCAATGATTTTTTAGATATTGCACCAACAGCTCATACTACAAAGCCAAAAATAAATGAATGAGACTTCATCAAACTAAGGAGGCTTCTGGACAACAAAGCAAACAATCATCAGAGTGAAAAGGCAGCTTACAGATTGCAAGAAAATTCTTGCAAACAATATATTTGATAAAGAGTTAAAATTATAAGGAACTCTTATGGCTCAGTAAAGAAAAAACACAGTACACCAACTTTTAAGATGTGCAAAGAATTTGAATGGACATTTCTCCAAAGACATATAATTGGCTCACAGGTATATAAAAAGATGTTCAATATCACTAATCACCAGGGAAATGCAAGTCATAACCACAGTCACATATCACCTCATACCTGTGAAGGAAAGCTATTATCAAAAACACAAAATAAGTGTTAGCAAGCATATGGAGAAATTGGAACTCTACAAAGTTGGTGGAAATGTGAAATGGTGCCGTTATTATAGAAACAGCATTGAGTTTCCTCTAAAAGTACAAATCAAACTGCTATATGATTCAGCAGTCCACTTCTGGGTATATACCCAAAGGAAATGAAATCACCACCTCCTGAAGATATTTGCAGTCCCCTGTTTATTGCAGCACTATTTGCATTAGCCAAGCTATGGAAACAACTGACTAAAAGTGTCTGTTGATGGATGAATGCACAAAGAAACTGTGGTACATATATGCAAAAGAATATTACTCTGCCTGAAAAAGGACAGCATGCCATTTAAAAAAAAAATACAGATGAATCTGGAAGACATGTTAAATGAGACACAGAAAGAAAAATAATGCATGATCTCACTTATAAGTGAAATGTTTTTTAAAAAAGAAAAAGATAAAAAGGAGAAATTCATAGAGATAGAAAATGAAATGTTGGTTATTGGGGTGGGAAAATGAAAGATGAAATGAGGATATTTTTGCTCAAGGGTAAAAAGTTTCAGATATGTAGGATAAATAACCTTAGGAATCTAATGTACAACGTGAATACTATAGTTAATAATATTGATTGTATTCCAAATTTTTGCTGAAAGAGTAGATATTTTGTGCTCTTGACACAAAAAGAAGTGAGGTAACTGCATGACATAATGGCCATATTAATTTTCATAACTACAGGAATCATTTCACTATGTAGATGCATATTTTAAAAACATTTTATTTCACTATGTATATGCATATTTATAAACATGTTTTTCACTTTAAATATATAATAAAACATAAAAATCTTAATATTCTATGGAAATAAAAAATACAGTAGTTATATTTTGCTAGTACTTTACACACTTTCTCCCTATATGAGCTCATTTGAACCTGACTATAGCTGTGGTAGGGAGATTTTATTTTTCTCATTATATAACTGAAAAACCTGAAGCTCATAAACATTAAATTAATTTGACCAAAATCATACAGCTAGTAAGTTACACAACGGGCACTTGAATTTGGTTTTCTGACTATAAAATATATACTCCCTTTTTTTCCATTATACAATGATGCATCTCTTCCTACCTAATTCATTCAACTTCTCTGCAAAATACTCTGATTAAAAACCAACCAACCAGACAAACAAACAAACAAAAACAAAAACAAACCTCCTGGCATTATTTGTCAATTTGTCATTGTATCCTCAAAATCAATGGCAAAATACTTTCAAATAGAATGTCAACAGTTTTGAAATAAATGGTTTACATTTCAGACAAACTGATAATATTTTTCATGACATTTTAAAAACATGACTAGAATATATGGCCACAATATTTACATGGGCTTTTAATCAATTGAATAAACGTACAATAGGAGATATAAGTTTTTGTTCTAAAAAGTTTTTGGTATACTGATACAATGGGCTAAGATTTCACAGAAATAACGTCAAGGTATTATGCTTTGTTCCGAAACAGCAATCACTGAAAAAAAGGAGGTAAAATAATGTGTGATAATTGTTTAAGAATGTTATTTCCTATATGTGTGCGTGTATGTGTGTGTGTATATATATATATATATATATATATATATACACACACACACATACATATAATAGTTTATTCTAGGTAAGAGAGCTGAAACAAAAAGACAGGACATCATCTTGTTCAGCCTCAAATGCAAACCTGAATATTGGATGATGCAAATTTTCACTTCTCTGCTCAAGTCCATAAATGACATGAAGTGAAAGCACCATGAGTATTGACTTTGGGGTCACAAATACACTTTAAATAGCAAATATGGAATTTCCCAATAATTAGGATTAGCTGTATATGTACAAATAATGTTTAAATTCTAATTTCCTTTAAAAATGTTATGTTGATAATGTAGGATTTATGAAAGCAAATATGTTCATAGTTACCTTTCTTTTTGACTATTTGAGTATCTAAAAGCTAGTGATTACTTTCTTGATAATTGGGCAGATTTGGTGAGCTTATGAAGTTTTGGAGCCTGATTCAAGTTACTTATTTTTCCCCGGAAGAAATGTTCATGAATATACTAGCTTGTATATAATTTCAGGTAGTTCACGGAGAATTAAGCAACATAAATCACACCATTGTATGTTTCCTTGTCCTACAAAACTGAATTCAGTTCTAGTAAGCAATTCTAAAAGGCCATAAAATTACAAAGTGAGATAAAACAAAACTAAAATGAAAACCAAGAGCTATATAGCATGGTTCAAAGACACAGAGATGGTAAAACTAAGGATTTTTGATAGTAGTCTACATTTATACTAAAGGCATATGGAAGGCACTTTATTAAATTTTTTTGGTAAGGATTCAGAGGCTAGAACACGAATTAATGGAGGAAAGCTACAAGAGACTCAAGAGTAACCTTTTGTCCAACCGAATTGTTCAAACATCAGCAAACTTCCTGAGAATATAGGTTGGATACTTGTCCCTGTAGATCTAATCAAATTAAGAATGATTATTTGTGGATATAATAAAGATATTCAAATATTATATAGTATTTAGATGGGCTACTTGAAGATAAATATGTAGAATGTAAAATTCCAAACTTTATGAATATTCAATTTTATTCTTTTCTTTAAGTCAAATACTAATGAGTAAAAGGAAATCTTTCTTTCTCTTTTTTTTTTTTTGAGATGGGAGTTTCGCTCTTGTTGCCCAGGCTGGAGAGCAATGAAGCAATCTCAGCTCACCTTCACCTCTGCCTCCCGGGTTCAAGCTATTCTCCTGCCTCAGCCTCCTGAGTAGCTGGGATTACAGGCATATGCCACCACGCCCAGCTAACTTCGTATTTTTTAGTAGAGACGGGGTTTCTCCATGTTGCTCAGGCTGTTCTCGAACTCCCGACCTCAGGTGATCCACCCACTTCAGCCTCCCGAAGTGCTTGGATTACAGGTGTGAGCCACTGCGCCCGGCCCAGAAATCTTTCTTAAGGAAAAAGAAGTCTTGCCCATATTAAAATGAAAACTGTTTTTAAAAACAGTTTATATTGTATGTTTCATTTGAGTAGAAGCTTATTTAGAGGTATAACATTTCTAAGCATAGTTCAAGTAAAAACTCCTTTTTAATATAAAAAGTTTCATCTAAGTAAACTCTTCTTGTTTTTTAAATGTAAGTGATTTTAAACACCTTATATTTACTAATAGTGGGTCCGGAATTGGTGGGTTCTTGGTCTCGCTGACTTCAAGAATGAAGCCACGGACCCTCGCGGTGAGTGTTACAGTTCTTAAAGACCGTGTCTCCAGAGTTTGTTCCTTTAGATATTCAGATGCGTCCAGAGTTTCTTCCTTCTGGTGGGTTCGTGGTCTCACTGACTTCAGGAGTGAAGCTACAGACCTTCACAGTGAGTGTTACAGCTCATGAAGGCCGTGCAAACCCAGAGTGAGCAGCAGCAAGATTCGCTACGAAGAGCAAAAAAACAAAACTTCCACAACATGGAAAGCAACCCAAGCCCGTTGCCACTGCTTTTATTCCCTTATCTGGCCCCACCTACATCCTGCTGATTGGTCCATTTTACAGAGAGCTGATTGGTCCATTTTACAGAGACCTGATTGGTCCGTTTTGACAGGGTGCTGATTGGTGCATTTACAATCCCTGAGCTAGACACAGAGTGTTGATTGGTGCATTTACAATCCTCTAGCCAGACACAAAAGTTTGCCAAGTCCCCACTAGATTAGCTAGACACAGAGCACTGATTGGTGCTTTTACAAACCTTTAGCTAGACACAGAGTGCTGATTGGTGCATTTACAATCCTTTAGCTAGACCCAAAAGTTCTCCAAGTCCCCTCTAGATTAGCTAGACACAGAGCACTGATTGGTGCATTTACAAACCTTGAGCTAGACACAAGGTACTGACTGGTGTGTTTACGAACCTTGAGCTAGACACAGAGTGCTGATTGGTGCATTTACAATCCTTTAGCTAGACATAAAAGTTCTCCAAGTCCCCACCAGACTAGCTAGATACAGAGTGCTGATTGGTGCATCCACAAACCCCAACCTAGATACAGAGTGCTGATTAGTGCATTTGCAATCCTCCAGCTAGGCATAAAAGTTCTTCAAGTCCCCACCAGATTAGCTAGATACAGAGTGCTGATTGGTGCATCCACAAACCCGGAGCTAGACACAGAGTGCTGATTGGAGCATATACAATCCTCCAGCTATTCATAAATGTTCTCCAAGGCCCCACCCGACTCAGGAGCCCAGCTGGATTTGCCTAGTGGATCCTGCACGGGGATCGCGGGCGGAGCTTCCTGCTGGGATCCCGGGCGGAGCTTCCCGCCAGTCCCGCGCCGCGAGCCCGCACTCCTCAGCCCTTGGGCGGTCAATGGGGCGCGGCGCTGTGAAGCAGGGGGCGGCGCCTGTCAGGGAGGCTCCGGCGGCGCCGGAGGGAGTGGGGGTTTGCTCAGGCATGCCGGGCTGCAGGTCCCAAGCCCGTCCCGCTGGGAAGAGGCTGAGGCCTGGCAAGAATTAGAGCGCTGCGCCGGCAGGCCGGAAGTGCTGGCGGACCCAGCGCACCCTCCGCAGCTGCTGGCCCAGGTGCTAAGCTTCTCACTGCCTGGGGCCAGCATTGTCAGCTGCCTGCTCGGAATGCGGGGCCAGCCGAGCCCGCACCCACCGGGAACTCGTGCTGGCCAGCGAGCGCCAGCGCGCGGCCCAGGTTCCACCCGCGCCTCTCTCTCCAAACCTCCCGGCAAGCAGAGGGAGCCGGCTCCGGCCTCAGCCAGCCCAGAGAGGGGCTTCCACAGTGCAGCGGTCAGCTGAAGGGCTCCTGAAGAGGGGCCAGAGTGGACACCGCAGCCTGAGGAGGTGCAGAGGGAGCGAGGGCTGCTAGCACGTTGTCACCTCTCAATAGCAAGACCAAAGCTTACAGATGTCCATTATGTAAATAGGTAAGAAATATCTGGTTCTTTTCTTTGTTGATAAGCTTCTCAGCATTTTTTTGTGTTTTAAAAGTATTTTGTAGTTTATTTGCTATATGGAATCAACTTTAATTTTCTTACTTCTTATTCAGGCTTTTTTATAAGTCACTATATGAAAAAAGTCTTAAAATCCTAGTTTCAGAAAGCAATGTAAGCTCAACAAATGGAGGGTATCTAACTTCTATTGAAAACAGCAGTGATAAATTAACCTATTTGGGTTGATTTCCTCATTGATTGGCAGTTGTAAAATTGGGAGTAAGAAAAGCTCTCTGAGCAACTGTTATGCGGATTGTCAGTCAGCGGAAAAATATCAATGTCCTTTGATAACTTTGTCTAAATATTTTTCTTAGAAAATAAAATCAGTTTGGCTTAAAGATATTCAAACAATGAAATAAAAAGTTGATTTTAGGCAGTATAAAAATATAGAGTGTAAAAGTAAAATCATAGTGATTAAAATATATTTCAAAGTTATTTCATATTAATGTTAGGTCATTTCAAGTCTGATAGGATAGGAGTTTGGGAGTATTAAAAATCTGTTGTATAACTATATAGTAATATTTTATCTATTTTAAAATCCTACCATCCTTTGTTTACACACATATACAAAAAGCTTTCACCATCAGAGGCAACTGTGGGAAGATTCTTTATAATTTATGTATTGCATTTGTAGAATGAATCCGTTTTAACAAAGTAAAATCATATAAAAACCATTGTGGACTTTTTTCCTTCTATTTCATCAGTGGCTGTGTGGAGAGAGGGTGACAGTTTTGCAGAAGTTGTCATTCAAACTAACAAATGAACATTATATCATTATATAAGTGTGTCTTCTATGTAAAAGCATCAAGAGAAATTATAATGATACTATATCCTAATACATTCCAGTTGAGATGGAAAGATTAGACATTAGTTACCTCTAAAAAATAAAAAAAAACTTATTAATAAAATTTGATGATCGGAAGGAGTACGTTATAATTTCTAGAACAGTGTTTCTCAAACTTGAATAATGTACAGATTTATTTTAAACTATTTTTAAGAACCCTCATGTGTATAGATCTATAGATCTTACAGGTGCATAGATCTTTAAAATGCTGCAGTCAAATTCAAGAAAACACTGCTATGTTTATTTCAGCATTTTTCACAATAGCCAAGATATGGAAACCAAAATGAACATCAGTGAGTAAATAGATAAAGAAAATGTATATATACACACAACTTTTAAAAAATAAATTCTGTCATTCCAACAACATGGGTGAACCTGAAAGACATTCTGGTATGTGAAATAAGCCAGGCGCAGAAAGACAAATCCTGAATGACTTTACTCAAAATGTTGAACTCATAAAAGCAGAAAATAGAATATGATGACCAGAGACTAGGTGGGCAGGGAGTAGGGAAAGAGGAGATGCTGGTCAAAAGGCACAAAGTTCTACTAGGTAGAAGATACATTTTAGAGTACAGCATGATTACCATAATTAACAATATATTTTATATTTCAAAATTGCTACACGTAGATTTCTACCATACTCACCACAAAACATAATATGTAGGTGAGGTGATGGATATGTTAATTAGCTTGATTTGCTCTTGCTGCAATGTATATGTATATCAATACATCATAATTATGTACAACTATTATTTTTCAATTAAAATAATGTATTTAAATACTTTTAAAGATCAAGCAAAGAAACAAAACCAAATAAACAAAATTCAATATCATATCAGTTGATCACATGACATCAAAGGGATGAAAACAAACCTCCAATAGATGTATTTAAAATTGTATATCATGTCCATCATTAAATTCTTACCCCGTTGATCTAGAATATGCTCATATTTACTTGTAATTATAATACAAAATCAATGGAAACATTTCCATCCAAGTTGCATGCATAGAAAACCTGTGTGTAGGCGCTCACCTAACTTGTAAAACAGATTGAGAAATCAATAAAGAACAACATGAGGAGAACATTTATATACCTCTGTTGTGAATTTCAACAAGAACTCTCAGACTCTCATATGTTTATAATATAACCTAGGTATTGATTAAAATTAAAAATAAATCTAATGTTACTCACTAACTATATCCTAAGTTACCTGGTTAGTTCTTCAACATACTTAAGTTATTCAGAGTATAATCTTTTCTTTTTACATAATATTGTTTGCTCTTTCTGGGGGCTGAAATGTGATATATAATAAAGCAGTAAGTACAAAAATGGCGAGTCCTCAGTATGGGGCACATTAGTATTAGTATTTTTTAATGCTTCCTTAAAAATCTTATTAATTATAGTTCTTGTCTTGCAGGGCTTGTTGAAAGTACTCTGTTGGCCCTTTCCTCTGAATTAGAAATCATATTAGAAACACTTATCGAAATGAGATAAAGGTCAATAAATATGTCCATTTAATGACTAGCAAAGGTAGTTTGGAGAATGTGGTTTTGAACAGGATAACTAATCCCTCCATCACACTCTAAACTGAACTTATCACTGAACTTCCCAAGGTAATGATGTCTGACTCTACCTACAGAGTCTGTCCTAGTAGGCACAAAAATAACAGTAATAACAACAAAACCTTCAAAAGCATTGATTTTGTTTTTTTTTAGGTAGACATTTGAAACAGGCTGAAATAATTAAATCATATATGTTCAGGTCCTTTCTTTCAAATTCATCAGTTGCATAACAAGTAATTACTCCTCATATAAGAAAGAAACAAATGCCGCTTGATAAAAATGTGAATGTTACCTATAGTCAAAATGGTGAAATTGCTATTTACAAGCCATCAGGAACATAGTAAAAGGAGAAACATGATGTGGTTTCATTTTCTTTGTATTAACATTGTGCCCCATATTGAGGACTCACCAGTTTTGTACTTATCACTTTATTATATATCACACTTTTAGCCCCCATAAACAGCAAGCAATATTATGTAAAAGAAAAAAATTATACTCTGAATAAATAAGCAAGTGGTGAAAAATAAACACTTTCTCAAAAAGCCAGTGACTTATTTGAAACTTATGGTTAATTAAATAAAAATACTAAACCCCAAGAAAAACATATAGTTCACTAGATCATGACCTTTTGCAAGGATGATGTATCTGTATTATCAGTACATAACTTTATGTCTGTCAAATTAGCAAGTTTTGAACATATGCTATTATTGAACATTCTTCATTTATTTTAATTCATTTTTATTTAATTTCCAAAAGAAGCTGTAAAGAACATGCAAGGTTGTACATACTTATTTTGTTATGATACAATTGACTTCCACCTAATAGGTATTTACACATATTCCTTATTTTTAAGAATAAAGATACAAAAATTCTCTTGTAAATGATTAGTATATTTAAATCCCAATGGATAAAACAGGACTTTTACTTACCATTTCTCCATTTATTTATTCAAAATAAAATGCATGTCTGTGTTGTGCAAAATTAGAATTATATATTATGGCTACAACAAAATTAACAAGAATTTTTTCTCCCTGTGTGGAGATGATTTTCTAGTGAATGAAATACTTATGTTAAAAATAATATAATGGATATTAATCAGAGATATACTAGAGATGGGCAACACCCTATGAAAACACAGAAGTCCACAGCTAAGATATTTTGGGCATGTTGTATAAATACATCCCAGAAGATGATATTTTAAGTGTATATTAAAAATGAGTGAATACACATGATTTTCCAAAAAAAAAAGTAACATACTGGGGAAAGAATTTTCAAACAATATAGCTAGAATGTATGTATATTATTAAGGAAAAACATGAAACTTGACCCCTACCTCATTCTAAACATAAAAATTAGCTCAAGATGGATCATAAACTTAAACATAGAAATAAAACTATAAAGATATAAAAAATAGGAAAATATGTTGTGACTTAGGAGAAGGCAGTATTTTCTTCAGACACAGAAAACAACAATAAAAAAGCCAAATTTGTTTTCATTAAAAATATCTGTACATCAGAAAACACCATTAAAATAATGTAAAGTAAAACACTGAAAGAAGGCATTTATAGAATATGCATCTGACAGAGAGCTATGTAAAGGCTGTATAATGTACTTCTGCAACTGAATTTAAAAGAAATAAAAAGGCAGAAGTTTTAAACAGATGTTTCACATAGTAAAATATATGAACATCCAATAAACATATTAAAACAACTATATTAATACTAGAGAAATACATATTAAAACCACCATGAGATACCCTCCCCAACAGAATAACTTAAAAAAAATGGTAATACAAAATGTTTGCAAAAATAGGAGGATGTGAAGCAACTGTAACATTGATAATTTCATCTGGAGACTGTAAAATGGGGCAACCTTAGGAAAAGATGTAGCCTTTCTAATAAACTAAATATATACCTACTCTATGACCTAGCACGATCATAGCTGTGTATTTACTCAAGAAAAAATGAAATCTCCACAAAAATACTTTCACATGAGTTTTCATAGGAGATATATTCATAATGAGCAAAACCCAGTTCAAGACAAGTGTAATTGATAAATTGGATAATTGGTAAACTGTAGTATATACATAAAATGATATATCACTCAAGATGAAAATAAATAAATTGCTTATGTACACAGTAACTTAGATGAATTTCAAAGTCATAATGCTAAGTAAAAGAAGTCTAACAGAAAAGAGTACAGGTTGTGTTATATTTATATGAAGGTGTAGCACAAGCAAAACTAGTGTATGGTAGAAAAAATTATAAAGCAATGTTTGCTTCCAGGGTAAGGGGAGGGAACTGACTGAAAAAAGATATAGAAAAACATTTTAGTGTGTTGGCAGTGTGTATGTATATATATATATATATATATATATATAGTTTGTTTGTTTTTTTGTTTTGAGATGGAGTCTTGCTCTGTCGCCCAGGCTGGAGTGCAGAGGCACGATCTCGGCTCACTGCAAGCTCCGCCTCCTGGGTTCAAGCCATTCTCCTGCCTCAGCCTCCTGAGTAGCTGGGACTACAGGCGCCTGCCACCACGCCCAGCTAATTCTTTATATTTTTAGTAGAGACGGGGTTTCACTGTTTTAGCCAGGATGGTCTCGATCTCCTGACCTTGTGATCTGCCCACCTCAGCCTCCCAAAGTGCTGGGATTACAGGCGTGAGCCACTGCACCTGGCTGGCAGTATTTTATATTTTAATAGTATTTTAATATGCATTTAAGTGAATATTTTAATACACATTTTATTGTATATATGTTTTTCCTCAGAAGTACTGACTAAACAAAGAGTGGTAACACAAATTAATTACATTCACACTGACATATTCAGCAGAAACTATCCCAATGCCTGTAGTTTATTTGCAATGTATCAAAAATAATATGGATTCAGGGGGTAAATGGCAGGTGTGGATACATGGATAGATGTGAAAAATTAACAGTAGGATCTAGGTGTTGGTTGTATGAGTATGCACTATAAAATACTTTCAACCTTTCCTTGCGTTTGATAATGTTTACAATAAGATATCAGAAAAAAAATCAAAGCACAAAACTAATGAATTTCATTCAGAAAGGATAGCATTCCCGAAAAAGGAACTGACAAAGAGTGGCAAGTACATTTGAGAAGAAGTGTTCTTTTTTGGAAGTATTTCTTTAAAACTAAATTATTGGAGTCTTACTACTGAACGCTGTTGCTTGTCTCTATATCAAAAATTTGTTTAATCTTTAATTTGTTGTTAGGACATTCACAGGGGATGAAGTTGGTTAAGATGTGGCTATTACCCTAAATATCTTACAGATGAATGTAGGAGAAAGATGTGTAAACTATTTGTATACAGTAGAATTAGTGCTATAACAAAGAATTTGCCTGTGCTGTCAACACAGAACATGAATTTTTCAGTAGGTCTGGGTAGTCAGAGAAGTATTCTCAGAAATAGAAGGCTTGTGGTACATATTGGATACTAAATAGAAGTTAACCATTTTGATAAAGGCATAGTGTTTTTCTAAAAGCTTTTCTAAAACAAAATATATGGAAGCACAGAGGCATGAAATAACTGTGCTTTCTGATAATTGAAAATACTTCAAAATTAATATAGCAAATTTGGAAACAGAGGTGGAGGAAAATTCATTCTTGACTGCTAAGCCAAAAAATTTGAAAGGAAACTGAAAGTTATGGGAAAATTACAAACTATTTCCTTCATTGAATTATACTGTCCCTACATTTATTAGTTATTAATTGCTATTTAAAGTATAACCACAAATTTAACAGCTTAAAATAAAGTACATTTACTATCGTATAGTTTCTGTGGCCAGGAATCCTGAGACTGTTTAGATGGGTAGGTGTCCTGCTTCAGGCTCTCTCATCAGTTATGATCATTGTTTTGGTCAAGGTTAGGGTTTCAGGCAGGCTCCGTTGGGAAACTGACTACTGTGGTATACTTGTATAAATCAAGGTAGTCTACTTATCTGAAAGCCCATAATTAAATCACATTTGTAAAGTCCCTTTGCCATGCAAAGTAACATATTAACAGGCTCCTGAATTAGGACATGGGTATTTTTCCATGAGTCATCTTTCAGCCTACCATATCATCTAAGAGAGAGAGAAAACCTTGAGGAAAATTTGTCCCTGATAGTATTAAAGTTGCGTTATAAATAAATGCCGTAAATACTGTTTTGGCAATGTATAAGATATCTATATATAATAGTTTTATGAAACATTAATTTGTATTAACATTCATTATAGTTTTTTTAAGACGTGTTAAAGAGAGAAGAGTATTCAATGATGAGTATTCTGAGGAACTTAGTTTAGCGGCATATAAAGTTTCAAGAATTATAAAATCGAAGGGGATATATGAACGTCCCAGTTAACAGAAGATCTGTGATAGATACATTAGGAATGAAGCCTGCAGAGAACAAAAAGAAAAAAAAAGGGGGCCTAGAGGAAGTTATTAGAAACAGGAGTATGGAGCAAGTCTTCAAGATTGTGGGGAGATGAAAGTTTCAGGGAGCAACAAATTGGTCACAAGAATAATAAAGTAGAGAAATGGGCTAGGAGTAAGTTGGGAACTGACCTTATTATTCCTAAGGGTCTTTAAATGGTACTTCAATATGTAGAGGGCTAGCACAAACAGCAAATAAAGAAGTCTGAGCTCAACTTCCCCATTATTTTACAATATTGAGGACACATACTGTCATTGGATGTCATCCAACAAGCCAAATATGTTACTAGAAGTCATTAATCTATTCATTCAAATCATCCTAGAGATTTGTATGCTAAGTACATTAATTTATCAAGTAGTACACATTTGGATATGAGAAATTTGATTATTTACTGTGGTATTTAATATTTAAAATTTTGATGTTAGAGTGAAGAGAAGTTCGGACACTGAGTTAACATTTGGATGTATACAGATTCCATAACTTCTCACTTTGTGAAGAAAGATCTAATATATTTTCCTAAATTCCTAAAATAGGACCAGCAGTGGTATGGAGAGATACTCACTTCCATATTTACAGCTATTTTAGCACCATCACATAGCAATATTCAGTGGCCCATGACAGAAGGAGTATTTCCCCTTCCCTTTTCAAAACAGCAATAAAAATGGATGAATTCTCACTATTTTTCTTCCCTGACATTGGCTAATTATTAACTCTGCAGAAAAAATTAAATTTTAATTTTGATGTCATTGTAAAAGACCAGGAACTGTCTCAGAATGATAAGATGTCATAAAGGTTTAAGTTGTTCTTGTAAGTTGGCCACATGTTCAAATGTTAAAAATTTACACACTTTCTCCAGCTTTACATGTGCCCATTCCTTATGCTAATATATTGTATAATAGTCACTATGTTAATATGATTTGAAATAGTACCTCTTTAAGATGTCTGCCGAACACATAGTTTAAACTGCAAATCTTACTGAAATCTTTCCAATTTTTTTGTATTATTCTATGTGATACTTTATGAAAAGTACCAACAAGTGATTAAAATTTATTGAAAGGAAATAGCCTAGAATTGGAATAATTTAAATTAAAAATATGCTGTAAACTCTGGGTTGTAATTAACATCAACATATAAAGTGACAGCAGATAAAGCACATCGTTAGTTAACCACATGCCTCATAATAAACTTTTGACCAAATACTTTGTGAATTTATCTAACCTAATAATGGTCTCCATTAAAAAAAAAAAAGATGGCTAGTTGGATAGTTAGGGAGTGTTTTAAGTAACTATTTTCATAAAAACAACCAGGTTACAAAACCACTCATATTCTATCTCAAGTCAAATGTGTATGTTATTATTAAAGATTTCCAATGTTTAATTGAACCAGAAGAAAGACATTACAGCCACAGACATCATTTTTATAAATGTATGCATTTAGATATGAGAAAATATAATTACAAATGGGTTCTAGTTTAAAGATAGACACTTTTCTTATGAGATGCTGTTTTAATATTTAACACTTTAAAAAATTTATTATATGTAAACTATTTATAGAGGATTCATGAGACAATACAAAGAAAACAAGACAAATCCTCTGCTGTCACGTAGCTTATGATTTCAATGAGGTTTTACTTCATGGATATAGAAAAAGTTATTTCGCTACATTTGTTTTGAAAACAGGCCCTCTGCAAAAGAAATTGTCATTTTGTGGAAAGTAAACCACATCAAGAAATAGAGTCAAGTTTGATGATGAGGATGAGGAAAACCTCCTGGGATTAAGGGAATGTTAATAAAAGGATAAAGGTTTTATGTTAGGTTCTAACATTAATTATTTAATTCAGCAACTATTAATTAAGTCTCCCACATATCAGGAAATTTTCTTCACACTAGAGATGTAACAGTGAACAAGGCAGACACAGACTATGCCCTTATTGAATTTAGAATACTAAACTGTTGTAAATGCAGTGATAGGAGAAGTAAAAGGCACTATTAAAATCACCTAAGCAGGGAAATTTCCCAAGCCAGACAGTAACAAAAACTTTTAAGAAATATTTATAATAATATAAAACCATAATAATGGCAATAATATCACTTAAGTACATGCTCTGTATGCGATATTTTTGTATGTACTTTGAAGGTATCAAGGCATTTAAACCTCCTAACATTTTAAGGCAGCTAAGGTCATGTCCTTTGCAGGGTCATGGTTAGAGCTGGAGGCCATTATCCATAGCAAACTAACAGGAACAGAAAACCAAATACTGCATGTTCTCACTTGTAAGTGGGAGCTAAATGATGAGAACACATGGACACACAGAGGGGAACAAGACACATTGGGGAGTTTGGGAGGGTGGAGGGTAGGAAGAGGGAGAGGGTAAGAAAAAATAACTAATGGGTACTAGGTTTAATACCTGGGTGATGAAATAATCTGTACAACAAACCCCCATGACACAAGTTTACCTATATAACAAACCTGCACATGTACCCCAGAAATTAAAATAATAGTTGAAAAAAAGGCAGCTAAGTCAGGGATTGGTAGCATCATGATTTTACTGATAAGGAGACCAAGAAATATTTAGGTTAAGTCAATCGCTGAAGATCCTGTGACAAGTAAGTGTCATAGCTAGTTCTCAAGCCCAAGCTCTCTTTCTCCAGAGCCAGTGTTCCTAGCCTTCTTATTCAGTGAGGATTTTCTCCAGTCAGAGGGATGTCAGTTGTGAACTGATTGGAATGGGAGAGGAACATGTCAGTTGATGCAACATTTTACAAATTTTAGTGTATATTTGAAATTCATTTCCGCAGATTTTTTGCTCCTTTCACTACTTGTACATGTCTGATCACATGATATAAATATACCATAATTTTTCTATTATTGTAGCATTAAAAATTATCTCTACAAAACTTAATTTTAAAAAATTAAAGATATTTATTTGGTAGATATACCTTAGTTTTAATAACCATTTTAATGTAAGGCGACAATAAAAATGATTCTAAATCTCTACTTCATATTATTTTAGATTTAATATCTTTCTTTTTTAAATGCTATTCCTGAATTCCAGGTTATTTTCTAGTAATAAAAAGTATTGTGTCACATTTGCTCCGTTTTTTTTGAAAAGGGACTGTAATAATTTGTACTCTCTTTCACATGGTATGACAAGGCCCATTTCTTTGAATATTTTATTTTTAATATTATAATTTTTGAAATGTTTATTTTAATTGGCAAATGTTTAATATTATAATTTTAAAGTGTTATTTTAATTGGCAAAATGTTATATGTTTATAATATTATTTATATGTTGTTTTATTTATGTTACTTTGGTGAGCTGGAACGGGTTTCTAAGTTTCTGTTTGCTATTTTTTCAGTCTGTATTCTTTTTCTGGAAACTGTCAACATTCTTGGCCCATTTTTTAAATTGAGATTTTGATTTTTTTTTCACAATTACTGAGTGCTCTGCATTGGTCACTGTTAATATATAAGCATTGTCTCTAACTGTGGAGGGGAGGTCAACAGGTAATTAAAAGCAATCACAGAGTACTGTGATTGAGTGCTGAATATGATAAGAACAAAGAGAGAGTCAGATATCTCATTTCTCAGAGGCCTGGATGAAGTTATTTCAAAACTGCTTGGTGAAGGGATGGAACTTAGTGGTGAGGTAGGATTGTTTTTGCACTCAATTTCAAAAGTAATGTGTTCAGCTCCAGAGGATCAGGAACATGGTGCTTCCAAGGAATCATGCATGGCTAACACAGAGCATGAGAAGAAGGATGTGAGGAAGGATGAGGATTGAGAGGTGAGCAGGGACCATAAGGTGAAGGCTGTGCATTTTAGGCTAAAGCATACCTCAGGGATGTCTTGGCTGCTTTTTTCATGTTTATATTTTAAATGTTATAATGACTTCATATACTTTCCCAATATGTTTGCTTCTGTTTTCAATGTGTTAAGCATGTATTTTTTTTGTCAGAAAATCTGTCCACTTTTTCTCTATAATTTCTTTCATTTTTCTACATTATTTTAACATAGTTTTAAAAGGTAAATGGATAAGACCATCCTGCACTGATTACACTTATTTATTTGTCCTTGAATTAACTCATCATATTTCAAAAGAAATGCGCTTATAAGGAAAACTACATATTTGATGAAATAGAATAGCAATGATTGTATTTATTTTAGTAATTATGTGTGGCCATATCTAGAATAGTAATTTCAAGAAATAGCCATTGTTTCCAGCAGTATCTTATGAATATTTCATCAGCTATTGGAAATGTAATTCTATAAGACTTCACAGGTGGTTTGGAAGCCTCTCTAAATGGATAGGTCTTCACAGTAGAATTACAGCCAGTTGCTGATGCAGCCAGCCTCTTCCCAAGTTGAACCAGCTGCTTTATGGGGGAGTTTCGAGGGTTTCCACAGCATAGGGCCATTTAAAGCTGTTTATGCTACCGCCAATTCTCTTTATAATAAATGCACTTCTTGGTACAATACTTTCATCTAGATCCAAGTTGTCTTTGACACAAAGCACAGAATGTAATTGATGGGTTCACTTGAGACAATCATTCGCTTATATTACAGTTAGAGATTATTATAATACTTACCAAAAATTTTCAAAAAATATGTTGATATGCCTAACCCCCAATATTGAAAAATGCAAAAATAACTGAAGTACTTATATTTAAAGTGAAAATAATTTATTCTAGGAAAACCCTATACATTCAATCTTGTTGTTCAGGAATATAGCTTTCTTTTTCTTTTCTCTCTTTTTTTTTTGACTTACTAGTGGCATTTGCTGGCACTAAACTAGAAAAGTAGAGGATGCACTACTGGTGATCATTTCTTGTTTTCAAAACTTTTATTTTTTAAGACAAGGGAAATTAGATGAAAAGAAACATTTATTGATTGCCAATACCTATAATAATAATAATTTGTGTTTCCTGATTATGACTATGTTTTGGACACTATTTTAAGCATTTTACTTGTATTAACTCAGTTAATGTTATCACAACTCCAGAAAGTATGTACAATTATTATCCTCATTTTATATGTAAGGAAACTGAGGCAGAGGCATATTTTTCAACTGTTGCAAAGCTATGAAAAATCTATGTCAGAATGAGGACTCAAATGTAGGTACTGTCTCTTACCTGTTATAATACAGGACAGAAACCACTCGCTAGGTATGTTACACACAAGAAGTTATTTACTTCTTACAAAAGTATTGTGAAATCATTTTTACACTTATGTGACAAATAAGGCCACTGAGACTTCAGAAAATTTAATAACACTGTAAATTGAACACAGTGGATTGCAGAGCAAGCACCTGTCTATCATGACTGTAATGGCCCCTTTTACCCTGTGCTATACTCCCATAAAGAGAATTGCTCACTCCAAAAACTATAGTAATTGTGATACCTAAAAAAAATGAAAAAATTGAAAGGATTGTTGAAGTCATTAAATCCTAATTTTATCTAATTCTTTTATTATTGACCTCATAAAACTTTTACTAGAACAATAATAAAGTTTACCTTTGTGCCTTAGCTCTTTTTCATTTTTAAGAAAATCATCAGACAGACATGATAATTATTAGGGACATTTCGCCACAAAAAAGAAGCAGGAGAACAAAGGGCTCGAATAATTCAGAAATGATAATTAAATACAAAGTGATAAGGATTTGCCCTTCCATGAACTATGACTGGCTTGAAATCGATATTAATTTTATCCTGTTAAATATATACTGAGTTAGAAAAGCACCCACAATTACATAAGTACCTGGGTTTGAATGGCATTTTTACCTCTAGATAGTATATTTAACATGTGATCTCTGATATGAGAGACATAATCTAAATCATGAGCCCTTGCTATTATTCCTCAAATTTTTGCTTACCACCCACACAGGATATAAAATTCACAACTTAATTTATCCTTGAGTAATGTAGCTGCATTAATTCACTGCTTGAATTTTATTGTCTGATAATTAATGGAGGTCACATTTCAACCTGTACAAAGAAAGTGCTAAACACTCCTAAAGATTTTGATGAGAGTTCAGAGCTAAAAGCTCTCACAGAGATTCCTTCCCCAACCCCTGTTAAAAAAAAGACTATCAAATTATTTCTTCAATTTAAAAATAAATAGAATATTTACCACTAATCTGGCAATAACTTAAAAAACATATTTAAAATCTTTGAATCATTGGCTCTAGTCAAATCATCTTATGATGCCCATTAGCAACACCATAGCCAACTTCTAACTGTAGTTAAAATTACCTGCCAGCCTTAGTGAACATTTGGATATGAAAAGATTTGCAACAGTGACAAATAAAAATAGTCTCTGAAGCAAATAAAATATTGAATAATTTTTTAAGATTATAAGGGTAGAAAATCATGCCTGTAAATATTTGACTATGTACTCTCAAGAAAATGTTCTAATTTTAAAATGTAAGAATAGTTAATTTATCACTCTTAAGAAATATAACAGTAGTTTATTGATATCATTAAACATCCAGCCAGAATTCAAATTTCTCCACTTGTCTCCTAAGTGTGTTTTTACTGTTGATTTGCTGGAATCCCTATCAAACAATGCTCATATATGTTTGTCGCTCATTCCCTTTTTAAAATATATAGGTTCCCGCTACTATTTCTTTTTCCTGGAAATATATCTAATAAAGAATTCAGGATATCTGTTCTAATGAATTCTCCACATGCTGGATTTGGTTAACTGCTTCTCTATGATGTGACTTAATGCGGTCCTCTTTTCCTTGTATTCCGTTTAAACTTTTAGAGCAGGAGGCTTGGTGAGATCAGTTTTGATTTATTGGCACGGCTAATTTAATGGGCAATGATGTGTACTTCTTGTTGCGCTACATCAGGAGTCACAGAATGTCTGTGTCTCTCTGAGTACTGTTAAGATTGACTAAGGGTTTCAGGTGTGGCCATCCTAATTTATCCAATGGTTATAGCATGCCACTTCACTTGGTAAAGCTGACCGTAGACAGACACTGACAGACTCCAGACGCCGCTTAAATTGGTTGGCGATGCACCCAGAGGCTTCAGTCCTCACACATTATGCAATGAATGATGACAAATAGAGAGACTGCATTCTCAGTTGCCTTACAAGTCCAAGATTCTGTGATTTTCTTATTTTCTATATCCAGTTGTCTTAAAAGTGATACTTTCGTGATTGATTTGTTTTAGTCAGAGATAATTTTGTTTCTGCTCTTCACCTTTCATATCAAAAGATTCTTAGACCCAGTAAGTAAAGAGTGCATATACACCCATACACATATGTGATTTTTACTCTGTATTTTTTGTACGTGGTGTGCTATTTGAAGCAAGTCTAGTGTTCTTGCATATGATTTTACTGTATTTTGGGATAATTGTTTTTCCATTGGAGTACTTCACTGAAAATTACATAGAAAATGCTAATCAGCATACAACTTGTACGTTGTACACAAATTTTCAGTATTATATGCTTAAAATTAGTGAGATTTAACCAAACAGATATTTGTTGAGCACTTTTTAACTGCCAAGACTTCTGTTCAGCATAAGGATATACCATAAATTAATGGAAAACTCCCGCTCTGAAAAAGCTTATATCTCTGTTCAATTGTGGGTTACTTTATTTTGTAAAACACCCAATAATTTTATGGCATTTATATCCTATATTTTAGGTACTTAATATACAAGCATACTGATCTTGGACAACCCAATTTACCTCTATAATCTCATTCTCGGGGCTCTAAAGAAATTGAAAGCTGAGGAAAGTAGTATATTAGCATGTTTTCAATGTGGAAAAATGGCAAATCTTAGTCTGAATACATCTCAAAATCACAATGTTAGTTTTCCTTATGTGATATATATTTATCAAACTTTAACATATAAGTGGTTATAAATATTAAAATTCACCCTGAAAATATAATAAATTATTTATGCTTATGCTTTATTATCCTAATAGGTAGTGAAATTTTTTTTTTCTTGGAGAAAATGACTGGAAAAATGTGGAAATAAAAATTAGGTAAATCGTGTTATCCTTATTATTCTCTCCCAAAAAAGAGATTAAATTTTAAAACAACATTCATATGTTTTCTTCAGGAACTAATAGAATAAACTAAACTGAGAAAAGGAAATGTAATTGTTGACCCTGCTCAAAATCTGAATTTGTATAGAGGCTGGCCCCACTCTGAGTAAAATTATCATAATTATACATTAAGATGAGAAGCAAGATTAAAAAAAAAGTGAATAATTAGCCTGAAAAGGATACCTTTAATGTTAGCTGTGACTCTTTATAGTTGTAGGTGCTAGTAAATTATATTAAACCACTTCAGATGAGACTATTAAAGTGTAAGATCCAGTGTCCTACTCTCAAGATAATGTAAAAGAAAAGCATTATTCTAAAGAATTTTGTAATTTCACCTGCTGCTATTTCTGACCTTGACAACATTAACATTTCTTCCCAAATTGTGTATTGAATTCAGATTTATTTAAAAGGTTACATACAAAATTTTACGTAACAAATTTCAAATATCACTAACAATTCTTGAGAGGGTTAAAAATTCTGTTTGCCTCTTGGACTAAAGACGCTGATGGGCTAGTTTATTACTGAAGCATTAACTCAGTCATACTTCATTCTTCACCTGCCATATTTGCTTTCATAGATTGGTCAGAAAGAAAAAAAAATGTACTTGAAATGTCTAAGACTGTGTGACTCATGCAGCACACAGGACAATGTTTATGACAGAATTAAACAGCCAAACCTTGAGCTGAGGCAGAGTCAGTGGCAGTCATGAAATCCACATTGCACTACAAAAAAAATTTAGGTAATGAACATTTTATTGAATGTCATCCAAACTCCACATGTTCTTAATCTCTGCTTAGTATTTTTTAAAGAAAAGGTAGTTTTAATAAAACACCAGATCAAATTCAACAGACATTTATTTAGTGCCTACGTACTAGGTACTGCACTAGTCAATAGAAGAGACTGCCACAGTCTCTGTCCACAAAGAGTTTTAATACAAGAATGGAATAGTCATGTAAAACACTGTCAGCCTGGATGATGAAGATAAATACTTGTTTCGAGGAGTCGCTTAACCACAATTAGGAAGAGGGAAATAGAAGCAGAATTAAGGAACTTCTAAGAGCAGGTGAAGCTTCAAATGAGCAGAGCACTTGTAGAGTGAGCCAGGTAGACACAATCTCTCCAAGTTTAAGTGCATCCTCCCCACCACACGATATTGTCCTTAAGGAAAACAATCATCCCCACTCAGGTTTCTCTAGGGGGATTTTTTAGCTGGAGGAATACTCCTTGCACCCTCCCTTTCTAGGCTTTTCACTTGTATCTTCCCATGGTAGAAGTAATGAGTTATCTGACTCATGAGTTTGGAAGAACACTCCCCTTTGGAGCAAGTCGGCCTTACAAACAGATGGGTGCTGGCCTGCTTTCTCAACCTGTGGTGAGCTTATTGGTCATGCTCTGATGGAGTAGCCTGCAGTTTTCCTGTTTTCCTAATGACTGGGTAAACAAGTTGGCCCAATTCTAGGAGGGGTTCTCAAGTCCATTTGGCTGTGTATCTAAGCCATGTCCTTTACCCCTTTGATTATTTTTTATCGGCACGAAAGCTGACAGTTTGGTCTCCATCTGTCTGACTTCTGTGTTTAATTCTCAATTAATTCCAAGCAAGGACAGTAAAGAGGCCTGTTATTTAGAGATTCATTAAAACTTCAACTATCAGTTCCAGTATATTCTCTTAGGTGGTTGTTTAAATACATGGTTTAATTTTGCTGATTAGTTCAGAATCCTAAAACCTAGTTTAAATTCACCCCAGGACATGGTAGCATCACTTGTCCAGAGTCAGGGCCAAGAACTACACATGTAATAGTAGTTGTAAAGTCTTGATGAATACATCCTTATAGCTTGTTTTCTTTGATAGGTCAAAAAAGTAACAATACAAATCTCTCTTCGTTGAAAAATAACTGTGAGCACACAATATTGCTTATGTGTTCTTTGCATTACTGTCTCAGGCTGCTCAGGTTGCCCTAACAAACGCCATAGATGGATGATATCAACAACAAACATTTATTTTCTCATACTTTTCAATGCTGGAAGTCTGAGATCAGGATCCCAGCACAGTCAGTTTTCAGTGAGCTGCTTGTAGGCAGCTGCCATTTTGCTGTGTGCACACATGACCTGCATTGTGGACACAGGAAGAGAGAAGGAACAAGCTGTCTGGTATCTATTGTTATAAGGACACCAGTTCTATTATCAATATATTAGGACCCCACCATTCTGACCTCATTTAACCTTAATTACCTCCTTATAGGATATATAGACAAATACCATCCCCTTGGAGGTTAGGGCTTCAATATACACATTTTGGAAGGGGCACATCAGTATATAGCTGTTACTTTTGTAATGAAGGAGTGATGATGACTAATTCACCTTTTCTGAATGCTTTCCCTGTGCCAGTCTGTGTGCTGAGTTTAAATTTAATCCTTGATTATATTGTATTATTGTTTTAAGAAATTTAAGAAAATATTTAAAGAAAATATTTAAGAAAATAAAACGAATGCTATTACTTTCCCAAGGTCACTCAGTGAAAGAATTAGAATGCACATTCTTCAATTAAATGCTGATCTATTTATTGTTGACTTGCAGGCAGTGATGGTTCATATTACTTTTATACTTTTGTATGCTTGTTGCTAGAGATTTAAAGATGGGCTATGCCTATAGAAGTAGGAAGTAATGCAAACAAGCAATTGAAAATAGCATGTTGGTTAATTGTTTCAGTGGTATTAAATCCAAATGTTTCACATATATACTACTTTACTTAATTGTTTGTCCCTTTTTATAAACATAAATATTTTCTGTGATAAAGGCTAAAAAGAATCCAGGACTAGAATATTCTGACAAGAAGAAGAAGCAAATGTTTAGTGTAAACTATATAGATTCTAAACAGCAAATAGCAAGCATGTATGTAATATTTCCAGAGTGATATAGTTTTGGCCATTTGAGTAGAATATAATCTAAAAAAATGCACATAAGTTATGGAATTGAATTAAAATTATATATGCAGTATAAAAATTAGAATCTTGAAGAGATTTATTCACTTTTTCAAATTCTAGGTCACCATAACATATTAAAGCCATGTGCATGTCTGAAGAAATTAATAAATTAATTTGTTTGCACATTTACTTGTATATTTAATTTCCTGTGACTGATACTCCAGGCATCGTAAGAGTAAATAGATCCTACGAATTTCTGATTATGCCATGGGATTAGTTTATTTACTAAATATGTCTAATATGTTCTTGCTTTGAGGCTGTAACACTGATTTCACATAAAGACAACACTGAAATATTCCTTTTGTTTCCTATTAGCTTATTTTTATTTCCTCCTAATAGTGTTATATTTCACTAATTATTTTTGGATTCATTTATAATTCAATTTATCTTATTAGGTAAAATGAAATAATCTCTAGGGTTATTTTCATTAATATTTCAACAAACATCTGTCTTACTGATGGAGACCTTTGCATGACCCAGGAAAAACAATATGCTATCAACTAGAATTAATATCATTCCAATAGGTTGTATAGAGGCAACAGCAAGAAACTAAAGAATAGATAAAATTATTTCCAAGTTGGTACTGATAAGAGGTAAGAAAAAAATAAAACAGATGTTTTGCATTCTTTTTAGTGTTCTTCTCAATGTGAAGTAAATAGCCCCATAGAATATGCTATGCTGTTTTGACAATACTGATAGAAATTTTCTTTAAAAGTTGGCATCTGAGGAAGTAAGCTAGGAGATTTTATAATAAATTATTTTATTGTTTTCTTCTTGGAAAAACAGTATTACAGTGAAAATTGGTATACTCTTTCATTGTATCTCTTACCAGAATGCTTTCAAGAGTTGCTTTTGGTTTATCAGCAGCAGTGTGCTCTTGGCCCTACTCCCCTCTGTTTCCCCTTTAGCGGAGCACCAGTTTGGTTCATAGATCTTCAACCAGAACAAAAGCCTACATTAAAATGGCTTGGGTATAACTCAGACAGTAAAGCCAGAAAGTACTGTGAACTTTTAAAGCATTTTCACAACAAAATGCATATTTCAAATTGGAAATTTCTGTAAGATAAGATAAAGCTCACAGTGTTCTTTTATTGATGCACTATGCAATGCAATTTTTATACTCTCATATCTCCTGTAATAGAAAATATGACCTGAAGCTACACATAACACCAGTATTTGGAAGCATTACAGGCCTTAGTAAAGTGTATTATGCCTTGGTGATACATTCAGAAGAAATCCAAAAGCATATAAATCCAACTATTGCCCTTAAACTACACCTTTGGGTGAGATTTCAAGTTTTCAGAATCTGAATGCTTCATAGCAGGTTAGAAATTTAGAACCATTGGCTATTTCTCAAACGAATGCTTGACCTCTTCCCAGATGGGAATTAGAAGGGATAAGAGGATAGCATAAAGACGCAAAAGCTATTTTTATAATAGAGACATCATAGTAATATTAAATAATATATCATCTATACATATATAAACACACACACACATTCGTAAGGCACATATGTAAAAGCCTTTTATCAAGCTTTCTCCCTTTGTCCTGATTCACTTTTCTAAACATCACCCTTTACCACTTGATATATTGAATATGTATACATTTGTTTTCTATCTTATTTATCTATCAATAATGAAAAAGTGAATACAGAAGGAAACTACATACTACTTTCCCTTATTCCATGACTATGGCTCTCAAAATACAGGCTCAATATCAATTTATTTTATTTTAAAGCATTTGTGCACCTACTATATATGTAACACCTACTTCGTACTTGTGAGGCTATAATAAGAATAAGATGAGGAACTGTCAAACATATGGTTTTCTGAAATCGCTCTTCTGTGGCAGAGAATGAAATGTCTCTTGTCATTTCATCTGTTGTTAGTGGAGAAATAATTACCATTAGCACAGTGTTACATAATAAACGGAATTTTCTTCCTTTTTAAGGAAGATAAAAAATATCTTTAAACAACCAATTGGTTAGTTTTTTCAAGAACATAAATACATGTAAGTACATTTATATAAATTATAAGTAATGAAACATTTATATAAATTTTTAATTGATATACATTATAAGTAATGAAAAATTTATTATATACTAGAAATACATGCAAAGAATCAGAATTAGTGTGAAGATGTGATAACTATAGTATAATATGATATGATATAATATAATAAACACGTTAAGGTTTCAATCAATTCAATTTCTAGATTAGGAACACAAATCTAAAACCTTTATACATCAATGTTTAAGATATGGAAATTAAAAGTCTAAGTATAACTTAAAATGAGAAATATGTAAAATTAGAAAGGTGATTTTCTGTCTTGGATGAAACAGTACACTTACGACTAAAGGTAGAAACTAATTTTTTGAAGAAGAAGAAGATTAAGAAAATATGTTTTAAAAATTCTTCCATACAATGATTTATTTGTATATTAAAATTTTTTGAAAATATTTATATATAATGCTATTTATTATGTAGATATATTTGTGTATTTCTAAAAATATACTGCCAGCACATAGATGTATAGTGTTAACAGTTTGATTTATTTCTATGATTTATGCTATATTGAAATTTATGCTGCTATATGAGTTATAAATATTTAACTAATTTCTAGAGGTTTTTAAAACAATAAAAACATATTTAGTAATAATGCATTAATATAATGATACAGATTATTTGATTACAAAAAAACTTATTTAGTTAAAATAGATGCTGGATTTTTGCACAATTCAGGACTAAAACTCATCATTACAATATACTTCCCAGCTTTTTCCTTCACTTTTTCCTAACATATGATGCTTGTGTTTTGAAGTAAATATTTGAGTAGTGAAATATTTTAATAGTGTCTTTATATTTATTTTTAAAATAAGAAAAAATTACTTCAGAAACATTCTAAAAATCTTAATGATATTAATACAAATAGTTTTCAAAAATATGACTGAAGTTGTCTGGGCATGGTGGCTCATGCCTGTAATCCCAGCACTTTGGGAGGCCGAGGCAGGCCAATCACGAGATCAAGAGGATGTACACCATTATAGCCAACATGGTGAAACCCCGTCTCTACTAAAAATACGAAAATTAGCCAGGCATGGTGGCAGGCGCCTATAGTCACAGCTACTCGGGAGGCTGAGGCAGGAGAATGGCTCGAACCTGAGAGGCAGAGGTTAGAGTGAGCCGAGATCGCACCACTGCACTCCAGCCTGGCAACAGTGCAAGACTCTGTCTCAAAAAAATAAAATAAAATAAAATTGACTGAAGTTATTTTAATAGTGATAAAAATAAAAAAGTAACCTCCAAAATAGAAAAGTTCCAAGGATTGAATTTTAAACAAATAAATCATAAAACTACATGTCTTCTAAGACACGCTCATAATTGCCCCTTCAGCATCAATTATATTTTAAGCATGTCACTAAAAAATGTGGGTATAGTAATTAATTATTTATTAATTACCCAATATAAGAACCAGGAGATCACTATGTGCATGGTTAAGAATTGCAAAGCATGGTGCTGTGGATGACGAAGTTTTGCACCGAACAGGTGAAGACCTGTGAAAGGTTCCAAGTACAAAAGTCATTTGTGTGTGCTTTCTTAACTCTAAAACATGAGTTAAAAAAAAAAGAGAATGTGGGGGTTCAAAGAAAAGTCACACAAAGTTTGCCATGCATCAAATTAAAATAGTCAAGAAAATTTATTTACAGCAAACAGTGGAAGCTACAATTCAGTTTCTATATTTTCACAAGCAAATGGATCATTGAAGATTTCCAGTATTTCTAACATTTCATCTTCAAAGCCATGTTGATTGAGTTATTTTCTGCAAACATTTCAAATACATTAACCTATTGTTTCTCTGAGCTGAAGTACAGTCCTCAAGAAGCCCATTTTCAACCTAATTTCTCTTCCTCTTCCTCCTCTTTCCCCACTTCTTTCTCCTTTTTCTTCTTCTCTCTCCTTTTCTCTTTTTCTGTTCTCCTCACTCTCTGTCTCTCCCTCTCATTTAATCTCTCTATCCCCTAACCCCCAATCAGAGTTGTTTCCAAATCCCTTAGCTGTCTTTGTTGTTTAGCAATATCAAAAGTGTGGAGCATGGGACAAATCTAGATTCCCTTTGTGGACAGTGGAGGAAAGAAAAAAGAATAAGACAATTATTCAAAATATGATATCTACCAAAGGAAAATGAGAGTTTTCAAAGCCTTATAAATATAATTAGCTCAGTGTTCTAAAAGTAAAAATATACAGGAAAAGTACAGAAAAAAAGTAACAAGTATAAAAAAATTTTAAATTATTTTAAAAGTACAGGAAAAATGTACCCAAAAATATAGAAAAGAATTGACTGGGAAAGTGTGTAACTATGCTTACAAACTACTTCAAGTAGAGAGATCATCATGAGTAATTATTTTCCTCTGTATTATTTTCTACTGTTTCAAAAGACTCAATGCACATAGATTTATTTTTTTAACTTAGAAAAATATTGGGTTATTGTGTAAATAAGTATTAACAAATATCTCCATTGTATTACTTTTTAAATGTCTTTCAGGGTTAAAAAATGGTCCTTACACTTTTCTTTAAAAATCATTTTTCTTACAAGAATATAGTTGTTCTCAATTGTGAGAAGTCAAAAATTAAACTACAAACTTAAATATAAGAATTTTTGTATTTGTATTACCAAACAATTCAGTGTTTTTTTAAGAAATCAATGAAAGGCAAATTAAAGTAGAAATGCAGCTTAGAAATTTAGAATACCGTTACACATTTTTTAAGGTAATTTACACACCCCTTCAAAATTAGTCTGTTTTCAAGAGGAAGGCATGTGTGTGGCCTGGCACCCATGTTTTAGGAACTCTATGGAGGGAAAATAGTGGTATTCAACAATAGCTCAAATAAAGTGACCTATGGAGTAGAAAAAAAGAAAGACTCAAGCAAATGTAAATAATTGTTCATTACATTTGCAAGGAAAGAATAAAGTATATTAATTAAGAGACAATGTACTCATTGTTATGATAACATATGATTCAAAATAAAAAGAAGCAAACTAAAAACTATATTAATACAGAAAAAATTATGCTTCCTCCCTTAGATATTAAGAAAAAATATTTAAAACAATTTTCTAAGTTATTTAGGTATTAGCTCTGTTGGTAAGTGACAGTTGCTTGATTGTTTAGTTGGAAATATTTTTAATGTGAAAGGAATACCCAAGATAAACATTCAGAATATAGAAAAAAATAAGAAAGAATCATGATAAACCACAGCACCCACAAATTATTACTCACACTTTGGTGAGTGACATGCAAATATACACCAGAGGTGGTGAACTAGAGAAATAACTGCTCTTTGGGCAAACACATCTCTCCATTTTCTTTTAAAAAGTTCTTCAATCAGAGATACAAATTTTATTTACATAGGCAGAGAAGTTTCCTTCCTAATATTCTCATATTGATATATTTATTTCTATAAATCAATTTTTTATATTACCTAATTGGTTATTGTGATAGTGACAGGAGGCAGAGAAATTCTAGGCAGACAGGGTCGGGTCTCTGGCAAAACCCCATCTTCAAGCCGAAAAGCCTGAAACCGATGGTCCAAAGTGAGAACTTCTATCCCTGTTTTCCTGCCCAAATATTGTATTTTCCTCAACTACACATGGCCTGCCCCATCCTTCATCCTGTGCCTATAAAGACCCCAGACTCAGTTGGAGAGAAGCAGAGAAGCAGCTGGACATTAGAAAGAAGCAACTTGACTTCAGAGGGATGACTTGATAGAGAAGTGTCTAGCCAGAGACTGCTAGACTTGGGAAGATTACCTGCCTGTCCCGTCGCCTTTTTAGCTCCCCTGCCCACGGAGAGCCACTTTCATAGTTCAATAAAATCCTCCATGTTCGCCATCCTTCAATTTGTTCGTGCAAACTCATTTTTCCTAGACGCAGGACAAGAGGTAGAGAGCCGTGAGTGCTGATACCCAAAAGAAGGCTTTCACATTGGCTCTTTGCCCTCCCACTGAGCTATTAACACTTAAGCCATCTGCGGAGGGCAGAGCAGAAAGATCATTGTAACGTGACTTCTGTGGCTTCAGGGGTCGCAGGAACCCCCACAAGGTCATTGCCGCGTGGCCCACACCGAGTTTGCACCTGCCAGCACCCAAAAATGGTCAGTCAGATCGCACACTCCCTCACTTATGTGCTCCCTCCAACAAGGGGTTGAGCTTGGCGAGCTGAGTAAATGGGGTTTATTCCTGCCAATTCCCCAAAGCACTCGCTCAGGTTACTGCACTCATTTGCTCGCAGGCTCCCTGCTGCAAGGGGTAGACAGGGGCAGGCTGAGTAAATGAGGTACCTCTGTCACGAGTACCAAGAAAAGGTAAAGAAAATATCCTGCATCAATTGTATGTTGAAGAAAATTATTTATTAACCTATTTATTGTTTATTAAGATTATTAAGATATTGTTTAATAATTGATTTAGTCTTATAAAATGTTTTATTTCATCAAATATTCAAATCTATTAAACTACATTGTAATGTGCAATATACTTGTTATTTTTACTTTCTGCTATGTGTGGTTTACGTTTTTATTTAAGCTTTAACATGTTTGTTTCATTTTGTTTTGTTTTGCTTTATTAAGCTAGTGATTTCTAAATTCGTATTTTTAAAGAGCATATATTGATAATCTAGAATTGTTTTACATGGTGTATTTATTTACTTGTGTTTTTTGTGGGAATGTCGACAAAGTGAAACCCTCTCTCTACTAAAAATACAAAAAATTAGCTGGGCGTGGTGGCGGGCGCCTGTAATCCCAGCTATTTGGTAGGTTGAGGCAGGAGAATTGCTTGAACCTGGGAGGCGGAGGTGGCAGTAAGCCGAGATCGTGCCACTGCACTCCAGCCTGAGCAACAGTGTGTGACTCCATCTCAAAAAAAAAAAAAAAAAACCTTCTTAGCATAGAATCGCAAAAGTGATGGTATATAGACACACACACACATATATATATATATACACACACACATACATATACACATATATGCATGTATATTTAAATGTTTTAAATATAGGACTGAGATGATAAGAAATTGAGAGAAATTACAAAGTAATTGCAATTTGTGCTATTGGGTAGCACTAATTCAGAGAAACAAATAAGCATTTGCCTTAGAGACAACTGCTTATTCCTGTGTTTTAGGGCACGCATTTCTAAGGACTACGTGGCAAATTACAGGAGACAAAGCTTGAACCTCAAAAAGTGTAAAGCCCTATGGATTTTCATCTTAAAAACCAAGACCCCTAACTTAATATCCCAAGTGATTAAAATACAGGCAAATGAGACTCTTCAGTCTGGTTACCTGCAGATAGAGCAGAAAATAGAAATTAAATGTTTCTTCTGAGAATTACTAATGATTGTGTGTGTAACAGGCCCAGTATTCATTCTGCATCTCTAGCACTGAAATCCATATGCCAATAATTTAGTTTGTCTTCAGGAACATAGCAGAAGTAAGCAAATCGAATCTAGAAGAATACCCTTTAGGCCAGGCCACAAAAATAAAATTGCAAGACATAGCACATAATAAAAAATCCCAAATTCATGAAGAAGTAAATCAGCATGAACAAGAATTGACAAAAAAAGAGAACTACAGAATCAAATCCATAAACACAGTCTATATTAGAATATTGGGGAAATTCTAAAATGAAGAACAAAAGGCCCTCCTAGAACTGAAATGTATAATAATTAATAGTTGCTCAATAGGAGGGTTAATGACAGTTATAGACAATGGAGAAAATGAATAATTGGAAAACACAATTCAGGAAAGCTTCCATACTACAGCATAGAGATACAATAATATAAAAATATAAAAGAGAGTATAAGAAGCATCAAGGATAGGGTGGTTACTTTTAAAACTGGGAATTACAAAATAAAAAGAATGGTAAGCAATATTAGGTGAGATTTTTCTGAAACTGAAATTTCTAGAACCAATTCTCAGATTCAAAGCCCAAAATATCTAAAGTAGAAGTAAATAAAAATAAATATATCTCTAGATACTATATTGAAACTGAGGTTCAACAAAGAAAAAAACTAAAAGATGATATATGAAGAAGACAGATTACCAATTGAGGAGAACAATAGAAGTCAATATAAGTTTGTTGAATTGTCAACAAAACAATGGAAACAGTTAGGATACATCCAAAGTTCAGATAAGTTGTATACTAATTAAAATTACCTTTCAAGAATAAGAAAAACTAAACTCATTTTGCAACAAACAAGAAGTGAAGTCATACATTACATGCAAAACCTTAGTTATAGCATTTCTCAAAGAATAATGCCAGAGAGAATCTACAGAAATGTATGAATAAATTTAAAACATTGTCCTTAAAAAATAATGACAAAAACAATATTTAGTAAGTAGGACAAAAAAGAGAAATATAGCTAAAATGCTGCACAATAATAGCAAATATATGAAGAGAAAGCTTTTGAAGCAGTCCCATAAACTCTAGTAGTAATTTAAGAATAGGGTGATTATTGATTAATTTTAGACTTTGATAAATTTAATAGTCATCTTAAAATCTCCAAAGGACTAAAACGACAGAAATTCAGGATATAATCTCCAAAAGAATAGAGAGAAAAAAATAAAATGAAGAAAACAATATATCTCAATCAGGATGAAATAAGGCAAGAAAGGCAAGAAAAAGAAGCAAAATATCAAGACTTATAGAAAGCAGAAATAATATTGTAGAAATAACCCAATTTTATGACTAGTTACAATAAATAAAAAGGAGCAAATAAAACCAACAAAATAAAGTCTGCAAGATTAGCTATAAGAAATACAGTTATTTACATGAGATTCATATAAAGCTCACACATACAAGGAAGGATTAGAAGTAAAATTTTAGATAAATACAAACAAAAAAACTGAAGTGGTCATATTAATATTAGGAAAATAGATACTTAACATGAAAAATTATTACCAGGTATAAGTACGTAACTTCAAGTGGAAAAAAAGAGAAATATCATGATTTTAAACTTGTGTACATGTAAAAACACAGTTTTGATGTGTTTTTTTTTTTTTTTTTTTTTTTTACTAAAAGGAAAATAAAAGAAGCTGGTAGAACCATAAGAAAAGATTTCCAAATAAAACAGAAAATTTTAACTGAATTCTTTCAAAATTTTTAATATCAGAGAAAAGTAGAAAACATTCAAAAGTCTTGAACAGAAAAATTCACAAGCTTGATCTTATCAATATATTTAGAATAGCATGAAGCAACTTCAGAATACACATACTTTTCAAATACCAAAGAATCCTTAAATAAAATTGGTCATATGTTAGGCAATCAAACATGTCACAACAAATATCAAAAAGGCAGGCTTTTAAGGACCATATTTTATTACCACAACTTAAAAGGGAAAAAGATAATATATTAATACTACAAATGTTAATATTTCAGGAGACTTGCAGTCCCATAATTTTTTCTGGAAACTCTTAGATGTGTCCTATAAATAGCAAGCTTACGCTCTGAAATAACATGAGGCCCCCCAGCCCTGAAATTAAAGAGTTCCTGGCCCAATCCCATCTCGCAGCAGCCTGCCTCCCCTTTCCTTTCAACATGACAGATGATGCTGTGTCCTTCAACAGGGACTTCTGGCAGGTGGGGTGGTCACAGCCATCTCTAAGGCAGCAGGAGCACCTATCGAGTGGCTCAAGCTGCTGCTGCAGGTGCAGCATGCCACCAAGGAAATTACCACAGATAAGCAGTACAAGCACATTATAGACTGTGTGGTCTGTATTCCCAAGGAGGAGAGAGTCCTGTCCTTCTGGCGTGGTAACCTGGCCAATGTCATCAGATATTTCCCCACCCAGGGGCTCTCAACTTCGCCTTCGAAATAAGTACTAGCAGATCTTCCTGGGTAGTGTGGACAAGAGGACCCACTTTCAGCACTATGTTGCAAGGAACCTGGCATCAGGCGTGCGCTGGGGCCACATCCTTGTGTTTTGTGTACCCTCTTGATTTTGTCTGTACCAATCTACCAGTGGATGTGGGTAAAGCTGGAGCTAAAAGGGAATTCAGAAGCCTTGGTGACTGTCTGGTTAAGATCTACAAATCTAATAGGATTAAGGGCCTGCACCAAGGCTTTACCATGTCTGTGCAGGGTATTAGCATCTACCCAGCTGCCTACTTCAGTATCTGTGACACTGCAAAGGGAATGCTTCCAGATTCCAAGAGTACTACATCATCATCAGCTGAATGATTACACACAGCCTGTCATTGTCATTGCAGGGTTGAATTCCTATCCATTTGACACTGTTCACTGCTAAATGTCGATGCAGTCAGGCTTTTTTTTTTTTTTTTTTTTTTTTTTTTAGATGGAGTCTAAAAACAAAAAACAAAAAAAAGGCATTTTTTTTTGTTTGTTTGTTTGTTTGTTTGTTTTTTTAGATGGAGTCTCTGTCGCCCAGGCTGGAGTGCAGTGGCACGATCTCAGCTTACTGCAACTTCCACCTCCCAGCTTCAGGCGATTCTCTTGCCTCAGCCTCCTGAGTAGCTGGGATTACAGGCGTGAGCCACCAAGGCCAGCTAATTTTGTATTTTCAGTAGAGACAGGGTTTCACCATATTGGCCAGGCTGGTCTTGAGTACACAGGCATTTTTGACTGCTGAAGGAACATTGCTCGTGATGAAGGAGGCAAAGATTTTTCAAGGGTTCATGGTCCATTGTTTTCAGTGGCATGAGTGGTGCTTTTGTGCTTGTCTTGTATCATGAAATCAAGAAGTACACATACGTTGTTTCCTATAATTTTCCCCCGTGAACAGTCATGTTGTAGTATATAATATATCAAGAGGATTCTTGATAGACTCATGGCTGTCAATTTATCAGTGGCAACTATTTACTGGTTGAAAATAGGAAGCAATAATATTCATCTAACTAGTTTTCTCTTCTTTGTTGTTTGTTTGTCACCCAGGCTGGAGTGCAGTGGTGAGATCGCAGCTTACTGTAACCTCCACCTCCTGGGTTCAAGCAATTCTCCTGTCTCAGCCTCCTGTGTAGCTAGGACTGCAGGTGGCTGCCACCACGCTGAGCTAATTTTTTTTGTATTTTTAGTAGAGACAGGGTTTCTACATGTTGGCCAGGCTGGTCTTGAACTCCAGACCTCAAGTGATCTGCCCATCTCAGCCTTCTAAAGTGATGGGATTACAGGCATGAGCCACTGTGCCCAGCTACTAGTTTTCTCTTAAAGCCATTTTCATGATATGATGATGGGACTCAATTATATTTTTTATTTCATGGGTGGGAAGAATCAATATCATGAAAATGGCCATACTGCCCAAAGTAATTTATAGATTCAATGCTATTCCCATTAAACTACCAATGACATTCTTCACAGAATTAGAAAAAAAAAACTACTTTAAAATTCATATGGAACCAAAAAAGAGCCTGAATAGCCAGGACAATCCTAAGCAAAAGGAACCACACTGGAGAAGTCATGCTCCCTGACTTCAATCTGTACTACAAGGCTACAGTAACCAAAACAGCATGATACTGGTATGAAAACAGACGCATAGCCCAATGGAAGAGAATAGTGAACTCAGAAATAAGTCTGTACCTACAATCATCTGTTCTTTGACAAACCTGACAAAAACAAGCAATGAGGAAAAGACTCCCTATTTAATAAATGGTGCTGGGAGAACTGGTTAGCCATATGCAGAAAATAAAACCTGGACCCCTTCCTTATACCTTATACAAAAATTAACTCAAGATAGATTAAAGACTTAAATGTAAAATCCAAAACTATAAAAACCCTAGAAGAAAATCTAGGCAATACCATTCAGGACATAGACATTGGCAGAGATTTCATTACTAAAATACCAAAAGGTATTGTAACAAAAGCAAAAATGTAACCAATTGGGTCTAAATAAACTAAAAATCTTCTGCACAGCAAAAGAAACTATCATCAGAGTGAACAGAAAAGCTGCAGAATGGGAGAAAATTTTTGCAATCTATCTGACAAAGGTCTAATATCCAGAGTCTACAGGGAACTTAAACAAATTTACAAGGAGAAAACTAACAACCCCATTAAAAAGTGGGCAAAGGATATGCACAGACACTTTTCAAAAGAAGACATTCACGTGGCTAAGAGACATATGAAAAAAAAATCTCAAAATCACTGCTTATTAGAGAAATCCAAGTCAAAACGACAATGGGATACCACCTCATGCCAGTCAGAATGGTGATTATTAAAAACTCAGGAAACAATAGATGCTGGTGAGGTTGCGGAGAAAAAGGTATGCTTCTGCATTGTTGGTGGGAATGTAAATTAGTTCAACCATTGTGGAAGACAGTATGGGAATTACTCAAAGATCTAGAAGCAGAAATACCATTTGACCCAGCAATCCCATTACTGGCTATATACCCAAAGGAATATAAATCATTCTGTTATAAAGATACATCCATGCATAAGTTCATGGCTCCACTATTCACAATAGCAAAGACATGGAATCGACCTAAATGCCCATCAGTGATAGACTGGATAAAGAAAATGTGGTACATATACACCATGGAATACTATGCAGCCATAAAAAGGAACACGACCATGTCTTTGCAGGGACATGGATGGAGCTGGAAGCCATTATTCTTAGCAAACTAATGCAGAAACAGACAACCAAACACCGCATGTTCTCACTTACAAGTGGGAGCTGAAGGATGAGAACACATGGACACATGGCAGGGGAACAACACACACTGGGGCCTGTCAGGGGAAAGGGAGGGAGTGCATCAGAATAAACAGCTAATAGGTGCTGGGCTTAAAACTGCATGATGAGTTGATCTGTGCTGCAGACCACCATGGCATATGTTTACCTATGTAACAAACCTGCACATGTACCCCAGAACTTAAAATAATAGTTGATTTAAAATAAATAAAAGAATAAAAAGCTAAAAAGTAAACATAAGCATATACTGGATAATTTACAAGTCAGAAATTTGCGCAGTTCTTTTTGCTCAGTTCACTTTAAATCACATTTATGAAGTAATTTCCGTTATTACTTTTCATCATTCACAAGCAGAAACTAAGATTTGAAAGTTTCAATCAATAACCAGCCAATTATCACACAAATGGAAAGATGGAGAGCTAACAACAAAAATTAGAAAGTTTGAAAAACTTTTATACAGTATTGCGAAGTAAATTATAGCATTTCCGCAAATATTTTTCTCCGTTATAAACTTTATGTAGACCTTTTGTTATTTTCAAATGTCCTTTTTGAAACATTTCTGCACGTGTTTGCCAAATACATAATCATTACTTTATTATTTCAGAAAAAGGAGACATAGATAGATATTATTTTGTCATTACATTTTTAGTCTTCAGTGGCTACACTTGTTTTTAGATGGTGTTGCAAAACTCTTAAAGCTTTTCAGTGACGTATTTGAAGAACAATTTGTTCATTTCAAAGTTATTTATGTTAAATTGTCTTGAATAGATATTAAAAAATAGTATGTCTCAGAGAACCTGATGAATTTGTGAAAGGGTGATCTAAAATTAAGCAAGCATTCTAAGTGCGTGTGTATGTACGCACATGCACACACACACATATGCACACACACATATTTGTTTCGTATCTTACCTTCCTTATAGAAGAGCCTGATTATTCACATTCACAGATAACACTTGATCATCTTAAGTCCCATTCTGTATAAAAGGATTTGCTGAAAAAAGAGACTGTATAAAAGTCCTGTACTGTATGAAAGAAGTATTATCAGAGATTATTTTATATAATTCACTTTGCAATTTTGCCCAGAAAAACATAATTTTTTCTATTATATATTACAAAAAAGGCAAAAATATTATTAGAAAAAAATAGAAATTTTCAAAACTAACCCTTGTAACTACATAAGTATGGTTTTGTTTTACAAAAAGGTAAAATATAAAATGTACAAATCTCATAAATTTATGTTCATAACAATTATGTGTTTTTTAAAAAATAACAAAATAAATTCAAAACTGAAAGTTTATGAATGGAAGAATTTGGTCACTTAGGTGAAATTGATCCATTGCTTATTTCCCAAAAAACTATATAATCCTAGACCACAAACAGGCCAATATTTATCAATAGGAGTCTGAAAAATTAATGTGAATTGCAAATACATAGATCTGATATGTTAAACTTTCTAAGTGTTTACCAGAGGCTGGAGGGGTATGGGGGAAAGGGAAGATAAGGGTCAAAAGGCCCAAAGCCTCAATTAGACCGAAAGAAATAAGGACTTTTTTCTATGAGATCTATTGTACCACATGGAGAATGTGGTAGATAACAAGATATTTGTACATTTCAAAATTGCTAAGAGAGTAAATTTCAAATTTTGTCACAACAAAAAGTCATAAATATTTAAGGTTGTGGATATGTTAATCAGTTTTTTTTAATGATTCGAGATTGTATTAATAAATCAAAACATTATTTTGTACCCCTTAAAACATAAAATTAAAAAAAATACTCATGGAGATCAAAAGCAAGAACAATGGGGATAAGAACAACAGTGAGAAAATGAGATTGGATGAGCAGGCACCAATATTATAAATAAATAGAAAGGAAAGAGTAGAATATACAATATAGAAGAGTAATTGATTATTGCATTATTTATTAGCTTCATATTTTATACTACATATTTAGATCATAAATCACATATTTTACTTTCTGTACTAGAAAAGAAAGCTTTGGGGAAACAAATGTCAAAATATTTATTCTATTCTCACTGTCTACGCTTAATTTCAGGATCGTACTGAATTTTATTTATTTATTTATTTCTCTTCTGAGCCAGTTATAAGCAGATTCTGCCTAGTTGGAACTTTCCCTCAAATATATTTCCTTTTATTTTAATTAAGATAGAATATCAATCTTTAAATGTTATCACAATACATGCTGAGAAATAGGAGAAGAGCCTGCCTACAGATAAGCAGCTCAAATAGGGGTAGTGATTGTAAATGTACTGTGATAGTGTCTGTGGATATTGGATTAGGGCAAAAGCTAGTCCAATAATTTTTTTGTGTATCATTCAGAAAATACAAAAAGAGAAGAGGAGGTACCACCTTCACCTAGCAGCCTGCACCAAATAACAGCAGCTCAGCTTTTTTAAGGTTAATTTTTGCCCAGAAAAACATAAGCCTTTTTCATCAGCATATGTTGGCATTTTCTTTTTTTGTTTTATGGGAGATCCTATCTGTAGATTTGGGAAATCAAACCCAAACAAAATGCAACCAAAACAAAACAAAAAGACAGAACCAGAGAGAAAATACAGGTTGGAAATGTCATTACCCATTTTCTCTATCTAGCTGCATTTGATTCACAGTAAAAATTTCGGTTACATTTCGAACATACGTTGACATCTGTCCTGGTTTTCAACAACATTGTGAGTTTTTGTCTGTGTTCTCTGTTTCATACCTGTAGGAAAATTGCACAGGGTCTACCGTAGCTAGCTTTCCAAATGACAACTCTGCATATCTCATCAATATTCATTGTGTGGTTCAATTAAAACTCAGATTTTTTTCCAACAAAACTTACTGGAGACTGGTGTTTCCCAAACTTTGCACCTAAGTAGTCATGAATTTCACCAGTTAAGGTATTATGTGGGCTTAAGTGATATTGTAAAAATGAATCCAGAAGGGAGTACAGCAATTAAATGATACCAGTCTTTTGACTTGTCAGTGAGCTACTGGCAAGGAACCTCTGAAAAGTATTCTCTAGGCAGTGAGTCTGACAGAATAATATTTCAGTTTCAACTGTATGCTCTTAACCATTTATGAAAATATGATAGAAGATAAAATCTCAATATAAAATGGAAGATTTTATTGGTTATATTTTGGTGTTTCTCTATCCAGATACAAAGTCATCCTATCACAGACGAATATCAATTGGGCTCATAGTAAGTCTCTCTCCAATAATATGCTGCTTGGAAACTTTCTTATTCTAGGGAATCATAAATTGATAATCTGATGGCTTGTCACAGTGCCCTCTCATGTATTATATTTAAGCTGGCAAGCCAAGAATCACCAAGTGATTCCTATTCTCATTCTAATGATTTTAAAAATATGTACCTATTTGTAGACTTAAAAAAATAATATCTAGAGAACGTAAAAATAGCTAATACTAGAGTAATATTTATTTATGCACTAAATACTATTTATTTACTTTTTTTTTTTTTTAAGAGGTGGAGTTTTGCTATGTGGCCTAGGGTGGACTTAACCCCTTTGACTCAAGCAATCCTCTCACTTCAGCCTGCCGGGTAGCAGGGATTACAGTCTCACACCACCATGCCTGGCTGAGACACTGTTTTTGAGCCATATATTTTATATTTAATACATATACTAATTCACTTCCATAAGAAGAAGCTAAGGCACAGAGAGGTTATGTAGTATGCCTACATTCACAAAGTTACTAAATATTGAGGACGAAATTCAGCCCAGCAGTCTCCTAGGCATCATATGATACTACTCTCATTGCAGTCACACGTTGTAATAATCTGGGATGGCTGTTGGCACTCAAAAGCATACGTTTCCCTTTGAATTGCTGATTTTACTAAACTAGAAAATAATAGGAGAGAAGAAAAATCCACCAGAGAAGAAATATTCAAGAAACTGTTAAAAACATGTTTGCAATATTTGTCAAAAAATTTACTATGAATAAGATTTAGTTAACTTTGCCACGAAATATACAGGATAAATGTGCCCAGTTAAATTTGGGCACAGTTAGAAAATGTTTACACTAAATAAAAATTGTTTAGCTGAAATTCCATTTTAACTGGTATCCTGTGTTTTCATTAGCTAAACATGGCAACTCTAATTTTATGAATTAATAGATATTACCGGTGAGAAAATCAAAATAATTTTAGGTGATTTAAAACGTTGATAAATTATACTAGATAGCTTCAACTTTTATAAATTCAAATACTTATAATTTGATTTTTAATCAAATAAAAATAAATATTTAAATCTGTATTTGACTAATTTATTGAAAAAATACATACTTGATTCAACATGGCTTACAACTGAAAAATGACAGAAATATATGTATATGTAATATGAGTGTATGTATATATGTATAAATGTATGTATATTTGTTCATGTGTATGTATATTTTTCTGTGCCCCAAACACATAACTGAGCTAAAGAAACAAAATGAATTTGTGCATAGCAGAAATGAAGAAAATATTCTAAATGTCAATGGGGCAGACATCAATGTCATCTGTGCCTCACATCTAGAAGCTGAGTTTGGCTCTATTAATATGAGGACACTAAAAGTGCTGCACAGCAGAGAGGAAAGAGCATGAAACATAGTAAATGATGTTCTAACTCAATCAGAAAAATGCAAATTAAGACAGCAATGGAACATGATCTCTGCTCTTGATATTGGGAGAATTTTCATATCTAGCAAAATTAAGTGTTTGGAGGAATGTAGAACGAAAGCAACCTTCATATGCCAAATTAGGAAAATAAGAGCAATTTAGCAATGTCTAATTTCATCAATGAGAGACATACTCTTTCATCAGCAACCTCATTATGGCATAGCAGTACAGCTACAATATTTTTGCATAATATCTTTTCTTGGGTAAATGTTTATTTGCTATGCTATTTTATAACTTTTTGAATCCCTGAATTATTCAAAAATAATTATTTAAAATTATAAAAAAGCTATTTTAAAATAACTACTGGAGAAAAAAGTTCTCTAAATCTAAGTAAATAAGTTTCCAGATCCAAGGAAAATGAGACAATGGAGCCATTCTGAGGTAAAAAGTATTTCTAATTTAGAATTCTAAACTTTATTCAAAAGTAGAAGTAGTAAAATATATTATTAAATATTATACTACATCATATAAAGTTTATACATTACATATAACATTTTCCAAAAATTTTTCCAGAAACAGGATGACATGAACTATTGAAATGAGGAGGTAAAAGTCAATGAAGGGCATGGAAATGAAGAAAACAGGGCATCCAACACAGGAGAGAAGTGAAATAAACCCTGACAATGGAGAGTTAAGGAAAGTCCCACAATAAGATATGTGTAGTAGGAATACTTAACACTGAGCCAAAGTTAGAGCAAGAATTCAGAGGCTTTGAGAGTGAGGTTTCTAACAAAAAAAAAAAAAAAAAAAATTAATAGATTACATGATGCAATTAACTGTTTAAAGTTTGTCAGGACAGAGTTCAGTTAGAGAGACAGCATAGAAAAGCAAGCCTCAGATAATTCAGAAAGATTAAAAATTTTGACAGAAAATCATATACTATAATGGCCCAGCTGTACACAGTATATACATAAATATATTGACATTGAGTATTATCCAAAAATTATGTTAAATTTTTGTTAGAATTTAGGCATGGGTTTGCACAATAGAATAAGGAGAAATGTAGTACGTTATATTTAAAATAGGAGAGAAAAGCACAAACTAGTAGAATTTAAAATTCATTAACATTGAATAAATATTGGAAGAATAAATTTAAAATATAAAAATGTTTTCCTTAATGGAATAGAAATTATTATTAAAAAGGAATAGACAAAAAATTGCAACACTTTGTTATAAACGTGTAATGTTTACTTTTAGTTAATTTTTTTATTTCTGTGGATTTAGGGTACAAGTGCAGTTACATTACACAGATTTTTTGCATAGTGGTAAAGTCTGGGCTTTTAGTGTACCCATCACCAGAATAGTGTACATTATATCGGAAAGCTAGTATTTCATCCCTAACCTGCCTCCCACCCTTCCACTTTCTGGACTTTCCAATGTCTATTTTTCTACTCTGTATGTCCATGTGTACTCATTGTTTAGTTCCGACTTATAATTGAGCACATGCTGTTTTTGACCTTCTGTTTCTGAGTCATTTCACTAAAGATAATGGTCTCCAGTTCTATTCGTGTTGCTGCAAAAGGCATGATTTCATTCTCTGTTATGGCTGAGTAGTATCCCATGGTGTGTGTGTGTGTGTGTGTGTGTGTGTGTGTGTATATACATAGGTGTGTATATATATATGTATACACACACATATATGTATATATGTATACCTATACACACACACACACACACACACATATATATGTTGATATTGGCAACAACAACACCTAGAAATATATTTAACCAAGGAGTTATGAGACCTCTGAACACTGATGAAAGAAATCATAACTGACATAAACAAATAGAAAACATCTATGCTCATGGATCAGCAGAGTCAATATCCTTAAAATGACCATACTGCTCAAAGCAACCTACAGATTCAGTGCTATGCCCTTTCAAACTACCATCATCGTTCTTTACAGAATTGAAAAAAAAAATCCTAAAATTCACCTAAAACCAAAAAAGAGCTCAAATAGTAAAAGCAATTCTGAGCAAAAGAACAAAAGCAGAGGCATTACATTGCCTGACTTCAAATTATACTACAGTGCTGCAGTAAACAAAGCAGTGTGGTACTGGTATAAAAATAAACATATGCTTTGGGGGGCCGAGGTGGGTGGATCACCTAAGATCAAGAGTTCGAGACCAGCCAGGCCAACATGGTAAAACTCCATCTCTACTGGAAATACAAAAATTATCCAGGTGTGGTGGTGTGCATCTTTAATCCCAGCTACTCAGGAGGCTGAGGCAGGAGAATTGCTTGAACCCATGAGGCAGAGGTTGCAGTGAGCTGAGATCCTGTCACTGCGCTCCAGCCTGGGCCATAGAGTAATACTGTGTTTCAAAAAAAAAAAAAAAAAAAAAAGGGTCAATGGAACAGAATAGAGATCTCAGAAACAAAGTTACATACCTACAACCAACAAAGTAGGTCTGGAATATTTAAATGTAACAGTGTGCTTGTATTGCTTTGAAGAGAAGAGGCTTGAATGAATCTAGCAAAATGTTTTCAGAAATTTTACAGAGATTATCATAAAACAAAAATATATGAAAGAAATGCAAATTAATGGATAGAAGGATGGTTAACGCTGATTGGCATATTTTAAAAAGTAAACACTGTAACCAAAATAAACAAAAATTATGGTTTCAATATTTATTTATAAGCCTATAAACATGATAGTTATAAAAAGCAAGGTAAAAACTTACACATGGAATATCAGACACTTGTTCAAACGTGGACAGTTATAAAAAAAGTATATTTTGGCAGATGTGGACTTATATATTAGTGGCATCAAAAAATGTTTGAGAATTGTAAAGGCATACACAACATCTTGGTTAACTCTTTGTAGAATGGAAGGAAAAGCAGTTCTAGGATTTTATAATTCCCGTTAATATTTATACTTGATTTTTTCTCATCAAGGTAAATACAAATGATTTTAGAAACATGTTTTTACTAAGTCTTTTTAAATAAGTTGACAGTTTTGTAGAAGTAACAATTATGTTATTCTCATACTTCATTTTAAAAATAAGATTTAGATAAATTATATCCTTTCAATAACAGAAATAGTATAAACTAATTTGCAAACAATATTGATGATCATATAGATTAACAAGAGTATATGAACACAGTAGTTACGGGCACACTTATTGCTGCTGTTTTCTTTGTCTATCTCTGAAGTTCACTTTTTAACAAACATGGTGCTTCAAAAAATTTTAATGTTTTAATGGGATAAGTTCTAAACTTTCTTATTCTGTTTAGCACAGGTAAGAGAAAACAAACGTATTGATTAAATTCACTAATTGCCAAAGACATTTTATAAATTTGTAGCATTATTCTATCTTTCATCTTATAAAATTCTCATTTAGAGGGATTAATTTTATAAAACAGAGTTCAGTAAACAGAGAAAGCCATACTCATCATTTATAGGAACAACCCTTTCATATCATTAACAACATGCTCATATTTTACTTTTAATATTTTTCCTCTTTTCTGCCTTATTTACTTAATTATCTAACTTAAAAATTTGCTAATCATTTGTTGTAGGGATTTAAGACTCTAAGCTGTTTATAGGTAGAAGGATAGGAGAGGTGAGAATTATAATATATGTGACATCAGGTAATTCAGCAGACATTATAAATCATCAGGGAAATGTGTCCATGGCTTTTGGAACTATTTTGTATAACAACCCTTTTTAGAATCTGATAAAAACTATTAAATGCCTTTCTAAATACAGATACTCATATGTACATAGTTTTGATTCAACTTCAGGAGTTTAGCAGGTTCCTGTAATGCAAATATAGAGGCACTTTCCTGGAATTTTTTTTAGTGAAATTGCTCATTGTAAAAAAAAAAAAAAAAAAAAAAGATTGTTGGTAGGGGTCATTTAAAGACTATTTTTCTCCCAAACAATGGCATTTCAGAATTTTTCAGAATATACCTGAAGCATCACAGAATGCAAATATTACAAAAATTTTATGATGCCCTCACACTGAAGCAGAAACTATAGTTTATACTTGGAAAAAAAAAAGACATAAATAAAGAATGCTTTGCCCTCAAAAGCCAGAAGGCACCAATTGCAAGACAGGGTAGAAATTTATTGAATTGCTATTAACATGGTGTAACAGAGAGAAAAAACAGGTAGGTGAAAGTATAATTTTTTGGTATAGTCTAGCAGAATGCTTGCTATTTAAACATATAACCTGATCCATAATAGAAAATGAAACTGGAACTACCAAGAGGGTTAAGATCATGCAGGGCCTCAGGCCCCATATCAGGAAGTACCTATTTTATCCACCACAGAATGAATTGCCTACGGCAATAAATACTTTATTTTTATTTATTGTATAAACAGCATTGCCTGAAATAAAAATGTAAAATTAAATTTTCAGAAATAAAATAGATATTTCTGACATTTTCAACTCATTTTAAATGATGGAAATGATAAAATCATATTAAAATTTTATATTAAAGCTATGTTTTAATTGTTAAGTTACTTTATGCCACCAGGCTATCATTTGGTTTAGCTATTTTCTTTAAACATTTTAAGTTAGTTTATTATATTATTTAGAAGGTATTTTTATCTAAAACCATGTCATATTTTATACCTCTTTATATACTGCTTTTTAATTATGATATTCAATTATAAACTTATTAATTTAGATTTTGCTTGTAGGTATTACCATGTTTAGGTGTTAAAAGATAATTCAGTTTGGATGGTCTTGCTAGAAAATATTAAAGATTGTCTCTAAAATAATGACATCTCAGATATCTTTTTTTTAATTTTTGACCTTAAGTATTTTTAAAATGTCAATATCATTTTGTCCTCTTCTACTGATAGTGTGAAATTATGTCACTAGGTATCAGCTATGGCCTTTAGCTATGTTAAGAACATAACCCCATATACTGCAGTGCATTTTCTTTCAAGTTGTAAGTCTACCTTTACAAAACCACCTTGAATATCTTCTACTTAGTGAAATACATGTGCCTTGAGCTCTAAATTCTCCAAATCCTCTCGTGATGTTAGGTGGTCACCTAACATGGATGTGTTTTGGCTTCCACATGCTGCAAGAACATGTGGATAATCAAGTTCACGTAGGAACTATAAAGAAAAGATACTAAACAATTGTATTGTATTGCAGTGTGAAAATGTAAACTATAGAAATATGACAAAACAAATGAATTACTAAGTTTTTTGATTTTGTTCTGGCTTGCTTTCTTATCAGTGCATTGCTACAGCCTCAAATAGACATGACAATATTTCTGTGGTAGCAAACACTTAAGTAAATGCAACTTAACAGTTATTTTCCTCACAGAGGCTTAGACCAATATGAGAGGGCAGCAAATGAGAGGTTGCTATAATGTAAATAAAAGTAAATATTTTGTTGTATAACCAGGAGGAAACATACTGTAAGTAGCTTCCCATGCCTATCCTTGCCATAAAGAAGAAAGCAAATAAAGACAGATGTACTTGTTTGTTTATTTATAAAACAATGCTCTTTTGTATACAAAGAATAGGTTTTGGATTCATACCAACATAAGTTTAGAGAGCTTCTTAGTCACTCTTTGGTTTTACAAAATTGAGTAAGTTAAGCGGTCTGAGACTTGGCTTCATCATCTATTAAGTGGAGATTCAGATACTCCACTCAGATAATTGTGAGAATTCAAAATAAGAAAAGTATCTAATGCAGTTATTTGCATGTGGTTGGTATCCTCTAAATGGTCGTTTTCATTATCATTGTTTGTGCAAACACTTGATTAAAAAATGCCACGATGGAACCTATATTAGAGCTATGAGTATTCGATAGTGCATATACAAATATTAAAAAGTGCTTAATAAATATATGTAGTAATCAGAGTTTTATACATTTTCTTATATCAAGTAATGAACTTTAATTTCAACATTATATTAATTTTGCTCAGCTTTCTATTATCCATCACCTTCCAAAAGACAGTGATTATCAATGCTTGTAACATCTTGCCTACGCTTTTTGACTCTACCTTTGGGTGCCAAGAAAATACTGCAACAATTCCTTTAACTTCTTCTTTTTTTTTTTTTTTTTTTTTTTTTTTTTTTTTTTTGAGACGGAGTCTCGCTCTGTCGCCCAGGCCGGACTGCGGACTGCGGTGGCGCAATCTCGGCTCACTGCAAGCTCCGCTTCCCGGGTTCACGCCATTCTCCTGCCTCAGCGTCCCGCGTAGCTGGGACTACAGGCGCCAGCCACCGCGCCCGGCTAATTTTTTGTATTTTTAGTAGAGACGGGGTTTCACCTTGTTAGCCAGGATGGTCTCGATCTCCTGACCTCATGATCCACCCGCCTCGGCCTCCCAAAGTGCTGGGATTACAGGCGTGAGCCACCGCGCCCGGCCCCTTTAACTTCTTAAACATAAATTTGGTTAATATCAGAACCAGACTAGGAAGTTCTAACTTTAATATTTTTAACTAGTGGTTTAAAACATGTCATGTTAGCCCTCAATCACTTTCTTTCCAATAGTTGAAGTCCTAATAAACTGATGCCATTTGTAGAATAATTCAATGATTTTTCTCTTCTGTGACAATTGAACTTCTCCATGTTCTCAAGTTCACAAATGTTGCTCTCAAGAGCAACTAGAAGCCTAAAGAGGCTTGTAAATACTTATGGCAAATTTCAGTGACATTGGAGACAACTTCAAAAACAAGCAGGTTTTTTAGCTCAAGCCTCCTTCTGGACAAAATTGCCTTCTAATAAAGTTTCGCTCTGTAATCTGTTCATTCCCTCATGCAAACTGTACCATTCCCAGGATTCTTCACTCATACTTTAACTTGACTCACCACTGAAGTTTTGTAAATATTCATTTAAGATATAATACAATGTGTTTTTGTTATATTTGGACCACGTGGAAGACAAACTAGATTGGAGAAGCTGTTAGACACTTTAAAAATTACATGTTATTTTACTTAAAAAATAACTGGTTATATTTATAGATAACAAAGATTTCCAAATGAATTTTACATTTTTGTTTTAACTTTTTTAACTGGTGTTCTATTTATTTACCATTTTTCTTTTCTTTTCTTTTATTATTATTATACTTTAAGTTTTAGGGTACATGTGCACAATGTGCAGCTTAGTTACATATGTATACATGTGCCATGCTGGTGTGCTGCACCCATTAACTCGTCATTTAGCATTAGGTGTATCTCCTAAAGCTATCCCTCCCCCCTCCCCCCACCCCACAACAGTCCCCAGAGTGTGATGTTCCCCTTCCTGTGTCCATGTGTTCTCATTGTTCAATTCCCACTTATGAGTAAGAGTATGCGGTGTTTGGTTTTTTGTTCTTGCGATAGTTTACTGAGAATGATGATTTCCAATTTCATCCATGTCCCTACAAAGGACATGAACTCATCATTTTTTATGGCTGCATAGTATTCCATGGTGTATATGTGCCACATTTTCTTAATCTAGTCTATCATTGTTGGACATTTGGGTTGGTTCCAAGTCTTTGCTATTGTGAATAGTTCCACAATAAACATACGTGTGCATGTGTCTTTATAGCAGCATGATTTATAGTCCTTTGGGTATATACCCAGTAATGGGATGGCTGGGTCAAATGGTATTTCTAGTTCTAGATCCCTGAGGAATCGCCACACTGACTTCCACAGTGGTTGAACTAGTTTACAGTCCCACCAACAGTGTAAAAGTGTTCCTATTTCTCCACATCCTCTCCAGCACCTGTTGTTTCCTGATTTTTTAATGATTGCCATTCTAACTGGTGTGAGATGGTATCTCATTGTGGTTTTGATTTGCATTTCTCTGATAGCCAGTGATGGTGAGCATTTTTTCATGTGTTTTTTGGCTGCATAAATGTCTTCTTTTGAGAAGTGTCTGTTCATGTCCTTCGCCCACTTTTTGATGGGGTTGTTTGTTTTTTTCTTGTAAATTTGTTTGAGTTCATTGTAGATTCTGGATATTAGCCCTTTGTCAGATGAGTAGGTTGCGAAAATTTTCTCCCATTTTGTAGGTTGCCTGTTCACTCTGATGGTAGTTTCTTTTGCTGTGCAGAAGCTCTTTAGTTTAATTAGTTTACACAAAATTTAAAGAAATTGTATTAGAATTATGAGATCGTAATTGTGGTCAAGATGTAGATAGCTTTTGTTCTTCTAGTTGGTTTTTGTTGAACATTACCAGAAAATCAGTATTCAGTGGCGATGGCACAGAGACAAACGCTTTCTATACTCGAAATTTAGAAATTGTTTGAATCAAGATATAGAGAAATATTTTCCTTTTGTGAAACCTATATATATATTTAATCCTATAAAGTCTATGCTTTTATCCAAAAGGTACAGTTCTTACTCTGTCTTGGGAGAGAGATACCGTCTTTTTAAATTTCCTCCCAGCTTTATGAGGTATAATTGACATATACAAATTGTGTTTATTTGAAGTAAGCAAGGTAATGCTTTGATATACAATGTAAATGATTAATACAATCAAGCTGAATAACATATCCATCACCTCACATTTACCACTTCTTTTGTAATGAGAGTACTTAGGACCTATTCTCTTAGAAAATTTCATGTATACAACTTTAAATTAATCTTTAGTATTTTCAGCACAAATATCTGTTTTCTTCTTTCTCTCTTTGTCTCTCTCTCTTTCTGTGTCTCTGTGTCTCTCTCTGCCTCCTCTCTCATTCCCTCTTTCTCGGACATGGAGTCCTTGGTGTAATGTTTTGCTGCTGCATTTATTCAGTGTATTTTCTAAACACTCTCTTCTTTTGCTTTTTCCTTGAAAAGAAATATATTTCTTACAGCTGAGTTCTAAAGCATGCAAAAACATCATAAATACAAGGCATTCCTTGCCCTTGAAAAAGTGGAAGGGCTTATGAAGATGTGTCTGGAATAAAAACTTATCTTGAAAATTCTAAATGCTCTTTACAACAAATCTCGTAGAGTAATGCATTGCATTATATTGTACTTCCCCAGGAGAAGTAAAATTTATAAAAGTGGCTGCAGCCAGTTCTCTAGAGGATGGCTTCTGGTTCCTGGGAAACTTTACCTGTAAGATCTGATAATGTAAGAAATGTAAAATACAAGAATGATTTCCACATACTGTTCTTCTTTACAAATTTTAATTCTGTAGGATGAAAGGAAAAATGCTTAGTATCTGCTTTAAATTAAGATTCAGGGCCATCTAGTGTAGCATTCATGATTCATGAGATATTTAGCTTCTGCTATTGATGATACGTGCTCCATTATGAATGACAAAAGAAAAAAGTTAGCATGCATTATCACCCTTATGTCCAAGGAGTTTGTAATTTAGCTACATGTTTTAAAAGGTGAAAGATAAGGAAAGTGTTAACAAAAATTATTAACATCATACTTTTTAAAAGGCTTAATCAATAGCTGTATAAGCACATATCTATCACCCTTAACCTGAAACTGAGTCAGGACTGGTTGTATGCCAATTCCTCTCCAAAGCATCCTCTACACCAAAACACAGTGACTTTTAGAAAGATCCATGACTCTATTATCTACTCTCCTAATGCCTATTCTTTACAGGTTTTAGTTCCTCCAATCCCTCATCTCCACCCCTTAATTTTATTGGATTTTACTAACGTACAAATAGATTTTTCAGGGCTGTGTGGAGGATTTGGAACAAGGACTAATTAAACAGAAAAAAGGACCTTTATAACAGCTTTCATCTCCCCTGAATGAGAGGATTAATTTCAACAAATTACAGTTGTCTTAAATATAATCCACATAGGATTGTTCTACAAGAGTCTTTAATGATGGAACATATTCTTTAGTAAATTTGTACTTCTTGTTATTTAGATGTATTTAAAAATTGTTAAAAAGACTCCTCATGATTCATTATGCATACATTCTAACCTCACTATAATTCAGAAAGAAATAATAGCATGTGCTCTAGCCCACAGGTCAAGAATTGGTGTCCATAAAGCAATAATAACTGTCTAGATTTTACTCTTTCTTCTCTGAAACATAATACTTTTTGACCTGTGTTAATTCTCCATTATGAATGTGAATGTCCAATTAATTCATCCCTGCTCTGCCCCATTGAAGCATCCCATTTATGCCTCTCATGCTTCCTTCAATTCTAAGTCAAGTCTTTCACCATTAAGCTTTTTAAAAATGAACTCAGCCTTCCGTTTTTGGTGCATTTTGGAACAATTTGTATGTGTAACTCTGAACTAGAACCAAATATATTCTACATTTTGCTGCTGTTATTGTATTGTAAATATTAATATTATAAATAAACACATGTTGGATATTAAGGAGAATTTCCTATTATCAGTACATGAAGTAACTATTGAGGCCCCATATGCTATAAGCGGTTTGTAAAAACCTCATCAGCAGAACTATTCAAGAAGAAGGAATAAAGAGAACAGCAAACATGATTTAAGTTTTAAGGTTTAATTTATGTTCAAAGGTATAAGAAATTAAATATGGGAAAAATAGATGCAAGTAACTCCAAATATTTGAGCAGTATTTATAATAAAGAAGAAGAGTAATGATTCTATGTTCTGTTATAAATTTGGGGAAAATGAAAATATTATTAAAATTTTCTATTGTTTACTCATAAAACAACATTTATTAAGCATATACAGGCATTGGATTGAATACATTTAATTCTATAGAAAGGATTCATACGATTAAAAATATCTTATTGTGAAAATTGACACATGAGCAAGCAATAATCTCCTTGAACTAGGCACCTTAACCTAATTTTAAAAAGAAGATAATTTGAATACAATATAGTACCACCACTAAGGAGTTATTAATGCTTTCCTCTAATGAAGAAGGCAAAAAAGAAAATTATATAGATGAACAATGAAAAAAATGTAGAACACAAAAGGGGACTGGGGAACAAGCAAAATGAAAGAATAGAATCATTAAGGTCAATATATTTTATTCAGTAAATATTTATTAACCATATTTCATGTGCCATGCACTATTGTAAACAGTAGACATATATTATGGATTATAAGAAAAAAGATCTTTCATGTAGTCTACATTCCAATTCCAGTAAAAAGACAGACAATAAACAAATACAGTACATAGAATGTTAAATAGTGGTACATGTTGAGAAAATAACTGAAACAGGAGAAGGGGATAGGAAGTGTGGGAGAATTAGCTGTAGTTTAAACTTGTGTCCAGGAACAGTCTAACAGATTAAGTGTCATTTGAAATTGAGAAGACCTGAAGGAGGCAAGGGAGTAAGTCATGAAGATATCTAGGATAAGAAAAGAGGAAATAGGAAATGCAAAGATCCCGAAGACAGGGGGTCATTGGCCTGTTTTGGAAACAGCGAGAAAGTCAGTGTAGCTTGAAATTATACTAAGGGAAGAGTCATAAGATAATATATGAGAAAAAATAATGGTTTTTTATCTACTTACCTGACACAATGAGATTTGATTTATTATAATGAGGAAGATTATAAGATGGAGAGGATTATTGAGAATATTAGCAATTGAGTTTGGACATGTTAGGTTTCTGCCACCTGTTCAACATGCAGTTCTTTTTGGGGGGTGAGGGGACAGACAACTTTAGAAGCAAAAAAGACTCTGAAATTTGCAGTGAGATTGCAATGAGAAAGCAGGAAAAGCACATGGCCTGTGGGCCCTGACCTGGGCCCCCTGCTGTGGGGCTCTTGGATTATGTGTAGGTGTTGTGGAGGCCCAGTGCACAGATGCAACAGAGTTGAGGTCACTGGTCTGTCCTCAGCTCATCCTTCCAACAGTGGGTTCCGAGTACCCAGCATTGTAATAAGACTGGCTAGGAATCCCTGGCAGTGATTAAGAGGACCTGGTCACTCCAGTACATAGTGACTTGCTTAATCCTAATATTTGGTAAGGGGGATAAGCTTTGGAGTTATGAAATCACTTTTACATTCAGGCTTGGATATTAAATTTGTTTTTTGTTTTTTATTCATTCCCCCAAGCATTTATCTTTTGTCTTATGAACAATCAAATTACACACTTTTAGTTATTTTAAAATGTACGATTATTATTGATTAGTCACCCTGTTGTGCAATTAAATTGCATATATTATTCATTCTAATTTTTTATACCCATTAACTTCCCCACCTTCCCCCCAACTTCCATCTAAAATTCCCAGCATCTGATAACTATGCTTCAACTTACTAAGTCTATGAGTTCATTTATTTTGATTTTAGATGCCACAAATAAGTGAGAACATGCAAATGTTTGTCATTCTGTACCTGGCTTATTTCATTTAACATAATTATCTCCTGTTCCATCTATGTTGTTTCAAATGACAGGATCTCATTACTTTTTAAGGCTGAATAGTACTCCTTGTGTGTGTGTGTGTGTGTGTGTGTGTGTGTGTGTGTGTGTGTATATACACACATATATATACACATATATATATAACATTTTCTTTATCCTTTTATCTGTTGATGGACACTTAGATTGCTTCCAAATCTTAGCTATTGTAAACAGTGCTGCAACAAACATAGGAGTACAGATCTCTTTGATATACTGCTTTCCTTTCTTTTGGGATATGTACCCAGCAGTAGGTTTGCTGGATCATATGGTAGTTCTATTTTTAGTTTTTTTGAGGAACCTCCAAACTATTCTCCATAGCTGTTGTACTAATTTACATTCCCACCAACAGTGTACAAGGGTTCCCTTTTCTCCACATCCTTGCCAGCATTTGCTATGACTTGTCCTTTGGATATAAGCCATTATAAGTGGGGAGAGATGATATCTCATTGTAGTTTTGATTTGCATTTTTCTGATCATCAGTGCTATTGAGCACCTTTTCACATGCCTGTTTGCTATTTGTATGTCTTCTGTTGAGTAATGCCTATTCAAATCTTCTGGCCTTTTTTTTTATTGGATTATTAATTGTTTTCCTGTAGAGTTGTTTGGCCTCCTTATATATTCTGGTTATTAATCACTTGCCAGCAAATAGTTTGCAAATATTTTCTCCCATTCTGTGGGTTGTCTCTTCACTTTGTTGATTTTATCCTTTTCTGTGCAGAAGCTTTGTAACTTGATGTGATCCCGTTTGTTCATTTTTGCTTTGGTTGTCTGTGCTTGTGGGGTATTGCTCAAGAAATTTTTGAGCAATATATATATAAAGACAAGGATACATATGACATCAAGTAGTAAAACCAATAGTTTATGGAAAATGAGCCTAAAATGCATAATTGTAATATACTTTGTATTATTAAAGAATAACACACTCACAAAAAGTGTACAAAGTAAATAGACTCATGTAATCACTATCTGGATCAAGTTAACACAAAGGTAGTATCTATCTTGTCATCTAACACTCTAGATTAGTTTTGCTAGGTTCTAAACTTCATAAAACTAAACATGACTTATGACATGTGTTACTTCTCCAATATGTACAAATAAAGTAAATCTTGGTGTTTGCATATAGCTGTGTTTTGCCCAGCATTTTATTGTGTGAATAGATCAAACTTGTGTATTGTGTGAATACATCAAATTTAATGGCCACTGGGCTTGTTCCAGTTTGGAACTATTGTAAATAATGCTGCTATGGGTATTCTTCTATGTGTCTTTTTGGCCATGTAGGTATGCATTTCTAAGAGGTATGCTCCTGTTCCCAAGTTGTAGCTATTCATATGCTATCAGTTGGTTAGCCTATTATGTTTAGTAAAATTCTTTCTTGGTGAGACTAAAACTCTTAATTATTTATGTATCTTCTACTCCAGCTTTATTTTCCAAAAGTTCTGTTTATTTTTTTGAACTTTTGGCTGCAGCTTTTAGAAATTTCACTTTACTTTGAGGGTAAAGTCAAATTAATGAGTCACTCCACCGGGCTTTCCTTTTTTTGAAGATTGAATCCACAATTTCTCTCTGCCTTAGTATCTTTTGACATCATCACTTAGAATAATTTAAATATATTTTCTCTAGCTTTTATAGTTCTCAGTGGAGAGGTTGGTTGGTGTAACTAACACTCTTCTTTCTGCATTTGTAAGTTAAAAAAAAACTCTTTAGTTTTTGTATAATGTTTTTAAATTATATAAAATATTTACATTTGTAACAGCTGAATTGTTATAAATATTATATAACATGTATTATATAATTTATTTAATTTATATTATATAATATAAATATTATATGAATAAACATATAATATAAATATAAGATTTATATTATATAATATAAACATATATAAATATAAGATTTATATTATATAATATAAACATATATAAATATAAGATTTATATTATATAATATAAACATATAATATAAATATAAGATTTATATTATATAATATAAATTATATAATATAACATCTGAATTATGTTATAATTCAGATTTTATAGCCCATCTGAATTGGGCTATAACAATTTTATTTTTTTAAATCATGACCTCCACTGACTATTGCACTCGAGAGGTGAGTGCTCAAGGAGCAGAAAATATAAACACCATTCATCACTGAGAGGACCTTGAGCACAATTTCTTTGTTATTTTCTGCATGTTTGACCTATTTTCTACATTTAATCTTTTGTCTTTCAAATATTGGTGTCATCAAGAAATCCATTCTTAGCTCTTTCAATCCCACTGATAGATACTCCTTGGGTACTTTCATTTACTCTCGTGAATTTATTCTCTCTCTCTCTCTCTCTCTCTCTCTCTCTCTCTCTCTCTCTCTCTGTCTATCTATTCATCCATCCATCTGTCTGCTTTGACACCTCAAATTTCAATTTCCAACCCAGATTATTTTGCTGACTGTCATCTTTGTTACCAATCTGCATGTTCCAAGCAAGTCAAACTCAGTATGTCCAAAACAGAATTAATATATTCTCCAAAAACTTTTTAATGCACTCTTAATATTTAGCAACATGAAAAGCATATTTAATCCTCTCAACCTAGCAAGAATTCTTTGCCATTGTTGTCTTCAGGTCAGTTACACTCCTTGAGTATTAGTAAATCATCCTTCTTCTTACCATGTCTACTTTTTTTTTTAATCATGTGACTTATTAACATTCAACAAAATGACTTATTTTAAATTGAGATATACTCAAATACAGACTTAGAAAGTGAATGGAGAGACCCCTGTCCAATTTCAATTTGTCGTCTCTTTTGTTGTTGTTTCTTTGTAATATTTCAATATTAAAAGGGTAACATCTCAAAATGTTATGCTAGGCCTTACATGACATTGCTTCTGCTTTTATTTGCTGCTTCATCTCCTTTAATTCTAGCTGCTAAGTTATATTCTAAACATCAGTTCTATTGAGTATCTCCAGATACCAAAATTGGCCATGGTCTTTCTCTTATTTGAGTCTGTCTTTGTTCCTGCTCCCTCATCCTGCATAGTGAATCTCTAATCTGTCTTCCCAGACCTAATTCTATGCCAGGTTCTCTTTCACCTGTGTTACATGCCTCCCTGCTCCTTATTTATTTGTTTGTTTGTTTTCATTTAATGGCTGTTAAACCTATCAGAAGATCTGTGCTTTGTGCTGAAAATATGAATTAAGCTCTATAATTTCCTATTTCTGCTCTTACACCCTTTTCGTCTTGTAAATAATATTGTTACAACATTTAATGGGATAAATACAATGATCACTGTACAAATATGATTTAACAAATGGATGAAAAGATGTCTCTGAACCCACCATGAAAGATTTAGATAATAAATCCTGTAGAACTGCATTGTTGCCTCTGCTGAAGCTAAATGGATGAGTTGAAATAAGCCAAAAGATGAATATGTAGAAAAGCACTCCTGGCAAATAAAACATCAGGATTAAAGCCAGGGGTCAAGAAGATATTTGGTGTATAACTATAAGCTATTTGGTTTTACTACAGGACAGAGTCTCTGTGCGGTATTATAATATACACTGGCTTTGTGCACAGTTCCTAGTTCATAACTCCAATAGCCCATCTTACAGTCTTTACTTAGAATGAGGGATCTTTTAGGCTTCAGGGACAGGCCTCAGGAAACAGAATCTCTCCTGCAGTCCATTCACCTGCCCTAAGGCAGGACTCTAATCTTTCCCCATCTTTCTGATTGTGGGTTCTAAGACTCTCCCCAGAAAAAGTCCTCCCTATACCCTGGAGGAAGGAATGCTGATGTCTTGAAGCTTCCATAAAAACCCAAGAAGATTGGGTTCAGAGAGCGTCCAGATGGCTGAACAGTGCAGGTTACTGGAGAGCGACTTCACTAGGGAGGGCTTGGAAGCTTTGCACCTCTTCCCCCATACCTTGCCCTAAGCACCTTTTCAGCTGTATCCTTTGTAATATCCTTTATAATAAACTTGCAAACATGTCTTCCTGAGTTTTGTGAGCTGGTCAAGCAAATTAATTAAGCCCGAGGGGGCCATGGAAACTCCAACTGGAAATCAGTTGGTCAGAAGTTCCGGAGGCCTGGACTTGTCGCTGGTGTCTGAAGTGGAGCAGTGTCTGAAGTGGGAGCTCCAGCACTTTCTCCAGAATGGTGGTGTCAGAGATGGATGGGAGGACATCCAGCTGATGCCTGCTGCTTGGCATGTGAGGAAAAATCCACACATGTTCGGTCATAGAAGTCTTCTGTGTTGATTGTTGTTGTGGTGTGAGAGCAAAGGGAAGACACAATTTGCATAGAGTTTTTCTCCTAAAACACTGTGTGATTGGAAATGGCAAAATATGAGGCTGAAGAGTAAAGAGACATTCATATAATTGTTAACTTTATAGTTAGGAATGTGGATTCTATAGTGTTAAATGTACAGAGAAAAAGGCTTTTATGCAAAAAAAAGGTTTTATCACGTATATCGTCAAGTTTGCATTTTAAATAGACAAGAGCACAGAAGATAAATATGAAGAAACAAGAATATGTTTATATTGAAGAGTTTTAGTGGTCAAGATGGATATTAATGTTTCTGTCGGGAGTGACTTGAAATGTGTAGAAACATTCAGTGAATAACAAGGCATAGCTTGATGATTTTTTAAAAAAGGATATTGTAGCTTAGAGATGGTTTTTGATTTCCAGCTTCAATGATCAGATTAAAAACTTGATGCCACTGAGATAAATAATAGGGAAATGGGCTAAGATTAAGAAGGAAATATGAATTTGGAATATGTTGAGCTAGATAGAGATCGCTATTAGCAATACATGTAGATATTTAACTGAAGTCGTACTTAAAAATAAAATCTGAAAGAGAAGTCTGGTCAGAGGCAAAGATTTTGAATTTTTTATTATTTATGTGGAACTTGCATCCATTTGAGTAGGCAAATTCACATAGTTATGGTATACAGAATTATTAAGAACTGTGAACTCAGGATGAAACTCAGAATACCAAAATATGAGGAAAAGGCAGAGAAAAGGTGTCCTATGAAGGAGACTGAGAATTTTCATACGCATGAAAAGAGAGCTAGGCAGGTACAATAACAGGAAGGTAACAAAGGAAAAAGTGTCTGAAAGAAGGGAACCATTAACTATGGGGGAACACTGCAAAATGTCCATGAAGATAAAGGTCAAAACATGGCTATTGACTTTGGCAATTACTATGTTATTAGTGATTTTATTATTACCACTTTAAGAACAATGTAGGGGAAAAACGTTGTGTCGTTGATTAAAGAGGTTATTTAACATAGAACAACCATAAGATCCAGCAATCCTATTACTGGGTATATAATCAAGGCATATGAAATCAATATTTCAAGGAGATATCTTCTCTATCATGTTCATTGCAGTATTATTCACAATAGCCAGGACAGTCAACCTGAAAGTCCAAAGTGAGAGATAACAAAGTGTAAAGTGAAGTTAAGCTAGCTCCTTCAAGACACTTAAATTAGGTTCTATAGAAAGAGAATAGACCACATAGATTGATGTACGATCAAGAAAGGGACTTTTGAGAGGGAAGCCCTTGGAACATATTCATGGACTGAATAGGACATTTTGCTTATATCTTTGTCTGACTCTCCCTCACTGAAATATAAACTCTTTGAAGTAATATATCTTATTTAATTTTTATATCATGTGTGCCTACCAAAATGCCTATTAGACAGTAAGGATTCAGTAAAGGTGTACCTAATAGAACTGTATTAATCATCAATGTCTATTAAGAAATATAAGTGACATTTTAAAGAGTAAATTATTACAGAAATAAGTCCATGCACTTACAGCCAACTGATCTTCAACAAAGGTGCCAAAAACACACATTGGGAATAAAAAAGAGTCTCTTTAATAAATGACTATGGGAAACTCAGTATCCACACACAGAAGAATGAAACTAGACCTTGATCTCTCTCCAGTTGCAAAAATCAACTCAAAATGACTCAAAATGGATTAGGCTTAAATGTGAAACTTGAAACTATAAAACCACTATAAGAAAATGTAGGGGAATCTCTTCATGGCATTGGTCTGGGCAAGGAATTTTTGGATAAAACATCAAAAGCATAGGCAACAAAAACAAACAAATGGGACTACATCAAACTAAAAATCTTCCGCATAGCAAAGGAAGCAATCAACATAGGAAAGAGACAAACTACAGAATGGGAGAAAATATTGACAAACTGTGCATCTGACAAGATGTTAATGTCCAGAATATATAAGAAACTGAAACAACCCAGTAGCAATTATCATCATCATCATCATCATCATCATCATCATCATCATCATCATCTGTCTTAGAAATGGACCAAAGATCTGAATAGACGTATCTCAAAAAAAGACATACAACCAGCCAACAAGTATATGAGAAAATGTTGTATTATCTCTAATCACAAGGAAAATGCAAATCAAAACCACAATGAACTACTGTCTCACCCCAGTTAGAATGGCTATTTTCAAACTGACAAGAAATAACAAATGCAATGCCTGTGAGAATGTGAAGAAAGAGAAAACCATACACTGTTGGGAGGGATGTAAATTAGTACAACCATTATGGAAAATATTATGGAAGTTTCTAAAACACTTAAACCTAGAACAACCATAAGATCCAGCAATCCTGTTAGTGGGTATATAATGAAGGCATATGAAATCAATATTCAATATTTCAAGGAGATATCTTCTCTACTGTGTTCATTGCAGTATTATTCACAATAGCCAGGATAGTCAACCTGAATGTCCATCAACAGATGAATGTATAAAGATAATGTGGTATAAGTACACATTGAAATGCCACTCAGCATTTAAAAAAAGGATGAAATCCTGTTATTTGTGGCAACATGGATGAGCTTGGATGACTTTATGTTAAGCGAAATAAGCCAGGGACAGAAAGATAAATACTGCATGATCTCATTCATATGTGGAATCTAAAAAGGTTGATCTCCTAGAAATAGAGAATAGTACAGTGGTTACCATGTGCTGGTGAGGAAATGGGGGAGAGGAGGAATGTAGAAAGGTTTGTCATTGAGTACCAAGTCACACTTGGGAGGAATAAGTTATAGTGTTTCATTGTGCAGTAGGGTGACCACAGTTAATAATGATGTTTTGGATATTTCAAAATAGAAGAGAAATTTTTGAATATTCTTATTATAAAGAAAGGATAAATATTTGAGGTGATAGATATGCAAATTACCCTAATTTGAACATTATATATCATATGCATGTATTGAAATTTCACACTCTGCCCTATATGTATGTACAATTATGTACCAATTCAAAAAGGAGAAAATTGTAAAAAGTAAATTATCACAGTATGTTTTAACCACAGTAGGTTTCTTTCATAAATCCGTTTTTTGTTTTGGTACTACCAAATTTTATCTGACAAACTAAATTATAGAGGTGTGATTTTTAATATAAACTATACCAACAAAGAGATTATTCACTTTCTAATTCACTATGGATTCTCCTATACTCCTCTTACCTATGTAAATTTGGGTGATGACTATTTTATATATGAGGTGATTGCATACATAGCCTCTATATGTCGGGTCAATAGAAAAATCCAAACTGAAGTATTAAACAGAAGGAAGGAGAGACAAAGAAGAGGAAGATGAGGAGGTGAAGGAAGAAGACAATATGTTATTAAAGCCTTTATCTGAATGACTATTCTAAGGGTATAATACAAAGCAAAAACAACTATTGGGTAGGCTGATAACCACTGCATTTGTTAGAGACACATAAAGAACAATGAAATAAAATAATTTTTTTGAATATAAAAATCCACAACTATAATCTCAAACTTTTCAATAGTTACATTTAAAATTGTATTGACTGCTTTAGGATTAGCATATATTTTGGTGAGAATAGTCTTAAAACATTAAAAAAAAAAGAAAAAAATTGCAACAGTTAATGATGCCATAATAAGATCTAATTACCAAGTGAAATAAAACACTTTAAGTGAAAATAACAAAAGAGCTAAAGTCTTTGTAAATTTATGAACTCCATAAATTCTTCTAATAATTCTTGTTAATATATCAGTACAAAACAAATACTGATAAAATAAGAATTAACTATTGAGTAAAATTCATTAAATGGTCCATTTTATACTTATTATTATCCGCGTTATATCTGACTTTCTGACAGGCTTAAATCTTTAATTCTGTTCAGTTAGAAACACAAGGCTCATAATTTTTTCTACCATTTCTTTTTGCCATTGAATTCTTGAATCTCACATTATATTAGTCGCTTCATCCTACTATCATTATCTGTGTTCTTACAAATTCTGTTTAAATACTCCAGCAATATTCAGAATGACTTCATCTTTTCTGTTCATTACATATTGTTAACTAGCTGCTAAATAGTTTTCCATGACAAATGAGAAAAAAATTGCTATGTTATTTTTAAATTCTTTCTTCTAAAGTATAAAATAGTTACTCTATAACTATACAAAATTTCATAACACATTAGTAAATTGTAAGTGATGTATAGCAATTTTAATAATTATGATTATATTCAAATGAAATGAACTTAAAATTAATTTGATTAAGAATAACAACAATGTAATATGTAGAAATTTCAGTAGATAGTAAAATAATTATCATGTGATAGCGATAAAGAAAGTCTACATAGATAATTGGCCTATAACTACATGAACATATCTAAATTACAATAGGATAAGAGGTTTGGTAAAATTATTCTCTCTTCAATAGTTTCTGAATCAGGTACTTATTAATAACCTAATAGAAGATTCTTTTTTTAGAGGGAGAGACAGAGTCTTGCTCCGTCTCCCAGGCTGGAGTGAAGTAGCGTGATGTTGGCTCACTTGTGACCTTGACCTCCCAGGCTCAGGTGATCTTTTCTCAGCCTCCTTATTAGCTTGGACTACAGGTGCACACCACTGTGCCTGGCTTATTTTTTAATTCTTTGTAAATACGGGGTCTTGCCCAGGGTGATTTTGAACTCTTGGCCTCAAGTGATCCTCCTGTTTCAGCCTCCCAAACTGCTGGAATTACAGACGTGAGCCACTGTGCCCCTCCAGAAGATACTTAAAATCCATAAAGTCCTGACCTGTAACTCTAATATATGCCTTTAAAAAGAAAATCTCATTGTGTCATTATTTCTCTTTTCAAATTTCTTTCTATCCTTGGTCCTAATATACTTGGATTTTAAAATTTTGAAGTTCAGGGAATATTTACACACCAAAGAAAAAAAAACACCCTGCAAGCATAATTTTTTATAATGTATATAAAACATTTTTAGAAATGTTCTGCAAATCCTACTTATAAAATAAACTCTGTAGTTCTTAATATAGAATTAAATTAGTTTTTAGTGAAAGCAATCCATAAAAATACCTACATTATTTATATATTCTACTCTGATGTTGATCATGTTCTGTTTCCACCATTTATCACTGCCTCCAGAAATTCACCTTGCATCTGTTCCCACCTTTTAACCATTTGAATTCTATAATATAACTGATGTAAAATATTACCAAGAAGCGATTTTAAGATAAACATAAGGAAAAAATGAAACATTTAAGTAATTCTGTGCAGAATGAGAAAGCGTCTATATGTTTCCTTAGAATGCATTCTCTCTTTAAGGCAAATTCATAAAGAACTGTTTTCAGTATATTGGACATATATTTTGTGGCTTAAGTTTAATGTTATAACCTCACAAGGAATTTAAAAAGCCCAATCACTTATTTTGTGAGGACTTTATACTTAAAAATCAATTTTACATCATACATCAGTTTCAGCATTTAATTAATATTTAAATTTGAGTGCCTACATTGCATCGGGAACTGTGCTAGGCACAGAAGACAATTATAAGTAAAAGAAAAAAGCAAGTAACCACATCTTCGAACATTTACCATCAACAGATTCTCACTGAAAGAATTTCTAAAGCAGTGGTTCTCAAAATATGATCTCCAAATCAACAGGATCTGCATCTCCTGGGAACTCGTTAGAAATGCAAATTAACAGACTTAACTCCAGACCTACTGAATCAGAACTGTAGGCTGGTGCCCAACAATCTGTGTTTTATTAAGCCCTCCAGTTTATTCTTATATATGGTAAATTTGAGATTAAATGTTCTAAAAGATAGTTTAGAAAAAAGCAAATTTAACATAGAAGAATTGAAACAAGAAAATATTCAATATGTGGGTGAATTTTAGGAAACATTGAATATATAAAGTAATGATATACTAATGTCTAATTTGTAGGGCTAAAATACCAAAGATATAAATAAAATGCTAGGAAAAATAGCATAACTCTCATGAGGTGAGTGAACGGATATACAACATATATCCTTTGAGAACAGTGTAGAGAAAATTATTGACTATAGAATTCTATGTATATTAAAATTTTAAGGGTAATCATTAAAGTAATTTAAATCGAATGCATATACTCTAAACCAAAAAAATAGGATAAATAATTAAAAACCAATTCATTGGCAACTCAGAGACAGAAAGAAGACATTCACAATACACATATTTGATAAACTCAGAATGAAGCTGCCTTTGCAAAAATTATGACAGTGAGAAAACATACAAAAATTATGACAGTGAAAGAGATCTGACCTAACTGACTCCATCTTGTCTTTAACTTCCAAGTTGCCCTTCTTCAATCCAAGGTGTAGGCTGAGCTAACCAAAGGAAGAATTTAGTTTATAGTTTACCTCTGAAACAAAGATAACAGCCCCTTCCCTAAACAACCCCCCTCCTTGCCTGGGGACCAGAGCACTTTGTAAAGCTAGCAAATTAGCCACAAGATTAGAAATTGTAGGTCAGGAGTCATGCAGCCAGAGGCCACAAGTTTTCTAACCTCCCCACTTGCTCTTACAGTTAACATTACTATTGTAAAACCCAAGACTGATGTTCAAGATATTTTCCAGACACTGCATTCTCATGGGCCAGCTGACATCACCCAGACCAGTAAACCGGCTCAACTAGTTCTGCAATCCCACCCAGGAACAGGAGACAGCAAAAAGACAGCTCTGATGGCCCCTATGATTTCATCCCTCATCCAGCCAATCAGCATTTCACATTCCTTAACTCACTGCATGCCAAATTATCCTTAAAACATCCCAGTCTCTGAAATTTCAGGGAGGCTGATTTGAGTAATAATCTCTTCTCCCATTTAGCTGCCTCTACATTTATTAAATGTTTTCTCTATTTCAAAAACCTGCAGTTCTCAGTGCATTGGCTTTTTTGGGCAGTGGACAAGATAAATCCGTTGGATGGTTACAAGAATATATAAAACATGTCAATAAATTGATTAGAAAAAATTACACATCCCAATAGTAGAAAGAGAAATATTTCACATTAAATATTATAAAATACTATGCAGCCATAAAAAAGAATGAAATCACATTCTTTGCAGCAACATGGATGGAGTTGAAGGCTATGACCCTAAGCAAATTAACAAAGGAATAGAAAACCAAATACAAGATGTTCTCACTCATAAGAGAGAGTTAAATAGTGACTACACATAGGCATAAAAATGGGAAAAATAGACCATCTGGACTATTAGAGGGTGAAAGGAGGGAGGGTGTGGGTTAAAAAAACTACCTACCAGGTACTATATTCACAAGCTAGGTGACAGGATCCATACCCCAAAGCTCAGCATCATGCAATATTCCCATGCAACAAGTCTGCACATGTACCTTCTGTATCTATAAAAAGTTGAAATTTAAATAAATAAAATTTAAAAAATAAATTTAATTGTTATATTAATCTGGATAAAAGGAAATATTATTAAAATAGACAATTAATATATCTACAAGTATTGACTTCATTAGGCATCAGCAATGCCAATTGTAACATAAATCTAAACACCAGAATGTATAAAATGTAAAAAAAGATGAAAAATGCCAAATGTTAGTCAGAATATGGAGCACCTAGAATTCTGTATACTGTTTGTCATTTGTACAACCCATTTGCGTACTGTGTCTGTATGCCATTAAACATTTATATAACCACTTTGGAAAGTTACTTGACAATACAGTAGTCTTCCTTTATCTACAGTTTTATTTTCCAAGCTTTTAGTGACCTGCGGTCAACCACAGTCCAAATACATTCAATGGAAACTTCCAAAAGTAAATAATTTGTGTGGCAAGTTACACCCCATTCTGAGTATTGTGATGACATCTCATGATGCTCTGCTGTTTGCCAGCTGAGACGTGAATCATTCATTTGTTCAGCATATCCACATGTCCATGTTACCCACTGGTGAATCCTGAGTCACTTAGCAGCTGTCTCATTATCAGACTAGCTTTCACAATATCACAGTGTTTGTATTCAATTACCTTTTACTTAATAATGGCCACAAAATTCAAAAGTACTGTGCCTAATTGATAAATTTTATCATAAGTAGTTACATATAGGAGAAAAAATAATATATATAGGATTAAGTGCTATCCCTGGTTTCAGACATCCACTGGAGGCATCTAACATATCCCTCACAGATAAGGGGTGACCTGTGTTTCACCCCAAGAACTATCCTTATATTAAATGTGGACATAGGTTTATCAAATAATACATACTGGAGTTCATAGCAGTACTGTTCATAATAACCTCAAAGTGTTAACTACTCTAATACCTACTGTATTATTCAGGGTTCTTCAAAGAACCTAGGACAGATGGATGATGGATGGATGGATGTGTGGGTGGATGGATGGATGGATAGAAGATAGATAGATAGATAGATAAGAGGAGGTTTATTAAGGAAATTAGTTCACATGATTATGGAAGCTGAGTAGTCCCACAATATGCTCCTAAAAGCTGGAGAACCAGGGAAACCTGTAGCATGGCTCAGTTCAAGTTCAAAAGCCTCAGAATCAGAGGTTTATGGTATCACTCTAACTCCAAGGTGAAAGGCCATAGAGCAGGGTAGAAGTTGGAGGAATGTGGGGAGTGGAAGAGTGGGGCTTTGGTGTGAGTCCCAGAGTCCAAAAGCCAGAGAACCTGGAGTTCTGATACCCAAAGGCAGAAGAAGAAGGCCTTCCCAGCTCTGGAAGAGAGAGAACAATAATTCTTCCCATCTCTGCCTTTTTGTTCAATCTGGGGTCGCAGCCAAAGCGGATCTTACCCACTCAGTCCACTGACTCACAGGCCGGTCTCTTCCAGGAACACCTTCACAGGTAAATAATGCTTTACTAGCTCTCTAGACATTTCTTTATCCAGTCAACACCTAAAACTAGCCATCACACCCAGCAATCACAGACTGAATAAGTAAACAGGAGTATATTCACAAGTGAAATACAATACAGCAACAGGAACAGACAACTTACGACCACGTGGAAAAATAAAGATGACTTTCACAATCATAATATTTAAGAGAAAACAGACCTTGAAGGATACATACCTTATATATCTATTCATCTGAAGTACAAACAACAACAAATCTCATCTGTGCTGCTAGAAACCTGAAATGTAGTTCCTCTTGTGTCTAAAGACTGGAAGGAAGCATGATGGGGCTTCTGGAGTGATAGCGATGAAGGAAGCCAAAATATTTCACCCCAGAGTATACTTCTTTGATAAGATGCCTGTTCAGAGGGTCTGCAAACAGAAGTAGCCCTGCAAAGCTGTCTTTTGTGGGAGAGATTTGCATCTGTAGGGAACCTGCATTGAAGTAGCCGGGCGTTCTCTGAGGCCCTTCCCTGTCTGGATCTAGAAAATATCTGAGTCTATCATCTTTAAAGGTCTGACAAAAACATTTACCATCCATTTTCTCTGAGTGTTGCTACCTGTAACATGTTGTCTATATAACAAGACCACGTTTCCTAGCCAAGCCTCCTCTTCTCTTCCTCCCATATCCTATCCTGCCCCTACAACCCGATTTACTATCATAACTTGTATTTGACTCTGCTCCCAACCCCCATTCTTTCTGTAACTTCAAGATGGTATAAAAATGTCAACTATCTGGCCATTTCTTGGAGTTCTGATATGTTGTATGGCTCTCAGGCATGTTAAGAAATTTGTGTGTCTTTTCTCCTATTAATCTTTTTTTTTCAGTTGATCTTTCAGTGAACCTTTAGAGGGCAAGAAACAAGTTTTCCTGTGGCCCTTTGATATTCTGTTTCTTTATCTGAGGGCTGGGCATATGCATGCGTTCAATTTGTGGAAATGTAATAAGTTGTACACTTATGTGCATTTTTGTCTGTATATTGTAATTTGATACAAAGTAAAATCTCTAAAAAATCTCTTTATTAAAAAAATGCAGAAAATAAAAAACAAAAAGGAAATAATTAGCATATAAAACATAGTCCAAATATATCAAATGAATGTAAAAGGAATAACTTTCAATTATAATATAAAAATAAAAATCTAGGAATTATTTTAAAAATTACAATCAAATCATAAAATAGCAAAGGAGTGAAAGTAAAATAATGTAAAATTATACAAAAATTTCTAATCAAAATGAAAGTAGTATTAGCTATATCAGGGATTGTCAACGGTGGTACTATTGATATTTTGGACTGAATAATTATTTGTTTTGGGGTGGTATCCTTGCAGCTTGTTTAGCAGTATCCCAGATCTCTATGAACTAGATACCTATAGCACCACCCCAGCTCCAAGTGTTGGCAAGCAAAAATGTCACCAGGCATTACAAAATGACTCTTGGATTGCAAAATACACCCAGTTGGTTACTTTAATATGATACAAAATATATTTTAAACAAAACCTATTAATACACTTAAAGAGAGCTATTGGATAGTGTTAAAATATTTCATTCACATTTGTTTTTTAATAAATATTTACTAAGTATGTACAACATGCCAGACACCAGGAATACAATAGAGAATAAACAGACTAAGTTCTGGTTGTCATAAAGCTCACACTCTAATGAGGATCAACAAACAATAAACAAATAAATAAATCATTGATAACAGCTAGATAATAAAGTAAAACATGCCAAGTGAATGGATTTTGGTGTAGTGAAATGCTATTTTCTGTAAGGTTTTCAGAGAAAAGATTTCTGCAATAAGTTGACATTTGAAAAGACACTTCCAGAAAGTCATGGATGATAAACAGTGTTTAGAAAGACGGGAGAGAAGTATTTGCACAGGGTCTAAACAAAGAGCTAGACATATCCCATGAACAACAAAGAGGACAGTGGCTCAAGTAGACTACTAGAGAGGGATTTTTAAAATAATAGAAAATAAAATTAGTGAGATTAGCTGGTGAATGGATTTTGGATTAATTGGATGCAATGATTCTAAGTTCATATGTAACTAAAAGCAAAGAATGAAGTTACATAAAGCTTCTACTATGAGAATTCCAAATAAAAATATACAATCCATAACCACATTTAGAGATTTTAAAACACCTCCCTCTGCCGTTAAAACTGAAGCTAACAGAACACAGCAAAGATGTCAAATTGAATATAAATAAATGACTAATTTTATGTAATGGACATATCTCTAACTTTGAAAATAGGCATTTTATCCTGTATTCACTTATACTTCTAATCTTGATGAGTAGCATTATTTAGTGCCACCACCAAATTCGAAACTTAGTTGTTGAAACTATTTTTCTCCTTCCTCATCTCCCACATTCTCGTCATTACTCCAGAATCTCCAGAATTGCACTCATAGGCTTCCCATCTTACCTGCCTATGTTGCAAAATCTCTCATCATCAATTGCCTACAACGTGGTTTTTGAGCACAAACTGGTTCATTTGAATTTATCCTTTCTACTCCCAAGATAACCTTTTCAAAACACAACTATGACTGTGCAACCTCCCTACTCCATCTCTCAGCGAAGCCACAGGATATAGCCCAAAGTCAGAAAGTAAACTCCCTTCCTTCTCCTCCTCCTCACCTAATTCTGGCCAATTCTTTCATATTTGGGTCTTAGTTTAAATGTCACATTGTCAAAAATGACTTCCTTTACACTCTTTAAATTAGCTTTCTTGTGAATTCGTCATCACATTTTTCTGATTTTTTATTCCTTTTTAAGGATTTTTAATCTTACACATATTTGTAAAATCAGTTATTTAATGTCAGTCTTTCACAGCAGACTGAAAATGCTGTGTCTTTAGGGACATTTTCTATTTTATTTACTCCATAAAACTAGCACACTGACTGAATAAATGATTGCTACTTCAGACTCTCTAATGTTATGTACTCCCAACACTCTTGAGCTCACACTAACTTCTCCCATCCAACTAACATACCATTGTCATATTCTCTAAATTTGCCAGATTATTTCTTCCTTGAGTGTTTTTGCTTAGGAGCCTCATTTTCCTTTCCCTCAGATGCCCTTATGGCTTACATGGTTAGTCTGACAAATATCTGTAAATTTTTCAAGAAAAAATTAAAAATCATCTTTTTAATTGAATCATTTGAACTCTCCTGGCATTGATGTTTTTGTTTGCCTGAGCATAGTTGTGCTGTCACTTCAATCTTCAGAGTTCAGTCTGGGTGTAGAAATCACAGCATTACTTTAGCAAAAATAATTTAACATAAAAATTTGTTAATAGTTACTAAAATAATTGAAAATACAAAAAAAAGTACAAGAAGACATTTCCTTAGGTAGGGAAGCAGCTACATTTGTTCTTTAATAAATATTTACTAAGTACCTACAACATGCCTGACACCAGGAATTGAAGGATGAAGGAAAAAAAGAGGTTTCAATGTTTAAATCTTAAGAAGCTTGGAGGAGGAGGCCTTCAAGCTGGAACTCAGATGTCTGACAAGATGCCTCTGTAGTGGAGTCTGTGGTCCACTTTCAAGAGTGTTGTGGAAACTTCTAATGAAACAAAGTGCCACTGCCAGATGAAACATCTTTGCAAAGGCAATATTCACAGGAACAGAAAATAAAAAAGATATGGCATATCTCTTCTTTCTCCTTCAGTATTCTGGTCTCTGTATATCAGCCATCATTGGCATAAACTTAACAGGGAGATATTGAACCAAGGCAAATGTGATTTGTAAGGTCTAAGGGCATATAAAAGTGTGTTTAAAAGACACAGACAATAACTGGCATATACCTCTATATAATAGTTTAGTTATTTTTAGAAACTTTTCTCCCCTCACTTATTCAACCAATGATTGTTGATACGGGAGCTCATTCAATGCCAGGCACAATGCTAAGTACTGAGGGTAGAATGATGAATACTAATTAAAGATTTCTTGTCTTCATAGGGCTTATATCCTGACGTTTTGATTCCATAAACTCTTTGCACCTTTAGTCAGAGGATGTACCTTTAAAATACATACTATGTTAAACATAGACTATTTTAAATACACAGAATACAATGTAGTAGGTTTTCATGACCATAGTGGCCCTGGTCATTTTTTAACAGTAATTCTCAACTGAGAGTGATATTTTTTCCCACTCCAAGGGAGACTTGGCAATGTGTACCAAGGGTCAGCAAACTATACCTTCCACCACCTGTTACTGTAAATAAAATTTTATTAGAAGGCAGTCACACTCATTTTTTATATACTATTTATGGCATCTCTCATGCTGCCCCAGCAGGGGTTAGTGGTTGTCACACAGATCAAATGGCCCACAAAGTCTAAGAGATTTATTATTTGACCCTTTACCAAAACAGTTTGCCAATCTCTAAAAGATAATTAGAACTTACTACCAGCACGTAAGAGGATATCCTACACATAGATGGTTGTGTTATGTATGTATGTATGTATGTAAATGTACACCACCAAAATTACCCAGATTGATTGACCTTTAAAATTGACATATATTTTGTATAAGCAACCAACTTCCCTAGAATATTAAAACATTCCAATTTCAATTTATGGTCAAATTTAAAACATAAACCATTTTTTTTCAGGATACTTAAGGGAGGTATAACTCTAAAACAAACTAACACAAGTTGTTTTTTTTTTCTTCCAGTTCTCTATATTATTTAGAAAACCTATGTCTTCTTAAAACTAGATAAAATACATGTGTTTTCCCTTGGGGTAGTTGAACTTAGTCCCAGAGGCAATAGAACTTAGTACTTGGCAGATCATTTTTCACTGGAGATCTAACATATAAAATTGTATTTTTGTTCCTCTTTATGTGCCTCCTACCCTGCAAGGGCAATATCTGTTTTATTTATTAGCACATTCAGAATTAATTTATCACAACACACTGCAATAAAAGGTACATTTAGCAAACTTTAAATAGAATTGCCATCCATATAGAATCAAAATTTCGGTATAAGCCTGCTAATTTAAAAGTATCTTTTAATTTATTGTGATGTGTTAATAGCCTAGGTAAAAGAATTTAAATATGTTGCAAAGTTGATACAAAACCATAAACAAAACTAAAGCAAAAAAATTCACAATCTATGTTTCATTTTACTGTATATTTAGTTTTATATATTTGTGCCAGAGCACCACTCACTGAAAAATATAACTCTCATATAAATAATTTTTGAAATTATACACTTATTTTGAATCACTGCATTTAACTTCTGTCTAGTTTATTTAAAATAATGTATAATTATTTTGTCTCAAGTTTTCTCCTCTAAGACTTCTATGTACTCATACTAGTCCAACAATGTATTTTTTTCTCACTTTCCTTTTTCTTTTTTTGTAAGAAAACAACAGTCATATTTTTCTCTGTCCATGAAAGAAATATTTTCTCTTTCACAAGTTGTATGAAGTACATATCATCTTTGCCCTTTCAAACAAGAAAAGAGCAAAACCTTCCAAAGTATTTCTTTCTAATTGCATGCATTTTTCTTTATTTTTCTTTACAAGATAAAAATGCAATAAGCTAAACTGCTCTAAAGCTAAAATTATTTTGTGACATTGACTAAATCAAATCTCTCAGGCCACTTGGTATTATGTCACTTACTTTCACTCATTCAACAAAAAATTGGGCTGTTTGGTATCTACATCGTTGAGAAAACATGATCTTTGCCTTCAAGTGTTTACAACATGGTAAAGAGACAGGTAGATAAACAACATGTCATAAATTCTTATGCAACAATACAAGGTCAGAAAAATACAGTGTAAATGCTAGATAACTATTTTAGGAGAGTTAGGGTAGACTTGATAAAATAAACAATGCTTGCATAAATTGTTGTAGAAATAAAGATTTTGGTACTTTTGCAGTAAATACAGAAGGTGTTAGAGTCTGATTGTTTGTGTCCCCACAAAAAGTCATAAGTTGAAATTGAATCACCAAAGTGATGGTATTAAAAGTAGGGCTTTTGGAATATAATTAGGTCATGTGGGTGGAGTCCTCGTTGAATGGGATTATTGTCCATATAAAAGAGGCCTTGGGAAGCTGCCTTGCCTCTTAACCACATGAGGGCACAGATAGACGTTATCATCTGTGAACCAGAAAGCAGGTTCTAGACATGGAATCTTGCCTTGATACTGAACTTTCCAGCCTCCTGAACTGTGAGAAACAAATTTCTGTGTTTATAAGCCACCTAGTTTATGGTGCTTTGTTAGAGTAGCCGAATGAACAAACAAGGAAGGTTATTCTAGGACGTAGGAACAATATGCAAAGAAAAATTTAAGAGTCCATTTGAAAAGTTACACGTTCATCTGTGTCTCTGAAATATAAGATGCAATGCTAGGAAATAAAGATTATAAAGAATATATTAAATATGACAACATAGGGCATACTTAGATGTGATTTTATTTTGAAGACCATGAGGAACCAATTGAGTAAAGCATAAATATGACCTAAAATATTACTGGAATGATACAAGCAACAATGGAGAGAATGGGACACACACAAAAAAAGATAATTAAAAGGTTGCATGCGCATGTCTTATTTAGTGATCAGATGCAAGAGATGAAGAAAGAAGCATAAGAATTGTTGCCAGTTTGCAAGTGTGTTCCTGGCTTGTTTCTGACAGAAGGAAACAGTGCCGTAATCATAATCAAGACATAAGTTTGATGGATAATCTAATGTGATGCATTTGATAATTACATGTAAAGTTTGAGTAAAAGTGTCAAATAAAGACATCCACTACAGATTATTTATGAGTCTGTGTTAGCATTAGGTGAAGTCATTTTTGTATATGCACTTTCTCAGGAATCGTTTATGAGGAGTGAAGAAGAGTACCTATGATGACATACTGAGGAATGAATATATATATATTTTATATATATATTATATATATAATATATATATAATATATATATATTTATGAGATCTCAGAGGGAAGGCATTGCATTAAAGAGAACTAGAAGTAGTCTCTGTAGGGCAAAATGAAGTGTTGTCATGGATTACAAACAGGAGACAGTTTTACAGAAAGAAAGGTCAATTGAATATAGAGAGATAGAAAAGCCAAAAAATGGAAGAAAGGAAGGAAAGGAAAGGAAGGAAGGAAGGAAGGAAGGAAAGACAATAGATACTGGAGACGAGAACGTGAAGCAACAGGTATTCTTATCCATTGCTGGTGGGAATGAAAATTGACAAATCCGCTTTGGAAGACTGAGTTTCCTTCTTTTTTTTTTTTAATTGAAATTTTTATTGAGATATTGTAGATTCACATGCAATGGTAAGAAATAATACACAAAGGGATCCTTTATGCATGTTGCCCATTTCCCCCCAATATGGTTACATTTTGCAAAACTGGAGTGTAATATTGCAACAAGCAGGATATTGGCATCCATACAACCCAGTGATATGACTCAGATTTTCCCAGTTTTTTTTTCTATGTAAACTGATATATATTTCTTTATTAAATAACAGGAATCCAGTTACTGATTTCATTTTACTTTGGTTTTCAACAAGTTAAAAGCTAATTTATAGTCCAATCTGAATAACTATAATTTTTTCTATCGGCATATCTGCATTCAAATTTTTTACATAGTCTCTTATCTTCGTTCTATTTATGTGTATTTTTGCTCTGAATTTATTTTGTACATATTCTTTTTTTTCTTTTATTATTATACTTTAAGTTTTGGGGTACATGTGCACATTGTGCAGGTTAGTTACATATGTATACAGGTGCCATGCTGGTGCGCTGCACCCACTAACTTGTCATCTAGCATTAGGTATATCTCCCAATGCTATCCCTCCCCCCTCCCCCGACCCCACAACAGTCCCCAGAGTGTGATGTTCCCCTTCCTGTGTCCATGTGATCTCATTGTTCAATTCCCACATATGAGTGAGAATATGTGGTGTTTGGTTTTTTGTTCTTGCGATAGTTTACTGAGAATGATGATTTCCAATTTCGTCCATGTCCCTACAAAGGACATGAACTCATCATTTTTTATGGCTGCATAGTATTCCATGGTGTATATGTGCCACATTTTCTTAATCCAGTCTATCATTGTTGGACATTTGGGTTGGTTCCAAGTCTTTGCTATTGTGAATAGTGCCGCAATAAACATACGTGTGCATGTGTCTTTATAGCAGCATGATTTATATTCCTTTGGGTATATACCCAGTAATGGGATGGCTGGGTCAAATGGTATTTCTAGTTCTAGATCCCTGAGGTATCGCCACACTGACTTCCACAATGGTTGAACTAGTTTACAGTCCCACCAACAGTGTAAAAGTGTTCCTATTTCTCCACATCCTCTCCAGCACCTGTTGTTTCCTGACTTTTTAATGATTGCCATTCTAACTGGTGTGAGATGGTATCTCATTGTGGTTTTGATTTGCATTTCTCTGATGGCCAGTGATGATGAGCATTTTTTTCATGTGTTTTTTGGCTGCATAAATGTCTTCTTTTGAGAAGTGTCTGTTCATGTCCTTTGCCCACTTTTTGATGGGGTTGTTTGTTTTTTTCTTGTAAATTTGTTTGAGTTCATTGTAGATTCTGGATATTAGCCCTTTGTCAGATGAGTAGGTTGGGAAGGATACCCAGGAATTGAACTCAGCTGTGCACCAAGCAGACCTAAGAGACATCTATAGAACTCTCCACCCCAAATCAACAGAATATACATTTTTTTCAGCACCACACCACACGTATTCCAAAATTGACCACATAGTTGGAAGTAAAGCTCTCCTCAGCAAATGTAAAAGAACAGATATTATAACAAACTATCTCTCAGACCACAGTGCAATCAAACTAGAACTCAGGATTAAGAATCTCACTCAAAACCGCTCAACTACATGGAAACTGAACAACCTGCTCCTGAATGACTACTGGGTACATAACGAAATGAAGGCAGAAATAAAGATGTTCTTTGAAACCAACAAGAATAAAAACACAACATACCAGAATCTCTGGGACACATTCAAAGCAGTGTGTAGAGGGACATTTATAGCACTAAATGCCCACAAGAGAAAGCAGGAAAGATCCAAAATTGACACCCTTACATCTCAATTAAAAGAACTAGAAAAGCAAGAGCAAACACATTCAAAAGCTAGCAGAAGGCAAGAAATAACTAAAATCAGAGCAGAACTGAAGGAAATAGAGACACAAAAAACCCTTCAAAAAATTAATGAATCCAGGAGCTGGTTTTTGAAAGGATCAACAAAATATATAGACCGCTAGCAAGACTAATAAAGAAAAAAAGAGAGAAGAATCAAATAGACACAATAAAAAATGATAAAGGGGATATCACCACCGATCCCACAGGAATACAAACTAGCATCAGAGAATACTACAAACACCTCTATGCAAATAAACAGAAAATCTAGAAGAAATGGATAAATTCCTCGACACATACACTCTCCCAAGACTAAACCAGGAAGAAGTTGAATCTCTGAATAGACCAATAACAGGATCTGAAATTGTGGCAATAATCAATAGCTTACCAACCAAAAAGAGTCCAGGACCAGATGGATTCACAGCCGAATTCTACCAGAGGTACAAGGAGGAACTGGTACCATTCCTTCTGAAACTATTCCAATCAATAGAAAAAGAGGGAATCCTCCCTAACTCATTTTATGAGGCCAGCGTCATTCTGATACCAAAGCCTGGCAGAGACACAACCAAAAAAGAAAATTTTAGACCAATATTCTTGATGAACATTGATGCAAAAATCCTCAGTAAAATACTGGCAAACCGAATCCAGCAGCACATCAAAAAGCTTATCCACCATGATCACGTGGGCTTCATCCCTGGGATGCAAGGCTGGTTCAATATACGCAAATCAATAAATGTAATCCAACATATAAACAGAGCCAAAGACAAAAACCACATGATTATTTCAATAGATGCAGAAAAGGCCTTTGACAAAATTCAACAACCCTTCATGCTAAAAACTCTCAATAAATTAGGTATTGATGGGACATATTTCAAAATAAGAGCTATCTATGACAAACCCACAGCCAATATCATACTGAATGGGCAAAAACTGGAAGCATTCCCTTTGAAAACTGGCACAAGACAGGGATGCCCTCTCTCACCACTCCTATTCAACATAGTGTTGGAAGTTCTGGCCAGGGCAATTAGGCAGGAGAAGGAAATAAAGGGTATTCAATTAGGAAAAGAGGAAGTCAAATTGTCCCTGTTTGCAGACGACATGATTGTATATCTAGAAAACCCCATCGTCTCAGCCAAAAATCTCCTTAAGCTGATAAGCAACTTCAGCAAAGTCTCAGGATACAAAATCAATGTACAAAAATCACAAGCATTCTTATACACCAACAACAGACAAACAGAGAGCCAAATCATGAGTGAACTCCCATTCACAATTGCTTCAAAGAGAATAAAATACCTAGGAATCCAACTTACAAGGGATGTGAAGGACCTCTTCAAGGAGAACTACAAACCACTGCTCAAGGAAATAAAAGAGGATACAAACAAATGGAAGAACATTCCATGCTCATGGGTAGGAAGAATCAATATCGTGAAAATGGCCATACTACCCAAGGTAATTTACAGATTCAATGCCATCCCCATCAAGCTACCAATGCCTTTCTTCACAGAATTGGAAAAAACTGCTTTAAAGTTCATATGGAACCAAAAAAGAGCCCGCATCACCAAGTCAATCCTAAGCCAAAAGAACAAAGCTGGAGGCATCACACTACCTGACTTCAAACTATACTACAAGGCTACAGTAACCAAAACAGCATGGTACTGGTACCAAAACAGATATAGATCAACGGAACAGAACAGAGCCCTCAGAAATAACGCCACATATCTACAACTATCTGATCTTTGACAAACCTGAGAAAAACAAGCAATGGGGAAAGGATTCCCTATTTAATAAATGGTGCTGGGAAAACTGGCTAGCCATATGTAGAAAGCTGAAACTGGATCCCTTCCTTACACCTTATACAAAAATCAATTCAAGATGGATTAAAGACTTAAACGTTAGACCTAAAACCATAAAAACCCTAGAAGAAAACCTAGGCAATACCATTCAGGACATAGGCATGGGCAAGGACTTCATGTCTAAAACACCAAAAGCAATGGCAACAAAAGACAAAATTGACAAATGGGATCTAATTAAACTAAAGAGCTTCTGTACAGCAAAAGAAACTACCATCAGAGTGAACAGGCAACCGACTGAGTTTCTTTCAAAGCTAAACCACACAATCTAACAATCACAATCATAGTTATTTACACAAATGATTTGAAAAACCTGCACATGAATGTTTATAGCAATTTTACTCATAACTGTCAAAACCTAGAAGCAGCCAAGATGGATAAATAAATTGTGACACATCCATACAGTGGAGAATTATTCAGCCATAAGGAGAAATAAGCTATCAAGCTAGGAAAAGAGATGAAGAACCTTAAAAATATATTGCTAAGTGAACGATGCCAATATGAAAAAGCTTTATACTGTGTAAATTCAATTATACAGCTTTCTGTGAAAGGCAAAACAATGGAGACAATAAAATGATCATTGGTAGCCAGAGGTTCATAGTGGGGAAGGAAAGGATAAATAGTTGGAGCATGGAGTATTTAGGGCAGTGAAATGATCCTGTATGATTGTGTAATGATGGACACAAGTTACAAGATGTTTGTAAAATCCTATTGAATGTACAACACAAAGAGTGAACCCTAATGTTGAGGATAACGGTAGTTAATCATAATGTATCAATGTTGGTTCATCAGCCATAACGTATCATTCTAATACAAGATTTAAATAGTAGGAGAAATCGAGGGGAGGGGGAGGAAAGGGGAATAATATGAGGGAATTCCCTGTACCTTCTTATCAATTTTCCTGTAAAAGTAATACTGTTTAAAAATAAGTAAATAGTATAAAATACTGTCATAAAATACAACTATAAAGATATAAACAGAAGTGCTCTAGATTTTTATAAAAATCACTGGAGAGTCTATTAGATTTTATATTTGAAGAGTCATTAAGACTAAATACAGTGTCGAAAAATTGATGGTGAGTACCTACTGAACATAATAAAATAGTATATATAGACATATTTCCCTATCTGGGAGCTTGTATTAAAATATACTGTATTAAAAAACAAACTTACAAGAGCTAAATATCAAAAGGAGGAATGGGCCATTATCTATTTTACTAAACTATTTAAAACAACTTATTGAAGATATATTCACTAAGACATGCAAATATTTGTTTTCCATCAATGAATGCCTGTTTAATATTTTGAGCAACTAAAAATTTGTATAATTATGTATAATGACATGACAATATTATATTTCTTGAGTTCTACATTTTTTGAATATCTATTCTATGCAAACTCAGGGCTCTTCGTGATACAACAATCTCCTTTTTCTTTTCTTACTCTGTTTTGTCAGATTCATAATACATGCTAATAAAAATAATTCTACAGCAACAGGATAATGACATATTGTCATTCATTCAAGAACTTACACTAAATGTCTACCGTGTGCCAGGACTTGATTTTTTTTTTTTTTTGGAAGAGAAAGAAAAGGAAAAGGAAGGGAATACAAGAAGGAGAGAAAGAGAAAGGAACAGGAAAAATAACTTTTCAAGTGTGACAGGAAGTCAAAAGTTTTAGGATTTCAACTTTAAAAACCCTATATAATTTTATGAGTGCTTTCTCTAAATGGTTTCAGAATCCTTATTATAAAATGAGCCGGTAACATTAAAAATGAGAGAGTTAAATGCTTTTCTGCTTGTTAGTATATTTTATTATAGATTCTGGTTTTTTTTCAAGTATTTTTTTCAAAAGTTACACAAGCTATGGTGTCTTTAGTAACTTTTACTCCTAATATTTTAGTAACATTAATTTGTTATCTGATTTGATTGATAACTAAGTCTCATTAAATATACCCACTCTTTATACATGTTGTTATCTCTTACAATTAAAAAAGCAATATGAAATCTCTATATAGAAACGACATGACCAAGGAATAAAACAGCTGTGAGTGGTAAAGCATGGAATTTGATAATACGATTATACTTTGGTGGCTTTCACTTCTTCCCCCAGGGATCTAAATTTGTTCATTATTTACAATAAGCATTTCCCTTAAAAAAACACTAAGCCTGGCCAAGTGAAGAATCAACAAATGAAAAAATGAACAGCAGAAGAGAATTATTCTACAATAAGAAATCAATTGTGTCTCTCAACTGAGAATCACTAGCAAGAAACTGGTAAACCAACCAACAAGTGGGTAAAGGAAATGTGAAATTATATAACTAAATAAATACACACAAACACACACACACACACACACACACACACACGCACACACACAAGCACACACCATAGAATACTACTCAACCACACAAAGGAAGGAAATAATAGCATTTACATTTGCAGCAACCTGGATGGAGTTGGAGATCATTATTCTAAGTGAAGTAACTCAGGAATGGAAAACCACATCTCGTATGTTCTCACTTATAAGTGGGAGCTAAGCTATAAGGACATGAAGGCATAAGAACAATATAATGGACTTTGGATACTCGGAGGGAAAGGTGGGAGGAGGATGAGGGATAAAAGACTACACATTGGGTACAGTGTACACTGCTTGGGTGATGGGTGCACCAATTCCCAGAAATCACCACTTAAGAACTTTTCCATGCAACTGAACACCATCTGTTTCCCCAAAACTGTTGAAATGAAAATAAAAGTAAAATAGTGTGTAACAAATAAAAAAGAAAACTAAATGTGTAACGGATTGTAGGGAACGGAGGCCATGGGTCTGTAGATCTGTACGTAATGATTGGTGTCTTCCAATAAAAGGTCCAGACTCCCTTAATATTAAAGGTTAAGTAATCCCTTTTGAATATTAAAATAACTACAATAGCTCTTTTATACAAAATTGATACACGCATGCACGCACACATATACACAACCATATATTTTCTGAAGTAAATACGAATTTATTTCTTTTCATGTAATGAAATATTTGTACTCTGACTTCTGATTACTTCCTTCCCAGATGTTCTGCATCATACTCTAGAGCTACCAACTAACTGAAGCTCCCAGAGCAGCTTACTGTCTCATATTTTTTGACACTTTTTTGCTCTTCTCTAGAAAGGCATTAATCTTCTTCTCTACCTGACATACATTCCTCCACATTCATCCTATAAAATGCAAAATAATCATTACGTATTCCATGAAGATTCTGATTTCCCTTAATATCTTACCCAATCCTTTGTGTTAGTGGTATGCTTTTTATATCATTTCTATTGGATAGCCTGTGTGTATGACTGAAAGTGAATTGCTGGGGGTATGACCGCTTTCTTCCTCATCTTTGAATCATTGTTTCCTAGTAAAACATACGCAATGTAAGGTGCACAGCAAATATTTGTTGAAAATAATTAAGAAAAATTCCCACTCTTCAGCAGTATACTAAATTGTCCAATCAAATGAAAGAGTAAGTCAATTTCCAGTGTCTAACAATTTCTGAGAGCTAATTTTAGCACTGAAAATGTGAGAGAAATTCAGTATTTAAGAATTATATAAATTTTGCAGATAAAAGATTGGTGTTGCAGAACCATGAATGTTTAACAATTTGTCAGTTCAGTATACACTATTCTGAATATTTTAGATCCTTCATTACCCTCTGCTTTCTTTTTATGTTTAGCCACACTTTGTGAAGCATTGCTTTGTAATATTGTGGTAATAATTCATAGCATTATCTCTGATGTCCAATATAAAAGACAATCAGTTTAAAAATAGATCAAGACAATGGATGATTAATAAAATCAAATAACTTAAGAATTAACATACCTCTGAAATATATCAAAGACCTATTTGGTAATAATTACATAGAATAGGCCAATTTGAAGCATACTATATTTAAGTAATAGTTGTTTTAAACATATTCTCCTGCATTTCAACTCATTTTTAGAAAAATTTATAGTAAGCTTAGAAAGAACTCTAAAAATGTATTAATGTAAACATTTAAATGATTTTGTGTTTTATGAGTTATATAATGAAGATTTGTTTATTGATTTCCACTAACCTTTAGTTATAAAATTAATAATTTCAATAAATAACTGTGAGGTTAGATTAAAACCCATAGAGTAATGGCTTTTTTGGTGCCAAGATAAGAATAATTCATAAAAAAATACATGTCTAAATCTCATTGATAATAATTTATAAACAATAACTGCAAATATTTTACATTTTCATCATGGCATTAAATATTGCTGCAATCGAATCTGTGACTGTAGAAACTTCTTAATAATTTGTATAATTATTGGTAGACACAAAAATTTCTAGATATATTATCCTATCCTTTTCTTAGGAGAATGTTTTTTAAAGTGATATTTTGCTTGGAACTTACAAGATTTATTCAAATATAAGTAAATGAGTTTTGCTACTTCAAATGCTTAATTATATAAATACAACCAGGTATACACAAAATTGATGGTAATTGTTTGTTTTACATGGTTATCTAAAACATATTGAGAACTTGGGGTACAAAATAAACAACGCTTTTTACAAAGAGCTTTGACCTTTGACCTGATAAGAATTTATTGTATTATTGCTGATTTCACACACCTAGCCCCATATCTCCATATATAGTGTTTTTCCAATATAATATTTTAAATCTGTTATGAATTTTTAGTTATCTATCATATGTATTCTATGAACATATTCTTAAAATATATTTATTTTCACAATAAAAATGTGATATTACTTAATTCACATACCCAAAATTGTATTTTTCAATAAATATTATTTTTATATTATTATTATCATCATCATCGTTATTACTCTAAAATCAAATAAGAAACCAAAAGTCAATGTTCCATTTGTCTGTTACTGTTCAGGAAATATTACAATATGGCCATCATGAATTTTGATTTTTGTATGTTTATCATAACCTTTGAATCACTTTAATTTTTGAAATGTTGAACTTTTACCTTACAAAGCAGCCTTGCAGTTATTATCTCAGGAAATGCAATAATTATCTGAAGACTGTAACCAGAAAGCTGGTCAATTTTTAAAAAGTCATTTAAATTCCATTGTTTCCACTTATTCTTAATCTTCCATCTGTTTATTATAATACAGTAACAACTTTTTAAAATCTGAGTATGCCTTCAACTTTTCAAAAGGGTAGAATTTGCATGGTGCAACATCCTGTCTTCCTATACGACTCAATTACTATTAGAGAAATATTATTTACTAGCAGAAAATGTGCATATAAAGTCCTTTATAGCTTCTATGATGATGCAACTTTTAATTTTAAAAAATCACTTTATTGTATTCTCTTAAAAACTAATACATGAATTTGAAAATGGAGTTAAAACATTATAGAAAATGCTCTATTTTATTATTGAAAATGCAGTAAACATTTTGGCATAACACATAGAGAACATTTTCTTACTTGAATAAAATATTCATTGTTAAATAAAAATCACATATGTTATTTCAACTACCTGAAAACTGTAATATAATAAATATAAACAATGTTACAAATCAAGAAAAATACAATTGTATTAGCTATTTGAAGATTACTTAAAGAGTATAACCTGTACTCTTTCCTGGAATCTGTTTTTTTGTAACTACATGCCTAGCTAGATCACTGCTTTCTTCAATCTCTTAAAACTTGTCATTTTTTTTTTCTTTTGAATATCTGCTTCTGCAAAATAAAATAAACTTAAAAGAAAATAGCATATACCTCTCAATCCACAACCTGTTACCATTTCATCACAATATCTAGGTCCTTGCAATAACTCTCAGTAGCCACAGTCAAATCTTCTCATGAATCATATGTGAATGGTTTGTAGTGACTTGTGAATCTATTCTCGTGGAAATTCTACTAACCAGAACATCTTTCTTTAAATTTTTATAATATAACACTAGTAACTTACAATTTGAAATTAAAAGTTTAAATCATTTAGTGATCTTTCTCCATATCAAGTAATAATTTCTTTCTCAGGGCTAGGGTAAAAATACTAAGTCTCCTCTTTGCTTGTTCTGTAGAAATCAACTTTAGGAAAGGTGATGGTTTGAAGTTTCTGGTAAATTCTAAAGAACAGTAATAATATTAAGAGAATCCAAGTAGGCTCAGAATTTTCACAGACATCAACATTCATCAAAAAAGTTAATTAATTTTTCAATTGAGTTTAAACTGAAATTCAAAGTAACTGAGGCAGTGCAACAATTATATTTCTTTTCTCACCTATTTGTAAAGGTAAAAAATTATTTGGCCTGAGATATACAGGGTTTTATAAGACAAGGAGTCAAATTCATGGATGTCATTTAGGAAAAAACTAAGTTTCCCTTTGACTGTTTAGTGCTGAAATAAGAAAAATCCACAAATTCTCCAAGAATGCTTCTGGAATTTGCTATCCCAGAGAAGAAACTGTCCACCTCCCACTCCTATCGTAGGGAAGTTAGAGTCTGGTTTCATTACAAATCTGCAGACCATGGACAAGATAAGAGTTATGCATCTTACCTACAGGTCTTAGAATCAAATAAAAAATCATCGCCAAAAATACAACTTGCCTTAGATGTGTGCTGTGACCATTTATTATTTCATTAAAATAGTGAAATATTTAATGATGTTTGAATATAAAATACTAGACATAGTTGAATGCATATTTCTCCTCCCTTCATACCCTTAATCACAAAATATAACATACCCCAGATTAAATGAGCCAAGATGCCCATCCCCCACAACTAGCATAGATGGTTTCTTCATTTCACAGTTTCCACAAGCAGCACAGAACCAGCTCCACAAAGATTGCCAAAGGGAAATACCCTTAATGTTTTCTGTCTATAAAACATATTTTATGAATAGGTTCAAACTGCTTTAATAATCCATCTTGATGAGTTTGTTCCTACCCTTAAGAGATTACCCCAAATCATGCTAGACTTTACTATAAGATATATATTATTTACGTAGCAGAGCTGTATAGCCAAGAGTTAAGTCAAAGAAGGGCAAATACATTTTAACTCTGTTACACTCTAAAATAGCTGAAATTCTGCACTATCATCTACCTTTTTCTGCTTGAAAAATACCTTTCCAATTTTTTCATGAATGCAACCACCTTTCTTATTCATTCTTCTCTTGGCACAATCATTTTATTTTAATGGATTTTCAATTTCGTGAATAATTACTATGCTAATATTTAACACATATTCCTTAATCTCAAACCCAAGTTCATACTCTTGGGTTTATTCCCATTACTCAGTTAAGAGGAAGATGACTTATTACATTCAACTTTTGGAAAAGATTTACTCAAAGTGAGGGTCTGTTTAAAAAGTTGGAATTTTGCCATTCAAATTTATCTTCCTCTCATTGTATGCAATATTTCTGTCTAAAATATGCTGTTCTTTATTTTTAATGTTGGTGGTGGTGGTGATGATAATGAGAGTACTGCTCTTGACGGCAAAAATAGTGATGATAGCAATGGTGATACCTTAAGTGACTTACAGAGATTGAGAAACAGCCCTATAAGATTTGAGTCATTATTCTTGCTTTGCCCAGTTCTCATCATGCCACCATTCTGATTCCTGATATTTCTACTTTCTAACTTTAACCTTTTAAACTGTATCATTTCTCATTTTCAGTGAACCTCTACCAGCTTTACTGTGTATCCTTCAATATATTTTCAAACCTGAAATATGGCAATAATTGGTGATCAAACTTCATTTGATTTTTTGGTGACATCCAACATTTTTTCTGTAATCACATAAATATATATTTTATTTATTGACTGTGGCTTTTTGAAAATTTAATTATAAGACAGATCAAAAGCATGAAATGAAATGAGAAATTAAAAAATAATTTTAAAATAAAATATAATAAAAAGGATTTTATTACTGAAAAACATATTTCTTCATCTAATACTGTTAATGTATTTCTAATTTTATTCATTTTGGTCAACTTCAGAATGATAAAATTAAATGGCTGATTTAAAGAGTATATTTTAAAATATGTTTTTAAAGTAATGCTTAATATTACCAAAAGTAATATTTTATGTATATAATTATTACCCCAGATATTAAATATGCTTACAATCAATATAACTTTTATATTTATGCAACAGCATACTCATAAAGTAGTTGATGATAAAAGAAAAGTATGTAAATATTACTGTTAGAAGATTTCTATTTAAAAAAATTCACTGTAAGTAAGATAAGCCCCACTAAGAAGGTCAGTCTTCTGGGAAATGAAAATAATTTTTAGAGCTAGTATTTGTTTAAAATTGGAATATAGTGGTTAATCAAATAAACTTTAGAATTTAAATTTAGACATGATTCAGTTCTCTACTGTGACAATTACTAGCTCAATAATTTTGAGCCAGTTATCTAAATTTCCCCTCTCGGTTTTCTCACTTAAATGGAATAAGAGTAACATCTCATAGAGTTTCTATGAGGATTAAATGATTTCAGAATATCACAAGACACGTAGTAAGCATTATATAAATATTTGTTAAATACAATTATTTTATATGGGATTATATTAAAAAAGAAAACTACTTAAAATAATACTTAGCTTTAGAAGGAAATAATCATATATAGAAAACATAATACATGATTTTGATACAAGAAAGATTTACAAATAAAAGTGATATTTATGTCATTTCATGAATTTCTAAATATTCACACATTCATTCTTTTGTTTATTAAAGTATTTATTAATAGTACAAAAATATTTTAATTAAAACAATAAAATTGAGCAAAATGTATGAACATGGCTATCAATAAAATATTTCTGTCTTTTTACCTTACTGATACAATAAAAAATATATTGTGCTATTTCTAGAATTTAAACCTTCTGTTATGAGCAAAATAGAACTTAAATCTTATTAAAGAGACAGCCTCATTTTCATGTTATGAAATTGCTTTCTACACTATTTTTTTCCATAGGTAGTGCCAGCAGAAAATTTGAAGTACATGTCCATATTTCTAAAACAAAGAATTAATAATGTTTTACTGGAATTCTTACACCTGGATACAACCTAAAGAAAAGTCTAATTAAGATCATTATTGATGATGCAATGATTTTTTTACTGATTCTGATGCTAACCTCATTACAGCAGCAGCTTTTCTCTGTTTTGCTCTCTATAGACTTGTATACATAACAATTAACAGATGTTTAGGGAAACACTTTAAACAGTTCACATTGGCATGATCATTAGGTTACAACAAGAAGAATTGTTTCTACTCCTTAAATAATGCAGCTACACAATATTTCCTAATTCTGTGTAGAATTTTTTTAAGCCTCAGAGTTGAGGTCAGGCTCATACTTGCCTTCATCCATAACACCATGCCTATCCTTTGCCAACATAATAAAAAATAAGTTTTTTAAAAAAACATTTATTTAGATCAGGTAACAACAACAGCAAAAGTAATAAAAATATTTCAGAATATATTTCTGTATGTTAGTTTCATACATTTGGAAAACTTAATACCTCAATATATACAATATCCTATTCTGCCCTAAAAACTCTGTAGTCTAAAAATATAAAGAAAAATGTCCTGGTATAAAATTAAATGTTCGCAAATTATTAATATTGTTATTTTAAATTATGCATTAACAAGGAAGTCAAAGTTTAAGAAAATTCTTATAAATAATACATAGTTCATGGCACATTTCAAATTTAAGAACATCAGTACAAGCCATCTTAGCTCCTGTCATATGTTAAGGACCTTAACCATAAAAGGCATGAGAATGGTATTGTAGAAAATTAGAGGATAAATCAGATACAAATTCTGCAGCCTAGACTTTAAAATATATCAGATTTTATACTTTAGACTTAAAATATAATCATGTACAATGCAGATAACGATAACTAAAGTAAGTGCACATTTAAAAATCAGATAACAAGAGTTATGAATTATATCTCATTCTGGTTTTAATTTGCAATTCCCTGATGATTAGTGATGTTGAGCACTTGTTCATGAACACATTGGCCATTTGTACATCCTCTTTATATCTTTCTCTTATTTTGAAATCAGATTATTTATTTTCTGGTTACTAGGTTGTTTGAATCTTTTATGTATTCCTCATCAGATAGTTTGAAATATTTTCGACCACTCTAAGAGTTGTCTCTTGATTTTGTTAATTGTTTTCTTTGCTGTGCAGAAGTTTTTAGTTTGATGTAATCCCATTTGTTTATTTTAACTTGTGTTTCCTTGTGCTTTTGGGGTCCTATCTGAGACATCATTGTCCAGACCAACCTGGCATTGTGTATATAATGGAATTCTATTCAACCATTATAAAGAATAAAATCCTGTAATTTATGACAACACGGATGAACCTGGAGGACATTATATTAAGTGCCACATGATGGAACTTATTTCTGAAATCTAAAAATGTTGAACTCATAGTAGTAGAAATAATAGTGATTACCAGAGACTGGGGGAGTGGGAAGGATGGGAATAGGAGATGTTTGTCAAAGGCTACAAAGTTCCAGTTAAACAGAAGGAATAAAACTTTGAGATCTATTGCATAGCAAGGTTACTGTAGTCAATAATGATGTATTGTGTATTTCAAAATAACTAAGCATGTAAATTTCAAATGTGTCACTACAAAAAAAGATGTGAGATAATAGATACTAACTAGCTTCATTTAATCATTTCACGTTGTATACATATATCAAAAGATAACACTGTACCCCATAAATGTACACTGCTGTAATTTATCAATTAAAAATAATATGAATAAAAAAAGCTATGAGTGAGTGCTTACTATGTGCCAGTCTTTGTTCCATGAACTTCATTATGTATTATATAATTTAATCCTCACTACAATCCTGTGTCAGTTTTGAAAGACTAAGCTAAAATAACAAATTAATTCCCAACATTTAGTGATTTAGAGTATAAGAAATTAACTTGTTTTTCAAGTAACATTTCAGGTCAGTCAAGGCCTACTTCACACAATTATTCAGGAACTCGATCTCTGCCATTGTCAACTGGTGGATTCCAAAGTTGTCATTATAATTTCCATTCTATTTAGCTAGAAGGCAGAAATGAAAAGAAGAGGCATTTGGAAGGGTTATGGGCCAGGTCTAGAAGTGGCACATATGACTTCCAGGAGATCCCAATGAATAAACAATCCAGCTACAAACCGTGGTACTGAAAGAACAGAGGTAGGATCATGATGCACATTAAGGGAAAGGGTGGTTCAAGATGAGGCTAGGACAGTGATTGATGAAGAATATGTCATTCAGGATATTGTTAACCATGTTAAAAGATCCTACAAGTCATATTATTGGGCTATTTATTTTAAACATAGTGAACTACAGGATTTTAGTAAATAATTTTCTCAATTATTTACATTTTAAAATATTCCTCTGAGTTTCTTTCAAATAAATGTTTTATTTCATTACAGTTCTAGATTTATCAAAAATGCAATATATTAATAATAGAGATCTAGTAATAGAGATAGAGATCACATCCAGGTTTCCCTATTATGAACATGTTACATTAGGATAGTATATTTGTCAAAATTAATTAAGTCCATTTTATTGATGTTTTTCATGATTGAGCTTTTGTTGTTTAAACACTCATTAATAAAGCAATGGTTACATAGATTTTTCCCCATGTTATTTTCTAGTTATGGTATTGTAATAGCTAGATACCATAGCTAGAAGATAACAAAGGGGGAAATTGGGTATTTCAGGTAGGAGAAATATGATGATATCTTGGAATAGTTTTTTGATTTTGAAAAATGGAAAAATGCTCATGTAACATACATTCATGTGCTGACAAACTGTTATTGTGTATCTGTATGTTACACAAGGTAATTAAGTGCCAATATAAGCAGATATTTAATTAGTTATGATCACAGAATGTGAATGATGGAAGATGAATATGTAAAATTTATCAGGGATTTTCAAATTCTGCTAATTTTACCTTACATTTGATAAAATGTAGGTTTCTGGAGGGGTAAAAGAAAAACAACTATTTTCTTGGAGAGCAGGGAATTCATGCTCCCAGAGCAGATGGAGGATCCAGCTGATCATTCTTAATTACCTATAGAGAACTATTTATTTTACTTGATGAATTACTGGAACTGTAGTTATTTTATTATCCTTTTCTAGAATTTCTTCCCTGTTAGTATCCTTACTGATAACAAATATGTTAAATTTGTGACTTATGTTTTGTAAAGGTAGTAAGAGAGAAAGAGAAAAGCAGGAAAGATGAGAAAATATAGAAAGTGTGTGAAAATTTAACATTATTGTACATAGGTCTCTTATTCACATTATTATAGTTTAATATATTAAAAGAAAAGCATTAGAGATATTCAAAGTTGACATTTTTATGTCTATTGGAGAAATATTTACCATTACTTCAATTCATATTCATCAGGTATATGGTACCTATTATTTTAACAAATTCATACTCAGAGATAGCATTAAGCATTCAATTATAAACACTGACATGTGAAATAAGCAGAAATATAATGATACCAAAATTACTCAGGAGGAAAATTAATATAGCAAACTATTGAAGAGGATAAGTTATGAACAGAGAGATGGTTAAGCATCACCTTGAATATTACAGAGAAATATCCTCCAATTTTCTATAGCAGAAGACGGTAAGGAATTTTAAGTGAGGAAAGTGCTTACTCTTTATTGCTTGAGTTTCTCTTTCTCTCTCTCTCTCTGTCTTTCTCATTCTCTCACTATGATATTGTATATATAACATAAAAAACTGGTAATTTGGAGATGTGAAATGTCACTAATGACCACAAACTCAGTACTTGAAACTCTCCTGTCTCCACACATACATAGCATTTGACAATGTTGACTTGATTACATGGGCTTTTTGAACATTTATTTTCCCTTTTCTTCCTAAGTGCTAATTTTAGCTATTCACCATCTCTGTCTCTGATCAATATTAATGTTTTTATAATAAATATAAAGTGCCAATATTTATTATGCATTTAGTGTAAACATAAATAATTAAAAATAAAAATGACACTAATTTACCCTTATAAGAGAAATAAATTGGAATGTTTCTTTCACCCGCTCACACTGAGTGGTGTCAATTTTCAACATTTTACAGTTGGAAAAAAAAAATTCTCTTGAGCTTTAATTCAAACATATTTACTAACAAAGATTTTACCTCAGATATTACTGTCTTTATTTCTCCATTTTTTAATTTTTGAAAATAGTAATTTAATGAGAACGTGAATGTAAAGAGTTTAAGATAGAATGTGGCTCTAATAATCAATCTTACAATAAACACAACTTTTCTTTCCATTGTGGCAACTAGGAAGAGATGTTTTTCTTGTAGCACATTCTTATGTGTTCTCTTTCACACTTTTTCATGGTGCAAGGAATAAAAGTAGGAGTAGGTAAAAGCAAGGAATTACATGTTTATGTCTTAAAAATTATATCTCCATAAGATTGCTGATATTTTATCTTTGTTGCTAGCATTTTTCCTGTCTTCTTTCTTTTTTTTGCATATTTTAATTTTTATTTTGTCACACTAATTATTTTTCTATTTTTTTCATTTTTTATGCTTAGAAAATCCTTGCACAGCAGTGGGTAAATATTTACCTCTATGTTTTTTCTGTTGGATTGTTTGTGTTGTTAACATTAACACTTTATTTTGACTGTTATGTATTGTTTTATAGAGTGTGAAACTAAATTATTTTAATTACTCGTTAATTTTCCTAACATTAGCATACAAAGTATCCCTTCACCATTCATTTATAATACTGCCTGCATAATTTTTAAAATTATTTCTAGAATCAAGTTATTATGAGACTATTTCATACTATTCCTGGGATGTTACCTTCGCCATTCATTATGTGCTTGCTCTGCCATCTCCAAAAATATTACCTTCTCTGGAGTTTTGTTCTTTGCTTTGTCCTTAGATGCTTTTTATTTGTTTGCTTATTTACTCCATATCACACAGTGTGTTGGATAGTGGGGAACACAGATGAAGGCTTCAGACACTAGGACTATAATACACACAGCTAGAGGAGGAATCCCGATAGTCTCCAGTTAGTTCATCTGTATGGCTGATGCCTGAATTTGTTCTATAGCTCCCTTGCTTTCTCAAGAATATTTCTTACTGTTCATTCTATTTCATTATATATCTCTACTTGACCATTGTTCTGTACAAGTACCATCACATCAACATGTTTTTAAAAAGCACGTGAAATATATAGTCACACATTGTCTTAAATTAACTCAATACATCTTTGGGCAGCCAACTTTGCCTCAAGTAAAAACATCATGTCTAACTTGGTCAAAAAATGTGACACCTGAGGGATGAATGAACACTGTACTTTGGCTCAATCCCTCCATTAAATCAATTCTCAGTTTTTGTTAATTTCTAAAATAATCACTGTCTTTGCTTTTTGTAATTGTCATTATGATCCATTTCAGCCTCCTGTTGCCTCTTAACCTGAAATATCAAATAATCGATTTTTTTTTCACCCACACTGGAGTGCAGTGGTGTGATTATAGCTCATTGCTACCTCAAACTTCTGAGCTCATTGCAACCTCGAACTCCTGAGCTCAAGGGATCCTCTTGCCTCAACTTCCTACCTGTAGCTGGGACTGCAGGCATATGCCACCACACTCAGCTATATTTTTTTATTTTTAGTAGAGGTGGGGGTCTCACAATGTTGCTCAGGCTGGTCTGAAACTCCTGAGCTCAAGTGATCGTTCTGCCTCGGCCTCTCAAAGTGCTGGGATTACAGGCGTAAGCCACTTAACTGAGAACTGTGGACCTTGCTTCCCTCCAATCATGTTCAATTTGGGGTGAAATTAATTAAATCTGTAGAATCCAAATATAAGAAAGTCATCATATACAGTAAAATTTTAAAACCTATAAGTACCATCCCTGGCAGGTATTTGGATTTCATAAATGTCAGCTTTGAATTTTCTGTTTCTTCTAATTACTTAAGACAACAGTTCCCAAAATGTGACCCACAGTCCCTAGGAATTTGCAAGACATTTTCAGGAGGTCTGTGGGATCAAAATATATTCATAATTATATTAACTTTTTTTTCCTTTGTCACTATGTGGAAATTTGCATTAATAGTGCCAAAGTGACACTGGGTAAAATTTCTTGCCCCTTGGCACAAATTAAGCCAGTAGCACCAAACAGTTCTGAAAATCATTTTATTATTTACTGCCGCACACTGAGAATTATTTTTTAAATTACTATTTTATTGTTTCATTTAAGAATGCCCTTCATTAAAACAGTACAAAACATTAGTTTTATTAAATCTATACCCTTAAATACATCTTTTTACATTATTCTTTGAGGAACAAAATGGAAGAAAACATAAAGAACTGCTGCTGCATACCATATGACAGTTGTTTTTGGGAAAACACGAGTGATTATTTGCTTTCTGCATTGAATTAGCTACTTTTTCATTGATCGTTATTTTTATTCTAAAGACTCGCAGACAGCTAGACTTTTCATACTTGGGTGTTTGACAGCTATTTTCTTGAAAACGAACCAAGAAAGTCAGTCACTCCTATGAAAACAAATGGCAGTATCTAATAACAATACTAAAATATGTAAAGTGAAAATTAAAATATTGAAAAATTTTTATCTGTCATAACTTCTCAATAAAGACTTCACAGAAAAGATTAGCAATTAATAAATGTTAATTTTGTTCTATATTAAAATGTGTCAATATGTGGAAGATCTGTATAACTCAGTTAAATAACATTAAATAAATATTTTAAGTTTCTCCATTTTAATTTCTACTATAGATACTATTCACCTAAATTATCCAACTCAACTAAAGCTCTTTGGACTTATCAGTCTTTACAAGAATGTAAAAATTTCCTCAGATAAAAATATTTGAAGAGTGCTAGTTAATGGGTTAAAATCTAAGTCCATTGGATAATTAAGCAGAGTCCTAAAAGCCTGGCAATAGCTTCCCTTCCCAGAAATTTTGAGTGACTCCTATAGACACTAAATAAATCAATTTCATTGAAATGCCTTATCTGTACACAAATGCCTTATACTTTATATGTGCAATTTTTTACAATATTCCTCTTTCATGTAATGCTTTCTCCTTTAACGGATATACTTCTATGTTTATTATGAAAACACTTTTTAAGTAATACTTGTTTATATTGTTTCTTTGGCCCATCCAAATATAGAATCCTTTACTTTCTCATGTATGTTTTCTCAATACATATTTTTCAGTGCTCTTTTGTCTTGATAAATATTAGTGGACTGTGAGCAATTTGATAGCCAAGTTTGTTGTATATTACTCAGCTTTACTTTTTTTAAGCTCATGCTAAGATATTCAGCACATACTGATTAAAAATAAACTACTGAATTCTAATGGTAAATCCTTCCTAGAACTGAGATTGGGGATCAACATTTTTTGAAAAATTAGAAATATTTTAAAGAAATTAAATAGAATTAAAGATGTTTCAAGTAGAGAAATAAGAGTATATTTTAGGTTGTATCATTGCTTTATATTCAAGCTTACTGACAACATTCCTCATGCTACTTTGAGACTATAGTAGTCATAGCTTTTTTTGATGGGTAATAAGTAATAAATCGATTTCTTAAAAATATATGCTTGTGAGTATTCATGAGCAATATGCTGACTTTCTGATTATTTGATACACTATTCATCGTAGAGTGGCTGCTAGTTGATCTTTATTTCTAATTATTATTGAAATCAAAGTATTATACAAATCTTCAAAATGAGCAACCTCTATTCTTCTTTCAACATTGATTGAATCAGAATTGTTGATTCAGTTACACAGAAGGCTTTACTTTCTAAGATGTAAATGCAGCACATGCAGAACTTGAGATATGTTTCTGTAGAAATGTACATTCCTTATAGAATTTTCTTTTTAATATGCATGTGTACAAATTAAGTTATAATGTCAACAATTTGATTTATATGAGGGAGGCAGTTTTTCAGCTGCATAAAGATCACAACAGTTATTATTAAATAATATGGACATAAATTTTTTCGCCTGTCTATTATCTATACTCCTTTTGTTTGGTGAAGTCCCTTGATTTTTCTCTGGTGAATGCTCCGTTTTCATTCAGTTTTTGTGGTGCTGATAGAACTGACTCACATCTAAATTCCTAGAGCACATGATGCAGGCATGGCTCATTAGAATATCAAGTGATTGACCACAGTGATTTAGGGATAGCCAAGAACCTTAAGAGAAGTAAGCCAAACCAAGAAGAACCTTACAGGAACTGTTACTTGAAATACTGAGATACTGAGAAAAGGTTTACTTTTTCCACTGAAGTTTCCAAAATAATGGGGTAGAATCCTGAAGTCGTTGATGGGTATTTGCTCAGGACTCGCCTGGGAATCATGTCCAAGAGTGATATGCTAAGCCATGGATTGGCTTGATTGATTGATAGGTTGATTCCCAGTGAATTATCTCAGCCCATAGATCCAAATATTTCCAAAGCCAAAACAATCCTTGGACTTTTTGATGGCATGAGGCTATATATATATATATGAGGCTATATATATGTGTGTGTGTGTGTATATATATATATATGTAAGTTTATGTGTACATACACATGTATAATATACATACATACACACATATATATTTCTTAAAAGTACTTTAAGTTGGGTGTCCTTTATCATATATGACTGACACAGTAAAACTAACTCTATTTTTAGCTCAATCTTGCCAGAAATGTATCATAAAACAAAAGAATGAATCCACAATATGCATTATAACCCCATTAAGGATATCACTGATTACGTTGTAGACAAACATCATGACTGAAGCAATAGTATTTCATTCCTATAATACAGGCATACTAAATGCATTAACCTATTTTCTCCCCCAATGACTTTATGTACAATTCGAGAATAAAAATAAATGTCAGTTAAGTTGAAATACAAACTCAAAGTAAATTATAATTACTGGTTTTAGAGTGTCTTTTTATGACAAAAAGAGAAAGGCAGTTTTAGTACAGTGCATCATTAGTTTCTAAATCTTCTAAGTAATGAATAAAAGAGAATCTTACAAAATAATTCATAACTAGAATACTTAATATATATATATCTGTTAAACTCTAGTTTGCTGAACTCAAAAGCACAAACACCACCACCAATATTTTTTAGAATTTTATTGTAATTTAGACTAAATTATACAATTAATAAGCACACATCTACTTTTTATTACCTATTCTACATTCATTTTATCATGTATGAAACATTCTGTTATTATTTTAAGCACTGACTCCAATAAGTTTGAGTAAGATGTATGTCACATAAAATATATTGAAACACGGTGTGAAATTTGGCGAGAAAAATAGTGCTCTAGTTACATTATAAGTAATGCTATTTTAAGGTTAGACTTATATGCTGTAACCAGATCAGTAAAGGTTGCCTCCTGATATATAGGTTAATAAAATATCTAATAGTTCCAAAACTGAAAAAATCAGTTATGTAAATTTATATCATTAATAAGAGTAAAATACTAGATGCTTTATTTAGAAAAAAATATTATGTGAATGGTAAAATATTATATTACACTCTGATTTGAAACACATATACTAAACTCTTGGAAATTTAAGTAGCAGGTTTTAGTTACATTTTATTTTGACAGAGATGTATTAAGAAAATTATGCATGACTTTCAAAATTTGAGGTGACTATCATAATATACAATTAACCATTTTAAGGTACACAATTCATTGTAATTTAGTGTATTCACAATGTTGTGCAATCACCAGCTCTCTATAGTTTCAAAAGTTTTTCATCACCTCATAAAAACAGGGCATACCATTTAGGTAGTCATCCTCATCTCCCAAACTCACCCCCTCCTCCTGCTAAACTCTAATCTGCTTTTAATTTTTATGAGTTTGCCTATTTTTTACATATCATATTAAAGAATCATACAATATATGACCTTTTGTGTCTGGCTTCTTTCACACAGCACAATATTTCAAAGTTTTATACCCATGGTATTATGCATTGGTACTTTATTCCTTTTTCACAGAATAACGTTTTACTGTATTTATATATTACAATTTGTTTATCCATTCATCTGTTAATGGGCACGTAGGTTGTTTCTACATTTTGGTTATTATAAGTAATAGTGCTATAAATATTTTTGTATAAGTTCCTGTGAGGACATATGTTTCATTTCTCTTGGGTATATGCATAGGAATGGAATTGCTGGCTTATAAGGTAATTCCATTATTAACTTTTTGAGAAACACCAAACTATTTTCCATAGTGGCTAAAACACTTAATATTTGGCTCTGTGTCCCCAACCAAATCTCACCTTGAATTGTAATAATCCTAACGTGTCATGGGAGGTAAATGGTGGGAAGTAATTGAATCATGGGGTTGGTTACCTCCATGCTGTTCTCATGATAGTGAATAAGTCTCACGAGATCTGATGATTTTATAGAGGGGAGTTCCCCTGCACATGCCCACTTGATTGCAGCCATGTAAGATGTTCCTTTGCCCTTCCTTTCTCTTCTGACAAGATTGTGATGCCTTTCCAGCCATGTGGAACTGTGAGTCCATTAAATTCTTTCCTTTATAAATTACCCAGTCTTGGCCTGGCGCAGTAGCCCACGCCTGTAATTCAAGCACTTTGGGAGGCCAAGGCAGGCAGATCAGTTGAGGTCAGGAGTTCGAGACCAGCCTGGCCAACATGTTGAAACCCTGTCTCTACTAAAAATACAAAAATTAGCTGGGCATGGTGGCACACACCTGAAATCCCAGCTACTGGGGAGGCTGAGTCAGGGGAATCGCTTGAACCCAGGAGGTGGAGGTTGCAGTGAGCTGAGATTGCACCATTGCACTCCAGCCTGGTGACAGAGCGAGGCTCTGTTCCCCAAAATATATAAATAAATAAATAAATAAATAAATAAATAACCCAGTCTCAGATATGTCTTTATTAGCAGCCTGAGAATAGACTAATACACCATCAAGATATAAGGATTAATATTTCTCTGCACCTTCTCCAATTGTTATTTTCCTTTTTTTTTTTTAATTAAAGCCATCCTGTGAGTATTAAGTGGTAACTTTGTGGTTTTGATTTAAATATCCTTAAGGATCAATAATGTTGGCCATCTTTTTATGTTCTTGTTGTCTATTTGCATCTTCTTTGAAAAAATATCTGCTCAAGCCCTTTGACCATTTTTAATTGGGTTGTTTGTCTTTTTGCTGCTTAATTGTGAGAGCTTTGTGGGGTTTTTTCCTATAATCTGGATATTAATCACTTTAGATATATGATTTGAAAATAGCTCTCATTCTTTAGGCCATGTTTTTGTATTTTTGATAAAAAAATTTTTTAATTTTTACAAAGTCTAATTTTGTTATTCACATTTTTGGTGTCAATCTAAGAATTCATTGCCAAATCTGAGGTCATGAAAATTTACCTTATGTTTCCTTATAAAAGTTTGATAATTTTAGTTCTTATATTTAGATTGTTAGTGCATTTTAAGTTAATTTTTGTATGCAGTGTGAGATAGGTATTGAACTTTATTTTGCATGTTGTTATTCAGTAGTCTCAAACACCGTTGGTTGAAGAGAAAATTCTTTCCCTATTTAATAGTATTGGCACTACTGTTGAAAATCAATTGGCTTTAAATGTTTGGGTTTATATTTGGATTCAATTCTATTTCATTGGTTAATGTATCTATTCTCATTCTAGAGTCACATGATTTTTATTATTTAACTTTAAAATACATTTTGAAATTAAGAAGTGTGAGTTTGCCTTCATGTTTTCCCTTTTTCAATTTTATTTTGGCCATTTGGGGCCCCTTGAAGTTTCACATACATTTTTGGGGTGTCTATTCTATCCCTGACAAAGGGCCATTGGAATTTGAATAATAGTTGCACTGAATCTCTAGATTGCCTTGGAGAATACTGGCATCTTAAGATATTAAATTCTCCAGTCCATGAATATGGAATATCTTTCCATTTATTTGTGTTTTCTTTAATTTATTTTAACAAATTTTTGTAGGTTTTAGGGGTATTTCAGCATATTGATTAAATTTATTTGTAAGAGGTATTTTGTTTTGTTTTCTTTTGTTTTAAATCCTCTGGACTCTGTTGTATGTGGAATTGTTTTCTTAATTTACTTTTCAGATCATCCATTGCAGGTGTAGCAAAACACAACTGACTTTTATGTTTTGATTTTGTACCCTGTAACTTTACTGAATTTGTTTATTAGCTCTAGCAGGTTTTTTGTGTGCATACTCTGTAGGTTTTACGGTATACACAATCATGTCGTCTACACATAGAGAGTTTTACATCATCCTTTCAATTTTGATGCCTTTTTATTTGTGCCTCATTGCTCTGCTAAGACTTCCAGCACAATGAATAGCAGGGATGAAAGCAGGAATCCTTGTATTGTACTTGCTCTTAGCTTTCAGTCTTAAACCATTAAAAATTATGTTAGCTATGAAAGTTTTATATATGCCCTTTATTAAGAAAGTTTCCATCTATTTCTAGTTTGATTAGTGTTTTAATGATAAAAAGATGTTGATTTTTTTCAAATATTTTTTCAGCATTTATTAAAATAATCATGGGTCTCCTGCCTTACTTTATTCTCTTAATGTGATACAGTACATTGATTCATTTTCTTATGTTCAACCAACTTTACATTCTTAGGGTAAATCCACTTGGTCATGGTGTATAGCACTTTTAATGTGCTGTTGAATTCATCTTGCTAGATTTGTTGTCGGTGGTGGTGGTGTTGCTGTGGCTGTTGCTGAGTATTTTGTGCCTACATTCATTAAAAAATATATTGGTCTGTAGTTTTCTTAGTTTCTGGTATATTTTTCTGACTTTGGTATCAGAGTAATGTTGGCCTCACAGAAGAGCTTGGAAGTTTATTCCTCTTATATACTTTTGAAAGAGTATGAATACGATGGATGTTAGTTATTCTCTAAAGATTTGCTAAAATTCAAGAGTGAAGCCGTCTTATCCTTTTCTTTCTAAGAAGTTTTTGATTACCAATTTAATCACTTTATTTATTATAGGTCTGTTAAGATTTCCTATGTCTTTTTGTGTTCAATTTGGTATTTTTTTTGTTTCTAGAAATAGGTCCATTTTATCTAAATTATTTAATTTGTTTGGTTTGCAATTGCGAATATTTTTCTCTTATAATCCTCTTAATTTCTGTAAAGTTTCCAGTAATGGCCCCATTTTTATTCTTGACTTTATTTTCATTTACTCTCATTTTTTTCTTAGTCAGTATAGCTAAAAATTTGTCAAAGTGGTTGATCTTATCAAAAAAGCTTCTTGATTGGGTGTAGTTTCCTCTCTGTTTTCTTTTTTAAAGGGAAAATTTTGGCTTGCTAATTTGAGGTCATTCTTTTTCTTCTTAAATATAGGTATTTACAGCTCAGAGAATAAATTACTCTCTGAGCACTACTTTAGCTGTATCCAACAAGTCTTGGTATGTTATGCTTTTTTTTTCTTTCATCTCACTGTATTTTCTAAGTTTTTTCTTGTGAGTTATTTTCTGCCCCATGGGTTTTTTAAGAAATATTCTGATGAATTTCCATATAATTATAAATTTTCCAAAATTTCTTCTGCCTTGATTTCTAATTTAATCCCACTGTTTTCAGAGAAGATTCTCTGTAAGAATGGAATTCCTTAACCTAACCTTGTGTAGGCTTGTTTTGTAGTCTATCCTGGCAAATGTCCATTTGTGCTTGACGAGAAAAAAAAGTGTCATCTTCTCTTGTTCAAAAAGTGGCCCATAGATGTCTGTTAGGAGATTTGGTTTATAGTGTCATCCAGGTCTTCTAATTCCTTGTTGATCTGCTTACCTAGGTATTGTATCCATTATTGAAAATGGAGTAGTTAAGTGTCCAACTATTATTGTTTAATGGCCATATCTTCCTTTTATTTTGCCAGTTTTTGTTTCATGTATTGGCTGTATTCTTAGGTGCATTTTTTTTTTTTTTGGAATTGTTAGACCTGTTTGATGAGTCGGCCCTCTTATTATTTTAAAAGATCTTATAAATTTCTTATATTAAAGTCTATTCTGTCTAGTATTTACATAGCCATTCTGACTATCTGTTGATGATAAATTAAGAATGCATATATAAATCATTGAAAGCAACCAATAAAATAATAAAATAAAAAAGGTTGCCAGGAAATATAGCAACACTATAGAATAACTGGAATGTAATAATTAAAATAATACATTAACCAAGGTATTAACAGGAAAGAAGAGACATAGAAAGAAAAAAATGTGACCGATAGAGATTAACTTGCCAAATAATGTAACTAACTCAACTATAACAATAATTACGTTAAATTTAAGTAAAATATATCTTTGCTACTTAATTGAAATATTTATTACTTATATGTTATATAGATTATATAAATTTATATAATCTAATTATAATTATAAATTTCTATAATCTATATAACATTTAATATAGAATAATTTATACAGTATATAAATATATATTCTAAGTAATACGTATTTCAATCAAATGGCAAAGATATATTTTATTTAATATACTTACATAAGTAAAAAAAGTATAAGACTGCATAAGAAATATACTTATATATTCTAAGTAATCTATATTTCAATCAAATGGCAAAGATTGTCAGAATGGACTAAAAGCAAGAAGGCTGTCTACAAGCCAGGAAGAAGGCTCTTACCAGTAGTCAAATCTGCCAACACCTTCGTCTTTGACTTCCCAGGCCCCAAATATGTGAGAAATAAATGTCTGCTGTTTAAGTTAGTCTATAGCACTTTGTTACAGAAGCCCAAACTGACTAAGACAGGGCTTATCCCAGGAATTCAAGGCTGGTTTATGATTCAAATACCACTCAATCAAATTTGCCATATTTGTAGAATAAAATACCAAAAATAAGTTTATTCTAACAGAGGCAGTAAAATAATGTGAAAAAGATATGAAACATGTTAGATGTCTTAGAAAACTAGGCAAATATAAAAGAAGCTTGTTCAATATGATAACAAAATATAAACAGCATCTAACATCGTATTTAAATACTCTAATGGTCAATTTTATATGTCAACTTGGCTAGACTATGGTTTACAGTTGTTTGCTCAATACCATTCTAGATATAAGTGTGAAGGTATTTATCATATGTAATTAACATTTAAATCAGTAGACTTTGAGTGAAGCAGACTACTTACACTCCATAATATGGGTGGGTCTCATTCAATTAGTTGAAATTCGTAGGAACTATGACAGAGGTTTCCCAAAGCAAGGAATTGGCCTCAAGGCTTCAGTATTAAATCTTACCTGAATTTCCAGCCTGCTGGCTTGCCCTAGAATTTCAGACTTCCTAGACCCATAATCACATGAGACAATTCCTTAAAATATCAATGTCGCTCTCTCTCTATATATATATATGTACATATATGTGTGTGTGTGTGTGTGTGTGTGTGTTTGTGTGTGCATTTCCTAATAGTTCTCTGGTGTATCTTCTCTTATGCAATAGTGAAATACCAAAAGGTGTTTTTTGTTTTTTTTTTTCTGAGATAAAGAAGCAAATAAGAATGTTTCCTGTTTCTCTTTTTTCATTTAACTGTCTACTTTGGCTCTTAGAAGTGTAATAAGGAAAGTTTTTTTAAAAAGGCATACAGATTGGAAAAGAAGTGGTAAAACTTTCCTTATGCACAGATTATACAATTATCTATTACAGCAAAGTTATTTAATGTGCTTCTATAACAAGAAGCACATTAAATATCTAGTAATGACATTTAAAAAATAAAATGGAGGTGAAATTAACTTGATAAGATACTTTACTTAATGCAATATATCCAAAATACATCTCATCTTAAAATGTTTTAATCATTTTATCTTACTGTCTTTAAAATCTAATGTATATTTTACACTTAGAGTGCATCTCAATTTGGACTAGCCCTATTACAATTGGTCAGCAGCCACATGTGGCTGAATGGCTGCAGTATTGTGCAATTCAGTGTTTGAAAATTCTAACAAGTTTGAAAAACAACTATATAAACTAATAATTAAATTTGGTAAGCTCACTGCATACAAAGTGAACAAGACATTTGCTGGACTGCAAATTCATTTAATTAAGCAAGCTTTCTCTTGAATTCCAACTTGGAGAATTGCAAATGTATGATATCAGTTTCTTTAATTTTATAGTTTGTCAAAATGCGTTTCTTTCTTTCTTTGAAATATATTTCATTTTGGGCCAGTAAGATGAGGGATTTACTAGCTTCCTCTGATTCTGTGTTACATGTTAGTGGCTAACAGATTAATACTTAACCAAGATACTGAGTGGGATAATAGTACTCAATATAAATGAGTCTCATGTCAACTTTCTCCACTAATTATCCACACAAAATCATAAATCACTTAGAATCTTTTACAACTACTCAATAAAACATTCTCTAAGAGATAATATACCAAAAAAGTAGTAATATTTCAGGTTTTAAAAAGAACTATATGTAGAGTATATTTATCAGAGTAAATGGATTCTGTATCTGAACCAATAGGGACAGAAGGTACGTAGAAATCATGAAAAGATACGTAGAAAGCATGAAAAGTCCTGAGAACTATAACTTAATATTTTCATAATGCAGTTACTATATTTTTGATATATGAAATATTTTATATTTGTCTAGATAAAATTTATTCACAAAACACTTATAGAATTAATTTTACTTAAATGAGATAAAAATGTATTGTTCTACATCAGACAAGAAGAAATTCAAAAATGGTAAATTCAACTTTTACGCAACTTATAAGTAACTGAGATAATCTCAAAGAACACTTTCAGATCAGTTTTTTTCAAAGCACCAAATTTGCAATTATTTATTAACATTCCAAAACAAGTGATTTTGTGTTTAAATGGCATATATATATAGAAAATACCCATTTTCTTTTATTGGAATATGTCTGTGCATTTAAAAAGCTAAAATGAATTTTGCTAATTTTGCTTTTTAATTTTTGTGTGTACATAGTAAGTTTATGTATTTATGGGACATATGAGATATGTTGATATAAGAACACAATGTATAATAATCACGTGTATCTTAAATCTGCGAAAGAGAAGTATGCAATATTTCCCAGGCTTATTTTACAAAAATGTTTTTTGGCTAAATCCTTATGAAATTCCATAGGAACACTGTTTATCTTAACAAATGTTTGACAAAATTGCCTACAACATTTTCTTTTATTCTTTAAAGAATTTAGAATACATTATTTATTTATATATATACATATATATACACATATATACATATATATACACACACATATATATACATATATATATTTGAGATGAAGTTTCACTCTTGTTGCCCAGGCTGGAGTACAATGGTGTGATCTCAGCTCACTGCAACCTCTGCCTCGCAGGTTCAAGTGATTCTCCTGCTTCAGCCCCCTGAGTAGCTGGGATTACAGGTATGCGCCACCATGCCTGGCTAATTTTTTTTTTTTTTTTTTTTGTACTTTGAGTAGAGATGGGGTTTTTCCATATTGGTCAGGCTGGTCTCGAACTCCCGACCTCAGTTGATCCGCCCATCTTGGCCTCCCAAAGTGCTAGGATTATAAGCGTGAGCCACCGCGCCCAGCCTATTTATATGTTTTATGGAGACATATATATATATTATATATATTATATATATAATATATATATTATATATATTTTATATATATATATATATTATATATATTATATATATATATATATGCATATACTCATAAAAGTTATAAAGTATCTTCAGTTTTTTAGTTTAAAAATTTGGACCAAATTAACCAAGCAAAATATGTCGGCAGTCTATGTGCAATATTTGCAAAATATACTAAAATAAATAAAAATATTGAGCAAAAAATTTTAGCCAAATTTAAAATAAAATTTCAACAGTTACAATATTTTTATAAATAGACCATTTAACAGATTTTTTTTTTAGTATTTCCATCTGACATTTTTGCTGTTTATGTTGTATTTAGACTTTTTCCCATCTGAGCAGTTCAAAGGCCATTTTTATTAAGCTTCCAAAAAATAATCAGTTTGATTTTCAACACAGACTCCACATAAGTAAGCTGGATATTGATGTTTTACAGTTTATTGATACACTATTTTAGTTCAAAAGAAAATTAATCAGACATAAACATTGTAATTGCTTAATAAAATTCAATTATTCAGGTATCTTGGGAAGGCTATCATGTTTTAATAACTAAATAAATAAAATTAGATCAAGCTTCTTTGACATACTTGGAACTTTTTCCTCCATAGAACTAACCAAAATAGTACATGTAATTATAATGATCCTTTCAGAACAGAAAAAACATTCACAATTTCAGAAAATGGTTTTAAACACATGGGGTTCCATCTGCTACCTGCTCCACTTTTAAAGTGCAAAGCCTATCTCATGGTAGCATTCCTCAAGATGCATTTGGAGTCTGAGACAAACCCACATCTGCCAGCTCTGGAACAAGTAGGTAGATTCCTCTATAGACCATGTATTGTCTTCCCTGGCCATACTACTGTCCCATCTCCACAATAAAATCTGCTTTAATAGCTTGCCACAAATTACTTAATCATACTTATCTTTATTACTTTGGAATAAAGTATCAATATCCAGGAGGCTCCTCTAAAATGCAAATTTATTACCTGAAATATTCACTTAGTGTCCTACTTGACACCACTCAGTATTTTAGACTAGCATATCAATTCTTAAATTTGTTTAGGAGTTGTTTGGACCCTTAAAACTTACAAAGGTTCCCAACACAAGCTTTTGCTTATGTGGTATATAGCTATTTATATTTAATATTCGATATTAAAACTAATAAGTTTGTAAATATTTATGTACTAATCTTAAAATGGCAATAACAAGCCCATATATAAACATAAATGCCATATTTTTAATGAAAAAATATTTTTTCAAAAAAAAGATAAGAGTGTCACTGCTTTACATTTTTGTAAATTTCTTTATGTCTGGATTAAAGAAGACAAATAAATTGTCATATAAGCTCTGATTTCAACCTATTATACTGTTATCACATCATGTTGACTTTAAAAAACACCAAACAATCTGAGTATTGTAAAAATAGTTTTGAATCAATGTATACCCTGGAAGTATTGTCTGGAGACTCCTGGGACCCACCCCCCAGACCGTTCCACAGTGGATGTCAAGTCAAACTGTCTGGTCAAACCCATAACAACGGTCCTGGACAGAAGGACCTGAAGATGTCAGTGGACAGCTGGGAAGATGTAGTGAGAAGAACCGAGGTTTTGAAAAGCTCCTAAGCCAAACTTCACTGATTTTATGAATTTCCTCTGAGCTAGCTCTTTCAAATATATTGTTAATTATTGAGATAAGATGCTTTCTTGACCTTTCTTTTTATTAGATTCATTTCTTATATTGAAATTGAATTACCACACTGAAATTGTGTGGGTATATTTTATCAGTCTTTTTCCTACACTATAATAATACTGGCACAAAAAAACAATACTGACTGTAAAAGATCACAGGTCTTGTGGCATGAATTTATTTTCCCTCCCTTCAATTACATTTATTTTCAGAACACTGCAACCAAGGGGGTGCCATAAAGGTACTGAGCCCAACTATGAATAATTGTTTTTCTCTTAAAAATAATCTACTTTTAACTTCAGAGGGTATAAAGGCTGAGACAAAATAATAATTCAGTCACTGAGATTCAGAAACCACGTACTTCAACATTTTTATTATTTTCCTTTATACTTCCTTTATTTACGGTTCTTTATATAAAAATAAAATATAAATGGAATTATATACTTTACAAGAACATATAAAGAACACAATATGGACAAATTAATTCTATATTTAAATATTGCATTTTTGTACACACAGCTGCATTTGGTTCTATTGAAAGTGATTATTACAGACATACAACCTGATTTTAAAGCACAAAATCTAAGAAATAAAATAATATTTTAATTATACATAAAATATACAGCAATCACATAATTTCACAAATGTAAACAAAATTATATGATACAATATGGCTTTAAAAGGAGCTAGACATAATACTGTGATATAACTGAATCTTTATCTGTATAAAAACTGCAGTATTTTTCTTAAGAAAGGAAGATATTTCCAATTGTGTTATGTCAGAGTGAAGGAACAAAGAAAGAATACAAAGAAGAGTATTTGAGATGTAGTTTTAGGTTAGATACTGACATGTAACTGAGATTGTCCTATTTGCAACTCAAATTAAGTAAACACAAGATGGTTTTCATTTAAAAAAAGGTAAGAACATAAAAATATATTAAAACACAATATCGGGAAGGGTTATTCTATGGAGATAATTGTATACTAAACACAGAATTTCTTCAGTGAATATAATGGCAGTGGTTGAAAGGAGAACTGCTAAGGTCAAATATGGCAAAGGGTTATTGCACAAAATTACACAATGTAGATAGGACTAAGAAGAGCACTTACAGCTTGTTCCTGTATTTCCAGAGATAGACCAAACACTTTAGTGGAAGGTTTTAAATTACCCTTTCAGGATAAACCCAGCCAGTGTGTTGCTGGGTGGGAAAGATCTCTAGCATCCACCAAAATGTGGTCAGGCTAAGTAGTTTCTGAGGTCATTAAGGACCACACAAGAAAGACATTTCTCCCATCTATTGTATTGCACTTCTATTATACAGTCCTGGATAAAGAAAATAAGACTCCAGAGAAAAGGCATGTGCCTTAGCAAGAGAAAGTATGGTTTTAGAGGTCTCTTCATCACCAAATGAAGGTTGTTGTACATGTGGGCCACTATGAAGCAAATTCCTGCTGAAACAAAGAGCTACCAGTGGCCGATTAGCAATCAGCTCACCTGTTCCTTGGGCTTACTGAACCCTAAACTAGTAGACCAGGTACAGGTTGTTACTGAACTTTACCATGAGGTATGAAAACATTTGATAAAGACATCAAAATTTGGATTTTAGTTCAGAAAAGGAGATAATCTTTCCCTTTGTGGAAAAAACCCACCTTGAGCTTACTAGAAGTTACGCACCAACATAAAAGTAAAGCAATAACTTAAAGAATGACGTTTTGTAAGAAAATACAAAACTTATTTAAGAAATGGACTTTATTGGTGTGTGACTTTTTTTCTGGTATAAATTCACCTCAGATGTATAATTATTTCTATTGTTCCTACATTTGTTAACAGTATTGTTTGGGGACAGACACAACATGCTTTGGTGTATATAATCAATATTGAATTATCATTCTTTTCTCTCCTTTCTTGGAAACTTGGAAGAAACTGCAGAAATAATACCACCATTTTAGTGTTCCCATTTGTTCACCATTCTTTTATTCTTTCCCATATATTTCACATATGGTGCTCCATATTTTTAGCAGCAACAGTGCAGGTAACATATACTTACAACAGGTGTTCATGAATAAAACCAAATAAAAAGGTAACAGCTCAGAGTTTGCAGTAGAATAATTCCCACTGTTGAGTTCTCTAAGCAGCTATGTAGTTTGTTCCCTACAGCTATTAAGCAGTGCAAACACATGGAAGACATATAACGATGCAAAGTATTTCTATCTAATCAAACTCTGGAGATGAGAATCACATCTTTGTATTCTCAGCAATGGTTTAGTTAACATACATTTAATAACAGTGCCTATAACTAATCCTCATATTTACACTAATTATTATTTCTATTTTCACACAAAATGAAATTCCCAAAAGCAAAAAAGCTGATGAAATAGAGCTTAGGTATAAGCTCAAATCTTTTTTATTGGCACTCTTTAAGAAAGTTTATTCACCTGATTTCATCACAGGACTTGTGTTAATAGCTAAAGAATTCTATTACAACTATTGTGAAGACAAAAAGCATTCATTATAAATATGAGACACTAATTTTCAAAAGACCTGCAAATCACAGTGATAAAAATCATTCCCAATTAGTTCTTCCTAATACCTTACTTGATTATGATTTTGTTTTCACTGTGTTTTAGTCTGTTTTCTGTTGACAACAAAATACTTAAAGCTGGGTGACTAATGAGAAATGAAATTCTCATTAGAGGGAAGGGCTACATCTGGTGAGAGCCTTCTTGCTGGTTGGTTCTCCACAGAGCTCTGAGATGGCACAGGGCGTCCTATGGTGAGGGGGCTGAGCATGCTAGCTCAGGTATCTCGTCCTTTTATAAAGGTGCTAATGCCATTCCCATGATAACCCATTAACTCATGAAGCCTTTAATCCATGAATCAATGAATGGGTTCAACTTTTAATATTGTCACAGTTGAGATTAAGTTTCAACATGAATTTTGGAGAGGACACTCAAACCATAGTATACTGTTTTGTAATAGTGGCATATAATCTGTAGCACATGACTAACATTTCATAATTCATATTGTTTTTTACCTGATGCATTGTATGGGCCATGCATCTCTAACAAAGCTTTAAGCTTTTAGAGAGTATATGTGTTTATTAGTCTCCAAAAGCCCTTAGTACATTGTTACACATGTAGCAGTGTCCCAATAAAGACATGCTCACTAGCAAAATATAGTCAAAATTTAAAGCATGAATTTAAAAATGGCATGTTCACTGTAATTTATAAATACAAACTACTTCATCACTAGAGCAAGATTAATAAATGAAAGCACTTGGCAAAACCCCTTCAGATAGATTTATAAGACACATTTATCTTGCTATTCTCTCTTTAAAAATATCTATGACCAGTTTAGTTCAGATCTAACCTTGAACAGAAGTTACAAAGAGGTATTCCTATTTTATACATTAAAATAAGAAGTAGCTTTTCATTAAATATAATGGATTCAGCAAACATGAATAAAAAGCTCTTTGAGTTAAGCTGAATATATGACCCAAAAGAAATCCTAATAAGAAAATTTCAGGATCATAAACAATGTTAATTAAAGATCTCCACTCAACGTATCTTAAAGCTAGATGTTAAAGTGACTTAACTAAATAAATATTTCCATTGAAAAATAACTATCTTACAAACTTGTGAAAGCAAAATATATACCATATTTCCTAATTTTCCTTTTCACCATGCACTATATAGAATCATTTGGTTATTTTTCTTCAAAGTTATTTCCATAGTGCCTTATCCAAATTAATTCCAAATTCAGTCTTCAAGGGTTCTCCTCCCTTTCTAGACTTTCTACTGTGACTTCTAAAACCTCATTTATGTGACAGCACTCTCCCTTGCACTCACTGTGTGTGTATGCTTTCCTAATATGGTGTGATAATGAGCAGCTATTCCTTGTTCACGTTGACTATATGTAGATTTTTCAATGTGCATAGTTAACCAATGTATAAAGTTTGTTTAATAAATTATTATCTTTGTTATATTTTGGACAATCGCTCATGAATATGGTATGGGACATTCCTTATTTCTTTGGCTCAAACAGCTTTGTTGAGCCTGGTGTCAGTAGTACATCTGGCATTTCCATCTTCTTCATGGAAAATTTCTGGATCTCTCTGAGTTGTCAAGGAACATGCTTCTTGAACCCCACTCCACAAGTGCGTTTATGAGTATCTTCTGATCATTCTCTTGTTGATGGCAGAAGAACGCTTCTTTTTAACCTCACCCTTCTTTGTCAGAGCCATTTTGCCTGGCCCATACTAGAAAAGACTCTCCCAAGCACTCTTAAACCTTATTTCTATTTTATTTTATTAAACCTTACTTTTACACTTTGAACCTTATTGAAAAATAATACTTTTAATGAAATCTGTTTTTTCTTCATTGTTCAACATACTTAAGTGTGAAGAGTTAGGATTGGACCTCTATGCTCCTAAATGACACTACTACTTTATATTTTTATTAAAAAAATACATATCAAAAAATTCTTTATGTTTTTAGATATTTTGTGAGGCCCACCTTCTATCTCCATTAGTTCCTGTTGATTTCCAACTGACAAGCTAACCTATTTCTTTTATTGAAGATTTTCCACTTGGCTCTGCGTCTTCCACAACGCATCAAGAAAGTTATTATAGTCTCTTCAGTATTATGGCCTACCTGCTTTATAACCCCTACATCTTCTTTCCTTTTTCTGTGCACTTTGTTCAGCATCTTTCTCCACGTTCTTTGCTGTCACCCTAAGATTTTATTTCTCTGAAGTCACTTAGGTAATCTGGTCTCTTCTACTTTAATCACTCAAGTGCTTTTATCATTCCTACATTTTGACATTAATATTAAACTTTCCTTCTCATGAACCTCTCTCTGTTTTCCTATCTCTCAGCCACCCCTTCACTTCTCTCCCTGTGGCTCATAATTTAAACATTTTCCAGTCAGTAGTCCCAATCTCTTACCTGCTATCTATATATGCTATTTATCTGCAGACTCTACCTGACTGAATTCCACTGTCACTCAATTGTCTGCTAAGGGTGTTCTGCTTAAAAACTGCTCTTCTAATTCAGACTCCTCTCCATATTTAGAGTAATTTATTGTGAAATGCAAATCTTATCACATTTCTTTCCTACTTACAACTCACCAATGTCTTTATATTATTTTTAGCAAAAAATCCAGAATCTTATATGTCCCAAAAATATCTTTCGGATTCAAAAATCCTTTTGTCACCTAAACTCCATCAAACTTGCAAATTCATTCTTTGCCATTGACTTTCCTTCGTTACTTTATTTCTCTTTAAGACCTTTTTGTTTACTTCTTTCTATACCTTTCTTTACCTTTTACTGTATTATGGTTTCTCTTTGCTTCTCTAGATCTGAATTACGCTTAATGTCTCAGCTTAAGCATCAATCCTTCCAGGGAGCCCTACATTTCTAACTAATACATTGCACCATAGATACCTCTGATGTATGTTTATATAACACTGGGTATAGCTCATCTTAAGGCACTATGAATGTTCTTGTTCAAATGTTTCTTCTCCTCATCACTGGCTTCTCATTGCTGCTTTAAGACAGTCTCCCTTTAAGAATTCCAACTTTGATGCTGATTTATATATATAACTTAGGATCTTGATTGTCATTTAACAAACCCTATTTACTCCTCAACTCTGAGCAATTCATTTCATTCATGGCATGATTATACCAATTTACATATTTTTTAAAAGAAAGAGAAATAGCCGGGCGCGGTGGCTCACGCCTGTAATCCCAGCACTTTGGGAGGCTGAGGCGGGTGGATCACGAGGTCAGGAGATCGAGTCCATCCTGGCTAACACAGTGAAACCCCGTCTCTACTAAAAACACACAAAAATATAGCCGGACGTGGTGGCGGGCGCCTGTAGTCCCAGCTACTCTGGAGGCTGAGGCAGGAGAATGGCGTGAACCCGGGAGGCGGAGCTTGCAGTGAGCAGAGATGGCGCCACTGCACTCCAGCCTGGGCGACAGAGCGAGACTCCGTCTCAACAACAACAACAACAACAACAACAAAACAACAAATAATAATAATAATTTAAAAAGAAAGAGAAATAATCTGGCCTTTGCATTACATCCACTTCTCGCCACCAATGATAATATAAAATCGATTTCAACCACTTGTTCCCCAGATCTTACACTAAAGACTTTGTATGATCTTGTATGATATTTGTGTAAATTAAATTGCCTGCATACTTCTCTCTGACTACCTCTTCCTAATTTTCAAGTTTACTCTTCCCAGTATTTCCAACAATTCTCAGGTCCATCAAGACCTCCAATCTGTGATCCAATAACCATTTCATTGTTTTTCACTCGTGATTTATTCTATTTCTCACCTTGCAATAGAAATCACTCTAAAATGTAAGCTAAATGACTCACTTCCCTCCTATTACACTATCTTTTCTCACACTTTTCAGTCGCAATGACTGCTATGCTATTTTCCAAACATGACAGGCGTATTCCTCCTTTAAGGCCTTTAATATATAACTGCCTTTTTCTCACCTGTTCCTCAAATATTCACTTAACTAAATGGCTCACCTGTTCTGGTCTTTTGTTTTGTTTTGTTTTTCTCCCCAGGCCTCATCTTCTCAATTAGTCCTACTTGACCGATCTATTTAACAAATCTTCCCATCCTGCATTTTAATTCCTCCTTATTATAGTCTAATTTTTATTTATCTTTTATTTAATAGTGCATTTCATCTTCTAGCATACTATCTTCTAGCATACTGTATAATTTATTTATTTCATTTTACTTTTTATGTCCAATAAGGTTAGGTGTCTACATTTTGACTGCTCTATGTATCCCAGTGTCCTTAGATAGTGTTTGGCAAACAAAAGGCAACTGATAAATAACTGTTAAATAAATAAATACCTAATTTGTCTAATTACTCTCTTGCTTACATTGTATGCTCAATGGCACTTTTTTAATACTCTTAAAATAAAAACAAAAAGCATTGTCTTGCCTCTATCCAACTCTCCATACCCAGTCCTGTGTCCATAAATGTCAAGGATTACAGTAAGCTTCACGTTTAATTCCTGACAACAGACTTTAAGTGAGCTCTTGATGTTGCCAAGTGAGCATTTCTAATTCCATATCCATGGCCCTTTCATTGTCCCAGGATCCTAGAACACTATTTCATACCTCTTTCCTCCCCAAACTCTAGCACATCCTTGCCTAAATTTACTCCACTCAGATAATTTTGCTTCTTAGTTCAATAAAAACATAAAATAAACATCTAACCTTACTGGAGACAAAAAAAAATAAATAGAAAGGAACATCTAAGAATTCCAGTCTTCACATACACCCTCTTACCAGCAGCAACAGCACACATTTTGATTACCTGACTCTTAACACAGATGACACATTCATGCTCTCACCTAAAGCTATCCCCCTATACATGCATTAAATCCTGTCTCCTTTTATGTATTCAAGGACATCACTCCACCAACCTTTTTTTCCTCTTACATTAAATTTTTTTAGATTCTACTGAATTATTCCAGACAGAATGGAATAAAGAATTTATTTCTCACATTAATTTTTAAATTGACTGAACACCCACCCTTCCCCTTCATCTAACTGTGCGATGCTCTCCCATACAGGAGAAATTCTTAAGTAAGTTTCCATATTTATGGTACCAAATTTATTTATTACTTCTTAAAATCAGTACAACAGACTTCTATTCAGAAAACATCTTTGAAACTATTTTCAAGACAAAAAATTTAACATATCGTTAAATCCAGTGTAAGTTATTCTCATCTTACTTGACCCACCATTAGTTTTGACTTAATTGATCACCTCTCCTTCCTAACATTTTTTTTTTATTTCCTGTATTACTACTCACTCACTTTCTTCTTTTTTTTTTTTCTTTTTTCTTTTTTTTTTTTTTTTTTTGGTAAGTTCCTCCTGGTACCCCTCACTCCTAAGAACTTGAAAACCCCAGGGTTCAGGTCTTGTCTTCTCTTCTATTTACCACTCTGTTAACACAACCAGTGTTGTGGTGTTACATACTAGCTATGTACTTCTGCCCTCCTAGTTCTCTGTCTTGAGCCTCTGATCCCTATACCCAACTGCCTTCTTGACATCTTCTCTTAAGTATCTAGTGGATATCTCAAACTAAACACATTTTAAAAATTAAACTGATTTTTTTGTTTCATCCATATTTGTCTTTTTTATGAACTTTCAAATTTCAGTTCGTGGCAACTTCAGTTTTTCGGTCACTAAGGCAAAAACCTTTGAGTGATAATGACTTATCTTCTCACCACTTTCTATAACCAATCTCTCAGGTGGTAATGTTGGTTTTACCTAAAATTTAAGCAAAGGCAAAATAATTTTGTCAGCTATGGAATTTTATCCCTGATTGGAGCAACTAATTATCATCTATCACCTGAATCACTGTAATAGCCTTATACCCTCTACATTGCTTCTACTCTGTCTCTTTCAATCTATTCCATACATTCCAGCATTACTTTAGTTGCATAAAACTTACATGAATAAATCACACAAACCTTAAGTGTACAAGTCATGAATTTTGTTAAATGTATACACTTAAATGATCACTGCCTCATGCAAAATATAGAGTAGTTATAGCACCCCGTAATATTCCTTTTTCTAGGCAATCCGCAGTCCCTGGGCACAGGCTTGTCTGTGTTGTATTTTCATAGATTAGTTTTATCTAATTTTGAACTTTATAACATAAATGAAATAATATACAATGTGCAACTTTAGCTTCTTTTGCTTAACAGTTTTTTAGATATTCTTATTGTTTTTATAAATTAGTAGTTCATTATTTTTTCACTGCTGGCTAGTATTCTATGAACGTAGAATTATTTATGTATGCATTTTCCTATTTATGAGTATTCAGATTGTTTAAATTTGAGGGTGTAAATGAATAAAGTTGCTATGATTATTCATGTACAAGTCTTTTTGCAGAAATATGTTTTTATTTCCCTTTGATAAATAAGATTGAAATAACTGGCTCTTAGGATATGTGTATGTTCAACTTCATAAAAAACTGCAAAACTGTTTTGTTGTTGTTGTTTGTTTGTTTATTTTACTTTAAGTTCCGGGATACATGTGCAGAACATGCAGGTTTGTTACACAGGTATACATGTGCCATAGTGGTTTGCTGCACCTACCATTTTAAAGAATGTATCACTTAACAGTCCCACCAGAAATCTATAAGATTTTGAGTTGTCCCGAATTCTCACCAATATTGGTTTAATTTAGTCAAAATGAAGAATGTTAAGTGACATCCCATCATTGTTTTAAGATTCATTTCCCTGATGACTAATGGTGCTTAACAGCTTCTGTGTGTTTTTGGTCATCTGAAAATTTTCTTTTGTTAAATGTCTCTTTAAGCCTCTGGCTTATTGTTTCATTGGACTGTTTGTGTTTAGTTATTAATATATCAGAGTTCTGTCAGATGGTTCTTTGCACATAGAATCTAAGACATTTGCTCACCTGAAGGTAGCAAAAATATGCTGCTATCGTTTATTCTAAAAGCTATATGGTTTTAGATTTTAGAATAGATGTAGTAAGAGAAAGCAAAAGAAAAATCAATATGACTTGGCTTTGGCTTTACAGCTATGATAATGTAATTGCTGTGCTCATTTAATTTTTTGTGAGATACGAGGTTGGGTTCATAAATCTTTGGTTTTTGTTTGTTTGTTTGTTGGCCTTTTTTTTGCCCAGTTATTATAAGACCATTTTTTGAAAAACTTTCATTTCCTCATACAATTAACTTTGCACCTTTGTAGAAAATTAAGGGAAAATTTGTATTGATTTTCTATTGGTGCTATAACAGAATGCCATAAACTTAATGGCTGAAAACAACACAAATTGATATCATAGAACTATGCAGATAGGACCAAACATGGGTCTTCCTAGGCAAAATCAACTGTTTTCAGAGTTGTGATTATTTTTGAAGGCTGTAGAGGAAAAACTGCTTCCTGCTTTTTTGGCTTTTGGAGACCAATCACATTGTGTCAAGACCACATTCTCCACCTTCAAAGCCAGCAGGGGCAGGCCAATGCTCTTGCCTTCAATAGTCACTTTTCTCTCTGTCTTCTGTTTTCTTCTTCCACTTTTAAGAAGCATTGTTGTGATTATATTGGGCCCACCTAGATGATCTGGAATAATCTCCCTATTTTAAAGTCAACTGACTCGGAATTTTAATTCAGTCTGCAACCTGAATTCTCTTTTCCTTAGAGATAACATTTTCATAGGTTTGGGGGATTAGGATGTGGAACTCTTGGGGAACCATTATCCTGCATAACATATTATGTATATGTCAGTCTGCTTTTTGACACTCTGCTCGTTTCATTGATCCATTTATATGTTTTCACAACAATACTGCACTGTTTCCATTACTAAAGTTAAAATAAAATGAGTATTAATATCAGGTAGTTAAGTCTTTAAACACAATTCCATTTATTGTTGGTCCTATCCTTTTCCATATAAAAAGATTAATTTTTCAGTTAAAACATAAAAGTTTTTTGGGGTTTGATTGCATCACATTGAATCTATGAATTAATATTAGGAGAATTAAAAACTAAAATGAGGTTTTTGAATATATTGACATGATGTATTTCTTCATTTGTATAGATTCTCTTTAATTTCTCTCAGCAATATTTAATATTTTCAGTGTAGTATTGTTAAATATCATTTCTTAAATTTGTTCCTAAATATTTTGGTATTATTGGAAATGGTACAACTTTTACATCTTTCTTTTTATTTCCTTGCTACTGGAATATAATGATGATTGCAAGTGGTATATTGGCCCTATGTTCAGCAAGAACACTAAGTTCACTTCTTGTCTTAATATTTTGTGCTAAATTACTTAAGATTTTACATATGATGTACACAACTATGTATATCATCTGCTGATAGCAACATTACTTATTCTTTTTTTGATTTATTGAAGTATAATTGATACATAAAAATTGCACATATTTAATATATTCATTTTGGTGAGTTTAGGCATGCACACACACCCATGTTGCTATCACTACACTCAAGATACTAAACATATCCAAAACATTCAAATATATCTTTGTGTTCTTCTACGTGTGTACATGTGTTTTTGTTTATGTTGTTGTTTTAGTGGTAACAACATTTTACATGAGTTCCATCCCCTTAGTATATTTTAAAGTGCACAATACTGTATTGTTAACTATGAATACTATATTGTACAGATCTCTAGAATTTATTAACCTTGCATAACTGAAACTTTATACCCATCGAGTAACAATTCTCAATTCCCTGTTCTCACCAGCCCCTGGCACTCACTATTTTCTGTGTCTATTGTAATAGTTTGATTATTTTAGATACCTCATATAAGTGAAATCATGCAGTATCTGTTCTTCTGTTACTGGCTTATTTAACTTGATGACCTCTAATTTAATCCATTTTGTTGTAGATTGAATGATTTCCTTAATTTTTAAGACTGAATAATACTTCATTATGTTTGTATGGCACATTTTCTCTGTCCATCTGACAATAGACATTTAGGATGTTTCCATATCTTGACTTTTTTGAGTAATGCTGCAGTGAATGAGAGAATGCAGATATCTCTTCAGGATCCTGATTTCAATTCTTTTTAATACATACCTAGAAGCGATATTGCTAAATCATATAGTAGTTCTACTTTTTTTATTTTCTGAGGAACTTTCATTCTGTATTTCATATTGGCTACACCATTCTTCATTCCCACCCACCAGTGTATAAATGTTCCCATTTGTTCACAACCTCACCAGCACTTCTCCCTCCTAGGTATGAGGTAATATTTCACTGTGGCTTTGATCTGCATTTTCCTGATTAGTAATGATGTTGAACACCCTTTCATCTATTTGGTGGCCATTTAAATGTGCTGTTTGGTTGGGGGGATGTCTATGGTGGTCCTTTGCTCAATTTTTTAATTGGGGTGTTTGTTTTCTTGCTATTAAGTTGTAAGAGACACTTCTGTATTTTGGATACTAATCCCTTAACAGACAGATGTTTTGCAAATATATTTTCTTATTCTGTAGGTTTCCTCTTCACTTTGCTTGGTTGTTTTCTTTACTGTGCAGAAGCTTTTCACTGTGATAAAATCTCATTTGTTTATTTTTGGTTTTGTTGCCTGGGCTTTTGTTGTCACACCCAAGAAATCATTGCCAAAACCAATGTCGATAACATTTTCACCTATTATTTTTTAAGGAGTTTTATAGCCTCAAACATATTACAAATCTACAGCAATTAAAACAGTATTAAACACACAGTATTATTCAAACATGTGCAGTCAGCTGATGTTCAGCAACGATGACAAGAACACACAATGAGGTAAGGATAGTCTCTTCAACAAACGATGTTGGAAAAACTGAATATCCACATGCAAAAGAATGAAATTAGACTCCTACCTTATATCATAAACAAAAATCCCCTCAGAAGGGTTAAATAATTACCTATTTTTTTCTGATATTTATGCCAATTTTTTTTCTCTGTTACACAGTCTACCTCGTGTAATGTTTAATATAGCATTCAAGAATTAGCAACAAAGCCTTTACCTCAAGCTTAGAATAAAAGCATTTACTGTTTCACAATTACTTTTGGTGATATTCATTTCTTATTATAGAACTGGGGCTCTATTTTATGTTATTCCCCATCATATTGAAGACATCTTTAATATTTTCTATAGCGTAGGTCTAATGGCTAGAAATTCATTGAATTTTTATATATGTTTGCATGTTTTTGCTTTGCCTTATGATTTAAAAGCTACCTTTGCTACATAAAGAATTATGGGCTAACTTTTTTAAAAAGCAGTTTTAAAATAGTGTTCCGTTTTCTTTAAGTCTCCATTGTTTTGCTGAGAAGTCATGTTTTCATATCATGGTCCCCCTGTATGTAATGCCCTTATTTTCTCCTCTGGCTGCTTTCAAAATATTTTTTTCTACTTGATTTTTAGTATTTTAACTGTAATATATCAGATGTGGCTTTTTTTTTTTTTTTTTTTTTTTTTTTTTTTTTTTTTTTTGACACGGAGTCTCGACTGTCACCCAGGCTGGAATGTAGTGGCATGGTCTTGGCTCACTGCAACCTCTGCCTCCCAAGTTCAAATGATTCTCCTGCCTCAGCCTCCCAAGTAGCTGGAATTACAGGCATGCACCACCAAGCCCAGCAAATTTTTGTATTTTTAGTAGAGATAGGGTTTCACCATATTGGTCAGGCTGGTCTCCAACTCCTGACCTCAGGTGATCCACCCGCCTTGGCCTCCCAAAGTGCTGGGATCATAGACATGAGCCACCGTGGCCAGCCTGGATGTGGTTTTCTTTATATTTATTCTGCTTGACCTTTGTAGAACTTCTTGGATCTGTATGCTGGTGTTTTCAATAAATTTTAGAATCTTTTAACCATTATTTTTCAAAAGCTTTTTAGCCCCCATTCATGTCATTGCAATCAGACCATTTAAATATAATTAAACTGAATAAATCATCAATAATTATATGCTACATTTATTTTAAAATGCTCTTTTATAAATTTCCTGTATCTTTGTTTGATGGTTGCCATTATTCTGTGTGAAATCTTTTTTCTAGTTCCATAATTTCTGAAAGATCACTTTTTTCTGGATTCTTCTTCAATCTTTCAACCCTTCATTCTCAATTTCTGCCATTCAGTATTTTTTCTTTTTCACTTGGTGATCTTTCTACATAGATTATTTTTCTCATTACTACTTCATCTAATCAATTGTCAAGACTTGTCAATTTTAATTTCTGACCCTAGTATTATAATGTAATTCAGGCCCTCATTCTTGTGAGCTCAACCATTATTAAAGACCTGGACTTCTTTCTTCCAGTCTCATTTTCTACTGATACACCTTCAAGTGACACATTAGCAAATACAAATTGAATCTTCTCTTTCCACATTTTTAAACTATTAATTTTTTTTCTATAACCTAAAAGATGCTGTTTAAGCTGTTCATTCTCGAATTAATACTCTTTCTAATGGTGACCCTGTCTACCTTTGCAGTTCTTATTTTTAATGTTCCTACAATAAAACATTATTTTATGCATACATATGTATGTATTTATTGTATGCATGAAATAAAGCAGATATACTCTTCTTTTTTTTTTTTTTTTTTTTTTTTTTTTTTTTTTTTTTTTTTTTTTTTTTTTTTTGAGACGGAGTCTCGCTCTGTCGCCCAGGCTGGAGTGCAGTGGCGGGATCTCGGCTCACTGCAAGCTCCGCCTCCCGGGTTCACGCCATTCTCCTGCCTCAGCCTCCCAAGTAGCTGGGACTACAGGCGCCCGCCACTACGCCCGGCTAATTTTTTGTATTTTTAGTAGAGACGGGGTTTCACCGTTTTAGCCAGGATGGTCTCGATCTCCTGACCTCGTGATCCGCCCGCCTCGGCCTCCCAAAGTGCTGGGATTACAGGCGTGAGCCACCGCGCCCGGCCGATATACTCTTCTTTCCCTCTGTCCAGAACTGGCTTTTTGAAAATTATTTACCCAATTACTTTATATTTTTTCTTTAAAGAAATATATGATGTCATTTACTCAAGGAAATCTCTTTGTACAAAGTTGTTTATTCTCTATCCCATTTGCTTCACTTTGTACTGAATAGCATATTTGCATTTACCAGCTTGATAATATTAGTTTATATTTGTGTACTTTCTGGTATTTTCTCCCTTTCATTTTATGTCACCACTGCTTAATAAAGCCTTTGGGATTCTGGTGGAAATTTATGTTACATCCTCTAGAGACTTAGCAAAAATAGCAGAAGACGCAACCTCTATTTATTCAAATTTATGCAGGTATTCCCCTACACATATAACAGAAAATTTATTAAACTTAATAAATGTATTTTTCTCTATCTTATATTTATTTTCTTCTTAATTTTTTTCTTTTCCTCCCCCCCACCCCACACACACAGTAATACTCTGTAAGAAAGTAATAAAAGGGCCAGGCGTGGTGGCTCACGTCTGTAATCCCAACACTTTGGGAGGCTGAGGTGGGCAAATCACTCAAAGTCAGAAGTTCAATATCAACCTGGCCAACATAGCAAAACCCCATCTCTACTAAAAATACCAAAATTTGCCGAGCATAGTGGCAAGTGCCTGTAGTCCCGGCTACTTGGGAGGCTGAGGCAGCGGAATTGCTTGAACCCAGGAGGTGGAGATTGCAGTGAGCCGAGATTATGCCACTGCACTCTAGTCTGGGCAACAGAGCAAGACTCCGTCTCAAAAAAAAAAAAAAATTTAATATAAGATATATTTATCTATACAAGAAAATTATACATTTCAACTCAATGTTTTTTTATTTCTAAAATTAGTAATTAGATAAGATTGAAGTAGCTATGATCAATGGCCTACATATTTCCAAACAAAGCACGGTATGGGATATAAATGATATCCTTTAATGCCTTTCTCCCCAAATGTCCTTTAAGTTAATCTTAAAATTTTAGTAAGAATTTTGATGATATTTTTATGTTCACATTTTAAAAAATACTTTCAAAAATTATTTGAAAATATAATTGACTTTTTTAAGCTTATGATTTTAGGTTATTCAACATGATAAAATTAGCTGAGATGATTAAATAAAATGTTAACAATATTTAGTATTTTCTGTAATACATATCTCAAATTTCTTCAGTTCTAAATTATACTATTTTAATTTAGTGCTTCTTGTAAAAATATCACAAAAGCTAATGGTGCACATCTTTTCTCTACTGCCATAACTCAATCTGAAGAATGAGTTTAAAACATGTATTTACTAAATGTCATAGAGTTTAAAAAGACATACTAAAGTTTAACACAAATACCTATAACTTTACATTAAGTTAAGGGCCCACATTCTTACACAAAAAAAACAGATTCATTTGTCTTTTAAAAGATGATGTTCATTTTTCTCTATACTTGTTACTAAAAATATTTAAACTTAAAATTATAATGTGAAAATAAGATTATGTGATTCTTCTTATCCACTTCTAAAATGAATGAAGATGTAAATATACTCAATACAATTTTGTAAAGGTTGCATTAATACCATGTACATTTTTGTTAGTCGTTTTCTTTTACGAAGATTATATTGACATTAAGAAATCAAGTTTTTCTATATATTTTCTTCCAGTCATAAAATTTTCTTAGTGTTGGTATATGTTTTCCCTCATTTCAACATGTTCTTATGAGGGCTTTGTGTTCCAGGTACAAAACTGAGTCAACAAAATATTTATTTCATGGCACACACAAGCATTTTTCAGAAGGAGGAAGGAAAAATGTTCCAAAATATGTAATTTCAAAAAAAGGGAATGAATTAAAATATCCTCCTTGTCAAAAAAATATTCCAGACACATAAGGTTCACCGTTTCCCCCAATGTTTAATTCAAAAGGGGATTTAGCTGGGCGTGGTGGCAAACACCTGTAGTCTGAGTTACTTGGGAGGCTGAAGCCAAAGGATCATCACTGGAGCCAAAGAAATCAAGTCTAGCCTGAGCAAGATAGCAAAACCCCATCTGTAAAAAAAGTAGGATGTTTTACAATTAAAAAGCTTACTATTAAAATTATTTCAATGTTATTGATTATGGTAAAAAAGCTAAAATAAAAATATACCTAATAATATACTTCATATAAAAGTTGCTTGCATGTTTGCAATAGACATTTCTAGAAAATAAATACTTACAATTTCTCCCTAAATTTCTAGACAGGAAACACTTCAAAAATTCCTAAAAGGAATAAAGCCATTTTTTAATTAAGAAAGTAATGCACACATTATTCTTATGATTGGCCACATTTTAACAAATAAAATTCTGTTCCTGCAAAACCAAATCAAAAGTATTTTTTCAGTAAATGCCTCTAGAGACTTAGTAAAAAAATTAAAGAAGACAGAACCTCTACTTACTCAATTTCATGCAGGTTTTCCTCTACACATTTAACAGAAAAATTATCAAAATTAATGAATATGTTTTTCTGTATCTGATTTAGTTTCTAAAACAAATGTAAAATCATTTAGAATAAATAAAATTACTACAAATTAGGTAAAATGAATTTCCAAGGAAGAAATACATTTTTTAAATATCTTGATAATCAACAACAAAATATAAATTTTACTTCTTAGCTATAATTACTAGTATATTAAAAAAAGAAATATTATTTGATGTAATTATTTATCATGAAAACACTGTGATGGTATTGTTGATAAACCCTTAAAATTTACCATTTTTAAAATCTTAAAGGCTAAATGCCCTGTACAATACCTGCATTGTTTTTGAAGGCATCAATATGTCTTTGTCTAAATGATTTTCTCCATTGTGAAGTCATCAGTGTTTCAAATAGTGTTTTACTAGAAGACCAATATATTTTTTCATTGATTAATTACCAAGACAGAATATGTAACTGATTTTGAATGGTGAAATGTTATATTTTCTACAGGAATATAATTATTTTTGATTTGGGAGGTATATATTGATGTCTTGAGATATAAATCTTTCAATATACTTTTCTCAATTTTTTTGTTTTTACCCCTATAACATGCCTACTCTATAGCAGCCATCTATATGCTAAAAAAGTTCTACTTCATTTGGACTTTACTGCTTGTTATTTTATGCCCATATTTAAATTACATGAGCCTAAGATGAATGCATATTTTTGTAGAAATTGGTAAGTTTGTGTGTGTGTGTGTGTGTGTGTGTGTGTGTAATGGTGAGATGACTTCATATAAAACACATTTCATATCATCACATTAATAAGACAAAAGGTAATCAATTATTTATGTAGTTTATACATTTTTTAAAAAAACATTTTCCCAAGTATTTGATTCTCTCATTGTGCTAATTGTTAGGTGGTTTCAGCCAAGCAATAGAGAGTGCACAGAATTCCATACAATAAAGAGTCCATTCCCATTGTCAATTTTTATGAATTTCTAAATATGATTATATCCTGTGGATACTTAGGGACTCAGATTATTGAAGGCCCCCAAAAATCATCACGAAAGCAGAATAAATAAACTGGAAAACAAAACATATGATTGTCAGGCCTCTGAGCCCAAGCTAAGCTCTCATAACCCCTGTGACCTGCACATATACATCCAGATGGCCTGGAGCAACTGAAGAACCACAAAAGATGACATTCCACCATTGTGATCTGTTCCTGCCCCACCCTAACTGATCAATGGACTTTGTGACAATAAACCCTCGCTGCCCTTGCGATAATGTGCTTTGTGTTATTCCCCTGCCCTTGTAAATGTACTTTGTAGGATACACCCTCCCCACCCTTGAGAAGGTACTTTGTAATATCCTCCCCCACCCTTAAGGTACTTTGCAATATTCTCCCTGCCCTTGAGAATGTATTTTGTGAGATCCACCCCCTGCCCGCAAAGAATTTCTCCTAACTCCATTGCCTATCCCAAACCTGTAAGAACTAATGATAATCCCACCACCCTTTGCTGACTCTCTTTTCGGACTCAGCCCACCTGCACCCGGGTGACTAAAAAGCTTTATTGCTTACACAAAGCCTGTTTGGTGGTCTCTTCACATGGACGTGTGTAAAAATGATATTTTCTATATGTAAATATCTTTCTTGGATTTGATGGTGGTATTTAAAGAAATGGAAATATTGAAAGTTCATCATAGTCCATTTTTTAGCCTTAAATATATAGACATATTTTTATTGCTAAAAAATAACAAGTAGTGTAATCCTTATAATACAGCAGGTACTCTGTAATATATATTTTTTAGTAGTTTATAGCTTCAAGTAAGCGAACAGGTAGAAGAAAGACAAGAATGTGGTAATAAATTTCTTGTAACATTTCAAATTACAATCTTTTAAAAAGAATATCAGTGTTGGATTTGAGAAACAAAATTTCTTCTACAAAATTCTCTATTTATAGATTACTAAGAACATCATTGTTTTGAACCCATTTTCTGGGTTCCCAATCCAGACTATTAAATGTACACTTTTTAAGACAAAAAGACATGTTTTTGTCAATAATTGTCTACAGATTTAAGTTATGCACACCTGCCCAAACCTTCATGTAAAAATAAGATCTAAAACGTTCAAACTATTTGTAATATGTAGCCCTGAAAATAACTCTCCCAATGCATGTTTGGCAAAAATGCATTCAATTTTTATTTGTAGAGACAAAATGAAGATCCCTCAAGAAGAGACTCAGAATTGAATGCATGTAGTGTGGAGGTGCTGTTGAAGATGTGATTTTTTTTTTTTTTTTTTGAGACGGAGTCTCACTCTGTCGCCCAGGCTGGAGTGCAGTGGCGGGATCTCGGCTCACTGCAAGCTCTGCCTCCTGGGTTCACGCCATTCTCCTGCCTCAGCCTCCCAAGTAACTGAGAGTACAGGCGCATGCCACCATGCCCAGCTAATTTTTTGTATTTTTAGTAGAGATGGGGTTTCACCGTGTTAGCCAGGATGGTCTTGATCTCCTGACCTTGTGATCCGCCCACCTCGGCCTCCCAAAGTGCTGGGATTACAGGCATGAGCCACCCACCGCGCCCAGCTGAAGATGTGATTATTACATAAGGCTCCAGCGCTGCTGCTTTCACATGGCCCACATAAACGCAAATAAAATTAATGTTTGAAATGTAAGCCAAATTACACATATATGTTATTCTTCCCCACAGAAGAATTTTTAATATATTAAATAAAGGGATCTCAATTTGCTAATGGTCTCATTTTAAAGCTATGTATTACTACTTGATGTCTACCTATTATCAATTTAATAAACGGTCTTCAAAACTTGTGAGTTGGCCCCCTCCCATGATTATGATAATTTAGAAGAGTTTTTATATAATCATTCATTCACCTTCACAGTTCCCACATTAAATTGAATGTCTCAGTTGCTCGCTAACTAGCAATTTGTCACCTGATTTTCCTCTTTGCCATATTCAAGACAATAGAAAATGAAAACATAATTCATATGCGGCAACAGCATCATTGTCTAAAAACCGTTGTGCATTTCCCCTTTCTTTGGAAGCATTCACCTGGGCTAAGGTGTGTCCTTCTCCTTTAAAATTTATATCAATTACATAGTGTGTTTTTGAAGATTGACTAAGATGGTGTGATGGTTAATATTAAATGTCAACTTGACTGGCTTGAAGGATGCAAAGTAATTTTCCTGGGTGTATCTTGAGGTTGTTGCTAGAGGAGACTACCATTTGAATCAGTGGACTAGGAGAGGCAGACCCACCCGCAGTCTGGGTGGGCACCATCCCCTTGGCTGCCAGCACAGCTAGAAAAAGCAGGCAGAAGGTGGAATGAGCAGACTTACTGAGTCTTCTGGCCTTCACCTTTCTCCCATACTGGATACTTCCCACCCTCGAACATCAAACTCCAAATTCTTCAGCTTTTGGACTCTTGGGCTTACACCAGTTGTTTGCCTTGGGCCTCAGGCCCTTGGGCCTCCGGCCATAGACTGAAGGCTTCACTGTCAGCTTCCTTACTTTTGAGGTTTTGGGACTCAGACTGACTTCCTTGCTCCTCAGCTTGTAGACGGCCTATAGTAGGACTCACCCTTGTGTGAGTCAATACTCCTTAATAAACTCCCCTTTATATATACATCTATCCTATAGTTCTGTCTCTCTAGAGAACCTGGCTAATATAGATGGTATATGTAAAACTTTTTAGCACATATCCATGAATACTAATTCATTAACTTTGTGTCTCTTCTTTTATTTCTCAGTTTTTCATCCTAAAATCATCCATACACTAGCAAAACAAGTTTTCTTACTGATGCCCTATTTCACCTTTTACTCATATAATTGCTATTTTATATGAATAAATATGTTTAGATTATTTTAGGCAAATTAGAAATTTATAGAGTCCCACTATAAAGCAATTGTTTGTGTTACAGTAAATTTTTATAACATCAATTATACTCTTCTTGTAGAAATGACTGTGTTAATGTACTTTTTCAGCTTAGTGTAGCCATTTTTCATAATTTGTCATTTCAGCCAATTGCCCAGGAAACCAAGACAATGAACTGAGATATATCACCTGCCTGATACTCCATTGCAAGTTTATGACAGAATAATTAAAATCCACTTCAGAAATCAAATGCGGAGTTTAGCAAATTCTGTTACAATTGCACCCGAATGAAGAATGAGTAGAAAATAAAAAACTAAAAGAGGGAAAAAATTCTTTATCAGTTGTTTGCTAAGATCTAAATTGTAGCATTGCAGACTTTAGGGAAGAGCTGCCCCACTCTGTCAATCAGGATGATGGAAGTTGATCCTCTCAGAGTGGTTTTTCTGCCTGGTGTCTCTTGGGAGATCTTCTTCCTTAGCTCATCAGTGAGATCTACAGATGTCAAGAAAACATATTGTCTGGAAGCATATTCTAACCCAGAGGGGCAATTTAGCCTTTTCTACTTTAGCTCAGAGCCTTTTCTTAAGCTTCTTTTGGGTGGGTTTATGCCCTGGGGCATTAGAATTGAAGAAAACAAGTAACAAGGAAAATTCAGTTTCTCGGTTTTCTCGCAACTGTCTGGCAGATTATATTGTTAAGATTAAGAAAATCTAAGGAATAAGATATTGAAAAATTTAGGAGAGGAACAAATAAACCAAGAGAAGCCACAAAATGTAGCATTAATTTTCTGTGTACTTTAGACAGATGCCATATTTTAAATAATACATCAGTAAAGTCATAACGTCCATCACATTAGCAGTAACATCTCTGTGTTACCATGATAATGGTTATCTCAGTCACTGAAAAAAAAAAATTAGTTCTCTGTAAAGTGTGAATTTTATAGTTGAAACCACACATTAACAAAAGGAATGTGAAAGGAGATGGAGCAAGATAGCCAAAAGGAACCCTCTGCAGAAACACCAAATTGAACAACTACAAAAATGCACCTTCAGGAAAAAACAAAAATCAGGTGAGCAATATCAGTACCTGGTTTTAAAATTATGTCAAGGAAAGAAGCACTAAAGAAAGTAGAAAAGATGGTTTGAATTGCTGACACCACCCTTCCCCTATGCCCTAGCAGCAGCCTGGTGGCAGAGAGAGAGTCAGTGTGCTTGGGGGAGGGACAGTGCAGGGATTGTGAGACTTTCATTGGAATTCAGTGCTGCCCTGTCACAGTGGAAAGCAACAGAGGGAGAATTCAGCCAGTACACACAGAGGGAGCATTTTGACCAGTTCTATCCAGGGAAGAATCATCCATCCTAGTGATCAGAGCCTGAATTCTGCCTGACCCTATCACCACAGGCTAAAGCACTCTGGGGGCCTAAATAAACTTGGAGGGAAGCCTAGGCCACAGAGACCCAGGCCTGGTAGCATTAACCACAGTTGACTGAAAAACCTTTGTGCCTTAAATAAACATCAGCGATAGCCAGACAGTACTCACTGCGTAGAGCAGTGGTGGCCATGGGCACCATGGCCTTATGTGTGAGAAAATGAAAGGGACAAGTGGGAAGGACTTTTGCAGCTTGGGTGCAAGCTCAGTCACAGTAGAATAGAGCTCTAAGTAGATTCCTTAGGTTCCTAACACCAGGTCATGGCTCCTATGGCATTTCTGGACCTGCCCTGGGCCAGAGGGGAGCTTGACACACTGAAAGGAAGAACACAAGCCTGGCTTGATTTACCACCTGCTGACAGTTGAGCCCTTGGGCCTTGAGTGAACATCAATAGTAGCCAGGCAGTTGGCGCCACACCTCTTGAGTGAGACTCAGGGCTGTAATGGCTTCAGTTCTGATCCACCACAGTCCCAGTGATGGTGGCCACAGGGGTGATTGTGTCATCCCCCCCACAGCTCCATGCAGCTCAGCAAGGAGAGAGAGACTTTCTCTCCTAGGGGAAAAGTAAGGGAAGAGATCAAGAGCCCCTTCTTGGAAATCAAGGGAATTTTCTGTGATCTTAACCAAGACTGCAAAAGCAGTACCTCCATGAGTCTGTAAGAATCACAGTGTTACTGGCCTTGGAGTGCACTCTAATGCAGATATGGCTGCAGTGACCAAGGAAATAAATCACAGCACTCAAAATCCTATGAATATTTGGAAAGCCATCCCAAAAAGGAGAGGTATAAACAAGCCCAGACTGTGAAGACTACAATAAATACATTAACTCCTTAATGCCCAGACATTGATGAACATACATATTGATTTTCAACACCACGTAGGAAAATAAGACCTCACCAAGCGAACTAAAGAAGGCACCAGTTACTTATCTAAGATAGACAGAGATATGTGACCTTTCATACAGAGAATCCAAAATAGCTGTTTTTAAAAAGCTCAGTGAAATCCAAAATAACTCAGAGAAGGAACTTAGAATCCTACCAGATAAATGTAACAAAGAGATTAAAATAATATTTAAAAATAAAGCAGAAATTCTGGAACTGAAAAATTCAGTTGTCATACTGAATAATGCATCAGAGTCCCTTAACACCAGAAATGACCAAGCAGAAGACAGATTTAGTGAGCTTGAAGAATACTATTTGAATATACACATTCAGAGGATACAAAAGAAAAAACTTCAAAAAATGAAGCGTGCCTACAAGATTTGGAAGTACCCTCAAGATATTAAATCTAAGGGTTATGGGCTTTAAAGAGGAAATAGAGACAGCGATTGAGGTGGAAATTTTATTCAAAGGGATAATAACAGATAACTTTCCAAACCTGGAGAAAGATATCAATATCCAAACAGAAGATGATCATACAATGCCAAGTAGATTTAACACAAAAGACACTATCCCAAGATAGCTATTCATCAAATTCCCAAAAGTCAAAGATAAAGAATGTATCCTTAAAACACAAAGAGAAAAAAAAAAAAACATACAACAGGTGCTGGAGAGGATGTGGAGAAATAGGAACACTTTTACACTGTTGGTGGGACTGTAAACTAGTTCAACCATTGTGGAAGTCAGTGTGGCGATTCCTCAGGGATCTAGATCTAGAAATACCATTTGACCCAGCCATCCCATTACTGGGTATATACCCAAAGGACTACAAATCATGCTGCTATAAAGACACATGCACACGTATGTTTATTGCGGCATTATTCACAATAGCAAAGACTTGGAACCAACCCAAATGTCCAACAATGATAGACTGGATTAAGAAAATGTGGCACATATACACCATGGAATACTATGCAGCCATAAAAAATGATGAGTTCATGTCCTTTGTAGGAACATGGATGAAATTGGAAATCATCATTCTCAGTAAACTATCGCAAGAACAAAAAACCAAACACCGCATATTCTCACTCATAGGTGAGAATTGAACAATGAGAACACATGGACACAGGAAGGGGAACATCACACTCTGGGGACTGTTGTGGGGTGGGGGTAAGGGTGAGGGATAGCATTGGGAGATATACCTAATGCTAGATGATGAGTTAGTGGGTGCAGTGCACCAGCATGGCACATGTATACATATGTAACTAACCTGCACGTTGTGCACATGTACCCTAAAACTTAAAGTATAATAATAATTAATAAATAAATAAATAAATGCAAAAAAACAAAACATACAAAAGAGCACCAACACATCTGGCAGTCGACTTCTCAGTGGAAACTTTACAGGCCAGGAGAGCATAATACAATAAAATAATAAAATATTCTTCAAACATAAAGGAGAAATAAAAACTTTCCAGACAGTCAAAAGCTGAGGAATTTTATTTACATTAGAACTGTCCTACAAGAAATGCTAAAGAAAGTTTATTCTGGAAAAAAGGATGTTAATGAGCAGTAGGAAACCATGTGAATGTACAAAACTCATGGGTATTAGTAAGTATACAGACAAGCACAAAAATATTACAACAATGTAATTCTGGTATGTAAACTACTTATATCTTGATTAGAACAACTAAAAGGTAAACCTGTCAAAAACAATAACTACAACAACTTTTTAAGACAGTGCAATTAGACATAAATAAAAACAATGAAAAGTTAAAAAGCAAAAGGGATTAAGTTAAAGTGTATAGTTTTTTAAGTGGCTCTTTGCTAGTTTGTTATTAACTGTTAAGTTGTCATAAATTCAAAATAACAGGTTATAAGATGTTATTGGCAAGCCACATGGTAACCTCAAATAAAAAATGTACAAGTACACAAAAAAAAGTAGAAAGCAAGAAATTATAATACAACAAAAGAAAACTTAACTTCAGTATAAGGAAAACAGGATGGAAGGAACTAAGGAAGACAATACCAAAAAATCACAAGAAAACTAATAACAAAATGGCAGGATTAAGTCCTTACTTATCGATAATAACTGAATGTAAATGGACTAAAGTCTCCAATCAAAACACATAGACTGGCTGAATACATTAAAAAAAAAAGACCTTAATGATCAGTTGCCTTCAAGAAACACTTCGCCTATAAACACAAACATACACTGAAAATAAAAGAATGAAAAAGGATATTCCATGCAAATGGAAACTAAAAAAGGAGCAAGAGAGCTATACTTACATTAGAGAAAATAAATTTCAAGACAAAAACTAAAAAAAGAAACAAAGACTATGATCATAAATGATGAAAGTATTAATCAAAGACAAATTTAAAAAAAGAAAACTCCAGGTCAGTATTACATATAAACCCTGACTCAAAAATGCTCAAAATAATACCTGCAAATAAAATTCAACAACTGATTAAAAAGAAGACTCATTATTATCAAACGGTATTTATCCCAGGGATGCAAGGGTGGTTCAACAAAATACTCCCAATGATGTGATACATCCTGTCAATGGAATAAAGGACAAAACCATATGATAATATCAGTTGATGCTGAGAATTCATTGGATAAATTTCAACATCCCTTTATTGTAAAAATCCTCAAAAATCTCAGTATAGAATGAACTTACCTCAACACAATAAATGCCCTATATGACAGATCTACAACTAGTATCATACTCAGTGAGGAAAAACTGAAACCCTTTCCTCTAAGATCTGGAATAAGACAAGGATCACCACTTTCATTTATGTTATTTAACATAGTACTGAAATTTCTAGGTAGAGCAATCAGAAAAGAGGAAGAAAGGGCATCCAAATTGGAAAGGAAGAAGTCAAATTATCTTTGTTTACAGATGATATAACTTATACTTGGAAAAATCTAAACACCCTACCAAAAAGGTATTAGGACAAATTCTGCAAAGTTGCCGGATACAAAATCAATGTATAAATATCAGTAGCAATTCTATATGACCACAGTGAACAATGTGAAAAAGGAATCAAGAAAATAATCCCATGGACAATAGCTATGAATAAAATAAAACACCTGCTGGTAAAGTTGACCAAAGAAGTGAAAGATGTCTACAATAAAAACTATAAAACATTGATGAAAGAAATTGAAAAGGACACACACAAAAAATGGAAAGATATTCCATGTTCATGGATTAGAATCATCAATATTGTTAAAATGTGCATACTACCCAAAGCAATCTATAGATTCAATGAAATCCCTGACAAAAAAACAACAACATTCTTCACAGAAATAGAAAAAACAATCCTAAAATTCATATGGAACCACAAAAGACCCAGAGTAGCCAAAGCCGTCCTGAGCAAAATGTACAAACCAGAGGAACCTCACGTTACCTGACTTCAAATTATGCTACAGATCTATTTTAACCAAAACAGCATGGTACTGGCATAAAAACAGACACATAAACCAATGTAACAGAATAGAAAATCCAGACCTAAACTCATACATCTACAGTGAATTCATTTTAGAAAAAGGTGCCAAGAACATAATTGTGAAAAAGAGAGTCTCTTAATTAAATGGCACTAAAAAAAAACTGGATGTTCATATGCAGAAGAATGAAACTAGACCCCTATCTCTTCACTTATTAAAAAAAAACAAATGAATTAAAAACTTCAATACCTCAAACTATAAAAGTACTATAAGAAAACATTGGAGAAACTCCCCAGGACATTGGTCTGGGCAATATTTCTTGAGTATATCCTACAAGCACAGACAACCAGAGCAAAAATGGACAAATTGGATCATATCATGTTAAAAAGGTTCTGCATAGCAATGTAAACAATCAACAAACTGAAGATACAACCCACAGAATGGAAGAAAATATTTGCAAACTACCCATATGACAAGGGATTAATAACCAGAATATATAAGAAGCCCAAACAACGCAATAAGAAAAAATTCTAATAATCCAGTTTAAAAATAGGTAAAATTTCTGAATAGACATTTCTCAAAAGAAGACATACAAATGACAAACAGTTGCATGAAAACATGATCATCATTGATCATCAGAGAAATATGAACCGAGACTACAATGAGATATCATCTCAACCCAGTTAAAATGGCTTTTATTCAAAAGACAGGCAGCAACACAAGCTGGCAAGGATGTAGATAAAAGAAAATTTTTGTACACTGTTGGTGGGAAAGTAAATAGTACAACCACTATGGAGACTTATATGAAGGTTTCTCAAAAAACTAAAACTTAAACCATCATATGATCCAGTAATCCCATTGCTGAGTGTATACCCAAAAGAAAGAAAATTACTATATTCAGGTGATATCTCATGTATCCCATAAATATATATATATACTATGTAAACATTAAAATATGACATGTACCTCATGTATACACTATACACTATGTACTCATAAAAATAAATTAAAAAGGGGATGTCAGAAAGTTGTCGTAAGTCTTTATGTATATTCTATAATTCTTAGAAACACTGGCATATTATAAATCATAAGAAAAAATGGAATTCAATTAACAAAAGCAAGCAAAGTTTTCTGCTGTGAGGACTAGCATGTGCTAATATAAACATAAACTCTTCCCATTCAGGCTAAAGTTTTCACAAAGTTTCCCAGGAGACAGGTAAGGAGAAAGAAGGAAAAATATTTAGTTTCTGAGGGATTTTAAATCTTGTGTATGACCAGAAAGCAGTCTAAAAGGTATTCATGTGAAGAAACATAATCAGTGGTTAAAGCAATTTAATTAGAAGAGAAGAACTCTCTCTGTCAGTTACTTGGGTAGAGTTGACATAACTCATATTATGTAGCCTGTGAGCTATTAGCTGAAAAGTGATAATCATTAAAAACAAATTGTATGTTTAATAGCGATGTTTAAAAACTATAATGTCATTACTGGCTTCTTTGTGAGGGAAGGATTATTTTTAACTTGTATCCAAAGAAAACCACTGTTTAAAACCCATACTTGAACACAGGAGCACAACGTGGAGGCAGAAATCAGAGTTCTCAGAGAGTAAAAAGTAAAAACTACTTTGAGAAATAAATTTTTTAGTAACTATATACAGATATTTAAAAACTGGCATTGGTGGGAAACAAATTGGTGTGATATGCAGCATCAAGACAATCTTTGCAAGAAGTTCCCTGAAAAAAGAAGTGAGCCCAAATAGCATGGATCTCAGACTAGGGTATCAGCTGAAGAGAAATGCTATCTAGACCAAAATTATAACAATTTCCTTAGATAAATTTGGCTACAGTCAGATCAATTTCTAGTGATGAGCTATTACTAGTCTCGAAGGGAACCCTACCTGTAAATTTGTATTGTTTGTTAGATATATCCTTCCATAAATGTGTAAGCTCTTATTTCCTTTATTTTTCAAATAATCCTTCTATTGTCTTACCAAAATCTCCAATTAATTATTTAGTGAATAACTGAGTAAATGAATGAATAACAAGTACTCAGCTAGCTTTATTTTTTTTTCATTCTCTTTTCTCATTAACAATAGAACCTGGTGATGCAGCCTATACAAGAAGTTAAAAAAATTTGAATTTGACAGTGGGATAGCTTCAATTTTATGTCTTTTTTTCTTTTGTAAATAAAAAGCTTTTTTCATGGAGAAAAACTTTCTCTTAAATAATACCACACAAAAGAATAATTGACTCCTTCCTCTTTATAACACTGTATGTCAAATTTATCACAACATCCAAGTTTGTTTTTCATTTTTTTTTCTAATATCTTTTACTTCTTGACCTTTTGAAACATCCAAAAATTAGTAATATTATAATCTGTGTCACAATCATAACGTTTTTCATTCTTAAATGCTTTCTTTCCCTATGTTTTCGTATTTCCACCAGTCTTGAGTTAACCAATGTTCTTCCCATTTTGCTTCTAAACAATTGTAAGCATCACCAAACAAATATCTGTAACTAAAATATACCTTTGTATTACAAACAGTTTGGGCTTTTTAAGCTCTGCTTTCCTACCTCTTCTCTGTTCCAAGACCTTATTTAATCAGCTAACTTCTCACAGATTGAATCAAAACTCATAAAGAATAATTTAAAGTTTTATTGCCATATCTCAACTTATTTTTCAAGTTGTCCCCTTTACTTAAGCTAAAACATTCACATTTGGTAATTACCATATGTTATGTGAAACTGTTTCCTCTCTGAGTAATTTAACCAGTTTTCAAATTTTATTTTTAAAATCATTCTAATTGCAAGCTGAAGAATAGATTAGAGAAAAGGAATAATGACAGTAAGAAAACTATTCACAATACAAATGTCATAGTAGGGAAGACAGATAAACTAAGGCAATGATGGTAAGAGAGGGTAAGAACACAGACAGGTGAGTCTCAATAGTAATGTTACCTTCATTGTTCAACTTTTTTTTTAATGTAATGTATGCTATTATTTTTTATTTGCTTGATTCTCTAGACACTAATTGTTACTTTTCTTCAAAGTTGTTCAGAGTAATAGTAAAACCCCTTGTTGGACGCATATGAAGTAATAGATGTTTTCTTTCTTTTTGGTGTTTGTGATAGTAGGGGATTCTGTCTCCTCCTAAGCACCCATTCTCTAGCAATCTGTAGTGATTTTTCAGATGGATTTCCAGGCCCATTATGCTGGAGAGTTCTTGCCATTCCCAGGATGTATTTCTTCTTCTTGTTTTATTTGCTAGATTTTGTTTGTTTATTTGTTGAAGTAACATTACCCAAGTAGCTTTTAGAGAAAGGAGGCATGAGAGGCAACATTGTTGAGAGGGCATTTGTAGAAATGTCTTTATTCTATGCTGATACTTGATTTATCAAATGGAAAAAATATAAACTATTATATTGGAAATACATGTCCTTTGGATTTTGAAGGGTTTCTTCAATGACTTCTAATTTCCAGGGTTACTTTAATAAAGTAACACCATTATTTAATGTGATTTTGTCTGTGTATACTTTCTCTCTCTCTGGAAGTTTTTAAGATTGTTAATTTTTCTCAAGTGCTTTGACATATCAATATAGTCATTATTGATATGTTAACATGGGTATTTTAAAATTCTTTATCCAGGTACTCAGTGTGCTCTTTGAATTGAACATTTCATGTCTCTCAACTTTGAAAATTATTCTTACATCATTTATTTCACAATTTCCTCCCCACCAGGCTTTCCAACAATTGATCATCAGGTTTTGTAATAATTTATTATTTTATTAATTTATATAACTCTCTATTTCATTTTGCTTTCTTGATGATTTTCCAAAATGGTTTTTCACTATTTATGTATTTTTATATTCTAGCAAATTTCAATTAAAAACACCTTTTCTGTTATCTGATTGTTTATTGTTATTCTTGCTGTTAGAATTAAATTTCTTCTGCCTTCTACTTTGTATCTGTTTTATTTATGTCCACTTTTATTTGATATTTACTTCCTCAAATGTGTCACAATTCTTAGTTGTACTTCCATAGTAAACTATGAGGCATTAATGTACTCTCTGGAAGTTCTGTGAGCCTGGTAGGAATTGTGAATGAATGAAATTAAATGTAGAAGACTGGGGAATGGCCTCCAAATATCAATACTTGTAAATCTTTCTCTTAATCTGTCATTGGTCTTTTATTGCCTCCAGAGGGGAATTCAGCTTGCTCTTGCCCTAAGCTTATAAGCATATATATATATATATGCACTGGGAGCCAAATGTGTGGCAAGGGGCTGCCACTGTTATTTAATATGGAGAATTTGACTTAATCTCTCCACCTTTAGCCCATTAGGAGAAGACTTTTATGGTCCTTCCCTTGTAGAAGAGAAGACTTTGATGTTCTTGTGGCATAAAATCGAGACACTATAGATCAGTAACTTCAGAACCCACCACACTTTCAGAACCTACCAAGCCTTTCAGTAGGTTCTGAAGTTACTGATCTACAGTCTCTGATTTTATACCTCAAGAGCATAAAAGTCTTCTCTCCTTCAAGGTGGATTTGGGTGGGGTTGCTTTTTAACAGATCATTCTCTTTCAGAACTTCCCCTCACTCCCACACTCTGAGTTCTTGGTGCCGCCACTCCACACACACGTGCAGGTTCTGCGTGAGAGACTGACTTGGTCCTCATGGGCTTCCCCTCTGCCAACACTTAGGTTTCAGTTTCATCTGCTCTGTCAGCGACCACTTATCTCTCGTTTTCCTTTTGGCATAATTTATTGACATTTATGCTTTAAAATTTTGATATTCAGTTGTCTCTTCTCTTCTTTGTTCTTTTGGGTATATTTGTTTCTAATATCTAGCTCAGGTATTTTAGTATTTTAGTGTGCTTTGTTTTTTATAGGAAGCTGATATCATCTTCTGTGTTTAGCCAAAAGTCCAGGTGCTGTATTTTAAATGGAAGACAATTTCAATGAAATAAAATATAAAGGGTGTGAAGGAGTTCAGCAATGAAAGAAATCACCTGGAGTAGGATCATGTAACACAAACAGGATTGTGATGGTGGCATGAGTATGGAAAGTTGAGGGGCTTATGATATTACTGGTGTCCTAGATAAGTAACATTACTGCACTAACTGGGCTTACAAGTACAGTTCATTCAAGCTGAAGTTCTAACACCAAAAGCTTGATAATTTTGGCAGATTTCATTCTTTGAGCAATATTCAAATATTACACTACTTAGAACAGTGTAAAATATTTTTATAATAACTCTCCTCTGAGAGAAATGGTACAAGAATACTTAGGCTTAGGACATTACAAATAAAAAGTCCTAGAATAGCCTTGAAAAGGTAGTATTGAGGGTTTTTGTTTTGTTTTGTTTTGTTTTGTTTTGTTTTGTTTTGTTTTTGAGACAGAATTTTGCTCTTGTCGCCCAGGCTGGTGTGCAGTGGTGCAACCTCAGCTCACTGCAACCTCTGCCTCCAGGTTCAAGCAATTCTCTGCCTCAGCCTCCCAAGTAGCTGGGATTACAGGCGGGTGCCACCACGCCCAGCTAATTTTTGTATTGTTAGTAAAGATGGGGTTTCACTACGTTGGCTGAGCTGTTCTCGAACTCCTGACCTCAAATGATCCACCCACTTCGGCTTCCCAAAGTGCTGGGATTACAGGAGTGACCCACTGCGCCTGGCCAGGGCTTTATAATCTCATTATTGAAAAGGAATATACTAGGGCATCAATATTAGTGTTATAACTCTAATTTTCCATGTGAGCCAATTAGATGATCATCACCAGCTTGAATTAATTCAACAGCCTCTGAATTGGCCTTTGAATCCAATCTTACCCATTTTAAGTTATGCTACATACTATAGCAAGAATATTGTCATAAAGCAGTGGTTTACAAACATTTAGAAAAATATATGAGCAAGCATTTCCAATAAATGCGTATTTTATTTCCTGAACTATTACATGGAAGATAGTTATGATTTTAATGGCTTCACGTGCATGTGAGATAAATAGTTGCATAGGGCCCCATATTTAGGAGGCTCTTGCCTTTGGCTTAATGCTTACCTTTTGCTATTTTAAAATTAGTAGTTTTTGAATAAAAGGCCCCACATTTTCATTTTGCACTGGGCCTTGCAAATTATGTAACTACTTCTGTTTCACATCATATGGCTGCTGTAAGAACTAAAAGAAACAACACAAGTAAAGTATCAGCACAGTGTCCTGTAGATAGTAATCCTTCAATAAATGTCAGCTGCCAGGCTTATTTCTATATTTAGTTATTATTATTATTGTTGTTAGCATTATTAATCATACCACTTTAGTCAATATCACTCAATTATGCTATGCTCATTATTTACTCTTTCTTCAATGCAGAAGCATTACTTTTTATTATGTGTGAGATGGTGTGCTAGGAAATGTATTAAAATCACCTACTTTTCTGTATTTTCTATTAGACCATAACATTTTTGAATAAAAGGAGCTTATCATGTTCATTTTAATAACCTCATGCTTACCAAATATAATTGCTCCATAATTATTTGTTAGAAAAGTGTCTGAATATTTTTGAAAGCACATTATAAGATATAATATCATATAAAATTATAACTACTTTTATTATTCACTTATTTGAGTAATTATGTATTCAGTGACTTACTATTTAGCTTGCACTTTGGTTTTGTCCATCTGTCCTCCCTCTTGGTAAGTATTGCTAAGAGCATAGTCCTTTTAAATATTATAAGGCATCATATATGCTATAGCCATTAGGACCTAGGCAAAATTCTCAAATTTTTAACACTTCAAATTGTCAGGTTATAATGAAATAGGTCATTGAGGCAGTTGCATTATCTTGCAAAAATGAAATCCCTCAATTATACCACTAGGAACACATCATTTCCACTAATAACATGATGTCATGGTGTCCGATAATACATAGAACTTAAGTAATTCTAAAACTTTAGGCTTCTCCTGCCATGATGTACAAATATCACATTACATTTGTGTTCAGTTTTTTAAGAAGATGGTTTCTGTCATAGCAAAGAAAGAATAAAGGCCATTTTGCTTTAAAAGCATTTTCTATTCAGAAGCTCAACATTTAACTTTAAATATCTCCACTTAAAGAAAGGGCCCAATTAAATTGAGAGTTCTTCCGAAACTCAGACTTATTAGAAATATCAAGAAATTATCACCAAGAAATCTGAATTTTTACCTTCAATTTTTAGACTCTGTGTGCTCAATAGTTCATACAATGCTTACATGCTTATAAGGTGTTTAATTCTCTGCACTGGGTAAAAGATTAATAGCTGAATTATGTAGATATTACCATTTAAGAGATTGTAATTTTCTAGAAAACATTAATTAGGTGTTGCTGCACAGGAATTGGTCTACCTGAAACTCTTTTTTTTTTTTTTTTTTTCCCCACAATTATGCCACAGGGTATTTAAGGTTTTTGCCTTGGAAGTGAAACAGAGCTGGGATTGAATTCTGAATCAACAGTTTACAAGCTATACTGGCTTAGGCAAGTTATTGAACTACTCTGAGCCTTTATATTTCCTCTGTAAAACAGAGCTAATAATACCTGTAGCACAAAGTTGTGGAGATTAAATGAGATGAGGTACATAAAAAGTACTGAACACAATGCCTATCAGTATTAATGTTTTACTATTGATATAATTGTTATTTAAGCTCCAATTCTGTGAGAAAGGCAGTAAAAGTTTTGAAGCTAAGAAAACAAATACAGAGCTTGCAAAGAATGTAACCACTGGTTTGAATCTAGATAAGAAATGTAGAGATAAGAGAATTAGAGCTTTGCTGATGTGCTGGCATTACCTGGCATGTTGTGATGAGGTAGATAACAACAGCAACAATAATAATAATAGCTACCATTTACTAATGTCATATCGCGTGCCTTGTGTTTTATATTAATTGTTAGGTAATCTTCAAAACACCTTATGATGCAGCATGAATGTGTGGATAAAGAAAGAGAAGTTCTAAAATCATTCAAACTTTAAAAGGCTATTTTTGAGAAATTCCAGAATAAATGAAAATTGTAGTCAAGTTCCTAATCAAGTGAAAGTGGGTTGAAACCTAAATGAGGCGTGATACATCTGTGATTATAATTTATTTGGCAATGGATGCGGGGGTGGATTTAGAAAGAAAATCTATTTTATCTGTCTGGGTTTATAATATGCAGATCCTAAACTTGTTATAAATATTACATGGTTAAAAAATACTGTAAATGAGAACAAAAAGTTAAATTCTTATTAATTTTAACATTTAATTATTAAAGTGAATAATATTTTTTTCTAATTTAAGATAAAAAAGAATTACTGGAAACCACAAACTGTTTAAAGCAGGTACAAATAAATATAATCATTTTAAGTGTATTGACTATATGTTCAAAGAATATATCTTGTTTTTTTGTGTGCCAGGGCCTATATGTAGAGGCAGAGTCACCTATACCAGTCAGCATTGACATCTGTTGACAGCAGTGTATTCTAAGTGTATTAGTGTATATGCATACATGTATGTAAAAGACCATTTAATTTGAAATTCATTTTAATTAATTTTTTCAAAATTCACTGTTTTAATGGCCAGGCGTGGTAGCTCATGCCTGTAATCCCAACACTTTGGGAGGCCAAGGCGGGCGGATCACAAGGTCAGGAGATGGCGACCATCCTGGCTAACATGGTGTGAAACCCCGTCTCTACTAAAAATACAAGAAATAAAAATAAAAATTCACTGTTTTAATAATGCAAGTTTCCCCATTTTCGCCTCACATTCAGATGTCTAAAACCCAATTTTAAATTTAGACAAGGAACACGAGTTGCTGAATTTCCAGAGGAAATCAGCAATTCTGGACTCTTCACAGACTTCCATTTTGTATTAAATGCTTACTCGGATCTTTTTTTATAACAATGAAGTTTATTTCCTTGCAAAGAAAAGTGGATGCAAGTATGAAGTTTTGAAGGAACACCATGAGTATCTCTATAAAGGCAAAGCCATGTACCGTTTTACAGAAAAGTCTATGAATGCACCAAGTTTGTAGTAGTCCTGGTTGAAAATTTGCAAATGCCATATTTTTAAAGTTACTTTTCAGTTACTATTTCAAACAGAATTACAAATTTTTTTCATTACCACACGACTTGAACAATGTTAAATACACCTGAGAAGAAATATTCTCTTTTGTCTGACCATGTGGGTAATAAAGAAATAACTGTTGCAGCTAGTTTTAGGGATAGATAAAAATTCTTGTAATTTGTTTCCTCCTGAAGCAAATCTCTAATTGGCAAAAAGTACTTGTGATAGCTTTTCATCTATAAAGAATGATAACTTCTCAAACTCTTCCAATGATCACAGTAGTATAAAAAGGGAGTGATTGAAGTCAGTAAGCTGTATAAATGAATTGTAAATTTATTTCTAGAAAAGTTTTCATTAAAAATCAACTATGCTATTTGTTCTAAAATAATAGCTAAGTTTTTAAAATAATTAGCCTAGCTTTGAAAATACTTACTTTGACTTGTGTATAATGCCCATATTTCTAATTTTTTTTTTTTTTTTTTTGAGAGGGAACCTCGCTCTGTCGCCCAGGCTGGAGTGCAGTGGCATGGTCTCGGCTCACTGCAAGCTCCGCCTCCCGGGTTGACGCCATTCTCCTGCCTCACCCTCCCGAGTAGCTGGGACTACAGGTGTCCGCCACCACGCCCGGCTAATTTTTTTTGTATTTTTAGTGGAGACGGGGTTTCACCGTGTTAGCCAGGATGGTCACAATCTCCTGAGCTCGTGATCCACCCACTTCAGCCTCCCAAAGGGCTGGGATTACAGGCGTGAGCCGTAATGAGTCATTTTTAATTGCTGATCAAGAAAATATTAGGTGGGGGACTCTATCTGGGGTGTTAAATCTACGAAGCTGAATAAGACATTGCTGCCGTCAATGGGCTTATATTTAGGGGGGGAAATGGCAGACATAAAATATAGCTCAAGTATAGTATGATAAGCCTTAACAAAATACATAGATTTTGTGTAAATGGCACCAAGAAGAGACTTGGTTGTTAATAGTTTGCTCTTTTAGCTAACCCATGTAGGTGGCCGAAGAAATATCAAGTAAATATAAAATGTAAAATGAAGAGACATTTTGAGACAAGTTGAATTACTTGTGAGGAGGCAGTCCCTCAACTCTCAATTTAACTCTCAAATGTGACTGCAGACGATTATTGCAAGCAAACAAATCAGTAGCCACTTCAAAGGGGAAACAATATCCAATCTGTACTTAGAAGTCATCTGTAGTTTTCAATTAAACTGGTATCTTACTCAACTTATTTTGGTTGGCGTCTATAGTTACTTTTGGTATATTTAAAATCCATACAACATTGGCATGAAACCGTTGCCTACCGCATAGTTCTCCAGACAAACATTTGCTAATAACATTCCCCTTAATACGACAGAATACATAATTTTGAGAAAATAGTCTCCAAAAATGTTTTGTGGGATTATCTGTTAAGGCTAACTATATGCCTCAACATATTTTTGACAAATTATCATGGATACTTGGAGAAAAAAAAAAGGGCATGTATTTATTTCATTGTATTAAATAAAGGAGTTTAGTTAAACTATTAAGGGAAAATATTTTTTAAAATTGTTTTTGTTTGTTTATTTTGATACAAGGTTTCACTATGTTGCCCAGGCTAATCTCAAACTCCAGGGCTCAAACAATCCTCCTGGCTCAGCCTCTCACGTAGCTGGGATTGCTCCACATCTAGCCTAAAATAAATGTTTAATAGACACAAAGTACAAAGGGCAAAATTATCTCCTCAGTGTGCTCACTAGGAAACTATCTTTGTTAACATTGCAGAACTGTGTGTAGCCAACTACAAGTCCATTTATTAATTTTAAAGGGAACTTTTAAAGAAAAAACAAGAAGACATCCACTATGAGGAAACATTAATTGGTAACTAATAATCTTAAAAATTAGAAATCGGCAAGGCTCGGTGGCTCACGTCTGTAATCCCAGCACTTTGGGAGGCAGAGGCGGGCAGATCACGAGGTCAGGAGATCGAGACCATCCTGGCTAACATGGTGAAACCCCGTCTCTACTAAAAATACAAAAAATTAGCCGGGCGTGGTGGCGGGTGCCTGTAGTCCCAGCTGCTCAGGAGGCTGAAGCAGGAGAATGGCGTGAACCCGGGAGGCGGAGCTTGCAGTGAGCTGAGATTGTGCCACTGCACTCCAGCCTGGGTGACAGAGCGAGACTCCGTCTCAAAAAAAAAAAAAATTAGAAATCATGTTTACTCATGCTCAAAGGTGCCATATAAGAATAACAAAACTCTGATTGTCCTCCTATAAAATAATTGTATTTTAATCACTATGGATTACTAATTGCATTTCCTACAAGGCAGAATACTAAACATTAGTAGAATTTTGTTTTGCTTTTAATAATCTTTTGTTTTGTATTGTTTTTAATAATCTTGGATAAATGGTGGATTAAAGGCTTTCAACATGTTTCAAATACTTGGAAACAGCAAGATAGTATATAAAGATTAACCCTGTGGGCTTTAATTCAAGAAGAAAATTGTGAATCTACTGGAATCATGAAAGACATATCTTAGAGAGGAGAATGTTAGCAAATGGACCCTGTGATGATGTTGATTGATAAAAAGATCTCTGTGCTGATTGGCCATCTCTGCTTCATGCAGATCCCCAGGCATTTGGAATACCCACTTATCTGGTTCATCAGCCTGAGCTGCCGCATTCTTCCTGGCCATAGATCTTGGTGCAGCAAGGCTTTCTTTGCTCCAGGACCAGGCAGATCTCCAGGCATCTGGAGTGCCCTCTCTCTGAATTAGAAGTTTGGGCCATCTCCCATTCCTGTCCAGAGAACTTGGAGCTGAGGTGGTTTTTCAGCTCCATGCGTAGGCACACCTTTGGGCACTTGGTGGCTGCCGATTGGGTTCTTCCTTGGCACTGATGTTTGTGCCTGCCATCAAGAGACCTGTAGGTGAACTGGCCTAGCCTGGCCCCTTGGAGCTGAGTAGGGCACTCAAACCACTATATATTCCATGAATCAGCCCATTACCTGAGGCAACAGAAAGTTTCTGCCAGTAAACAAGGTTCATGCTTTATACCCGGTTACATTGGCCTCAGCCGTCTCTTACCTATAAGGTCCATCAATGGGCTTATAGGTCAAACTGCACAGCCCAATAGAAAACCTCCCAAAATAAGTGATATAGAGCTATAGAAAAAAAGCAAAAAGACCCTACTCAGCATTCTCTAGAGTTGCACCTTCTAGGGATGGGGAAAAATGGAAAGGGGAAAAATTCAAAAATATTACAGAGAAAGAAAGACATTTTAAAAACTCTACCTTCATGAAAATAACTACAAAAATTAGAAATGCCAGTGTTTCCAGATGAGAAAGAACCAGTGGTGACAATTCTTGCACCATGAAAAATCTGAGTGTAGTGATACTACCAAAGGATTGCATTAGCCCTCCAGCATTGATCTGAACTCAGAAATGAAATATAAAGAATTCAAAACATGGATTGTAAGGACGCTCAATGAGATCCAAGACAAAGTTGAAAATAAACACAAATAAATTTCTAAAGAAATCCAGAAAATGAAGGAAGAGATGCATATCATAAGAAGAAATCAATCAGAGCTTCTGGAATTGAAAAACTCATCTTAGAAATTTCAAAATCTAGTTGAAAGTCTTATCAACAGACTGGACCATGCATAAGAAAAAATTTGAGAGATTGAAGACTTGTCTTTTGAACCAAACCAGTCAGCCAAAAATAAAGAAAAAAGAATTTTTAAAAATTAACAAAGTCTGCAAGAAATGTGGAATTATATAAAGTGACCAAACCTACGAATTATTGGCATTCCTGAAAGAGAAGGAGAACGAACAAACAACCTGGAAAACATGTTTGAGGGACTAATTTCAGAAAACTTCCATAATCTTACTTGAAAGTTAGATATTCAAGTACTAGAAATCCAGAGCACATCTTTGAGACATCACTAAGGCGTATAGTCAAAAGACTGTCCAAGATCAATGGCAAAAATATCTTAAAGGCAACTAGAGAAAGTCAGATCACATACAAAGAGGACCCCATCAGCAGACTTCTTAGTAGAAACCTTACAATCCAGGAAGAATTGGGGGCTTATTTTCAGCATTCTTAAAGAAAATAACTTTTAAACAAGTATTTCATTTTCCACCAAACAAAGCTTCATAAATGAAAGAGAAATAAAATACTTTCCAGATGAGCAAATGCTTAGGGAATTTATTACTATAAGAATAGCCTTAGAAGAGATCCTAAAAGGTGTTTCATACATGAAAACAAAAGAATGATACCTGATACCACAAAAACATACATAAGTACATATCTTGCATACCCTATAAAGCAATGACACAATAGAAACTACAAAACAAGTAGCTAACAACTTTATGATAGCATCGAAACCTCACATATCAGTATTAACCTTGAATGTAAATGGCCTAAATTTAAAAGGCACAGAGTGACAAGTTGTATAAAAAAACAAGACTCATTCATCTGCTACCTTCAAGAGATCCATCTTACACATAAAAACACCTATAGGCTCAAAGCAAAGGGATAGAGAAAAATCTACCATGCAAACGAAAAACAAAAAAGAGTAAGGGCCATCATTCTTATATCAGATTAAACAAACTTAATACCAACAGCAGTAAACAAGATTAAAAAGGGCATTAAATAATAATAAAGTATTCAACAAGAGGACTTAAGTATTCTAAATATATCTGCACCTGACCTTGGAGCACCCAGATTCATAAAACAAGTACTTTTAGAGATAAGAGAACACTTAGCCACACAATAATAGTGGGGACTTCAACACCCCACTGAGAGCATTAGACAGATCACCAAGACATAAAACTAAGAAGAAATTTTAGAATAAACTCAACACTTGACCAATTGGACCTACTAGACGTATAAAGAATACTCCATTCATCAAGCAAAGGATATACATTCCTCTTACTTGCTCACAGAACATACTTCAAGATTAGCCACATGCCAAGAGAAGGAAATAAAGGGTATTCAAATAGGAAGAGAGGAAGTCAAATTGTCTTTGCAGATGACATGATCCTATATCTAGAAAACCCCTTCGACTCAGCCCAAGAGTTTGTTACGCTGATAAGCAACTTCAGCAAAGTGTCAGGATACAAACAATGTGCTGAAATCACAAGCATTCTTAAACATCAACAACAGACATGTAGAAAGCCAAATCATGAATGAACTCCCATTCACAACTGCCCCAAAGAGAAATAAATACCTAGGAATACAGCTAACAAGGGAAGTGAAGGACCTTTTCAAGGATAACTACAAATCACTGCTCAAGGAAATCAGAGAGGATATAAGCAGATGGGAAAACATTCCATGCTCATGGATAAGAAGGATCACTGTTGTGCAAATGGCCATACTATCCAAAGCAATTTATAGAATCAATGTTACTCTTATTACACTACCACTGATAGTCTTCACAGAATTAGAAAAAGCAATTTTAAAATTGATATGGAATCAAAAAAGAACTTGCATAGCCAAAACAATCCTAAGAAAAAGAACAATGCTGGAGGCATCACACTCCTGACTTCAAACTGTACTACAAGGCTATAGTAACCAAAACTGTATGATTCTGGTACAAAAACAGGGACATAGACCAAAGGAACAGAATCAAGAACTCAGAAATAAAACTCCACGTCTACAACCATCTGATCTTCAACAAACCCAACAAAAACAAGCAATGGGGTAAGGATTCCCTATGTAATAATTGGTGCTGGGAGAACTGGCTAGCCATACGCAGAAAATAAAACCTGGACCCTTCCTTACACCTTACACAAAAATTACCTCAAGATGGATTAAAGACTTACATGTAAAACCCAAAACTATAAAAACCCTAAAAGAAAATCTAGGCAATACCATTCAGGACATAGGCATAGGCAAAGACTTTATGATGAAATTGCCAAAAGCAATTGCAACAAAAGCAAAAATTGACAAATGGGATCTAATTAAACTGAAGAGCTTCTGCACAGCAAATGAAACTATCATCAGAGCAAACAGACAACCTACACAATGGGAGAAAATTTTTGCAGTCTATCTGTCTAAAAAACGGCTAATACCCAGGATCTACAAAGCCCTTAAGCAAATTTACAAGGACCAAACAAACAACCCCATCAAGAAATGGACAAAGGATGTGAGCAGACACTTCTCAAAAAGAGACATATATGGGGCCAACAAACATATGAAAAAAATCTCAGCATCTCCGATCATTAGAGAAATATAAACCAAAATCACAATGAGATATCATCCCACGCCAGTCAGAAGGGCAATCATTAAAAAGTCAAGAATCAACAGTTGCTGGCGAGGTTGCAGAGAAATAGGAACACTTTTGCACCATTGGTGGGGGTGTAAATTAGTTCAATTGTGGAAGACAGTGCAGCAATTCCTCAAAGACTTAGAACCAGAAATACCATTTGACCTAACAATCTTATTACTGGGTATATACCTAAAGTAATAAAAATCATTCTATTATAATGATACATGTATGTGTATGTTTATTACAGCACTATTCACAATAGCAAAGATATGGAATCAACCCAAACGCTTATCAGTGATAGACTGGATAAAGAAACTGTGGTACATATACAACATGGAATACTATACAGCCATAAAAAGGAATGAGATCATATCCTTTGCAGGGACATGGATGAAGCTGAAAGCCATTATTCTCAGCAAACTAACACAGGAACAGAACACCACATGTTCTCACTTATAAGTGGGAGTTGAACAATGAGAACACATGGACACAGGGAGGGGAATAACACTTAATGGGGCCTGTCAGAGGAGGGCTGGAAGTGAGAGCATTAGGGAAAAGAGCTAATGCATGCTGGGCTAAATACCTAGATGATGGATTGATCAGTGCAACAAACCACCATGGCACAAGTTTACCTATGTAACAAACATGCACATCCTGCACATGTACCCTGCAACTTAAAAATAAACAAAACAATAAAATAATTATTTAAAAAAAGATTAACCACATGCTTGGCCATAAAGCAAGTCTCAATACATTAAAAAAAATCAAAAGCATGCCAACCATTCTCCCAGACCACAATGGAATAAAAACAGAAGTCCATACCACAAGATCTCTTCAAACCACGGAATGACATAGAAATTAAACAAGTTGCACCTGAATGACTTTGGGGTAAACAACAAAATCAAGGCAGAAATTTTTAAAATTCTTTGAAATAAATGTACAGAGACACAACATGCTAAAATTTCTGGGATGCAGCAAAAGCAGTGTTAAGAGGAAAGTTTACAGCACTAAATGCCTTCCTCATAAAGTTAGAAAGATTTCAAATTAATACTCTAATATCACAGCCAGAGGAACTAGAAAAACAAGAACAAACTAAGCCTAAAGTGAGCAGTTAAAAAAAAAGGGGGGGGAACTATAAACTCAAAGTGGAACTGAAGAAAAGTGAGATCCAGAAATTTATACAAAGAATCAACAAAACCAAATGTTGAGTCTTTGAAAGGATAAACAAGATCAATAGAACATTAGCTAGATTAACAAAGAAAAAAAGAGAAGATCCAAGTAGCACAATCAGAAATGACAAAGGTCACATCACAACTGATTCCACAGAAATACAAATGATTCTCAGAGACTATTATGCACACCACTCTGCACAAAAACTAGAAAATCAGTGGAAATTGATAAATTATTAGAAACATATAATTTCCCAAGATTGACTCCAGAAGGAAATGAAACACCGAACAGATCAATGCTGAGTTTCAAATTTGAATTCGTAATAAAAAATCTACCAACCAAAAAAACGCCCAAACATGATGGATTCACTGCTGAATTCTACGAGATGTAAAATGGAGACGTAGTACCAATTCTACTGAAACTGTTCCAAAAAATTCAGGAGGAGGGACTACTCTTTAACTCATTCTATGAAGCCAGCATCACCCTTATACCAAAACTTGGCATAGAAAAAAACAAAAATAGAAAACTACAGGCCAATATCCCTGATCCCTGATAAGCATAGATGCAAAAATCTTTAACAAAATTCGAGCAAACTGAATTTAACAAAACATCAAAAAGTTAAATCACCATGATCACATAGGCTTCATTCTTGGAAAGCAAGTTTGGTTCAACATATGCAAATCAATAAATGTGATTCACCACATGAAGAGAATCAAAGGCAAAAATCATATGTTCATCTCAATAGAAGCAGAAAAAGCTTTCAATAAGATCCAGCGTTCCTTCATGATAGAAACCCTCAACAAACCAGGTACTGAAGGAACATACCGTAAGATAAGAAGAATCATATATGTCAGACCCACGGTCAACATTACACTGAATGAGCAAGAACTAGAAGCATTCCCCTTGATATCTGGAACAAGACAAGGATACCCATTCTCACTACATCTATTCAAAATAGTACTGGAAGTGCTAGCCATAATAATAAGGCAAGAGAAAGAATTAAAAGACATCCAGATAGGAAAATAAGAAATCAAACTATCTCTCTTCAATGGCAATATGATTCTATACTTAGAAAACCTTAAGGACTATGCCAGAAAGCTATTAGAACTGATAATTTTAGCAAGGTTTCAGGATACAAAATAAATGTACAGAAATCAGTAGCATATCTATACACCAATAACTTTCAAGCTGAGAGAAAAATAAAGAATGCACTCCATTTACAATAGCCATACAAAAAAAATAGACTATCTAGGAGTACATCTAACCGAAGAGGTGAAAAATCTTTACAAGATAAGCTACAAAACACTGCTAAAAGAAATTGTAGATGACGTGGATGGAAAAATGTTCCTTGATCATGGGTTGGAAGAATAATTATCATTAAAATAGTCATACTACCCAGCAATTTACAGATTCAATTCTATTCACATCAAACTTCTAATGTCATTTTTCACACAATTGGAAAAAAGCTATGCTAAAATTTATGTGGAATCAAAAGAGCTCAAGTAGCCAAAGCAATCCTAAGTAAAGAGAACAAAGCCAGAGTTATCATATTATCCAACTTCAAAGTATAATATAAGTGACAGTAACCAAAACAGCATGGTTCTTGCACAAAATAGACACCTAGATCAATGGAACAGCATAGAGAACCCAGAAGTAAAACCACATACCTACAGCTATCTAATCTTTAACAAAATTTACAAAAATAATCAGTGGGGATTAATAAATGGTGCTGGGATAGCTGAATAGCCATACGCAGAAAATGAAGCTGGAGCCCTACTTTTCAACACATACAAAACTGAACTCAAGATGATATAAATATTAAAATGTAAGACCTCAAACTATAAGAATTCTAAAAGAATATCTAGGAAACACCATTCTAGACATCAGACTTGGAAAAGAAGTTTTGGCTAAGTCCTCAAAAGCAGTTGCAACAAAAACAAAAATTGATAAATGGGACCTAATAAAAATTAACAGGTTCTGCACAGAAAAACAAACTATTAACAGAGTAAACAGACAGCCTACAGAATGGGAGAAAGTATTTGCAAACTATGCATTTGACAGTGGTTTAATATCCAGGATCATTAAGTAATTTAAACAATTGAACAAGCAAAAAACAAATAACTCCATTAATAAATGCACAAAAAATATGAACAGACGCTTCTTAAAAGAAGACACACAAGTGTCTAACAAACATATTTTTTTAAATGCTCAACATTGCTAATCATCAGAGAAATGTAAAGCAAAACCACAATGAGATACCATCTCACACTAGTCACAATGGCTACCATGAAAGTCAAAAAATGGCAGATTCTGGGAAGGCTGCAGATAAACGGGAATGTTTATACACTGTTGGTGGAAATGTAAATTTGTTCAGTCACTGTGGAAAGCAGTTTGAAGATTTCTCAAAAAACTTAGAACTACCATTCGACCCAGCAATCCTATTACTAGGTATGTAACCAAAAGAAAATAGATCATTACACCAAAAGGAAACATGCACTCATATGTTCATATTCATGCTATTCACAGGAGCAAAGACAAAAAATCAATCTAGGGGCCCATTAATACTGGATTAGATAAAGAAAATATGTTACATATACAATCATGGAATACTATACAGCCATAAAAAAGAACAAAATAATGTTATTTGCACCATCATGGATGCAGCTGGAGGTCATTATCCTAAGTGAATTAATGCAAGAATAGAAAACCAAAGACTGCATGCTCTCATTTATAAGTGGAACCCAAATATTGGGTAGTCATAGAATAAAGATGGAAACTATAGACACTGGGAACTGCTAGAGGAGTCAGAGAGGGATAAGGCAAGGGTTGAAAGACTAACTGATTGGTACTATGCTCATTACCTGGGTGACAGGATGATTTGTACCTCAAATCACAGCATTGTACAATATACCCAGGTAACACACCTACACATGTACCTCCTGAATCTAAAGTAAAAGTTGAATAAATAAATAAATAAATATTTCAAAACAGTAGTAGTGTATTTCAGTTTGGAATATAATGTGAAATGGTAAGTTAAACTTTAAGCTGAAATTAGTAAGGATTCATCATGCACCGGATGCAGTCTGAAAATTATGTAATTAGGTGACTAGCTTGCATGTTTGTTTTGTTAGAAAAAAAAACTCCCTCTATAGGTATAATATTGATAACAAAAAACATTAGATAGACTCAGGTTAAGCAACCTAATCCAAAAATACAAAACACAAATTTTTTGGAGCACCAACATGTCACCACAAGTGGAAATTCCTCACCTGACGCTTTTGTTTTCTGATGATTCAAGGTACACAAAGTTTGTTTCATGTATAAAATTATTTAAAATATTGTATACAATTATCATCTGCTTATGTGTATAAAGTGTATATAAAACATAAATAAATTTTATGTTGACACTTGAGTTCCAGCACCAACATCTCATTGTTTACACACAAATATTCAAAAAATCTGAAAAATTCCAAAATCTGAAACATTTCTACGCCAAGCATTCTGAATAAGGAATACTCAACCAGTAATATGTTAAATATTAACTGAATTTATAAGTTATGTTAATATAATTAGCTTGATCTTGATGATTGCAATTATTGACATAATCATTAAAATACTAATAAATATTTTTCAAGTGCAGATTACTCCAAAAATTTCCAGCCTGGTATGGTGGCTCACACCTGTTATCCTAGTATTTTAGGAGGCTGAGGTGGCCAGATTGCTTAAGCTCAAGAGTTCGAGACTCGCCTGGGCAACATGGTGAAACTTCATCTCTACACAAAAAAAATTACAAAAATTAACCAGGCATGGAGATGGAAACCTGTTAGTCCCAGTTACTCAGGAGGGTAAGGTGGGAGAATTGCTTGAGCCCAGGAGGTAGATGCTGCAGTGATCTGAAATCATGCCACTGCACACACTCTACCTTGGGCGACAGAGTGAGACCTTGTGTCCAAAAAAATAAATAAGTACAGTAATATATGTTCATGCAGATTAAACTGTGAGTTTCAGAAATCAGTCATATTGTCTAAAGTTTAAAAAATACATTATCTTGTTATTCGCTTGTTGACATGTAAATTTCAACAACACAATAGTTGTCATAAACTGAGACTTCAATTACTTATTCAGTAATTTATTTTTTATGTTTTTTTATTTTTCCATCAGTTATTGGGATACAGTGGTTTTTGATTACATGAGTAAGTTCTTTAGTGGTGATTTGTGAGATTTTGGTGCACCCGTCACCCGAGCACTATACACTGCACCATATTTGCAGTCTTTTATCCCTCTCGCCGCTCCCACTCTTCCCCTTAAGTCCCCAAAACCCATTGTATCATTCTTATGCCTTTGCTGTATCCCAGAGGTTTTGATAGGTTGTGTCATTATTGTCATTCAGTTTGAATATTTTTTAAATTTCCATCCTGATTTCATTTTTGACCCAATGTTCATTCAGAAGCAGGTTATTTAATTTCCATGTATTTGCATGGTTTTGATGGTTCCTTTTGGAGTTGATTTCTAGTTTTATTCCACTGTGCTCTGAGAGAGTGCTTGATATACTTTCAGTTTTCTTGAATTTATTGAGGCTCGTTTAATGGCCTATCATTTGGTCTGTCTTGATGAAAGTTCCATGTGCTGTTGAATAGAATGTGTATTTTGCAGTTGTTGGATGAAATGTTCTGTATATATTTGTTAAGTCCATTTGTTCCTAGGTATAGTTTAAATCCATTGTTTATTTGTTGACTTTCTGTCTTGATGACCTGTCTAGTGCTGTCAGTGGAGTATTGAAGTCCCTGACTATTATTGTGTTGCTGTTTATCTCATTTATTAGGTCTATTAGTAATTGTTTTATAAATTTGGTAGCTCCAGTGTTAGGTGCATATATGTTTAAGATTGTGATATTTTCTAGTTGAACAAGGCCTTTTACCATTACGTAATATCCTTCTGTCTCTTTTAACTGTTGTTATTTTAAAGTTTGTTTTTTCTGATATAAGAGTAGTTACCCCTATTCACTTTAGGAGTCCATTTGCATGAAATGTCTTTTACCACCCCTTTACTTTAACTTTATGTGAGTCCTTATGTGTTAGGTGAGTCTCCTAAAGGCAGCAGATAGGTAGTTTGTGAGTTTTTTTCCATTCTGTGGTTGTGTATCTTATAAGCGGAGCATTTTGGCCATTTACATTTAATATTAGTATTGAGATGTGAGGTACTATTGCATTCATCATGCTGTGTACTTTGTTTTGTTTTTTGTTTTCGCTTTTTAACTTGTATTTTTGTTTTATAGCTCTTGTGTAATTTATGCTTTAAAGGGGTTCTGTTTTGATGTGTTTCCAGGATTTGTTTTAAGATTTAGAGCTCCTTTTAGCAGTTTTTGTAGTGATGGGTTGATAATGGTGAATTTTCTCAGCATTTGTTTGTCTGAAAACAACTGTATCTTTCTTTCATATATGAGGCTTAGTTTTGCTGGATACAAAATTTGTGGCTGATAATTGTTTTATTTGAGTAGGCTGAAGATACGGCCCCAATCTTTTCTAGTTTGTAGGGTTTCTGTGGAGAAATCTGCTGTTAATCTGATAGGTTTTCCTTTATAGGTTACCTGGTGCTTCTGTTTCACAGCTCTTAAGATTCTTTCCTTCATCTTAACTTTGGATAACCTGAGGACAGTGTGCCTAGGTGATGATCTTTTTGTGATGAATTTCCCAGGTGTTCCTTGTGCGTCTTGTATTTGGATATCTAGATCTCTAGCAAAGTCAGGGAAGTTTTCTTCGAATAGTCCCCCAAATATGTTTTCCAAGCTTTTAGAAGTCTCTTCTTCCTCAGGAACACCGATTATTCTTAGGTTTAGTCATTTAACATAATCCCAGACTTCTTAGAGGCTTTATTCATATTTTCTTATTCTTTGTTCTTTATCTTTGTTGGATTGGTTTAATTAGAAGACCTTGTCTTCAAGCTCTGAATTTCTTTCTTCTACTCGTTCAATTCTACTGGTGAGACTTTCCATAGCATTTCCCATTTCTAAAAGTGTGTCCAAAGTTTCCTGAATTTTTTATTGATTTTTTTCTTTAAGCTATCTATTTCCTTGAATATTTCTCCCTTCACTTCTTTATCGTTTTATGGATTTCCTTGCACTGGGCTTTGCCTTTCTCTGGTCCCTCCCTGATAAGCTTAATAACTAATCTCCTGTAAATCAGGGATTACTTCTTGTTTTGGATCCACTCACTGCCAGTGAACTAGTGTGATTTTGGGGGCGGGGTGTTAAAGAGCCTTGTTTTGTCATATTACCAGGGGTGGTTTTCTGGTTCTTCTCATTTGGGTAGGCTCTGTCAGAGGGAAGATCTAGGGCTGAAGGCTGTCGTTCAGATTCTTTTGTCCCATGAGGTGTTCCCTTGATGTAGTATACTCTCCTTCATTTCCTATGTATGTGGCTTCTTGTGAGCTGAATTGCAGTGATTGTTGTGCAGCGGGATAATTAAGGAATCAGAGAGACTGAGGGGTTGAGGAGGAATTATTTAATTATTTAGGTGCACCAACCCAGTCGGATTAACATCCAAAGGACTGAGCCCCGAACAAGAGTCAAGCTACCTTTTTAGCATTTTGTGGGGTGGGGGGAGATTTGTGCAGGGGGAAGCGTAGTACAGAAGCAAGAAACAAAGACAGTTATTCAATTAAGACATGCATTACATTATTTCTTACTTTTCAAACAACAACATGTTTTATGACTTGAGATTATCTGTTTAGTGACCTTGCAGCTGCACAGCTAGAGAAACAGTCTTCACAATGCCTGGGAAAGGGAGAGATAAGGCTCACTCGCCGCAGAAAAACAGGCAATTGTTAAAGGACTTCAGCTCTTTCTCTTCCTCAGGGGGAGTTGGTTTTTCTTACATACAACTGAGTTTTTGCTTACACATTTTTTAAATTTCTTTTAATTCCTGTTCCAGTTGTCTCTCTTCTGAGTCTAGCCACCCAGTGAGTCTACCCGGCTCTGGATTGGTTCTGGGAGTTGTCTGCATAGAGTCCTGTGATGTGAACCGTCTATGGGTCTCTCAGCTGTGGATACTAGTGCTTATTCTGATGGAGGTGGTGGGGGGTGCAATGGACTCTGTAAGCGTCCTTAGCTTTGGTGGTTTAATGCTCTATTTTTGTGCTGGTTGGCCTCTCGCCAGGTGGTGCTTTCCAGAAAGCTGTAGTAGTATGGAGAGGGACCGGCTGTGGATGGGGCCCTAGAACTCACAAGATTATATGCCTTTTGTTTCCACCACCAGGGTGGAGAGGGAAGGACCATCAGGTGGGGCCAGGGCTAGGCGTGTTTGAGCTCAGACTCTCCTTGGGTGGGTCTTTCTGCAGCTGCTGTGAGGGATGGGTGTGAGATTTCCAGGTCACTGGAGTTGTGTACCTAGGAGGATTATGGCTGCCTCTGCTGAGTCATCAAGTTGTCATAGAAGTGGGGTAAATCCAGCAGTCACAGGCCTCACTCAGCTCCCATGCATACCAAAGAGCCAGTCTCACTCCCACCATGTCCCCACCACAATAGCCTTGAGTCTATTTCTAGGTGGAGGGCAAGACAGGCTTGAAAACTTGCCTGAGGCTGCCCACCTCCCACCTCCCAGCTGCGAAAGAAAAGGGCTTGGTTCTTCCCCTGCCTGTGGAGTCTGCACAGCAGATTTGCACCATCCTTGAGGTTCTGGCCAGGAGGCTTCTTGCCCTGTTCAAACTGATACAAAGTTCAGCTAGAGATTTCCTTCTCCCTGTGGAGTTTTACCTCCTGCTTCTCTGGCCACCCTCCTGATGGATCCCTGTGGTGCTAGGCAGGAATGCGCTGCTTGGGAACCCAGTGAGCTCCCAGGGCCTTTCTGCAGCTTCCTCTACCCCTGTATTACACTCCACTCTAAATTTTCTCAGGTCCAGGTAAAGTCAGTAACTTCTCCCACAAACAGACCTTTAGCTTCGCCAGTGCCGGTGTGTGTTAGGAAGAGGAGGGTCTCCCTTTCCCACTTCCACAGCTGGGGCACTCACAGTATTTGGGGTGTCTCCCAGTTCCTGCAGGAGCAGCCCACTTCCTTCAGAGGGCCTGTGGGTCCTCTAGGGATTGCTGGTTTGTTCTTGCCTTATTCAGTAATTTCTGTACTAGACATTAACAATAATCAGTTACAAAATGAATTATCTTACTCTTCAGCAGCATTTACGTGTTATTAAAGCTTAACTTTGGACGAGTTATTGGGACTTAATCAATGAAAAATGAGACTTTCTGTTTTTGCAAGCTTCATTATGATAATAAAAGTATAAATAAATTTAATAAAATTTAAGACTCAAAACAGGATCACAAAGAATCACTGAAGTAATACTCTTCTTTAATTAGTTAAAAATAATACCAAGGAAGGCTAGTGGCCTAACTATGATAGTTTCCTTATACTTCTTAATAAGTTCTGATGCATTAGGCATTTTTATTCTCTTTTGCCATTCACAACTTTTTGAAAGTGAAGGAAAGTCATTTTAAAACACCTTTATTTCAAAAATTTAGCATCGTATATATTTTTCCAATAAGCTTATCCACCATTTGGTGGCTGATTTCAGCTAATTGAAATTGTATAGCCTAAGCAGTTCAGTTCACTAATATGTACTTTGTATGTACTCTGGAAATTTTGTAAATGGAACACAAATGCAAAAAGATTTGATTGCATTTATGAGCACTAAAAATACAATAATGCTATAATTAAGCAATTACCAAAAAAAATGAACTTATTAGTAAATCACTTTTAAAATAGTAGGCAAGAAAAATCTGGGCTTATCATCACGAAAGACCAAAAAAGAATGAATTTAGACAATATATTTTCTGTATACTGATACATTTAGAAATGAGTTATTTATAAACTCTCTAGGAATGCAAAACTGTATTGTTATGTCTACATGTACCATTTTCATATTTTCCCCTCCTATTTTCACTTCCCCACTTTTATTTACAATAGACAAATATCATCTTTCTAAAATAAATTTTGGCAAAGTCCAATTCTACACTCAAATTCTCTCTCAAAAAATAAAGAAGATTCTGAAGTTTTCAGGTAAATTTTATTTTGGAACTTCTACTTGAATATTATTAATTTTGACTTTTTCTTCTAAGATCACCTTAGTCATCCACCGAAAATATCTGGCTAATGCTTCAATAAATGCATAAATGTTCACTGTTACTTTGATCTGCAGGCAAAGACTCATGACACCATGGGACACATGGGTGATAGCCTTCCTTATGTAATTCTGTTGAACTGCATCAAAGTGCCATTCAGTTTAAACTGCTTCAGTAGCAAAGAAATGTAGATAGATTAGAAGTTCAGAGAGAAAAAAAAAGCCCACAATGACTATGGGAATCAAGTGGCATGACAAATAAAGATTAAAAAGAAGTGGAGAGGGAGGCCAAGGCAGGTGGATCCCCTGAGGTCAGGAGTTTGAGACTAGCCTGGCCAACATGGTGAAACACTGTCTCTACTAAAAATACAAAAAATTAGCTGGGTGTGGTGGTGGGCGCCTGTAATCCCAGCTACTCGGGACACTGAGGCAGGACAATCTCTTTAACCTGAGAGGTGGAGGTTGCAGTTAACTGATATCGTGCCTTTGCACTCTAGCCTGGGGGGCGAGAGTGAAACTGTCTCTAAATAAATAAATAAATACATACATACATACATACATACATACATACATACATAAAGTAAAATGGAGTGGAGGATAAACAAGGATGAAGCACTTTGTCCAGTGAAAACCAAAAAATTACATGACAATATTCAGAAACTTGATTTAAATACTATGGAAGGAAAAAAAATGGATAGCTTGGTGTGATGGTTCACACTGAGTGTCAACTTGATTGGATTGAAGGATGCGAAATATTGTTGCTGAGTGTGTCTGTGAGGGTGTTGCCAATGGAGATTAACATTTGAGTCAGTGGACTGGGAAAGGCACACCCACCCTCAATCTGGGTGAGCACAATCTCATTAGCTGCCATTGAGGCCAGAATAAAAGCTGGCAGAGGAACAAGGAAGGACTAGACTGGCTTAGTCTCCCAGCCTACATCTTCTCCTGTGCTAGATGCTTCCTGCCCTTGAACATCAGACTATAAGCTCTTCAGCTTTGGGACTTGGACTGGCTTCCCTGCTCCTCAGCTTGTAGATGGCCTATTGTGGGACCTCACCTTGTGATAATGTGAGTCAGTACTCCTTAATAAACTCCCCTTTATATATACACCTATCCTATTGGTTCCCTTTAGAGAATCCTGACTAATACACTTGGTATTAAAATATGTAGCATCTTGTGATACTATATCATTTAATATTAAATATATCGAAGAGATAGCCAAAATTTTAGTTGGTGATTTTGGATTTTAATAGTTCTGAGAAGGTGAGAGACTCAGACTTACAAAGAGTATATTCAAAAGAAAATGCACACCTTTTACTTGACCATCACATATTCATCCAAGAAACGCTTATTGTGTAGCAATGCATTCTACAATGAATAATTACTCCAAACTGATTTTTTAACCATAAAAGTAAGTGATATAGGTTAAATGATCTACATAAAGATAGCAAGTCGAGTAAAACAAGAATACCTACAATAATTATCCTATGTACCAGACATTGTATTAAAAATATTATATACTTGGATTCACTACTCCGTGAAATAAGTATTAGTATTATTCTCATTTTATTGTTGGGTAAAGTGAGCAAATAAGAGGAAAGATAACATGCCAAAGTTAATGCTAACTAATACATCGACTCAGCCACTGTAGGCTCTAATGTTTATACTTGTCTCCAGTAACCTTGTTGCCTCTATGGAGACCAGTAGAGTTGTCGCTTGGCATCGAGAGAGGATGGATTCTAGGACTTCACCCCCTTCTCACAGTCAGAAATCTGTGTATAACTTTTCACTCCCTCAAAACTTAACTACAAATAGCCTACTTTTGACTGGAAGCCTTGCAATAATATAAACATCTTACAATAAAGTAAGTTAGAGAAAAGAAAATGTTATTAAGAAAATCATAAATAAGAAAAAATATGTTTGCTATTCATTAAGTGAAAATAGATCATCATAAAGTTCTTCATCCTTATTGCCTTCACAGTGATGAGGAGGAGGAGGAAGAAGAGGGGTTGGACTTCTTGTCTCAAGGGTAGCAGAGAAGGAAGAGATGCAAGAGGTGGAGGTGGAGGGGGAAGCAGGAGAGGAAGATATACTCAATGTAACTTATATTTTAAAAAAATCTATGTATATGTGGACTGACCCAGTTCAAACCCATGTTGTTCAAAGGAAAACTGTATCTGCATATACCCTATGCAAATATTTATGTATAATTTAAACAAACTAGATTACTTATAATACCTAATACAATGTAAATACTATATAAAAGTTATTATACTGTATTTAAAAAATATTTTTATTGTTGTATTGTTATTTTTTATTGCTTTTATTTTTCAAATATTTCTGATCCAAGGTTGGTTGAATCTATGGCTGTGAAATGGGTGGATATGAATTGTCAACAGTGCTTATCAAAATATATGACATTTATAGCCTTCTTTTGTCTGACTCACTTCAAAAAAGTATTCTCACATCTGAATATCAAGGTAATGAGATGCTGTAGATCTTTGCCATCCAATATGGTGGGCAATAGAAACATGTAGCTATCAGCACTGGGAAATACTTATTCCAAATGGAGATGTACTATAAAATATACCATGGATTTGAAAGACGTAGAACAACAACAACAAAAAAATACAAAATATCTTAGTGTTTTTGCATTGATTATATTTTGAAATAAAAATATTTTTAGCTGTTGAGTTACATGAAATATATTCTTAAAGTTAATTGCACATGTTCACTTTAAGGTAGCTATAGAAAGTTTATTGATATATGTGACTTGCCTTTGTGACTAACATTACATTTCCATTGGACAGCATTTTTTAGATGAATCCAATGGTCTCTTCTCTTTCAAGTATCTACAGTTCTGTGGAAATACTACAAAATGAAGGTTTTAAAACAGAATTTTAATTACTATGACAGATTCTGTTGATAAGTCTGAAAAAAGTATCAGTTATTAATAAATGAACTTTTTATTCCAATTACCATCGCATTTCTTTCGTTAGTGTTCAGTACATCTCTAATCAAAATAACATAAATTTGCTTTTAAAGTTGACATCATTAGAAAGACCTTTTTTTGTCTCTTTGTTTGTTTGTTTGAGACGAAGTCTCGCTCTGTCACCAGGCTGGAGTGCAGTGGCGCGATCTCGGCTCACTGCAACCTCCACCTCCTGGGTTCAAGTGATTCTGCTGCCTCAGCCTCCCAAGTAGCTGGTACTATAGGCACGTGCCACCACGTCCAGCTAATTTTTGTTATTTTTAGTAGAGATGGGGTTTCACCATGTTGGTGAGGATGGTCTCGATCTCTTGACCTCGTGATCTGCCAACCTCAGCCTCCCAAAATACTGGGATTACCGGCGTGAGCCACCATGCCCAGCCCATGTGAAATAAATTTTATGTTCTAATATGTAATAACAAAAGGTTTTTTTTTCTTATAGCAGTTTTCCCCCTAGCAATTAAAAGAAAAAGCAAAATGAGTGTAATCCAAAATAACAGCTCAGAAAGAAAGCCAAAAGTACAAGAAAAGCCTAGTTAGGATTTTCATGTGGCCTTGGATTTCTTCCATCTCCTTTTGTATTCATATTTGCAATAGAAAAATGCTGAAAACCTTGAATATACAGTATTTTAATATAATAATTTTACTTTGCAATGGCCAACTTGTGAAATACCAAAGAATGAAAGAAAATTAAAGTTGCCATCCTAAAAGCCGTATCTAAACTTCAATTAACTCTGGAAAATTGAAGATTGAGTTGAATTTGTCTGTAATTGTTAGTGAATTTGAAATATTTAAGGTACTGAATTTCAAATATGGCCTACTTTGTTTTTATTTCACATATTATTTTAGTTAGCTTAATTCTAAAAATGTCTTCTAATGTGCCTTTAAAATAGCCCAGAATGGGTTTTATATATTAGGTTCATGTTTACAAATAAATTTCAACATAAATTGGTATTTATGAGCCTTGAGCAATACAATAATTGAGTTACTGTTGAATTTTTTTGTCGTAATTTTCTGTTAACTATTTTTGCATAGCATAGCTATTTTAATCGTGAGAACTAAAACAATTATTTTTTTATTACAGTGTTAAAAGAAAATAGGAACCCAAGTTTAAACATAATAAAAATGAATACCATTAATAAATTATATACTGTGCTCTCTTTTGACTCATTTCACATATTAAATCAAAATTTGTTCATGTCAGGCTATTCACCTTACAAAAGAAAATAAATCAGACATCATCAAAGTGACACACGTTTTGATGAATACGACAGATGCCATCTGATTCATTGTAGTTTATATCTAACAAGGGCACCCTACCTGTCAGTTATCTGTCATTCATGAGATATAATAATTTTTCATGGTTATGATGTGAAAATTAGAAAAGGAATATTTATTTCTTAGCAAAATTATGCTAAAGTTTTTATTTATAGTGAGCTAGATTTAAATTCAGCCTACATTTGATATATGTAGTTTACTAGTTGGCTCAGACAAGTAAACAGTGCACTATCAATAAAATTTTGGGTTTATTCTCAGAGATAAAATTACTTATATCTTTGTTAAACACTGAACCAAGAAAACTGGAAGTAACCTAGAGATCCATATTGCTATATATCCCAGAATATCTGGATGTTAGTGTATCTCAAGTCTTTTTGGAGTAAAAAAAAAATCTGAAATCAACAATATATTTCTAGGATTATAAACTCAAAACTACCTTTAGAATTTTTTAATTTCTAAGCACTTAAAGAAGTGTTAGTAAACAGGAAACAGAAATGGACAAATTTAACACAATAAATTTTTCCTTAAACCCCGAAATTGGTTGATATTGATTTTAATATATAAACTTTCTTTCTATTTCTCTCTTTTCTCTTTATTGCAACTTATTGATTGATAAACTTAGGTTAGTTTCCCAAAGTGTATTCTAAAGTCTGGATTTTGCTTAAGATATTCCGATGGTATTCTTGTTCTTTTGTTTTGAATTTCCTAAGTTAAAAAAAATGCTGGTTGGATATAGACATTTGATCAGATTCAGGTTTGAGATTTGAAGCAATAAGACTTTATGGGTCTTGTTTTCTTACAAAAGTTTCTCTTAAACTTTCTTTACTTCTTGTAACATGTTTAAATAATTAACTCAGATTTCCCAAAGAATTCACTTTCCCATGATGCTGGTAAGTCCTTTACCAATAATCATGTGGACACTCTTAATAGTATTTTTACCCATTTATTAAGATATTTACCACTGTGAATTCCAGGAATAGGTACACTTTTATCTATATAGGATATGAAAGGGGATAGATGGCTCTTTCAAGCCAAGTTATTGTGATTTGGTTTATGTTGTAGTTCTTGATGGTAGTTTGGATGGTAAATAGAGGTCAAAGAAGGAAACTGTGTGTGTACAGACAACAAGGTAGGGTTTGATTAAAATATTGAGAAGGCTAGCAGATCTATTTATATAGTTACTATTAGATCAAAGTGGTCTCATTTAGCAAATATTTATTTAACCTCTACAATGTTACAGAAGCGTTTCTGCGTGCAGAGGATACATCCGTGAACAAAAAGGATAAAAACCCCTAAAATAATCATTGAGTTAGATTTATATCCTTCAATTTAATCATCAGGTTCTTCTATTTTTTTTCATTTATGACTTTATTTCTGACAATATGGAAAATACTCATCTCATAATTTAGGCTTTTTTTTTGTTTGTTTTTTGTTTTTTTGGTTTTTTTTAATTTTTTTTTAAGATGGAGTCTCGCTCTGTCGCCCAGGCTGGAGTGCAGTGGTGCGATCTTGGCTCACTGCAAGCTCCAATTTAGGTGTTTTTTAATTCTTCTCAATTCTAAACAAGATACAGAAGTATATATTTGAAAATAAAGTGGACCAATGGGGCAGAGGTCTTTCTTAGTCCATCGGGTCAAAAAGAAGCACTTAGTAATTGTATGTTTTGCTCTAGTAGCATTGGCCTCTCAAATAGAGGAATTATTAATTTTAAGTAATTATTTAAATCTTTAAAGTGCACTAACCTGGAAAAATCTTAAGCATACTGTTATATTTAAAAATACTTGCAATCTACACATTTTTGCTAAGGTTTGTATGAGCAAAATGCAACAGGATCTATTGCAGGGTGCAGAACATAAGATCTTGAATTTGAATGTGTTGTGGACTATTAGTTAAACTTTCTTGTTTAGTGAATAATTTATATTTCAGTTTTTAACAGATTTTTAATGGCTTGGAACCACACTGCATAAGGCTACATAATATATTGATTTAATATGTTTGACTTCCACCTTTTGATGCTTAGGTTTAATCTGGCTCTGGTCTCAAATTTAATGAATTAAATGGCTTCAATGTAGTCCATTTGTCCACATCACTGGACTACAAATTTCTGGTAATAATATAAACTTCTTAGCCTTTTCTCAGAAAAGTCTGGAACTTGCATAGGGTTGCTAAACAGCAGTCACATATTTAACTTAATTACTTGGTTTTTAATAGTGTTATTAATTTATTATTTTCATAAACACAATTTTTTATTGTTAAAAAGAGAAAATATAATTTAGTAAAAATGTTATTAATAAAGAGGAATGAAAGCAAGTCTAGATCAATCCTGTCCATATATAGTAAGAAAATTGTAATCTTACAAATAATTCAGACACCAAATGAGTCTAAGAGAAATTAACATGCAACTGAGATACCTGGATTTTGCTTACACTATCTATATAATTTTCTCAGTTCTTCACCTGAAACAGTTATTGTCATGGGCATCCTATCTTGAAGATGTTTTCACATACTTGATCGTAATCACAGAGGTAATACTCAAAATTGTATTACAGCCTTACTTGACAACTCACTACAAATGAGAACAAAGAAGAATGTACATCTCATATGCAAAATATTCCTCCTTATACAGATGTAAGCTGTTTGCAAAACCTGGCTTTTGTGAGAAAAGATTCTTATTTATTGCCAAAGTTTTATCTGAATTTATACGGAGAAAACAGAAAAAAAATACTCCAGAAGAGCACAAAAATGGAGATTTCTATGTGGCCTTGTTTCAGAACAGTTACAAAAACAATCACATTTAATAACAATGTAGTATATTTTAACTTCCCCTTTTGATAATCAATTTGCTCTTTAAAATCAATTATGCATGCATTTAAGATTTGTTTGATAATGCCTAGACTGCATTTTCTAAAGACATAATTAGCTGACCATTCTTAAAATAGTCATGTTATAATAAATGGCTTGCTCTGGGATCTTAAAAAAAATCTGAATGCTATGCCCAGATCTAGAAGACCAGGTTATGTGACATTTACATAATACTTTGGTAAAATTTGAGATTAGATAATAAATAATCTTTTTCTTCACCTTTATTGATTCCCCAGTTTGAGGAGAATAAATAGGATATGTCATAACATTTTATGATTTGTCCTGTCATACTACACAGAAATAGCACCAAGCAGAAAGTATTTTGCCTGTAGATTTAACTTGTAATTCTGTAGAATCTATGTAAACTTCAGGAGCAGTAACTCTGTGTGTGGGGTTGTAATTGTGGTGTTGGTGTGGGGAGAGGATATGTACGTGTATATACAGTTGCTATAAAAGATTCAAATAAGAAGGCTCTTAATCTACTACAGTTCTTTCATCTTTCCTCTTCAGGAATAGCAAGGTGGTAATAAACAATGTAATCCAATCAGCGATATGTATTTAATTCCATTATTTCTATTAGAGATTATTATATTCTAAAATACTTATACCTTGCTTTTAAAACGATTGAATCAACTATTTTACATTTTAAAATCATCAAAACTATTATAATCATGAACAAGTGTTCCATTCACTTACCAATCTTAAGAAAGAACTAGGAGGATTTAATTGTATAATAAAATACTTTTCTCTTGTCATTTTTGAGAAATAAATTAGTTAACAGAGAGTAGTCACCACCAAAAGCTTAGTTGTGAGAAATCATTCATCAGAGTAATTATTCATCCAGATAATCATTCATGAAAATCCTTATTCATCAAGAAAATAAATATTTTCTTGTGAACATTTGAGCTAATTTATAACTTTATAAATTATCACTTTATAATTTAGAAGCACACCTCTATGTTTTCTGAGCACCACCTTAAAAAATGTATCACAGCAGTTACTGTGTGCCCTGTGGGTAGCAAGCATTGCCTGATTAATGATGATGTTCAACCACTATCAAGTAGAATAGCCAACCATTACTCCAGAGGACATTCAGTTTCAGTGTAAGATGGGCAGAAGTAGCAGCTGAGTGATAGATACTGAATGTGCACCTAAGAAAAAGCTCAAACATATCTGAAGCCTTTTACTAAAAGAATAGAATGAAGACATTAAAAGGCTGAAAAAATATAGTCTTCTTAAGCAAACGCATGTATCAAAATTTCATAAATGCATGTTGGCTATATTGAAAAATACTATTTATGTGCATGTGCGTGTGTTTGTATGAGTTAAAGCAAAGCTTGTATATGCCCAAGTGTTTTTTATATATGTGAGTTTTTATCAGGTTTTTCTATTTGAGTTACTTTAATAGATTCCTTGTGTCAAACTATTCCGCAAAAGAACAAAGATGTGAAGGGCCCAAAAAGAGAAGATAGTTAAGTCGTTATTTTAAAAGTAAATGTATAAACATTTCTTGAATATTTATTGAATGTGCCAGCAAACATCAATCTATATTTAATGCATAAGACAATTGATATAAATAATTTAAATAAGTAATACAAGCAGTTTTTATTTTCTCAAACGAAACAAAAATAAGCAAATTCTTAAAATAGCTTCCCGTTCTTATAGTAAAAATGCGGCATATCCAGAGTGTGTTCTTATAATCAGCTTTTTATATGAGCTACATATATGAAGTAGAAATGCATATGCCCCTGAAATGGGGAAATCCATCTCTAATAAAGCTCAGCATGAAAATACTTTAATGAAGTTTTATTTTATTTCCCACAAAGATAAAACACAATGTATGAAAATCAGTCAGTCTTCTGAGATGCAAACACATTGCACTTAATTTGCATACGAAAACAATCATTTCAAGAAATTTATCTATGAATACAAGACAGGAAACACGCATTTGTGGGTGAAAAAGTACAAACCTTAATCCCATTATTTTGAATGCAGACTGTCAAAAGCGATCTCAAACAATGTAGTGGAGTAAATACGGGTGTATATAAGACAAGAAAACACCGAATATTTAGAAGAAGGTTAATTTTGTGTTTATGGGCAAATGAGGCTATGGTTAATTTAAGAACATACAATTCTCTGTAATTTAGTTTCTAAGTTGTAAATGTAGAGAAACCTTTAAAAAATACACCTGAATAGCAAATATTACCTTGGTCAATATCTTTGTATATGTATATGTATGTGTTAGAATTAAAAATCTCTAGTAATACTCAGAGGTCAAGAAAATCTATAATTTTTCAATTCAAATTTACCCTAAGCTATTGATAAACCAATACTTAAGGGAAAATACTATAATTTTCACATAGTATGTGATCAGTAAATATTTGTTACATAAATGTTCTCAATAAAATAAGATTTATCTATAACATATACTAAATGCTCCAACATTGGACTTATATGAAAGGACAATTTAATTAGCCTTAATTATCAAGGACAGTGCAATCTGCCTGGCATTTGGTCATTTGCCCAGTGGTCTGTTGAACTCAGGTACATGACCTCAGTTGGGGGATTTCTTCACAGAACCATCTGTTTCTGATTTTTTCCAGCTTTTTCTGCCCCTTGTGCTCAATTTGCTTTAATATTTCTGCTTGGTTTATGTACTTAAGGTCATTTTAGACAAAATTGTGAAGCAGATAATGTCTCTCCTTGGTATCCTCCCATATCCCCTTTTAATCTCCCTGAAACCTTGTAGAAGTTCTATGGCCTGTTTCCAAGGTATTCATATTCTGTGCAAAGTCTTAATCCACAGCAGACTGTCCAAAACTTGGCACATTTAACAGTCCCCCAACCTCCAGAAATGCAGCTTCAGCAGTCGACTATTAGGTTGATGCAAAAGTAATTGCAATTTTACCTTTCTTTACTTTTAATGGGAAAACCGCAATTACTTTTGCACCAACCTAATATTAAGTCAGCATTCTTACTTGCTAGCAACAGATATCCAACATGGCTGTTCTAAGCAAAAAGAAAGTTCAGTGGAAGGATACTGACTGAGAGGTCAAATAATTCATGAGGACCTGGGAGGAGTTGCGTTTTGAGATTGAAAAAAGAGGCAACGGGGTAGCTACAGAGCCTAGGCAAAAACTCACAATTGGAGTAAATAAGTCTAGGATAATTCTAACATAAGCACTTTACACATTTTATCTGAAATTCGATTGTCAGGAAGCCATTACATAATGGTGCTGGAAAAGGCCATCATGAAAAACTTTCTATCTTGCCGCTTTAGTTGGTAAGTCTACTTGTTTATTACAAGACATACGTCATGATAGTTATATGAAGGAACAGAAATTGGAACTCTCATAAGGGAATTATCTATAAAATTATCTGTGACAGAGTCTTTCTCTGAGTCTGATTTGAGATAAAGCCAAGCTTGCTTCTCAAGTGTCATGTGATCAATATAACTTCCAAAGAGATTTTAAGTTATTTTTGACTACATAACTCACATAATTCAAGGTTCCATGGTCAGTAATAAAAAGGTAGGAAAAACTGGCGGTATTATTGTTTAATTCCTCTTTTGGGACCAGCAAAAAATAACTGGTAACAATAGAGAATTTACAGTAAAAAGGCATATGACCAAAAAAAAACAATTGAACAAATTATCCTTATAGGTACAATTCTTTGATTGATTCTTGATTCTTCAATTGAAAAATTGTCCCTGCAGCTCAGATTTCTCAATTGTAATAAAACCTGTGGGACAAATGCAAATTTAATCGTTTTAGTGGTTTAATTTTGAGGCAATTTTTATTTCATTTTGATCAATAGACATTTATTTCAAGATACACTGCAGCCTATTATTGTGAATACTTCAAACCTACTCTGATTTCATCCATCTGGTATAATAACATTCAGTCTCCTCTTGGTTTCAAAGATGTTCAAGTCAGCCATAATAACCGACTTCCATTTTGTGTCATCTCTTGGCGTGCACACCCAAAATATTGAATGCTATTGAGAGTGATGGCATACCCAAAACACTGAATGCTAACAAGATGAAATGAAAAATGCAGTGCAAAGCCATGAGAGGAGTGTGTCATGATATGTTGGATTCATATTTGGCCAAATTTGTGTGATCTGATTGACTTGGAAATAATGCTTCCAATTCTCTTTTACTTCATATATCAGAACAATTTCCTGTTAACTAATATGATGTTCTGACTTTTTATTTTAGTATGTTTTAGTACAAATATCCAGGAACAAATTATTCAATTAAATACATCTGACAGACAAGTTGTTCAATTGATTTTAAAAAAAAAGAAATAAATATAAATTAGGTATGTGATTTGTATTGGTTTTCTAGGGCTGCCTACATCTTAGCATAATAGAAAGTATAAAAGACTGGGAAGCTTAAAAAACTGAAATTTATTTTCTGACACTTCTGGAGACTACAAGTCAGAGATCAAGGTGCTGACAGGGTTGGTTCCTTCTGAGGGTCATAAAGGAAGTATTTGTTCCCAGCTTCTTCTCTTGGCTTAAAGATGGCCATCGTCTCCCTGTGTCTTCCTACTTTCTTCCCATTGTGCATGTTTGTGTTCAGATTTCCTATTCTTATAAAGACACCACTCATATTGAATTAGAGCCCACTCTACTGAACTTATTTTAAAATCATTTCCTCTGTAAAGACTTTATCTCCAAATACATCCTGAGATACTGGGGATGAGGACTTTAACATATGAATTTTGGAGGGGAAACAAGTAAGAACATAATATGAGTATATACATTTAAATGAGTTTTTAAAAACATTTGTGGGAATATACATGTACATGCATATATGTATATATGTGGTACATGTGTGTGCGTATACATCAACAGAAAAAGAATAACAGAAATGCATCTACAGGCATTTCTGCTGATATGCCATATATGTTTCTGAGAAATCATTGTACAAAATTACATGCTAGAAGTAATGGTATATATGGAAAAATCAGAGAAAGGTCCAGTCTGCTTAAATGCTATGAAATCCTGTAATTAAAGCACCAAAGAAACAATAGCACACTAATTAAAAAAAAAAAGTTAAATGTTTCCTGGCATTTTATCTAGCATTATAGTGAGTAGATCCCTTGCAGTCTTGAAAATTGAAATCTTATCTCCTTTGAAATAAAAATCCTGAAACACATTCACTTTTTTTAATACAGGGATACATCTTTATAATTTTTTTCCTTAGCATTTTTAGCTTTCCCAGACTTCTTAATATGAAAGTATAGTATTTTTGAAACCTTAATACCAATCACTACTTCTATAAAAGTGAAACAGTTCTTTATGATTTTCAACTTTTTAATCAGTTGTCCTGATATTGTTAAGCCTTTGACAACTGTGATAAACTCTATAAAAAAAACAAACAAGAAACTTTGTTCCTGATATCTTTAAAACATTAGTGTGCTAGAAAATTTGGAGGCATGAGCAAATAAGACTTCCTCTGTATACCATCCTATTACTTCCTTTTATTAACTAGATCACTTCTGAGTTTCAACTATAAAACAAAAACAAACAAAAAACATGACTTATAGCAGAAAAGACAAAACTTCAAGACGTTAAGAATGTTTGTGGAGGGAACTTACAGGTTTTTCCCTTCAGCACCTTTTTCTAAGTTCTTTTCCTCTAAGTACACTGTTACCATCAGCCTCTCCAAGTAAGAACAGTACCGTGACACTGACTTAGATACAGACAATTGTTCCAACTATGTGCATTTGAAATCTAAAACAGTTCAGCCCCCATTCTTGGCATTGTTGGATTTGATGCAATCATTTATTTCTTGTGACTGAATCTAAAAAGTAATGTTTCCAGCTCTGTGAATCACAGAAGAGTTTGTCCAGTTACAGGAGGGGACACAGACTGAAGCCATGTGAGGAAAGGAGGATGAAAGATAGGGAGAGGCCTCTTTGCATTTGAGTGTCTGACTTCGACTGTTGCTGAGTTCCTGCATTTTCTGACTTTCTTGCTGTAAAACCCTACACAATTTTCACATATTTTTTTCTGTGCTTATGCTGATTCAGATCATATATCTGTCACCTGTAAGTAAAACAATTCTAACAGATATGTGTAAAGTCTGGGTAATGAGATTATGTGTGACTTTGATTTGCCTCATTATACTGTACTTTCCAAATTCTAAAATAAACCTCCTTTTTTGTATGTGGACAAAACCATTGCTGCTATGAAGAAATACCAAAAACTGAGTAATTTATAAAGAAAAGAGGCTTAATTGACTCATAGTTCCTTATGGCTGGGGAGGCCTCAGGAGACAATCATGCTTATTTTTGAAAACTTTTTTTACAACAGTAAATAAGATGCAGTGACCAAAAATGGATATTTTAAAGGAAATGTAATATTTTGTTCAAAACAGGGACAAAGTTTTCCAGTATCCATAAAGATATATTGTTGCCTTAACTGGGCTTCATGTTTAAGAGAAGGTTAAAGTAGGGTGACTGTTCACTTTAATCTTAGATAAAATTCCTCTCATATTTTGATTAAGTATAGATCTTTCTTTTTTAACTTAAAGGTCAGTTTGATAGTAATCAAGTATAAATATTAATGACATTTCTAATGTCTTAACATCTATATCCTTATTCTAACTCAGATTCTATAAAATAATTGAGGGCTTTTAACTAAAGCCTTGATTTTTATACCTAAGGCTATTTGTCACATCAATTCTTATACTGTTTATATAATCATGGTATTTTACTTACTGATCTATACATTATTTGAAGGCAAAAGCTGGATAAACCTCATATTTATATGTAGTTCAGTGTCTTACCCATTTTTATGTTAAACATTGTGGAATCAACGAGATTTGAAGTTATTTTCTAGAAGGGATCTGTTATTTTATTATGTATCCAACACATATTACCAATACAGTATATATGATTACTAAACCTCTTAGCTGTTCACCCCTTTACTTTTCTCTTAAAATATGATATTCAAGGCAAAATACAAAAACAGAAAAAAATACAAGTAAAATTTTTCCTCACTTATTAACTTATCACTAGTCACGAGCCTGGCTCTAGTGTTACCATATTTCTTCAGGTCATCCTGTTAGCCTCAATACATAACGTAGTTTCTAGTGCAGAGTAGATGCCCAATGACAAGTGCTGCAAACAAATATTTTACATAAACATTTGCTAATAATTTATTAATATTGACAGTGACATGAACTGATTTATTTTTTACTGAAATATGTATTTTGGTGTGGTGCAAACACATATAAGCAACTTGGAAATGTACACAAATTAGAAAGAAGTCGTTTAATGCATCCTGGTAATAAAGTGTTTCAGCAAATGTCTGTAGCTGAATCTTTGCCTTTGTAAAATGATAATTTTACTTACTAAAATACTAAAATTTTTTTATCATTGTTTTTAACATGTAACTATAAAGATACAGATGTATGGCATCTATAGGAATTGAGATACACAAACCAGAAATTATAACAATTATGTTGAAGGAGGTCAGTTACTTTGTGCCAAAGATTGACTTGTGAAGGATCCAGAGTATTTTTAAGTTAATTCAGTTGGTCATGTGCAAAAGAACAAAGATGATTGTATTAATCATTAATGAAGGTTGAAAACTGATGAAAGAGTAATGAATATTCTGGAAATTAAAGCTTTGGGAAGTTAGAATATGCTGTAAGAGCTTTATCTTTCACTTAAATTAATATGTCCCTTATACACAAAATAAGAATCTTAATCTCCTTTTGGGTGTTGTGATCTTAGTTGAATGTTCAGATGTCTTTCTTTTCCACTCAAGTTTTCCTAAGTTTTCCAAAATCCTTAACACTTTTCCTGATGACTAATATATAAAACAAGATCTGGCCAGCTGCGGTGGCTCATGCCTGTAATCCCAGCACTTTGGGAGGCTGAGGTGGGCGGGCGGATCATGAGGTCAGGAGTTCGAGATCAGCCTTGACAGCATGGTGAAACCCTGTCTCTACTAAAACTACAAAAATTAGCTGGGCGTGGTGGCACATGCCTGTAATCCCAGCTACTTGGGAGCCTGAGGCAGGAGAATCTCCTGAACTCAAAAAGTGAAGGTTGCAGTGAGCTGAGATCATGCCATTGCACTCCAGCCTGGGTGAGAGTGAGACTCTTGTCTCAAAAAAAAAAAAAAAATGTACAAGGCAAGTAAGAAGTTATAAACTATAATCATTTCCTAATTAAGGGGCAGGTATACCTATGACTCTGCATGAGGATAAAAGTGGTTGAATATAGTAGTTTGTTGTTGTTGTTGTTGTTTTCTGAAACTTTCTCCTCTATCACCAACATCAGGAAGATGCCTTAGAGTTTCCTCACCCCCAAAATACTTTGTTATTTTCTGCCATGGCCTCCATAGTTAATGTAGCATAACAAAGAGCATATTATGCTATTGTAAAACACAATAATGATGAAAATATCCCAAATGTGTGTAAATGGTTAACTTAAAATTATTGATTTAGAATCATCTAATTTTAATACAGGGAGAAAAAGGAAAAAGAAACATGAACATTTTGGAAAGAGATGTACAAAAACAGAAGTTAGCCAGGAAAAAAAAGGGATAAATTTTGCTTCGTTAATTATTTAGTCCAGAGGCTAGCCTTACTGCCAGCATATTATTTTCAAAGCAATTGCAACCCAAAATTATTAGTGAGGTTTTAAGAACATAGTTTAGACTAAAAATTTTTTCTATACAATTCTGTGATTTGGAGTTGAATGTAGCACATTTTTTTGAAAGATTATTTTACTGGTAAAATTGTGTGTGCCAGGTCTAATACAAGGACAGCAAGTGATATTGTTCAAAGTTTTGCTCTGCTTTACTAACTTTAGGGGACATAAAATGAGTATATCTAGTTTCTTCTTTTGAAGAAGAAAAGGGATTAGAACAGTTATTTCATGGAAACCTCGACTTATAGAAGCATTACACTCCGTTTCAATGGGATCCTGCTGATCCGATTAAGAAGTGAAGTTACACAGGTGCATTATCTAGTTCACTTTGAAAGAAAAAGCAACAGACTTGATCAAAACAAGTCTCCCCATGGCTGCATTGTCAGACAGGACCACTGTCAGGATACTAACAGAAATGTGAATGAGAATTGCTGTTTCTCACGATTGTTAATTGAGTATCTAATAATGGATATCAGATGTTCTTTCCATTTTCTTCCTAGTCTAACTCTGTAAGATTCAATGAAAGGATCAGTAATTTTTAATACAAAGATATCTGGCTTCCTGCTACCACCTACCTAAGTTAATTCTGCATGTATTTTATACATTCATGGAGAAGTATTGAGTGTTTTCTTCCCAAAGGTACATTATACAAACAATTCAAAAGTATGATTTAAATAATGTCTTTATTTTACCCTGAAATAAATTCAATACTCTTCAAGTTGTTACTGAATAACTCAAGATTATGAACATTTTTTCAATAAAGAGAAAATCAGATTATATAAACAAAGCTTGCTAAGGAAATGTTAATCACATTCATATTTGTTTATTCAACTATTTTTTTTTAGTACCTACTATGTGGCCAGTCCATGTTCTGAGTGATTGGCATATAGCAATAGATAAAGGAGAACAAAAATTTCCTGCACTTGCTGTGGTCATGTTTTAGTAATGGTAAAAAAACAACAGACAAATACATAAGTAAAATCTGTGTGAGAGTGTGTGTGTATCTGTGTGTGTGTGTGAGAGGGAGAGAGAGAAAAATAGGGAGAAAGAGAGAGCGAGAGAGGTGGCGTTTGGTTTTAGGAGGAAATAGCACAAAGGAGTAATAGAGTATAAAATAGGGAGTGTCATTTTTATATATGATGATAATAAAAGGCTTCATTTATATAGCATTTGATTAACAACCTGAAAGACATGGGGGAGATGTCCATACTGGTTTTTGTGAGATGAGTGTTTCAGACACAGGCAGCAGCAAGTGTCAAAGCACATAGACATGGTCTGTAGCAAATGGTTGAGGCAATCACAGTCAATGAGTTCAGAGAGGTAACAGAGAAACAGATTGTATAGGGCTTTGTGGAGCATAGTGAGGATGTTAGCTTCCCTTTGAGTAAGATGGGAAGTTACTGTGGGATTTAAAGCAGCATTGTGGAAAATTTCTCATTCTGGGCCCTATGTCAAGAATAGCCTTTTGGAAAACAAGGTTGTAACCTGGCAGTCCAGTTGCAGCTATAACAAGCCTCTAAATGAGAGATAATTATGGTTTGAACAGGGCGGATGAAATAAGTGACCATATTTTTAGCATATAAAAATAGGATTTGATGTTAGATTAGGTTTGGTGTAAGAGAAAGAAATGTGTGAATGCTGACTCCAAGGTTTTTTATCTTGGTATCTGAAAAATGGGAATTGCATTTCCCGAAATAAAAACTGTAGGAAAAACAAGTTTTGCCTGGAAATTGGGAGTCTAGTTAGGAAAGCATTAAGTTGATTTGCCTGTAGCTATCTAAATGGTAAACTTGAGTAGACCATTACTATGCAAGTGTGGAGTTCACAGATATATATGTGTATGTGTATACACACATATACACACATGTAAACTTGAACATGATTAATTTATGGATGGTATGTAATGCCATGGGAATGGATGAGATCACCAAAAGAGTGAGTGTGAAGAATAAAGCAGACAGGTTAGAGGAGTGAAAGTTGGGAGTTTGGCACTTCAATATTCAGTGGTTGAGAAGACAGGAGGATGGAATCAAGGAAAGAAACTTAGAAAAGTTAGTCAATGAAGAAGGAAGAAAACAACATTGTCTTAATTCTTTCAATTATATACATTATATATGTTCTATACTATATTATATTTTACTTATATAATTATATAATATTGTATTTATTGTACAATATCAAATATAATCTTTTATAATATATAAAGTTATATATTCAAATATAAGATTCTTTGCTGGACATTGTACACAAAAGAAACGTGAAAACTGAAGATGATGCCCTCCTCAGATGACCCTCCTCAGAGGATTTTCTTTCTTCCCTGTTAGATGACAGAGCAGCTATCACCTCAATCCAATCAGACATTGATCAAGATCAGGTCTAGGTTTCAGTTTTAGGTACATTTAGCCCACTTATCTTTTCTAATGTCTCCAGGACAAGATGTGTTTTTATGTTTGTTTTAGGTCCTGTCCTTCATGGAACTGTGTCTCCTAAACACCATCGGACTGGGAGAACTCAGTTTCATTGTCCAGCTGAATCCTCCAGCCTTCCATATCATCATCTCAGCACTTAGAAAAGAACAGAGAAAAAAAAAAAAAACAGCATAAACCTGAAATTCCTCTAGATTATAATCCAGCACATCAGCCCCTATAGCCATCACAAATTTATAGGATTTCTCCACCACAAACTATCTTTACCTAGACAAAGCCTGATGCTCAGCCTGCAACCCAATGACTCAAAGGACAGAAAATGTCTGACATTCTCAAGCTTACTTTTAAAAGGGCATTTTTCTCTCTATTTTCATTCATCTGGTATTCTTCACTTCCAGTGTTTTAAAACACACTAATTTTTAATTCATCTTTGGTTTTTCCTAGTTGTTGCTTTGGAAGTGATTTTCTTTTGCTGGCTACTAAACTCTACTTGTAAGTGGAAGTCTGATTATTTATTTTCTATGTTCACATTTTTGTGGTATCTGAGCATTTGAAAAAACTTAATTAAAAAAAAAGAACTTCATCACAAGTGGTGGGGCGGCTGTACAGGCAACATTGGACTGAAGAGCAAGGAGAAGGGATGAGGGAAGAGGATTCTAGCAATTGCTGGTGGTGTGACTTTAAGCAAGTTTTATATGTTCTCCAAGCATCATGCTCTTATTAACGACTCAATAAAGGTAGTTGTAATGGACATTTTTCCTACTCCTTACCTTAATTCCTTCATGATCTGATAAGAGCACTCTCATTTTCCTTGAGGAAAGAAACATTCTAACTCATTCTCAGGCCAGGTAGTTTGCGTGAAATGATCCCACCCTTGGCCTTGGGAAGTAGGCATGTGACCCAAAAACCTAATCGGAACATTTTATCCCCTATCCCTTAACCAGGGCAAGAAGCTGCTGCCGAGGACCCCATGTGACCTATTTCATAGCACTCTGCCAATTGCAATAAAAAGACATATTTTAGTTTATTGCTTGAGAGGACAGAGTGAAAACCTGGAGCTGTTAATAACTCACTGCAACATCCCCCCACCTGCATGATGGGGCACAGGGTAAAACAGAGCCAAGAAACTGAGACAGCCAAGTCCTGATGGCTTCAAATCAGCCACAGGATCCAGATAAGCCTGATCTAATGTGAATCTTCCAGTGTACTATTTCCTTACATCTGCATAGTGGGAATCCTTTGTTCCTTTTTTTTTTTTTTTAAATTATACTTTAAGTTCTAGGGTACATGTGCACAATGTGCAGGCTAGTTACATATGTATACATGTGCCATGTTGGTGTGCTACACCCATTAACTTATCATTTACATTAGGTATATATCCTAATGCTATCCCTCCCCACTACCCCCACCCCACAACAGGACCCAGTGTGTGATGTTCCATTCCTGTGTCCAAGTGTTCTCATTGTTCAATTCCCACCTATGAGTGAGAACATGCAGTGTTTGGTTTTTTGTCCTTGCGATAGTTTGCTGAGAATGATGGTTTCCAGCTTCATCCATGTCCCTACAAAGGACATGAACTCATCCTTTTTATGGCTGCATAGTATTCCACGGTGTATATGTGCCACATTTTCTTAATCCAGTCTATCATTGATGGACATTTGGGTTGGTTCCAAGTCTTTGCTATTGTGAATAGTGCCTCAGTAAACATACGTGTGCATGTGTGCCTTTATAACAGCGTGATTTATAATCCTTTGGGTATATACCCAGTAATGGGATGGCTGGGTCAAATGGTATTCCTAGTTCTAGATCCCTGAGGAATCGCCACACTGTCTTCCACAACGGTTGAACTAGTTTACAGTCCCACCAACAGTGTAAAAGTGTTCCTATTTCTCCACATCCTCTCCAGCACCTGTTGTTCCCTGAATATTAATGATCACCATTCTAACTGGTGTGAGATGGTATCTCATTGGGGTTTTGATTTGCATTTCTCTGATGGCCAGTGATGATGAGCATTTTTTCATGTGTCTGTTGGCTGCATAAATGTCTTCTTTTGAGAATTGTCTGATCATCTCCTTCGCCCACTTGTTGATGGGGTTGTTTGTTCTTTTCTTGTAAATTTGTTTGAGTTCTTTGTAAATTCTGGACATTAGCCCTTTGTCAGATGAGTAGATTGCAAAAATTTTCTCCCATTCTGTGGGTTGCCTGTTCACTCTGATGGTAGTTTCTTTTGCTGTGCAAAAGTTCTTTAGTTTAATTAGATCCCATTTGTCAATTTTGGCTTTTGTTGCCATTGCTTTTGGTGTTTTAGACATGAAGTCCTTGCCCATGCCTATGTCCTGAATGGTATTGCCTAAGTTTTCTTCCAGGGTTTTTATGGTTTTAGATCTAACATTTAAGTTTTTTATCAATCTTGAATTAATTTTTTCATAAGATGTAAAGAAGGGATCCAGTTTCAGCTTTCTACATATGGCTAGCCAGTTTTCCCAGCACCATTTGTTAAATAGGGAATCCTTTCCCTATTTCTTGTTTTTGTCAGGTTTGTCAAAGATCAGATGGTTGTAGATGTGTGGTATTATTTCTGAGGGCTCTGTTCTGTTCCATTGGTCTATATCTCTGTTTTGGTACCAGTACCATGCTGTTTTGATTACTGTATGCCTTGTAGTATAGTTTGAAGTCAGGTAGCGTGATGCCTCCAGTTTTGTTCTTAATACAAGATCTTAACAACAACAGTGACAAGGTAAACAGCTTCCTGTCAGTCATGAAAATGAAGGAATCAAACAAATGGAAGTATGGGAAAAGAATTCTTACAATTTCTACAAAGATCTCTGTATTCTCTTTAAGAAGATAACAATTTCTTTTTAAGTGATAATACTAAGACTCCTTTATCAAGTCCGCACTTTCTTTTGTAGTGTAAGCTGCACGTTCACCATCAGCATAAAGATGGAGTGGGAGGAAAAGGGAAAATTCCAAGATCGATCAAATAACTCATTTCCTATTTTGGTTGTGTACTACTAATCCTTGACTTATTAGTCACTAAATCTCTCTTTCACCCATGTTAGTAAGGCACTTGTTCTCAAAAAATGACTATCAATGATATTCATTCATGGCATTAATAACAATATTTGCAATGAGCTTTTACAGAGAAACATGCATAAATTGTAGTTTTTATTATTTTTGCATATTATGGAACACTATTACTATTAAAATAAAATATAGATTTCAAGTTCTTAAAATTTCTATTTGAAACATTAACAGTAAAGGCAGGTTAGATATAATTGGAAATGATTTTATCTGTTTTGTCTTGGCCCCAGAGGTCACATATTGGATCCAGGGATACAAATTGGAGAGAGGGGAAGATTTTGACTTAATGTTCTAACAATTACCACTCTCTGAATATGAAATAAGCCAAGATAAATAATTTCTAGGTTTTCTTTTGCCTTGGAGCCCTGAAATTCTTTAAGCCTGATTTGTATTGATAAAGGGTGGAAGTTATTTATAAAAATGAAAATGATTCCTTAGAAATATGAACTGTGCAGGAGAGAATTGATATTATAATTGATTAAACTGTGCCAGGCTTTAAATACCTTTTCTTATTGAGAAAAATATTGAAAATAATTGTTAATTCCACTTCTATTGGTGAAAACCTGAGGCTTCGAGAGGTAAGATAACTTGTCCAAGACCACTAGCTAATAAATCATAGACCAGGATTATATTCTCCAAATCCTGTCTTTCCATTACACAATAGTGTTTATTCTATATCACATATGAGACTTCTCAAAAGCTGCTAGTGTTGCCTTGGCTTAAGTAAATATTCAGACAGATGCTTGGAGAGTACAGGTTTGAAAAAATAATAAGAAAATTAGCAGAGGGATAAAATTTATAAACATTTGCAATAAACACAAAGGAAAAATATAAATAATTACTTTTATAAAGTTTATTTTATTTAAAGTACAATACATAGAAAAATATAATAATGTACACTCACAGTTCACCAGCAAAATCTAATGGAACTAGCCACCTTTCACTTGAGATAGTCCAGGGCTCAGGGAGCACGACATCACAAAGTGCTAACACAGAACTAATTAGTACTAGTAAATGCCATATTTAACATGTTGGTAACCTATAATGTATTTACAAATATTTTCAGATTCTTTAATAGTATTACCTGCTTCCGTATCAAAAAGCCTAGGTCAAGAATTGCACTAAAAGATTTCCAAGATCTTTTTGGTAAATATAATAACTCTTTTTATCATTTATAGGCTGTAAGACAAATTTCTGCCAAGGGTAGTTGCTTTAGTAATGTTGCTTGTATGTTCTGAACGGGGACATTTCCTGATTCATGGTTGAAAATTATAGATAGGAGTAGAATGTACTTCTTCCACAAAAGCAGATCTGATTATACCTAAGAGGTATGAAAGTACAGTGATTAAGAACTTGGGGTCTAGAAGCAGACTGCCTGAGTTCAAGAGCCCCTGTTTGTTATTAGTTGTGCAAAATCTATGAGTTCATTAATTATCTATGCCTCTGTGTCTCTTCTGTGAAAAGAGGATCCAAATATTGCATGTGTGTCTTAATGTAAAATTCTTAGAAAATTGCCTGGCACAAAATGAGCTCTATTTGATACCTATTAACCTTAATTATAATAGTCTCTTTTTTCTGAATAAAAACTATTGACCTATCTTTTCCAGTTGTTATTTTGGTTTCATTTGAAGGAAAATAATCAGAAATCTATTGTGCACAAATAACTTTTAATTTTAAGATTTTATCAACTTTTCAGAGTAGCAAAATACTTCAAAATAACTGTTATACTTGGTTCAGAAATAAACGTATTTTCCATGTATTTATTCAAGTAGGGCAATTGTATTCTAAATGTAATCTCTCTCTTTATAAAAAATTCCTTTAAATGAATAGTGAAGCAATAAGAGGCACCTACAAAGTTGTAAAAGAATCGACACTGCCTACAATTTATGAGAGATAGACATATGCAAATGAACTATTTATCAAGTTTATAATTCATATAGTTTCAGAAAACTACAAAGAAATACTATGCACCTATTTACGGAAAGTCCAAGGAGGAGAAAGGAGAAATTTACCTTAAGTATTTCTGCTACATATATGTAATCTCAATTTTGTAAATAAAATGCAAGTGGCACATAAGCAGTTGTAACTGCTGGTAGGACAAAGGCATTTGGTTTTGTCAATCTCTTTACAAATTGGAATCAATATATTTTTAAGTAACTGATACGCATCATGGCTCTATAGTTTTCCTGATAAATGGCACTACATTACTTAAACTTATAAATGTGTAGAAATATCTCCTGACATTAAAAAAAATTGTAGTGGTCACACAGTCATTTAGAAATGAAAACCAGATATGCTATAAAGCAATGTAAGTTCTGCAAAACAGGAAGAGTGAGAATTGGTAAGCTTACATTTTAAATATATTTTGTCTGTTTATGGATTCTGTGATTTAATGAATAATTTCTGCATGAATTAATCTACTATTATGAAGGAACTAAGCATTTCTACTAAGGCATAAAAACCAAAATTTAGGATAATATAGTCTAAAAATTTAGACAATGTAGTCAAAGAATAGTATGCCTTAATTAAGAAAGGTCACACTGTTTGACTGATGTGTCAAGTTCAAGATGGATGCACATGAAGTGGTCAGATCAAACAGGGAGATAGTAGCAGCCAGGTCATTTGGACCAGAGTCAGCTCCTGAGGCGATAACAGATGTTGAAGCCAGATTACCCTCCCAGGTAATCTGTCCTTCTTGCCTTATCTAGTTTGTGAACTCCAAGTTATTTTCAAATTTAAGCTGTGGTTTTAATATTTTGTGAATCTTTACTTGTCTGCCCCAGAGGGTAGGTTTTAGCTCCTGCTTCATGATCTCCTAGTACGCTGACCTTGCTACTATTATCACATTTTATTATGCCTTATAACCCTGAACTGTAATTTTTAATCACCATATAAATTTTATCCCTATTGTAAACCACTAGAATACTGGGATACTGTTTTATTCATTTTTAATTGACATAAATTAGCATAGTTTCTAATATATAATATGCATTCCATACATACTTTGTTGACTTCAATAAAAACTTTAAACTTAGTTTAAAATGTATAGCTCATGGTTTGTCTCTATCTTTGTGTTGAGAAAGACATGGATGTTGAAGCCTCTTCACATCCCTGTAGGCATTTTTCTTATCCTACTTATGTCCTTTGTCCTGTTCCTCTTGTTCACCGTGTTGTTCCCAGAGCTCTTTTTAGAATCCCAGCATTCATTAATCATTAATCATTTTTTGTACACATTATTATTCATTTCTAACAATTTTTCAAGATTTTTCTACAATCTCTCTTTCTGTGCTCTTATAAAGTACTTCTTATAGAACAAACAGATCAGAAGAGAAAGATGGTTTCCTCCTACAGGCAAAATAGTACATAACTCTGGTTATCTTGCTAGCACTTTAATGATTAATCATACTTTAAAATACCTTAACAAAAACTTTAAATGTACTTAAGTTTTAAAACACAGTAGGTAACTTTTAAAAAATGCTTTAAACTGTATAAAGAAGTGCCTTACTCCGCCTCTGTAGAAAGCACCAAACTTATATCGTCATTTTTGGATATAGTGATCATATGATAGAATAAAAAAACAAATTTTGTCCCTTCATTCTCACTTGTACACTTCTGTGTTCCATCATTAGGCCAAAATGAAGTCTACAAAAGGGTTTGGAATTCAGTCTTGCAATCTTGAATACCTAAATTCATTACTCTGTAAAAACAAATCTGTCTTTCAGAGGGTGACTCACATTAACCAAGCATACAAAATCTGATTGTTTATATCATATTAAAATGAATAAACTTACAAGAAAAAATAAACTATCATGTGGAGAAGAGTATCTATACTCACAGAACAAGCATGTTTATATTACTACAACATATTTAAAGTATTGAAAAGGAAATAAACATGTACCAGTGTAAACTATTCTAAGTCAGTATTTTCTCCCTTGTTTTTTACTAAAGCAGAAACTGCAATTTTAAGCATATCTTCAAACATAAATCTTCAAGAACAAGATGCTACAGTTAGCCAAACCCCTCACCTCAGTTTGGATTTTTGGTTTGTTAGTCTTCTACTGTGTTATTTGTTTAGTGTACTAGTACCTTCAATCAGATTACATCTCTTTTAGGGGATTTAGAATAGACTGTTTTGTTGCTTTTATATTCTTTCAGAATACGTTTTTCTATGTCACATTTCAATATTATTTGGAGTAGGGTAACATGTAATATTTTCCCATATTGCCACATAGAAGTTTCAATACTCAATGTGAAATGCATATCTTTACAAGTTAATGGGAATGTGAAAAGGAGGAAAGAAAACAAGAAAACAATTATTGCTTACTTGTTCCACACACTTTGAAAATATCACACAAATCTTCAAAGTAATCCTTTGAGATATATTTATTATCTCCCTTTTACAAATGAATGGAGTCTCATACATTTTGTATCACTTGCCCAGGTCACATGTTAAACCATGATATAATCCTAGATCTAACTCCAAAGAGACCTCTCCAGTATATACTATGTCCAATAAGCAGAGAAACTTAAATGTGAGCAATTCATTATAGTGACAAAAAAGAGTACTAAACCCAAAATATTAATCTTCTATGTATTTAATGATATGCATAATTGCTACGGTTTTGCTTGATAATTAAGATGTAAATACTAAACAGATGAGTAAATAGTTGTTAATTAATATTTAAAAGTCACGTATTTTTGAATCAGAACAAAGAAAAATGTCATAACAAGAAGGTATTTTAATGCCTTACTTAAGCTAACTTGAGTCCCTTTAATCCTCTACTGAAAACTTTCCTCTTATTAAATAACACTTATGTACAATATATAGCACTAGAGTGACCTCCAAATCCTTTCTTTATCTTAGAAAAGTAAAGTACACTGCTTCTGAAATACTTGACCTATATTGGCAAAAATCTAAAAGTGAGTGATGCGCATAGATAAATTAAATAGAAAAATAACCATTTTAGGTGGAAATGTTAAGGGAATAAATTATAGATTTGTCAGAATTTGAACTTATGCCTTATGAAAAACAGAAGATGAAAAGACCAAGACAAAAGAAAATCAGGTTCTTTTGGCAGATTAAATTGAATGTGCAAAAGGCAAATGTAGAAAAACATAAGGCTTTTTACAGGCAATTAAACTAGTTTGGATAGCATTAGTTTGCATAGAGATTTGTGGTATATAAAAAAAGAAGGAAAGGTTGGGCACAGACAAGAAATGCCTTAAAATGCATAAAATCTGTGCATATTTTTCAGAGTCCTTGTGATAGATAGAATCCTAAGATAACCCCCAAATCGCCTACACCTGGTATAATTTACCTTCTACTGGCTATTGAATCATACACTAATGTAGATGCTGCTGTGAAGGGATTTTTGCCAAGGCGATTAAGTTCTCAAGATAATTCACTTTAAAATCCTGGATGGATTTGACTTAGGTGAACTTTTAAGAGGAACTGGGACCTTCTAGAAGTTAGATTTGAAGCATAAGAGAGATTTGACATGACAAGCTCTCTCTTCTTGGCTGTGAAGATGAAGAGGGTCACATGGCAAGGAATGTGGAGCAGCCTCAAGGACCTTATAAGGCCCACAGCTGACATCCAGAAAGGAAACAGGCACCTCTGTCTACACAGCAAGGAAATTAAGTCTGCCACATTCACCTGAGTTTGGAAGACGACTTTGAGCTCCAGATGAGAACACAGCATTGACACCTTAATTTCAGCCTTGTAAGAAATTAAGCAGAAGAGTTAGTAGTCATGCCATGTCTGAATTTCTGAACTACAGAACTGACAGAGAATAAATAGGTACTGTTTTAAGCAGCTAAATTTGTAGTAATATGTTATGAAGCAATGTAAAACTAATACAGCCCAAGAGTAAAGCATCCTTGCCTCCAATTTTCCTTTTCTTTTTTTGTCTTATTACATAGAAGTAGTACTTGTATGTCATGTATCTTTATTTTTTTAAATGATTTGTTTGCAATTTAATACTTGATTCTTCTTAAAAAAGAGTTATTAATTAAATTAATAATTATTAATTGGAAATGCAAAGAAGCCATCCAAAGTAAGCTGCTTGCTATGAGAAATTTTGAAAGTTTAAAAAGGATAAAAGTTATTAGGCTAATAGCATGGAAAAGTTCTAAGTAGTCTGACAAAACAGTTTCTAAATTAAACAGTTTGATCAACAGCAACATAATAGATATTTGTTATTCACCATCTCTTTTAACACCCTATTTTAGAAGAAAGCAAGTACTAACATTTCTTTTTTTATATCCTCATCTGATCTTGTATTGTGCACATCTTAATTAAAATGAGCATTAGCCAGATAATGTACAAAAAAAAGATTAATACAATTCAAATTTGTATATGAGCTGATTCTTTAAAAATTGTAAGTATTTGAAAAATTTTTTCTCTTTAATACAAAAAACAGAAATAATCAATTTTACAATGATAATTTAAAGGGAGGATATTTACCACATACACACAGACATGAAAATAGTGCCTCAAATGAATGAACTAAAGAGATTGTTGAAAATGATTTAAGATATAAAACAAATAAATAAATATGCATACACACATATATTTACAGTCATCCCTCTGTATCTGTCGGGAATCGTTTCCAGGAACTTCTGCAGTTATCAAAATCCAAGAATGCTCAAGTTGCTAATATAAAATGGCATAGTATTTGCATATAACCTGTGCACATCTTCTTGTATACTTTAAATTATAATAGATTACTTATAATACCTAAAGCAGTGTAAATACTATTTAAATAGGTGTTACAGTGTATTGCTTAAGGAATGATAAGTTAAAAAAAAAGTCTGTATGTGTTCAGAACAGATGCAAATTTTTTCCAAATATTTTTGATCCATGGTTGGTTGAATCAACAAATGTGGAACCTGCAGATATGGAGGGCCAACTGTGTAAGTACACACACACACACACACACACACACACACACTCTTAAAGAATGGGGAAAAAGTAGCTGAATTGTAAACAAAATGTTATCTTAAATGCAGTAAAATTTAAATAATATAAAAATGTAAAACTGGACAGGCACGGTGGCTCACGCCTGTAATCCCAGGACTTTTACTAACATGGTAAAACCCCGTCTCTACTAAAAATACAAAAATTTAGCCGGGCATAGTGGCAGGCGCCTGTTGTCCCAGCTACTTGGGAGGGTGAGGCAGGAGTATGGCACGAACCCAGGAGGCAGAGCTTGCAGTGAGCCGAGATTGTGCCACCACACTCCAGCCTGGGCAACAGAGCGAGACTCTGTCTCAAAAAAAAAAAAAAAATGTAAAACTTACTACTTATTCTTTACTTCCCCTTTCATTTCATTAAAATAACAGTAATAACTATAGAAATATTTAACATTTTAGTTGGTGATAAGGGGAGACATTTAAAATGTAGCATTACTTTCTAAACCCCACTCTAAGATTTCTCATGTCGTTTCCAATTTTTATGCTGTAATAGTTTGTTTTCACAGTGCTATAAAAAACTTCCCTGATACTAGGTAATTTATGAAGGAAAGATGTTTAATTGACTCACAATTCCATATGGCTGGGGAGGCCTCAGGAAACTTACAATCATGGCGGAAGGGGAAGCAGGAACCTTCTTCACAAGACCTCAGGGGAGAATAAGAGAGAGCACAGGAAAAACCACCACTTTCAAAATCATCAGATCTCGTGAGATTCAGTTACTATCACGAGAACAGCATGGAGGAAACCACCCCCATAATCCAATCACTTCCCTCCCGGGACACATGAGGATTACAATTCGAGATGAGATTTGGGTGGGGACACAGAGACAAACCATATCAATACTGTTTAGGAGAAAAGTGATCCAGCAGAAAAAAACCGCAATACACTTTGTGAAATTTTTGAATATCAAATACTTTCTAAGATAACAAATATCTTTATTTAGTAATAATATTTTTTTAATTTTTGGATATCAGTGTTGTTTCTTCAGATAAATAAATTCTGACCTTAGCTTCAATTTATATTTTATTTGTTTCCAAGCACAATTTTGAAGTTCTTGAGTTATTTCCCAGTGGTAACCAGAACACAGTAATTCATTTTTAGAAGTTCCATTCCTGCCGTATCAAAATCCTCCAAAATGTTTTGGGATTCCCCAGATGAGTATTGCAGGCATGTTTATGAAGCCGTTCTACAGGTGACCATGTTACAGGTGACCATGTTACAAATGACATTTCTTCCTGTTCTTTTTTGTCTCACTTAGGATTTGTCAACTGTGGGTGTGTGTGCAGAACTGGCCTCATTGGGCATGCCACAAGTGCAGTCACACAGGGCTCCAAATAGAGAGATGGCCTCATATTTGGGCTTTAATGTCCTGTGATTACTGTCTTGGGATTCTTAATACTTTTACCTTTGAATTTGTGTTTTGTAAGTTTTGTAATGGGACAATTGAGGATGTGCTGGGAGCTAGGAGCTTCAAATCACATGTGTTTCCACATGAGTCTCAGAAAGGCCCGCCACACAGTGTCAGGGGGGAGCCTCAGACACTTGTGAGAGTCTACACTCACCCACTGAGTAGTATCCTGTGCCTAAAGGAACACCACATCAAATTGCAAATTAAAAAGAGAGAGAGAGAGAAGTCCCAAAAGAGCAAGAGACTGCTAGAGAAAGGAAAACACTTTTTTCTGTTTATGAAACAAAATCCCACATTTTTATTTGTTCTAGGTACTCTAACTTATGTAGTGGGACCTACGTGCACTCTGAAGAACTACAACTGTCCTCTTGATGTCCCTAACTATCTATAGTTCCTGGTTATAGGTGTTCACCAGGAGCTGCCTGCTCATGCTCAGACAACAGGAGGTCTCACAACACTGTCAAATCATCTACAATTGCTAGAACTGCTGCATTGTCTTCAAGATGTAAGTAATTCATTTACTTTAGTATTTGCTGTTTTGTTGCTGTACCTTAAGCTAAAAGTCAGAGATGAACTTATGGAAATAGAGCCAGAGCTCAATCTTCTTTACCCATTTTGCTGAATCTTTTATTAATTTTGAATTTAAAAATGGCATCTGAATTCTATTCTCTGTTAATGTGAGTCTTTTACAGAAGGCTGCTTTTTATGCAAATATAAATTTAGGATAGTGGTTCCCCTGTAACATTTTCTATGCCAAGACTCACATAATTTCTAGTGTGATTAGGATTTAGGGTTAAAGAACAACCTAGTTTAATCAACAAGGATTACTTAACAGAACACCTTAGGGCATCATGATCCAATTATGCATTACTTTTATCAACTGTAGAGAGGCTTCAAATCCTAAGAGAATTGAGGTCAAAACATTAATTTTTAGATGAAAAAACTGGGGCCCAAAAGGGTTAATCAAACATTTACTTAGGGTCTAAGTGTAAACTGTTTTCTTTAAATAATATGAATCATTTAAGAAAATGTACAACATTAAATGCTCATGTCCTATAAATATTATAGGAAGTAAGAACTAAATTGATGTTAACATTTTTTAAAAAATTCCTAACTATGGAAAATGTCAAAAATCCAAAGAAAGAGGTCTGCTTTAATGTTGATAAAATTGTGTCTTACAGAAAGGGTTCTAAGATATTTTCCAAGAAGCTCTCACACAAACATCATCACACCAAGAAAAAATACTATGGCCTACCAATAACTAAACCTGGATCAAATTTTGTCTATTTTCTCTTATTGCTTCCAGATTCAAAGCTATTACAACAATTTAGCTTTCACACTTGTAAATTTTGAAATTTCTCACTTATTGCTATAATCTTAGGACTCTCTTTACAAAATTTTTGCCTCACATATGGAAATTATTTGCCTATGTTGGATATCTCAGATTTATTGCTTTCCCTTCCTCCTACTGATGTTCAATTTTGTCTTTCTGACTCATCATTGTAATCTTGCATCAGCCCAAATCCAGAGCTGAGAAATGATCGTATTATATATTTACTAAATGCTGATTCAGCATGAAGCCACTAACTAGTTTCTGTTCAATCCCAGTAGTCATAACACACTCTTTGCACAATTTCTATATTTAATACACAACCTGCTTATTTATATGTGAACCACTAGTATTAGGAAATAATGATTTATTTCAACAACTATTTCTTCTCCATCTCCTGTGGGCTGGATACTATGCCAGGTGATGAGGAATCACATCATGAATAACAGATGGTTCTATGCATTGAGAATCTTCTGGTCTCCACAGTCCACATAAGGCATGCCTGCTTTGACAGAATTATACCCCTTTATTATCTCCATACCATGCAAATCAGAGCAAAGAGTAGGAAGGATATGAGGTGAAGAAGGGATGGGCACAGAAGAAAAATGGTAAAATTTTTCTTGTAACCTTCCTACTCCTCATGTCCTGGTATTGCCTATCTCTGCCTGGATTGATTCTGTCTATCCGTATATGTGTTGTCCAATATTGTGTGCTGCATTAACTGAACTTGCCCTCCTCTTCTGCAAACTGAGGTTTCAAAATTATCTTCTTCTGTTCCTACAAACTTCCCTTCCCTTCTTCTGAGTGTTAGAGCTGTATATTTACCTGGAAATAGTATAGATACTGGTATAAGAAAAGAAATGATGGCTTTGTGTTATTAATATTAAGCACCATGTTTAGCATTCTAAAAAAGTTTCTTGTACAAAAAATGTAAATATATAAAAGTATAAGAGCAGTAAGTTAAAGTAGTAAGATATCTCCCCCAACACACACATTTAAAAAAAAAGAAATGAAAAGAACATGAACTATGTAATTTGTCAGTGCTATGTTTAAATCCAACTTTTGCCACTTATTATCTGTGTAATATTAAGCAAATTATGCAACTTTACTTGAGTTTCAGTTTTCCTATCATCTCTAAAAAAAAGGATAATAAATTACTTCATAAATTAGAGATCCATTTCATAGACTTGAAATAAGCAAAGTTTCTAATGGCATACCTGGAGTTTCTAGTGCTATACCACATAGCAGACAATCCATAAATGCTATTTCTCTCCTTTTCAAGTTAAAATAACAATGTAACTTACATAAAAGATAAAAGTTTGAGTCTATTCTGATGTTATAAACCTTTACTTATAAGTACTTATTATTATGGTATCTATCTATAAAACATGCATAAAATCTTGTATAATAATTGTAATTTGCAGATGATAAACTGTGTAAGTACCCAATTTCCTCATGTGTTTTCAAATAAATCACATGAAGAAATCTGGAAAGTATTATAATCATAATGTTGAAGAAACTGAGATCAAGAAAGGTTAAGTGACTTGCTCAGGATCACAGCATAATTAATAACCGAGTCAATGTAGGTCTTTATAGACTCCCTTATGTGCTCTTTTACCACACTGTGCTGACAACATTAGGACTGGAAGCCCTGCCACTCAGCTTTCTATCTCCACATGCTCTCCATCTGGCTGACTCTAGATAAAGAGGCTCCATGCACTCGTTGCTTTTGAGGCATTCACAGTTTCAGTTATGATTGTCTTTCTATGTTTTAAATCTCCTGTAGTTGGGATTTTTTCTGCTTGTATATTTTATCATAGATATTTGTCTTAGTCTGTTTATGTTATTATAAAGGGGAACCTGAGGCTGGGCAATTTATAAGAAAAGGGTTTTATTTGCTTCATGGCTCTGCAGGCTGTACAAGAAACATGGCTCCAGCATCTGCTTCTGTTGCAGGACTCAGTCTGCTTCCATTCATGGTGGAAGGTGAAGAGGAACTGGTGTGTGCGGGTCACATGGAGAAAGTAATGATAGAATAAGAGGTGCCAGGCTCTTTTCAACAACTAGTTCTCATGGGCGAGAACTTACCAAACCATTCACGACAAATCCACATCCATGATACAAACTCCTTTTACCAAGCCCCACCTCCAACCTGAGGATCAAATTTCAACACAAAACTTGGTAGGGCCAAATGAACCATATAGCAATCATGGCAAAGATTCCTTTCTAGAGGGTCTTCTACAATTTGACTTGACTTTAAGCTCAAATTTCAATAAGATCCACAGACAGCAGACAGAATCAAGAACAGGCAATTGTGTCAATCCATCCTTTTGAGTGTGATTGCTTAAAGAATGGTCATGTAATGTAATTATGACCAATGAGATGTTAGAGAAAATTGACTAGAAGGCTTTCTCTGAAATTGTCCACTCTCTTAATAAAGAACAAAAAGACATGCTATTCTCTTTTTCTCCACCCAGATAGCACCATCTACATCTAACACCTGGATCTACAACAAATCATTAGCCTTACACCATGAATGGTAGAAGAGTGAGAGGGATGGATTTAACAGCAACATTAATTGAATGAATAAACTGAATCTTGAAGCACCATACCCATGGAATTTGTAATATAAAATAATGAATACCTTTACTGGTTAGTCATTGTTAAATAGGTTTTGCCATTAGCTGCAGTCATGAGCACCCCAATTGATATGGTTGAGATAAGCCTAGGTTACCTTGATTTCTTGTCTAGTGTCTTTCAAAAATTACATCATATCACTTTGCACTTTGTAAATATATACAATTATAACTTGCCAACTTACAATAAAATTTATATATATATATATATATATATATATGTAGATAAATCACTTCATGCCTGGGAAAATTCACCAACTCATACTAAGATAGAATTTTTAGATTTTATTACTCTAAGGAAACCTCTTTTGAACAATTTAGGGAAAAGAAGTACTTTTCATTCTAAAACATGTTTTTTCTTAATCAGTCAATCCTCTACACTGCAGCCAGAATGATAAGACATAAACTAAATCTCTTCAACTTGCTTAAAATTCTTATGAGACTCTTTAAACCTATTGCTTACAGCAGTGTCTCTCACCCATGGCTGAACAGTTTAATAACTTGTGGAAAATTTTAGAAACGGTGATGTCTGAATGCCCCCACCACCCTCCAGAGATTCCGACATACTAAGTATGGGTGTGTCCTGAGCATCACAATTTAAATAGGTAGCCAGGGTTGAAAATTCCTTCCCTAGAGATTAATTTAATTGGTTTGGAGTGGGACCTTGAAGGTATATGTTTTTGTTTTAATTTCATTGATGATTACAATGTTGCCAGGATTAAAAACTTTGGTTATGTACAAGGTACAAATTCCTTAACACAGGGTGCAATACATGTTATTATCTCTCTCCTAAACAAGGACTCCTCCTTCCCTATATGTTTCAGTCACACTACATCAATTAGAATTTTGTTCCACTTCATATAACAAGAATCCCCAACCAGTGTCTTAAACCAAAAAGAAATATATCTTTCTTTTTTTTTTAAGCTTTAAGTTAGACATTGATTGCTCTAAGGTATTATCAGAGCCCTACACAACCCTTTATTTTACACTTCATTCACTAGAAATTAATCATATGGACAAAAGCAGCCAAAAGGGAGGCTGACTACATTGCCCTTACAAACAAAATCCGTGCTGTAAAGTGAATAAGAAATAGAGAATAAATATTGGCTAGGAACTATCTCCACATACCAATGACATGAAATTTTCCCAAACACAACATGCTGCATCTTTTTCTATGTGCCTTTATAAAACTGCCAAGTAACTAAATCACCTTTCAAGTCTCAGCCCAACTATCAGATTACCTACAAGATGCATTGCTCCACCCACACCACTACATGTAAAATTGATTACTCCCTCCTGTTCTTTAAACAGACTGTTATACTACCACTTAAGAACTTGTATTGCACTTACTTGGTTATGTAAGGCTCTCTCCTTATAGAATTATTAGCACCTTGAGGGAAAAGATAAGTTTATGAAATGAATATTTTTTAGCACCTGAGGATAGAGTACAGAATAGTAATAAGAGCAGAGACCTCCTACTCGAACTTAACCCCTGGCTCTACAATATATTTTCTGTGTGTACAATGCAGAGAAGTCATATAATCTGTCATTACCTCAGTTTTGCTCTCTGTAACTTTACATTTGGGTAAAATAAAAATAGCACCTATTTGATAAAGTTTTTATAAGGGTAAAGTGAGCTAATAAACACAAAACACTTAAAACAGTCCCTGGAAAATTTTAAGTACTATAGAAGTAGTGGTTTGTCAATTCATTGCCTAACACAAAAGAATGACATATTTATTAAATGAATGAATGGTCTGTATAAGTTGATGTAGGTGTTTTAAATTATGAATAGATTTATGTGAGAGGGTCACAGAAGCATGAGACATTATCTTTACACTATAGAATCAGAAAATATAGTTGAAATAAGAATAATAACATCTGATGTGGTACTTTATATAATACCTCAAGTCCATGAAGCACATTATGAATGATACAATTCAGAGGAAGTAAAGTTCATTGATGGGCAGAATAAAAATGGGGAGCTTCACGAAGGAGATGGAGTTTGAGGTGAACTCAAAGGATTCACAGGGTATATGCTTGAGAAAAGCCTGTAAAGATGTTACAGAAATGACAGTATGGTCTGTTTTTGAGACAATCAGAGTTACCTGACTGAAAAAGAGATTTCAGTTTGAGACATAGGGTTTTAAAGAATAATAGTAATAATTTTCTAGCATTTATTTCATCTTAACAATGTTTTAGGTACTGTGTTAAATGTTTTGTTGCTTGTTTAAAGGAAAAATGTAGATAGACACTGTAAAAAAAAAGAATTCTAAAGAGAATCAGAATAATATAGATTTGGTGCAGGCAAGAAATTTTATCATGAACCTAGTGTATAAAAAGATTATGATGTGCTAATATAATAGAACAATCAATGAAAGGATAGTTTAAGACCAAGAAGGATAACAAAGGTAGAAGATACTTCATAAAATGCATGAAAACAGATAGCATACCAGTTGCATCTATGAAAGAGCATTATCTCCCCACGTAGACAAATTCTTAAAATACAGCTGAGCTAAAATATCTTTTCAAAGTACATTATCTGGGGAAAATAAGCTATCTACTTGAACAACATATTTGCATTTTTACTTTAAATTAACATGCTATGACATTATTTACTTGGAGATTATGAAGCTGGTAAACATTTTTTTTCTCATGTTGCTAAATCTCCAAAGATTTATCTGCATTCATCAGGAAGTTCAAAATGAAAAAAAAAATTGTGAGAAGAGTTTCCAGTCAAGCTATCTCAGTATCAAAATATTTTTTGTTTAACCTCGTGCTTCAACACTTTATTGTATTTCTTGTCTTTATATAAAACTATAACCTATTCTGGAGATATTTGGTTTTCCAATTTACTGAAGTCTCTGTACCAGATAGTACTATTTCAGCTATAAGGGATACTTCGAGTTACATCAGCGAGATGGTTAAAATAGGAAGCTCCAGGCCCTCTTTCTTTTCATGAAGACACACATTCAACAACAATCCATAGACCAGTTTCCTTTGTGAGACATCCAAAAACCAGATAAGAGGCTTCTGCATCAAAAACAAACATTAACTAGTTGTATCAAAACAGAAGAAAAATTTGTGGCACCCTCTGGCTATAGTCACTTTCACAGAAAAAAAAGATGCACAATTCAGAGGAACTCAGGTCCTGGCTTTTTCCTGGGGAAGAATAGTGGAAGGTTAGAATATGCATCCAATGTTCTGAACTTTTGAGGGGGCTGTACAAGGTACTGTCTTCTGTTCAACCTGTTGCAAAGCACTGACATAACCTAGCATTCTTTAGATGCCTGGAGAACACTGAGAACAACAACGACAAATAAAGTTGTTCAGCATGTTACTGCTCCATAGAATCTTCAGTACAGCAGACAGAAGCTTTTACAGTGTGGTGACTTCTCCTTCAGGGGGAAAAAGAAGGGTGTAGCAAATGTTCAAAAGGCCAGTATTTTGGGGGCTTCCTAAGAGATCAGTTTCCATGTAGCTCAACCCAAGACACTTACGGGAACTTGGCATATACTAGATTCCAAGGGGCTATTGAGAAAAAATATTTTAAAAGAGCTGGTTGGCATACTGCTGCTTCCAAGTTTACATGGAAGAGCAGACTTACATCAGAGGGAGTAAGAAATTACAAGTTCCTAGAAAAAATTATTTTAATTAAAATATATATGCACAAGACCAAAGAAGACATACCCACAGAAAAGTTTTAAGAAGACCTTGGGATTTGTAGCTAGGCTAATTAGTAAAAGGTCTTCTCCTGTACAAACCCAGTCCATAAAGACTGGGAGAAGAGATATTTTTTTCAAATGTGTGCATATCAACATTTTCAGAGATGGAGCTAAGTTGCCCAGGCTGGACTCAAACCCTTAGGCTCAGGTGATCCTGTTGCCTCAGTCTCTTGAGAAGTTGGGACTACAGGCATAGACCACCACTCCCAGATTTCAAAACAAACTTATAAGGATCAGTTAAAAATATATATATATAAAATGGCCCAATCCAAGGGAAAAATAAATCTCTCAAAACCAATCCTTAAAAACAGAGGTATATAAATTACCTGACAACAAATTCGAAATAATGATTATAAAGACAATTGATGAGCTCAGGAAAACAATGCATGTAAAAATGATAACTTCAACCAAAAACATGAAATCATAAAGATATTTTGAGCCTAGGACCTTAAAGATATAAAGTGGTTCAGCAGTAGCAGAGTTGACCAAACAGAGGAAAGAATTCATGGACTCAAAAAGAAGCAATGAGAAAAAGAAAAGAAAGAGTGAAGAAACCAAAAAACTATGGACCACCATTAAGTCGGCTAGTATACACAAAAAGAAAATCCAAGATGAACAAGAGAAAGAGAACAGCATCATCCTGATACCAAAACCTGGCAGAGACACAACAAAAAAAAGAAAATTTCAGGCAAATATCCCTTATGAACACAGGTGCAAAAGTCCTCAACAAAATACTGGCAAACCAAATCTAGCAGCACATCAAAAAGCTTATCCACCAAGATCAAGTGTGCTTCATACCTGGGATGCAAGGCAGGTTCAACATATGCAAATCAATAAATGTAATCCATTACATAAACAGAACCAATGACAGAAACCATATGATTACCTCAATAGATGCAGAAAAGGCCTTTTACGAAATTCAACACCCCTTCATACTAAAAACTCTCAATAAACTGGGTACCAATGGAATGTATCTCAAAATAATAAGAGCTACTTATGACAAAACCACATCCAATATCATACTGAATGGGTAAAAGCTGGAAACATTCCCTTTGAAAACCAGCACAAGACAAGGAAGCCCTCTCTCACCACTCCTATTCAACATAGTATCGGAAGTTCTGGCCAGGGTAATCAGGCAAGAGAAAGAAAGAAAGCGTATTCAGATGGGAAGAGAGGAAGTCAAATTGTCTCTGTTTGCAGATGACATGATTGTATACCTAGAAAACCCCATCGTCTCAGCCCAAAATCTCCTTAAGCTGATAAGCAACTTCAGCAAAGTCTCAGGATACAAAATCGATGTGCAAAAATCACAAGCGCTCCTATACACCAATAACAGACAAACAGAGAGCCAAATCATGAGTGAACTCGCATTCACAATTGCTACTAAGAGAATAAAATACCTAGGAATACAACTTACAGGGAATGAGAAGAACCTCTTCAAGAAGAACTACAAACCACTGCTCAACGAAATAATAGAGGACACAAACAAATGGAAAAACATTCCATGCTCAGGGATAAGGAGAATCAATATCGTGAAAATGGCCATACTGCCCAGAGTAATTTACAGATTCAGTGCTGTCCCCATCAAGCTACCATTGACTTTCTTCACAGAATTAGAAAAAACTACCTTAAACTTCATATGGAACCAAAAAAGAGCCTGCAATGCCCAGACAATCCTGGTCAAGAAGAAAAAAGCTGGAGGCATCATGCTACCTGACTTCAAACTATATTAAAAGCTACAGTAACCAAAACAGCATGGTGTTGGTACCAAAACAGACATATAGACCAATGGAACAGAACAGAGGCCGCAGAAATAACACCACACATCTACAACCATCTGATCTTTGACAAACCTGACACAAACCAGAAATGGTGAAAAGATTCCCTATTTAATAAATGTTGTTGGGAAAACTGGCTAGCCATATGCAGAAAACTGAACCTGGACCCCTTCCTTACACCTTATACAAAAATCAACTCAATATGGATCAAAGACTTAAACCACTAAGACCTAGGGCCATAAAAATCCTAGCAGAAAACCTGGGCAATACCATTCAGGACGCAGGCATGGGAAAGGACTTCATGTCTAAAACACCAAAAGCAGTGGCAACAAAAGCCAAAATTGACAAATGGGATCTAATTAAACTAAAGAGCTTCTGCACAGCAAAAGAAACTACCATCAGAGTGAACAGGCAACCTACAGAATGGGAGAAAATTTTTGCAATCTACTCATCTGACAAAGGGCTAATATCCAGAATCTACAAAGAACTCAAACAAATTTACAAGAAAAAAACAACCCCATCAACAAGTGGGTGAAGGATATGAGCAGACACTTCTCAAAAGAAGACATTTATGCAGCCAACAGACACATGAAAAAATGCTCATCATCACTGGTCATCAGAGAAATGCAAATCAAAACCACAATGAGATACCATCTCATGCCAGTTAGGATGGCGATCATTAAAAAGTCAGGAAACAACAGATGCTGGAGAGGATGTGGAGAAATAGGAATGCTTTTACACTGTTGGTGGGAGTGTAAATTAGTTCAACCATTGTGGAAGTCAGTGTGGCGATTTCTCAAGGATCTAGAAATAGAAATATCATTTGATCCAGCAATCCCATTACTGAGTATATACCCAAAGGATTATAAATTACTCTACTATAAAGACACATGCACACATATATTTATTGTGGCACTATTCACAATAGCAAAGACTTATAACCAACCCAAATCTCCATCAATAATAGACTGGATTAAGAAAATGTGGCACATATACACCATGGAATACTATGCAGCCATGAAAAAGGATGAGTTTATGTCCTTTGCAGGGACACAGATGAAGCTGGAGACCATCATTCTCAGCAAACTATCACAAGAACAGAAAACCAAACACCACATGTTCTCACTCATAAGTAGGAGTTGAACAATGGGAACACATGGACATAGGGAGGTGAACATCACACACTGGGGCCTGTCAAGGCGTGGGGGGCTAGGGGAGGGATAACATTAGGAGAAATATCTAATGTAGGTGACGGGTTGATGGGTGCAGCAAACCACCATGGCACATGCATACCTATGTAACAAAACCACATGTTCTGCACATGTTCCCTATAAAGTTTCTTGTCATATACAAGGGAAGCTTCACAAGATTATCACAGAATTTCTCAGCAGAACCCTTGCATGCTAGAAGGCAGTAGGAAATAGGGTGATAAATTCAAAGTGAAAAAAAAAAAAGTAAAGAAAACCTGTCAACCACAAAGCAAAACCATCCTTTAAAAATTAAGTACAGATAAAGACATTATTATAAAGCAAAAAAGGCCAAAGGACTTTGTTACCATTAGACGTGCCTCAAAAGAAAAGGTAATGAATGGGAGTTCTTCAAGTTGAAACAAAAGGAGGTTATACAGCAATGCAAAAGCATATGAAAGTATACAAATTTCTGGTAAGTGTAAACCTAGACAAACACAGAATACTGTAATATTGTAATGGTGGCATTTAAATTACTTTTTGTCATGAGAATAAATGCTTTAATATTACAAAGTGCTTGTCACAAAATAAGTGTTACAAAACAGTTCACTATCATTATCATCACCACCACTATTCAGTACTACATTTCCCACCTTTATATTTTTTTAAATCCAAACCAAGTTCCATATGTACCATTATTTCTTTAATACTTTATTTAAAAAAGCTTGAAATAAACTCAATTTTAAAATCTAACCTCATCCTAAACAACAGTGTACTTTAAATTACACTGTTTTGATGGTTTGATGGTTTTAGTTACGTTTTTAAAGGCTCATTACAGTAAATATATGCCTATTAATATATTCGCCCTGTAGCAATAAATTGTTATAAATCACTTTTAATTCTAGAATAAAAGTTGAAAGACCAATGTACTAAATAACTATATAAAAATATGTTAATGGATTAAAAATACAAAAAATCTAAATTGTGGCAACAATAATATAAAGTGGGGAGGGGGAAGAAAAGTGTAAAGTTTTTATATGTGCCTTAAAGTAAGTTGTTATCAGATGAAAATGGACTGTTTTAAAAATAGGATGTTATATGTAAGCCCCATGATGACCAAGAAGAAAATACCTATAGAAGATACAGAAAAGAAAAAGGAATCAAAACATTTTGGTGGAAAAATTCAATTAAATAAAAAGACATCAAGAAAGGTGAAGAGATTTTTTCAAAAAGCTGTAAGAAAGGTAGGAAACAACATAATGGTAATGGAAAGCCCTTTCAATCAATAAGTACCTCAAATATAATATAAACTCCCCCATCAAAAGACAGAAAATAGCTAAATAGATTTTTTTAAAAAAAGAAACAGCAATATTTTTTATGAGACTTAACATTTGCACATAGGCTGAAAGTGAATTAATAGAAAAAACTTTCCAAGCAAATGACAATCAAAAGAGCACAGATGATTTATATTCCTTTGGGTATATACCCAGGAATGGGATGGCTGGGTCAAATGGTATTTCTAGTTCTAGATCCCTAAGGAATCGCCACACTGTCTTCCACAATGGTTGAACTAGTTTACAGTCCCACCAACAGTGTAAAAATGTTCCTATTTCTCCACATCCTCTCTAGAACCTGTTGGTTCCTGAATTATTAATGATCACCATTCTAACTGGTGTGAGATGATATCTCATTGTGGTTTTGATTTGCATTTCTCTGATGGCCAGTGATGATGAGCATTTTTTCATGTGTCTGTTGGCTGCATAAATGTCTTCTTTTGAGAAGTGTCTGATCATATCCTTCACCCACTTTTTGATGGGGTAGTTTGTTTTTTTCTTATAAATTTGTTTGAGTTCATTGTGGATTCTGGATATTAGCCCTTTGTCAGATGAATACATTGCAAAAATTTTCTCCCATTCTGTAGGTTGCCTGTTCACTCTGATGGTAGTTTCTTTTGCTGTGCAGAAGCTCTTTAGTTTAATTAGATCCCATTTGTCAATTATGGCTTTTGTTGCCATTGCTTTTGGTGTTTTAGACATGAAGTCCTTGCCCATGCCTATGTCCTGAATGGTATTGCCTAGGTTTTCTTCTAGGGTTTTTATGGTTTTAGGTCTAACATTTAAGTCTTTAATCCATCTTGAATTAATTTTTATATAAGGTGTAAGGAAGGGATCCAGTTTCAGCTTTCTGCATATGACTAGCCAGTTTTCACAGCACCATTTGTTAAATAGGGAATCCTTTCCCCATTTCTTGTTTTTGTCAATGGGGAATCCTTTCCCCATTTCTTGTTTTTGTCAGGTTTGTCAAAGATCAGATGGTTGTAGATGTGTGGTATTATTTCTGAGGGCTCTGTTCTGTTCCATTGGTCTATATCTCTGTTTTGGTACCAGTACCATGTTGTTTTGATTACTGTAGCCTTGTAGTACAGTTTGAAGTCAAGTAGAGTGATGCCTCCAGCTTTGTTCTTTTGGCTTAGGATTGACTTGGCAATGCGGGCTCTTTTTTGGTTCCATATGAACTTTAAAGTAGTTTTTTCCAATTCTGTGAAGAAAGTCCTTGGTAGCTTGATGGGGATGGCATTGAATCTATAAATTACCTTGGGCAGTATGGCCATTTTCACAATATTGATTCTTCCTATCCATAACCATGGAATGTTCTTCCATTTGTTTGTGTCCTCTTTTATTTCGTTGAGCAGTGGTTTGTAGTTCCCCTTGAAGAGGTCCTTCACATCCCTTGTAAGTTGGATTCCTAGGTATTTTATTCTCCTTGAAGCAATTGTGAATGGGAGTTCACTCATGATTTGGCTCCCTGTTTGTCTGTTATTGGTGTATAAGAATGCTTGTGATTTTTGCACATTGATTTTGTATCCTGAGACTTCGCTGAAGTTGCTTATCAGCTTAAGGAGATTTTGGGCTGAGACGATGGGGTTTTCCAGGTATACAATCATGTCATCTGCAAACAGGGACAATTTGACTTCCTCTTTTCCTAATTCAATACCCTTTATTTCTTTCTTCTGCCTGATTGCCCTGGCCAGAACTTCTAATACTATGTTGAATAGGAGTGGTGAGAGAGGGCATCCCTGTCTTGTGCCAGTTTTCAAAGGGCATGTTTCCAGTTTTTGCCCATTCAGTATGATATTGGCTGTGGGTTTGTCATAAATAGCTCTTATTATTTTGAGATACGTCCCATCAATACCTAATTTATTGAGAGTTTTTAGCATAAAGGGCTGTTTAATTTTGTCAAAGGCTTTTTCTGCATCTACTGAGATAATCATGTGGTTTTTGTCTTTGGTTCTGTTTATATGCTGAATTACATTTATTGATTTGTGTATGTTGAACCCAAAGGAATATAAATCATGCTGCTATAAAGACACATGCACATGTATGTTTATTGCGGCACTACTCACAATAGCAACGACTTGGAACCAACCCAAATGTCCAACAATGATAGACTGGATTAAGAAAATGTGGCACATATACACCAGGGAATTCTCTGCAGCCATAAAAAATGATGAGTTCATGTCCTTTGTATGGACATGGTTGAAGCTGGAAACCATCATTCTCAGCAAACTATGGCAAGGACAAAAAACCAAACACTGCATGTTCTCACTCATAGGTGGGAATTGAACAATGAGAACACTTGGACATAGGAAGGGGAACATCACACACTGGGGCCTGTTGTGAGGTGGGGGGAGAGGGAGGGATAGCATTAGGAGATATACCTAATGTAAACGATGAGTTAATGGGTGCAGCACACCAACACGGCACATGTATACATATGTAACAAACCTGCAAGTTGTGCACATGTACCGTAGAACTTAAAGTATAATAAATATATATATATGCATATATAAATATAAATAAAGTAAAAATAAAAACAATATGTCAAGGAAAAGAAAAGCACAGATGTGGCTATACTTATACCAGGTAAAATAGACTTTAAGTCAAACACTATCACAAGAGCTAAATAATTATACTACATAATGATAAAAGTGTCATTTTATCAGTCAAGATGTAAAAGCTGTAAGTATATATGTACCCAACATCAGGGCAACAAAATATATACAGCAAATATTGACAGAACTAAAGAGAGAAAAGGATAACAACGAAATAATACTAGGAGACTTCAGTACTGCAGTTTCAATAATAGCTAGAACACCCAGACAGAAAATCAGTGAAGAAAGAGCAGACTTGAAAAACACTGTAGACCTTGTGGACCTAACATAAATGCACAGAACATTCTGCCAACAACAGCAGAACGCACATTCTTCTCAAGAGCACACAGAACATTTTCCAGGAGAAATCACATGACAGGTCACAAAACAAGTCTTAAAAAATGTAAAATTTAATTATATCAAACATATTTTTCAGCCTCATGAGATGAAATTAGAACTCAATAGAAGATTTAAAAACTGATGAACTTATAAATATGTGAAAATTAAATAAAACACTCTTGAACAACCACTAGGTAAAAGGAGAAATAAAAAAGAACTTTAGAAAACACCTTGAGATAAAAATGCCAAAATTAGCGAGATACAGCAAAAGCAGTACAAAGTTCATAACAATAAATGCCTACATTAAAGATAAATTTCAAACAACCTAACTCCATACCTGAAAGAGTTAGTTAAAACAAGGAAAAACAAACTGAGCCCAAAGTTGTCAGAAAGAAGAAAATCACAGAAGTAAACAAAATAGAGAATAGAAAAACTATTAACAGAATTTTTTCTCAAACTCTTCCACAAAATAGAAGAGGAGGGAGCACTTCCCAACTCATTTTTAGGGCCAAGAAAGCCAGCATCACCTTGACATTAAAGCCAGACAAAAACGCTACAACAAAGAAAAAAATACAGGCCAATATCTCTTTATATAAGCAAAAATTATCAACAAAATACTAACAAACCAAAGTCAATTGTACATTAATAAATCATACACCATGACAAAGTGGGATTCATCTTTGAGATTCAAGGGTGATTCAACATGCAACAATCAGTCAATGTGATAGACCACATTAACAGAAAGAAGGATAAAAATCACATGATCATCTCAATAGATGCTGAAAAAGCTTTTGACAAAATTAAACACATATTAATGATAAAATCACTCAACAGACTAGAATTAAGAAAAATTACTTTGACATAATAAAGACTGTATACCACAAGCTCACAGCTAACATCATACTCAATGGTGAAAAACTGGAAGCTTTTCCTTTAACATCCAGAACAATTCCAGGATTCTCACTTCCACCACTTCTATTTGACATAGTACTGGAAGTTCTGGCCAGAGCAATTAGGTAAGAAAAAGAGAAAAGCAGCATCCAATTAGGAAAGAAAGAAGTAAAAGTATCTGTTTGTAGACGACATGAATGATATGTAGAAAACTCTAAAGGTGCCATCAGAAAAACTTGTTAGATCTAATAAAATTTGGCAAAATTTAAGGATGGAAATTAACATTTAAAAGTCAACTGCATTTCAATACACTAAAGACTAACAATCTGAAAAAAAAAATTAAAAAATCTCACTTAAAATAACATCCAAAGAATAAAATGCCTTGGAATAAACTTAAGTAAGAAGGTGAAAGATTTGTATACTATAAACTATAAAAGGTGATAAAAGAAATGAAATAAGGCATGAATAAATGGAAAGACATCCTCTGTTCATGGATTGGAAGACTTGTTATTGTTTAAAAAGTATGTAATACCCAAAGCAATTTACAGATTCCATGCAATCTTCAACAAAATCCCAATGACATTTTTTACACAAATTTAAAAGTATTAAAATGTATATAGAACCACAAAGGACCTTGAATAGCCAAAACAATCTTGAAAAAGAAAAACAAATCAGGAGGCCTCACGTTTCTTTATTTCAAAAGGTATTACAAAGTTACATTAATCAAAACGGTATTGTACTGGCATAAAGACAGACATACAGACCAGTGGAACAAAATAAAAATTCCAGAAATAAACTTATGCATATACAGGCAACTGATAATTTGGTAGAAGTGCCAATAATACATAATGTGGAAAGTACAGTCTCTTCAATAAATGGCATTGGGAAAACTGAATATCAACATGCAAAAGACTGAAATTGCTGTCATCTGACACCAATCACAAAAATCAACTTAAAATGAATTAAAAACCATCATTCTCAGTAAACTATCGCAAGAACAAAAAACCAAACACCGCATATTCTCACTCATAGGTGGGAATTGAACAATGAGATCACATGGACACAGGAAGGGGAATATCACACTCTGGGGACTGTGGTGGGGTCGGGGGAGGGGGGAGGGATAGCATTGGGAGATATACCTAATGCTAGATGACACGTTAGTGGGTGCAGCGCACCAGCATGGCACATGTATACATATGTAACTAACCTGCACAATGTGCACATGTACCCTAAAACTTAAAGTATAATAATAATAATAATTAAAAAAGAAAAAAAAAATAAATAAATAAAACATTGCTAGGAAGCAAAAAAAAAAAAAAAAAAAAATGAATTAAAAACTTAAATGTATAATCTGAAACTGTAAAACTCCTCTAAGAGAACATTGGAGAAAATTTCTTGAAATTGGTCTTGGCAGGAATTTCATGGCTATGACATCAAAAGCACAGGTCACCAGACCAAAAATAAACAATTTAAACTACATCAAATTGAAAAAACTTTTGCACAGCAAAGGAAACAATCAAAAGAATAAAAAGGCAATCTATGGAAAGGGAGATAATATTTGCAAACCTATATATCTGATAAGGGATTAATAGTCAAAATATGTAAAGTACTTCAACTGAATAGCAGACAACAATAAAACCGAGAAATATTAAAAAAAAATTTAATTGGCAAAATAAAAAGTATTAAATAAAAGAGTAAATGACTTGAAGAGACATTTCTGCAAGCATACAAATAGCCAATAGGTCTATGAGAACATTCATCTTCAGAGAAATGAACAATAAAACCATAATTTGATGTCATTATTCCTATGATCCTAACAAAACATCTATTAACTATAAAAAAATAAATGTTGGCAAATATGGAAAAATTTGAGCTCTTGTACACTGTTCAGGGGAATGTAAAATGGTTCAGTCACTATGGAAAAGAGTAGGGAGATCTCTCAAAAAATTAAAAGTTGAAGTGTCATGTGATCCAGTAATTACTCTCCTGAGTATACAAATAAAGAAAACCAAATTAATATTTCTAAGAAATATTTGCACTTCCATCTTCATTGCAGCAATATTTAGCCAACATGTGGAAAGAAACTAAATATTCATTAATGAGTGATTAGATAAAGAAAATGTGATATATCTATCCATATATATGGCTGAATAATATGACATACATAATTATAAAAGATGAAAATCTACAATGTGATACAATAGAATTAATCCTAAAGACATTACACTAAGTGAATAAGCCAGTCACAGAAGGACAAATACTGCTCTACTTATATGACATAACTAAAACAGTGAAACTCATAGGAGCAGAAAGTACAATGTTGGGTGCCAGAGGCTAAGGATAAGGGTTCCCCCTAAGGAGTTGCTATTTCATAAGTATAAAGTTTTTGTCATTCAAAACAAGTTCTAAATATCTGTCATATGACACCACGCCCATAGTTATCAATATTGTATTGTACACTTGATTATTTGTTAAAGGGTATACCTCTGGTTAAGTGTTCTTAACAGCATGCATGCTAGAATATACCAGAATATGTAATGCTAACAGAGAGAGAACAGAATTACAAAACAGATGTTTTTGCCATCAACAAAATGGCAAAGTCCTTCGCTATCATTAATCACTTTAAGTGGATTACACTCCCCATTCGAAAGACAAAAAGAGACTAAATGAATTTTTTGAAAGATCCATCTATGTTTTGTACAAGACACTCACTTTAGATTTAAGGACACACATAGGCTGATAGTGATAATCTAAGCAGTGGTAATCAAAATACAGCAGGGGAAGCTAAACCTATGTTACACAAAGTAGAATTTAAGTCAAAAACTGTCTGTCCCAAGGGACAAGGAAGAATGTTATATATTGATAAAAGAGTTAATTCACCAGAATGATATAACAATCATAAAAAGTTTGTCATGAAAGATGAAAAAGTTCCAGAGATCTGTTGTCCAACATTGTTCTTACTGTTAACTATACCATATGTACAATTAAAAATTTGTTAAGAGGGTAACAGAGTGTTGTTGAAAACACATTTCATGTTATGTGTTTCTTACCACCATAAGAAAGAGAATATCTAAGTAAAAATAACTAAAACTATGAAAAAATTAAAACTTACATATCCAAATGTTTAAAATACAATAGTTTGTTTATTCCATTACAGATTGTGACAATTACCCAGATTCTTAATACTTTTTTTTTTTTTCGGTCCTGCAGTTCTCAGCATACTTACTTGGAATTTAGCTGTGTGTTCCCTTAAGACTGCATGATGACTTTCACACGTTTAGGCATTACATTGAGAGTTGGCACCTGACAATAGGTCTTTTTATTTTCCTAGAAGGTCTTTATCAAATTTCTCATGCCTATTTGCCAGTGTAGGACCATATGTCATAAGCTTTTGTCCCAGCTGCTAGGATGACTTGGAAAGTATCTGCCAACTTCAGACTCTATAGTGGTAGATGTCTACAAATCAATAGGATACAATAAAATAGTTAAAATAAAATAATTAATATCAAAAAGAATAGGAAAGAGAGAAGGGATAAGGGTAATATTGATTGAATAGAATTGGCAACCAATTCTATACACTTCTTGCTCTGGACCATCGTCCACAAAGCATACTTGAATATTTATGATTTACTAATTATACCATAGGCTATGTTTCCAAATTTACATATACCAAAAATGTAAAAATAAAATGTGGTTTATGTTTTTCTTACTAAAACTTCTGATCTCTAAAGCTGTTGCTGCATAAAGTACAAGGAAAATAAAACAAAATATAAGATCCTGTCAACTCTGTTAAGTTTAGCCTGAAAAATAAACCCTCTTTTTGGGTAATTTTTACTAGCTCACCTCAGGTACTGTCTCAGTATTTTAGATCTCTATCCATGCCTCATTATTTCTAAGTATTCCTCAGTGTGTATTTTAGAAATAATTGCAAAGGTGGCTTTAGCATGAAGAAAACATGTGGGACCCTCATCTGCATAAACCCCTTGCAACAATTTACAATTTTAAATTCTTTTCCTCAAAGATTTCTTCCAAGACTCTATATGCATTAGAGCCCACGAAACCTGGATGCTTCACAGAGTACGTATTACACAATCTCATTACAGCAGAAATCAGGTAGGGTCCTTGACTCATCTAATAGCCTCTGAAAACACAATGGTCTTCACATAGGCATGGCTTGCCTACAACTTACACTGGTCATTTCCGAGATTACTATTCTCATCTGGCTTTGTAGGACAGGAAAAGGGATGTTATAATTACATTGTGATCATTTATTTTCAGTCTCAAAGTAGCTGCACACGATGGGCTAATTGCTTTTAACTCAGTCATCCTATCAGTTTCCTAATTATCCCAAACATTCCCTCTGCATCATGTAAGTTCATATGTCACGAGTGGGCCTTCGGAAAACAAGAATGTTGGTTTAGACTCACCTCCCAATCCAAACTACACTGCAATACAATAGTCCACACCATTGTAGAAGTGAATGTGTTCAGAATACATGTAGAGGCTTTCAGCCTTCCCTGGCATATGACCTTGGATGTTTGCATGGGGAAGTCTTCAAAGGGATCTCCTTACAGAATCCAAAGAAGAGGTGTCAAAGTCCTTCTGCATTAAATATTCCCTACCACTCTTCCCTCTCCCAACCTGTGGCCTGAATGAGTGAGTTAGGAACACTGATTATAACCCTTAATTTTGTCACTTTTATTGGTCCACAATACTTTGAGCTGCAGGCTTCATATCTCATTAAACAAAGACTTTCCAACTTTTTCAAACTTGTATCCATAAACGGTAAACCAGAAAAGTGTGTGTGCATGTCAAACTGAAAACAAACAAAATATTATAAGCAATCTTTCTTTTACTTTGTACATAGCACTCTGCTTTTATAACCTAGTCAATTTCACTTTTTTAAAATGTTAGTCGTGACCAGAAAACTGATTTTAAGATCTACCAATGAGTGTCTACCTACCGTTTAAAAATTACTGTCCTCTCACACCCTCCTACTACCTGCCATACGGCAGTAAAGTTCATAGTCTGGCTATAATTAGAAGAAACTCTACAATATAATAGACCACTAGACCTAAATCTTGATGTGTTATGTGAGAATTAAGAAAATCGTAAAAAAATCATTTAAAAAAAATTCTATCTGGCTTTCACAGAGATTATCTGGCTAAAAGAAGAAGAAAAAGAGCACTGAGGCCTTGCTTGAGACTCAAAATAACTTTATCCTTAGTAAAAATTTCAGGCTTTTTGCGGCATACATCTCTGTTTCAATTACTCAATTCTATTTTCATAGCATGAAAGTGGCCATAGACAATATGGAAACTAATGAATGTGGCTGTGTTCTAATAAAATTTTATTTAATATAACAGGAGTTTGCCAACCCTTGTTCTAAATAAAAATATTGTATTTGTTTATTTCATGATACTTAACATATTTTGTAATTATTCATTTATTTGTAGATTTATCCATTTTTCACTTTCTCTTCCTCCTTGACTCTAAGCTTCATGAAAGTAGAAGTGTCTTTTTTTTTAAATTTTATCTTTGCATTGCAGTTCCTTGCACACAGTAGAGACTCAATAAATACTTCCTGTATCTGTTGTTAACTACTCAGAAGATCATCAGAATAACATTCTGATTAAGCAATGGTAAATTTATTTGATTTATATGAGAAAAAAGAACAGCACATAAATAGAGCCTTAGCAGTGCTTCAGATAGACATAATGGGAGATTGTTTATAGGGTTGTGTGGCCTGGACTGTGTATGTTTTTCATTTTTTTGGTTTGTTTTTGTTTTTGTTTTTGTTTTTGTTTTTGTTTTTTTTATTTTGAAACAAAATAAGTTCACAGGAATTTGTAAAAATAAGACAGAAAGGTTACATGCACCTTTCATCCATCTGTCCTAATGGTACCATCTAGATAACTGTAGTGCAATATTAAAACCAGAAATTGACATTGGTGCTATCTACAGACATTATTCAGATTCCACTAGTTCTTATAAAAACTCGTGTGTGTGTGTGTATAATTCTATGCACTTTTATCACATGTATAGATTCATGTGAATTCAAGCACAGTCAAGATACAGAAGTGTTCCATCACCACAAGGATCCCTCGTGCTATACCTTTATAGGCACACCCATTCCTCCTGCCAACTAATGTCTGACTAATTTGCTTTCAATCTTTATAATTTTGTCATATTGAGAATATTGTATAAATGGAATAATACATTATATAATATTTTCAGATGGACTTTGTTCACTAGTGTAATGCCCTTGAGAACCATCCAAGTTGTGTGTACCAACAGTTCATTCCTTTTTTTATACTTAAATTATATTATTTCACTGATGGACATCTTAAGGCTATTTTTCACCTGTCAGTTTTGGTTCTGAAATCCTTAGGTAAATCATTTGTATTAAGTTATGAGATTTTCTAACATTTTATTTAAACCACCTTTATTGGAGAAAAATGTTGATACCTTAACTGTTTGTAAGAAGTATTAGTTATTTCCTTATGTAAATAATGTGACAATTATATGTTTTGTGTATTTAATACAACTATTTTCCAGCCCTCATTTGCTTACAAAATGCTGAGTCAGATATCGTATCCTCAGTGCCCAGAGAAGAGCTGGCATATAATGTGGTGTTCAGTAAATATTTTTGACCAAATTAATAAGTAGGAAACCAGAAAAAAACTAAATAATTAAAATTATAAATAAATCCTGGTTTCCAAAGATAAAAATTGTTCTAAAATAATCTTTAAATAAATTTATCACCTAGAATACTATAATTGGTAGTTACCACGAATTAAAATATTAACAGTGACTTTGCAGCTTTCTGTTTCATCACTTTGTATCTCAGTTTTCTCACTTACAAAAAGCAGAATCTTAGCCAACTTCCACTGTGTTTTTCAGCTTAAAACATTTATGATATTACAATTAAAAAACACTTAAGAACTCTAGACATATTTTAATTTGTGTTCACTCAAATAATTTTGCTATTCTGGGATCATTCTAGATTTAGAGACAAGTTGCAAAGGTAGTACAGAGAGTTCCTACACTTGTTGTCATGACTGTTAGACTTTTGCAGTTGTGAATAGCTCCCTTCTTTGTACTGATGAGTGGAATCCTACTATATGTATGTGCCACAGTTTGTTTAATTATTCACCTGTTGAAGAATGAGACTGTTCCCAGATTTTGATATTAAAAATAAAGTTGCTACGAATATCAGTGTACAGGTATTTATATGAACAGAAGTCTCTGAGATAAATGCCATGAGTGCCATTTCTGGGTAGTATGGTTAGTTTTATAAGAAACTTTCAAAATATTTTCAGCAATGGCTATATCATTCCATCAGCAATTTTTAAAAGATTTGAAGTTTCTCCACATCCTTATCAGCATTTAGTATTATAACTATTTTATATTTTAAGTGTCCTAATGAATGTGCTTTGAAATCTCATTGTGGTTTTTATGTTCATGTACCTGAAGGCTAACGATGTTGAACATCTTTTCATGGGTCTTATAAGGTGGAGAAGTGGTTGAAATTGGGCAGGTTATGACAGAGTTTATAGCTTTGGTTTGGTGGCTCCAACAAAGCCTAAATATTGAAGCAGAGTATTGATAAGAAAACTGTGGAACGTATACACCATGGAATTACTAGGCAGCCATAAAAAAGGATGAGTTCCTGTCCTTTGCAGGAACGTGGATGAACTTGGAAGGCATCATTCTCAGCAAACTGACACAGGAACCGAAAACCAAACACCGTATGTTCTCACTCCTAAGTGGGAGTTGAACTGTGAGAATACATGGACACAGAGAGGGGAACATCGCACACCGGGCCCTGATGGGCTTGTTCTTTTGGCTTAGGATTGTCTTGGAAATGCGGAACTTTAAACTACTTTAAAGTTCATATGGAACCAAAAAAGAGCCTGCATTGCCAAGACAATCCTAAGCCAAAAGAACAAAGCTGGAGGCATCATGCTACCTAACTTCAAACTATACTACAAGGCTACAGTAACCGAAACAGCATGGTACTGGTACCAAAACAGAGATATAGACCAATGGAACAGAACAGAGCCCTCAGAAATAATACCACACATCTACAACCATCTGATCTTTGACAAACCTGACAAAAACAAGAAATGAGGAAAGGATTCCCTATTTAATAAATGGTGCTGGGAAAACTGGCTAGTCATATGTAGAAAGCTGAAACTGGATCCCTTCCTTACACCTTATACAAAAATTAATTCAAAATGGATTAAAGACTTAAATGTTAGACCTAAAACCATAAAAACCCTAGAAGAAAACCCAGGCAGTACCATTCAGGACATAGGCATGGGCAAGGACTTCATGTCTAAAACACCAAAAGCAATGGCAACAAAAGCCAAAATTGACAAATGGGATCTAATTAAACTAAAGAGCTTCTGCACAGCAAAAGAAACTACCATCAGAGTGAACAGGCAACCTACAGAATGGGAGAAAATTTTTGCAATCTACTCATCTGACAAAGGGCTAATATCCAGAATCTACAATGAACTCAAACAAATTTACAAGAAAAAAACAAACAACCCCATCAACAAGTGGGTGAAGGATATGATCAGACACTTCTCAAAAGAAGACATTTATGCAGCCAACAGACACGTGAAAAAATGCTCATCATCACTGGCCATCAGAGAAATGCAAATCAAAACCACAATGAGATACCATCTCACACCAGTTAGAATGGCGATCATTAATAAGTCAGGAACCAACAGGTGCTAGAGAGGATGTGGAGAAATAGGAACACTTTACACTGTTGGTGGGACTGTAAACTAGTTCAACATTGTGGAAGACAGTGTGACGATTCCTTAGGGATCTAGAACTAGAAATACCATTTGACCCAGCCATCCCATTACTGGGTATATACCCAAAGAATTATAAATCATGCTGCTCTAAAGGCACATGCACACATATGTTTATTGCGGCACTGTTCACAATAGCAAAAACTTGAAACCAACACAAATGTCCATCAATGATAGACTGGATTAAGAAAATGTGGCACATATACACCATGGAATACTATGCAGCCATAAAAAAGGATGAATTCATGTCCTTTGTAGGGACATGGATGAAGCTGGAAACCATCATTCTCAGCAAACTATCTCAAGAACAAAAAACCAAACACTGCATGTTCTCACTCATAGGTGGGAATTGAACAATGAGAACACTTGGACACAGGAAGGGGAATATCACACACTGGGGCCTGTTGTGGGGTGGGGGAAGTGGGGAGGGAAAGCATTAGGAGACATACCTCATGTAAATGATGAGTTAATGGGTGCAGCACACCAACGTGGCACATGTATATATATGTAACAAGCCTGCACGTTGTGCACATGTACCCTAGAACTTAAAGTATAATAAAATAAAATAAAATAAAAAGACAACTGTTTAGTTTGCTCATCATCTTGAATTTCAGTAATATATTTATTGGTATGTGTAGCTAAGTTATTTTTGTCTGATCCCATTACTGTTTGGGAAAAAGACAGGAAAATATAATTTTTCTTTTAAACGTGTTTGATACTGGGTCAGAAAAGTAAATTTAGTAAAGCAATAAGAGAATATTTTGAAATCGTTTATCAACTGATGAGTATTTAATGGCATTAATTATTTTGAGGTTTTACTTGTTTTTTCTTATAATAACAGTATATTTGAATGTGATAATCAAAAATTACTTTAAATTCATCCAATTTGTGTCCAGGCCCTGTGGCTCACGCTTGTAATCCCAGCACTTTGGGAGGCCGAGGCGGGCGGATCACGAGGTCAGGAGATCCAGACCATCCTGGCTAACACAGTGAAACCCCGTCTCTACTAAAAATACAAAAAATTAGCTGGGAGTGGTGGCGGGCGCTTGTAGCCCCAGCTACTCAGAGAGGCTGAGGCAGGAAAATGGCGTGAACCCGGGCGGGAGAGCTTGCAGTGAGCCGAGATGGCGCTACTGCACTCCATCCTGGGCGACAGAGCGAGACTCCCTTCCCCGCCCCCCCAAAAAAATTCATCGAATTTGTAAATTAGAATAGTAAACAATAAAGATACATTCTATGCACAGCCCCTTAGAGATAAATAACACATTATAAAAGTCTTAATATTTTATTGGCAGAAATTAGAACAATTTTACTTTCATCTCTTATTTAGCAGGTTACAGAACTGAACTTATCACAAAATTAACACATAAGTAAATACACGGCTGCTATATATTGAGAATTCTTGCTTTGGAGTCCTGGCTTTGCCACTTACCAGATGTCTTTCCATAGGTAACCATTCAAATTTTTTTTAATATACTTTAAGTTCTAGATTTTCTTCCTGAGACTTTGCTGAAGTGGTTTATCAGCTTAAGAAGCTCTTGAGCCAAGACTGTGGGATTTTCTAGATACAGAATTATGTCATCTGCAAACAGGAATAGTTTAACTTCCTCTCTTCTTATTTGGATGCCCTTTATTTCTTTTTCTTGCCGGAATGCTCTGGCCAGGACTTCCAATACTACTTTGAATAGGAGTGGTGAGAGTGGGCATCTTTGTCTTGTGTCAGTTTCCAAGGGGAATGCTGCCAGCTTTTCCCCATTCAGGAGGATGTTGGCTGTGGGTTTGTCTAGATGGCTCTTATTATCTTGAGGTATGTTTCTTCAATACCTAGCTTATTGAGAATTTTATTTTTTTTATTTATTTTTTTTTTAGCAAGACAAGAGAAAAATGTTTAATTCAGTGATTAAAACAAAGTAAAATAATTTTCAAAGATTTAAGAAAATGATAAAACACAGACTGCTGCTGGGAATGTAAATTGCTATATCCTTACTGGGGAACAATTTAGTGACATGATCCTATATCCTTTGATCCATTAATTCCATTAACAGCGTAACCTAAAGAAGCAAAATGTGAGCACAGGTTTCTGCCTACATTTCTCATTGCATGACATTTTTTTTTTTTTTCTGAGACAGAGTCTTGCTCTGTCCCCCAAGCTGGAGTGCAGTGGCACAATCTCGGCTCACTGCAACCTCCGCCTCCCAGGTTCAAGCAATTCTCCTGCCTCAGCCTCCCGAGTAGCTGGGACTACAGGCACATGCCACCATGCCCGTCTAATTTTTTTTGTATTTTTAGTAGAGACAGGGTTTTGCCATGTTAGCCAGGCTGTTCTCGAACTCCTGACCTCAGGTGATCTGCCCACCTCGGCCTCCCAAAGTGCTGGGATTACAGGAGAGCCACTGAGCCTGGCTCATTGCATTACATTCTGAAAGCTCTTTGAGGGTAGGGGCTTTGTCTGCCCTACTGACCACTATATTCCTAGAACAGTTCCTGACAACAACAAAAAGAGGTGTGGCGATTCCTCGAAAACCTAAAAACAGAAATACCTTGTGACCCAGCAGTCCCAGTACTGGGTATACACCCCGAAGGAATATAAATGGTTCTGTCATAGACACATGCATCTGTATGTTCGGTTCTGTCATAGACACATGCATCTGTATGTTCATTGCAGCACTATTCACAATAGCAAAGACATGCAGTCAACCTAATTGCCCCTCACTGGTAGACTGGAAAAAGAAAATGTGATACATATACACCATAGAACACTTTGCAGCCATAAAAATCCCTATTTTTCTTCATTAAGCTTTGCAAAGAGGTTTCTTTTACACTGACATTTATTTACCCTTTACTTTAAAAAAATGTGAATTAAAACTATTTCTTCAAGGGTAACTTTTGTGAACAGGTTAAATAGAGAGAAAGTAATTTCTTTTTTCTAACAATGCATTGTGTATATCATAATTCCAGTTTTAAAGCTGAGACCAAGATTCTTGAAAATTATTTTACTGTAAATATAATTTTTGGATAGGTTAACACTAGCTAGAGTAGTACTCTGGTAGTAATACTGCCCCAGAGTAATACTATTAATACTAGCTCTATTAATTTTGTAAAATTTCACTAAGTTCAAACATATTTCTATTTTTTGACTTGACTTAGTTTGTTTTTGTATATACTCATCATAATGGTATTTTATCTAATCAGTGGTACTGAGGTTTATTTTATGTTTGTAGAACTTTTGTTAAAAGTGCAAAAGCAAACTGCAAAATGAGGTTTATAGCCAAGAAGAAAATCTTCTTGTCATATACTATTGTAATTTCAAGTTTTTAAGCAGGTACTTGAATAAAAATGATTTACAAAGGACAATAGACAAATTTAAGAGCTTATTTTTATTTGATTCATCTTCATTGAAAATTTCCTTTCTTATACTATAGAAAGGGGAATAGATGCCATTTAGCCTTCCTCTTCCATACATTTTCTTCAGTAAATGGCAGCAGGACTCTGTCCCTCCTGGGGCAATTATTAAAATAAATTAATTTTCTTTTGCTTTAGATGCTTTGCCTTTGAGATGAGCAAGGATGAACGCAAACCCAAGTAATTTTCTAATTATCTATGTTAATTTTATTGTTGCTGATTTAATACATTTGCAGTTGCTGATACATTATTTTAAAATTACATCCTAAGCAGCATAAGTCGGATCCTTTTTCCTCACAGATATTGTGGCATGGAAAAAGGCTAAGAAAATATTTGTTATATATTATTATTTATTGCACAGAATCAAAAAGCAATATTACAACAAGTCACAGAAATAATTCCATATAGAACCAAAACAATAGATCTTATATAACCTCTGTCCCCTTAAGGGACATTTACTATAATGAAATTCTACCTGAATTTGAATGAAAGATGCCATAAGGCATACTAAAGGTGAGAATGGCTGCAGATCTCCATCACACACACACACACACACACACACACACACACACACACACACACACACACACACACACACAAAGCTTCCAATTCCTACCAGAAACTCAATCAGTTATTTAATTTTAAGATATTGGGGTACATCATAAAGAAATTAGTTTAGCGCTGTACTGTCATTTTGCCAGAGGGGAATGGCCTTTCTCATTTCATATACATGGAAAACATTTCTGTCTCCTCTTTACCAACTCAAGTGCTACCAAATTTTTAGAAATGTCAGACAAACCTCACTTTTTTGTGTAAAAAATGTATTTGAATAAACCATTCTAAAGGAATTTATCTCTTTTCTGAATTTGGTAGCAGTTAAAGCATGAAACACACAATTTGGTGCTTGGAATTCTTTTAAAATCCCATTGATTTTTCAATGGTTTTATGTAAGTTAATTTTGTCTGACCATAAAGAAAGTAGTTTTTTAAAAAAGGATTATTTCTTTTAGTACTTTTAAATCAACCAGAGATAGAGATACACAAGTATGTGTTCCACTCGTTGATTTTTTTGAGGGAATTGGGTAACATTTAGCACACCAAAGGAAATAATTTCTAAAATTTGATTTTAGAGATTTGAGAAATATTGCCTGCTCTAAAACTTGAGAGACTTGTACTCTTATCACGAAGCATTAGAGCAATAGGAAGTTTAAAAGTTTGCGTCTTTCTTCCTCCCTTTCTTTCTCTCTCCTTCATCACTTCCTTCTGTCCTTCCTTTCTTCCTCCTTTATTTCCTTGCATTCTTTCTTAATATTTTTCTTTAAGACTTTACTCTTTTGCAATATTTTACTTCAGTGATGAAATATGTAACAAGGGAATCTTCAAAACTAATTATATGGTTATAAAAAGAATTTTGATAAGCAGTGACTAAAATATGAAATTGATCTTCAGGCAGTTTTTCATTTTATCGTCAACATAACTTCACTGTTTTCTGTGGGGGGGGAATTGAGAAATGTAATTTTATGAGTTCATTCAGAAATATGACATACTGTTTTTCAAAATGCTTGCTTTGTGTCAGTAAGTTAATATTACTGAATAACCTGACAGCAGGTCAAAACAGCAGGCTAGATGAACAATCAGGGTGATTACATCTTTCTACATATTCTTTGGAAAAAAGAAAGGACTTTAGTCAGTCTGTATATTTCTGGCATTCTAACTTTGGAAAAGGATATCAATTTCAGAGTAATGTGCAGATGATAACTTTCACACAACAGAATTGAAGTGAAATTAAACCATTGAAATCATTTTATTTAAAATGTAAAGGCATTAAACCAATCTCTGTGGGACATATGTAAATATAGTTAGGTAAGATTCTCTATCACACATTATTGATAAAAAGTGCATAAATGCAAAATTTCTTAACTTTAAGCTTTAACATGTGTTGGATCTTAATTTTTATTGACTTATTTATCCAATTGACTTACTATTTTACAAATAATTGCACTGTGTTAATTTTTAAGAAGGTATGCTTAATATATTGAGAAATATGATTTCTGCATATTAATATTGATCAGTTATATACCAAAGATCAGTGTATTTATTTAATGGGATAGAGTTGCATGGTATTACATTTGAAAAAACTTTGAATTTATTTTCTGTAACTCATTTGATTGAAAGGAAGTTTAGTATAGTTTAATGAGATATTGTCCTAGCAAATTAGGACACCGCTTTTTATTCATCTGACCACAAAATAAACATATTTAGTTGTTTATTTTCTGGCTGCTATGCTTGATACACTTGTTGGCATATGCTACAGGAGTAATGCAAATGGAAGTGATTATCACTGATGTGGAATAAATGAATATGTCAATTCTACAATCAGAATATTGATTATATGTTATCTTAGTGCTTCATAGTTTATGAAGTTTTACACATGATCTTTTTGACCTTACTAAGGAAAACTGGGGGCAGGGGTGGGGAAGTTAATAGAGGGGAAACATGAAGAAACAGTGAATGAAATTACTTAGTTATGGAAAATAGAATAATGTGCTCCCAAGGATATGCATGCTTTAATTCATGGAACTTGTAAATATGTTAGGCTACATGGCAAAGGGGAATTAAGCTTGAACCTAAAATTAATATTGCAGATCAGCTGGATTTTAAAAAGAGAGATTTTCCTGAACTTTCTAGTTGGGTCAGTGTAAGCACCAGGGTCCTTAAATGTGGAAGAAGGGGACAGAGGAGAGGTTCAGCATAATGTGATGTTAGAAGAGCCAACCAGCTATTGCTGGCTTTTTAAAGATGGAGGGAAGGGACCATAATCCAAGGAAAGCAGAGAGCCTCTGGAAACTGGAAAAGGCAAGAAAACAGATTTCCATCTAGAGCCTTCAGAAAGGAATGTACCCAAGCTGATACCTTGACTTTAAGCCTTGTTTTTTGTCCATTTGTGCTTCAATAACAAAGTACCATAAACTGGTTGGCTTGTACACAATAGAAATTTATTCCTATAGTTCTAGAGATTGGGAAGTACACGATCAAGGTACTAGCAGATTTGGTCTCTGGTGAGGGCCTGTTTCCTGATTCATAGGTAACTTCTCATTGCATTTCACATGGTAAGTGGGACTAACAACTCTTGGGACCTATTTTATAAGGGCACTAAGCCCATTTGTGAGAGTTTGGTCTTTACAATCTAATTATCACCCCTAAGGCCCCACCTCCTCCTACCACCACATTGGTGACTGGGTTTTCAACATATGAATTGGGGAAAGACACAAACTTCAGAACATAGCCATTCCAGAGAGATATATGTTGATCTTGTGACCTGCAGAATGGTGAGCTAATAAGTTTGTATTGTTTTAGCCCCTAACTTAGTGGTAATTTTTTGCAGCAGCAATGAGAAACTAATGTACCAGTGTTCCACTTTTATTGGCTAAAAAATCACGATTATTCTTCTAAATTAACATCAGAATTTTTGTGCATAGTAAGAATAATATATATTTTGTCAGTTAGCTTCACTTATTGCTTTTATTTGTTAATTTGGGGAGAACTGGAAACACTATTAGCAACCATTGGAGTCCTTAACATTTTGGTTATTTTTCACTTAAGAAAAGATACGGCTTTATTTATTAAAGCACTTTTTACCTCTCAGTTGATTTTTTTCCTTTAGATACTATATGTTTCTTATTAGGTTTTATCTTTATATTCCATTTTTTTTTAAATTTTTATTCTGAATGATGTTTTCTTATATTTTATTTTACTTGATTTTAACTGGTGTTAATTTTTTGTAAGTTCATGTTAAAAATCGATCAAATTTCTGAATTTTGTTCCTCTTTTTAGTAGTTTCTCAGCTGAGTCTATTGGTGTCTCAAGGTATAATACCCTTAAATAATATTTTTTCTTCCTCCTTTAAGGTGTGTTTTCTTTTTTTAAAAAACGTCTTATTGTGTTTGTCAGTACTTCCAGAACAATGTTAAGTACTATTCAAGATCATCAATATGCTTGGATTTTTCCCGACAGTAATCAAACTATTTCGAGGGGTTCATCATTAAGTATGATACTCAACTATTCAGCTAAATATGTTTAGGTGAAACAAAGTTCTTTATTTAAAATAAGAAAATATATTGACTATTCTTACTGATATATTTCTTTAAAGATGAAATCATACCTTTTAACACCCAATAAAAAATGATAAAAGCATTCTCTTTCCTACTGCCATGAAATCTATCTCTAATCCCTTATTTTTACTAAAATGTTCTTGCACTTTTCTGGTGCATTATGTTTTTGCTATAATTTTTTTCTTAATGTATTTTTTCTTTTAAACTTAGAACACTTTCATTCAATTAAATAATTACAAGGCACCACAGAGAATATGATTATTCTTTGTCATAATAACAGTGTGTTCTTTCAGTCTGCAGATGTTTAGCTTTACATCTATGTTTAACTAAACAAATGGTTCCCACTATTCTTTCATGTAATATCTTCCTTTATTCCAACTTCTTTGTTTACTTTTTAAATTTTATGTTGTATATATTTGATTATCAAGTAGTATTTTCTTTCCTCCATCCTCAAGAAGAGCTCTTAGCTGTTATAACTTTGGAGTCCTTTTGTGTATACCTTGCATTTTCATTGTTTTTCTGCTTTCATTAAACTTGGATGGGTGTAAATTTCTAGAGTAACACTTATATTTCTCCTCAGATATTGGTAGATGTTACAAAGCCTTTGAATATTGTTGTGGAAGAATTAAATTAACTTGATTTATTCCCCTTAGTGGTGACCTGCAATTTATGTCTTACTGGCCATAAGATTATTTCTTAATTGTGAATTTCACCTGGAAGCATGCCTATGTTGATTCTTTGTCATAATTACAGCGTGTTCTTTCTATCTGCAGATTATAAATGCCCTCATCTAGGAAAATTTCTTATTTTCTATACTTGATTATGTCTTCAAATTGACTTTTTGAAGTTGTTCTCTACTTCTCTAATCTCTTTGCTCCATTCATCTTATTTATTGTGTAGTCTGCATTATTTTCTTCACCAGCCAAATTCCTAATAGGTGCCCATCAGTGTGCCAAACACTATGGCTGTACAATGAGAGTGAAGATATTTCCATTTTCTTAGAAAATTTTCCATCGTTTTATTGCTGAAAAAGATTGACAACTATTATTCATGTGTTTGTTTTAATTGTATGGTCATAACTAAACAAAACAAAACAAAAAGCTAAATTTAGTTTGCAACCCTTATGTAGGACTTCAAATATACAAGCTGCATGTAAGATAATGATTAGTCAATTGGATAAACATTCTCTGTCTATGTGTAAGTACCTTTCTACTCTACACACTACAAGCTTTGAATAGCACAGAGATGGAGTCACATACTGTTATAGACTGTAGTGTATGTTAATAATCTTGGTAGGCAAAAGTGAATGAAGTAGATGTCCAGACAAACTCCTAAAGTTTTTCAACTTAGGGAGAAAAAATCAAAATATGGAAGATTGAAGAGGGGAGTTTCTCTAGCAAGTAGAGACAGAAAGCAATGAAAAGATGGGAGAGCACATTTTTTATTTTTTTAAGGTTTAATTCACTTTAATTATAAAACAGATGATAGACTATAGAGTACAGCAAAGAGACTATTAGCAACATCTTCATGTCTGTGACTTGCATTGGAAGCTGCTAATTTTGTTTAATTGCAATCACAATGATATCTATTGTTTTAATAATTCAACTTAAAGGTAATGAATGAGTTGGATGCTTCTGCTATACTTCCAATTCTGGTCCTGATTCTTATTTTTATTTTAAATATTAAAAAATTTATGACTAAAGCTTCCAAGTAACTCTCCTCCAGGACCCAGGCCTTTGCTAGTTATTGGAAATCTGTACTTCCTTAATCTGAAGAGGCCGTATCAAACCATGCTAGAGGCAAAAAATAAGTAATTGTTCATTTTATACATATTTATAATTTCCTAAGTATTTCTTGCCTGTGTGGTTTCATTAGCATGTGTATCTTAAAAACTGGTTTACATATGTGTAATGAGGTGATTAATATTCAAAATAAATAGAGCTGCTTTAAATTGAGTAGTTGTTTTTAAATTTGAATATATAAAAATTTACTAAATATAATTCTATTTAAAATGATATTTTTATCCTGAAATATTTATGACATATAACCTTTATGTCAAATACTTTGAACTTTTTTTTAATGCATTTTTTATTTCAGTTGGTTTTGCAGGAACAGGTGATGTTTGGTTACATGAATAAGTTCTTTAGCAGTGATTTCTGAGATTTGATGTACCCATCACCCAAGCAGTGTACATTGTACACAGTGTGTAGTCTTTTATCTCTCACTCCCCTCCCACCCTTTCCCCCAAGTCCCCAAAGTCCATCGTATCATTCTTATACCCTTGCGTCTTCATACCTTAGGTCCCTGTTATGAGTGAGACCATACGATGTTTGGATTTCCATTCCTGAGTTAGTTAACTTAGAATAATTAGAATAATGGTCTCCAATTCCATCCAGGTTGCTGCGAATGCCATTATTTCATTCCTTTTTATGCCTATTATTCCATTTTATATATATATATATATAAATGGAAGATATCTATATAAAATGGAATATATATAAAAAATGGAATATATATAAAATGGAATATATATATAATGGAATATATATATAATGGAATATATATATATATATATATATATATATATATATATATATATATATATATATCACATTTTCTTTATCCACTCATTGATTAATGGGCATTTGGGCTGGTTCCATATTTTTGCAATTGCAAATTGTGCTGCTATAAACATGTGTATGCAAGTATCTTTTTCACACAGTAACATCTTTTCCTCTGGGTAGATACCTAGTAGTGGGATTGCTGGATCAAATGGTAGATCTACTTTTAGTTCTTTAAGGAATCTCCACATGGAGATTCCATGGTGGTTGTACTAGTTTACATTCCCACCAACAATGTAAAAGTGTTCCCTTTTCTCCACATGCACACCAACATCTATTTTTAATTTTTTTTTTGATTATGGTCATTCTTACAGGAGTGAGGTGGTATGGCATTGTGGTTTTGACTTGCCCCTGACAATTAGTGATGTTGAGCATTTTTCTGTATGATTTTTGGCCATTTGTATATCTTTTTTTGAGAATTGTCTATTTATGTCCTTAGCCCAATTTTTGATGGAATTGTTTTTTTTTCTTTCTAATTTGTTTGAGTTCCTTGTAGATTCTAGATATTAGTCCTTTGTCGAATTTCTAGATTGTGAAGGTTTTCTCCCATTCTGTGGCTTGTCTGTTAACTCTGCTGATTGTTTCTTTTGCTGTGCAGAAGCTTTTTAGTTTAGTTAAGTCACATCTATTTATCTTTGCTTTTGTTGCATTTGGAAAGCAAATTCTTAAATAAGGCACTATTATTAGTAGGCAAATGTACAAGTTTTATTTACACATTCCTTCACCTCACCTCTGATAAGTTTACCCTGAGGAATAAAGGGTAATAGTGAGGAACCAATTTTTAGCAGTCTGTTTGGAACATATTTTGAAGACTTTTCCCCCTAAATTATAATTCTCTTTTTAATTCTCCAATTTCAGGAAAGGCTACTGCACATATAGCACATTTACACTGGTGAACTATGGTGGGTAATTCAGTTTGGGGACAGAAAAAAGAACAATTTGGCATTATCCTTGAGTCACCTTTCTACTCAGGCCCCAGCACTGGGACTAACATCATCTTAAGGGAGAATGGAAGTAGTGGAATTCTAGACTGTCATAGCAAGGAGCCATGGGGAAATGAGAAACCTCTTCTCCACGTAAGAATTACCTTGGTTTCTTATTAAAGACACAGATTCCCAGTAGGTCTATAACTTGAGACCTGGGAATTTGTATATTAGCCAAGACTCATATTATGATGAATTGTAATTATAACATGATTATAATTATACTTTCTAATTATAATATAATTATATTTATATGATTAATTATATTTAATACATAAATATGTTATATATTACATATAATTATGATTATTTTGTGAATATCTGAACTGCAGGCTGTTTCATCATTAAAATGACACAAATAAGGCAGTTATAAGTGTTTTCATTTTCACTGTTGTTTGTGTGTGTGACAATACAAGTGTGTTGCCATGCCGGCATCTCCTAAAATTTGTATTTATTTGATTTACCAAAAAATGTAAAGTATAAGTTTATTTTTTTCCACAGGCAAAACTTGGTCCCGAGTGGAATAACATTTTAATAATGCAAAAGCATGTTTCATTTGCAATTAATTTGTTCTGCAGCAAATTTCTGGAACTCATCATTTCAATAAACAAGTATAACTGCCATTTATGAAAAGATAAACTAGAAACTTTGAGTATTATACAAATATATAATCCAAGGAAATATATTTAATTCTATTTTCAGATTGGTTCATATATGTTCTCATATAGTCATAGCGCAAATTTTTTCAGAAGCAAACACATGAAACATTTTGTTATAGTATTAAGTGTAAATGCAATTCCACTATCAATCTTATATCTAAGTATTTCAATATTTGACATTTAAGTGAATTTGGAAAATATAACTAGACTAAGGTAGATTACACTCTCAGCCTATGAGTCATCAGACTTTTCATATTTCTAAATAAGTAATGGCACAGGTGGGTAGTCAGGTATCAGGCACACATTGGAGTTTGCTGTGCAGACTCAGTGAGTGTGCTTGGAATCAATGACTACAGAATGTAGGGGAAAGAAGCTGGATTATGCAGAGGGATAAGTCTTGAGAGCAAATCTATAGTCATCTTCAGATCTAGAATGAACCATCAGAATTTTCCTATTTGGGACCAAAACAGTCAGACGCTTATATTGTTCCTAGATCAATCACTGAATATGGGCTGTTGTGGTGTCAGTGTGACTTGAAAGAGCCAACTCTCCATAGGAGAGGCACTCCCTAAAGGAGCTGAGAGTAGAGGACCACCTTCCAACACCAATCCCATCAGGACTCTCACTCCTTCCTTTAACTGGAATTTAGGGTACATGATAGTGTCCACTACAGTTCACCCTTTGTAATGTTGGATCCATTTCATATGCATTTTGATGGCAGTTCTTCCAGGTATCAGATTGGCCTGTCTTCATGGAGAATCTTTTTTTTTCCTTCACCCCAGGGGAGCTAAGAGAATCTTAGAAGTGGGAGGTTAGTAAGAAAAGTACAGTCCCCAATGCCTCGATGTGGCAACAGATATTTGTCTTCTTTCACTCTTATCTATTCCGGAGTCTGCTCCCCATCAGCTAGCACCTATTGCCAGTCTTGTAGTATTTCCTGTTAGCATGACACAGACCTTCATCTCCAAGGGGTCACCTTGGAGGATTAATTCACTTATCAATTTCAGAATTTCAGTTTGCCCAATTTCAGAATTGGGCAAAGGTGTATGAAAAGACATGCAGTGAGTTATCTAGGTGCCCAGTAGGCCCACCTCCTGCTGATGATCTGGGTCAATTATCCATGACAGATTGGTGACTCCTTTTATTGCCTTCTGGTCCCTTATATGAAGTCTTGACCCAAGAGTCAGGATGCTCAATTAGAACAATGAGTCAAACTAAAGTAACCATCAAGTATTTGGTTACTTGCTCTGACTGTGTAAGCAAGAGACAAAATAAGCACTGGCTTCTCAATGTTCCATTTTCCCCTATGGAACAGAACCCAGTGAGAGTCAGGTGGATCAGCACAGATAGGGGAATTGAGTCAGAGTGGAGAAATATCTTAGTCAAGAGCTCCTGATGAGGAGGTAAAGCAAAAAAGCCTCAGCTCAGGCCACCTAATAAAGAGCCCTTACAATGGTGGTGCCTGGCCTAGGTATGCAGATATGTATATAAGCATGACTGGCCTGGGGAGGGGGTCTGGGTCCTTGGCAGCACTCCCTCCAGAACACTGGAAGGCTGTGGCCTTGCACTACATCTACAGTGGATGGGACAGATTTCTCACATGACACCTAATAGGCAGACTATTTAATTGCCTGTCTGAAAAATCATACCAGATTTTAGCCTGAAGCTGAATTCCTCACCAAACAGGATTAGTCTCCTAGATTTCAATATGACTTGCTGTTTCCCTTGCTGGAGTGTTTCCCCCATTGAGAACTAAAATTTCTAATCCCGTAGAGCCTAGATGTTCCGGGATAGGAAGTAAATACATTCATGTGCTACATAATGATGTTTTGGTCAACGACAAACTGCATATACAACGGTGGTCCCATAAGATTATAATCTTATGGGATTATATGTGCATACTGTATGTTTATGAACATTTTTTATACCTAGATATGATTAGATATGCAAATGCTTACCATTGTGTTACAGTTACCTACAGTATTCAGCACAGTAACATGCTGTACAAGTTTGTAGTTCAGAAGTAAGAAGCTATACTAAATAGCTTATGTGTGTAGGAGACTACACCACCTAAGTTTGTGTGAGTGTACTCTATAATGTTTGCATGATGACAAAATTGTCTTAAGATATATTTATCAGAATGCATCCCCATCTTTAAGCAACATCTGTCTGTATTCTTCCAGAGACTATTGGAAATTATGGTCACTTTGGCTTGTCTTTTTCCATGTGGATGTCTTCTCTATAAATTTCCCCTAAAGATGACATAGACTCATATAAATATCTTCACTTCAAAGTGTATATTGCATCTTGGAAGATGGTTTCCAGTCCTCTTAAGGTCTCACTTCTGAGTTGCCAGTTCAGCTTTGCCATCAGAATACCATTCCAATTTTCTATCAGAACAACAGCTTCTAGGTCACGTGACTTAATAAGTTGACCTGGAGTCATGGCTCATTCACATATATCCTTTCAGACAAAATCATATCATTGTTGGAAGCAATATTTTTTGTCATCCCATACCATTAGATCAAATACGCTATAAGCCCTCTCCTGCAGTGGTGTTGGTTGAGGTCCTGTGGGCAGATAAACCAAATCCATGTCCATAATATGTCTCTATTCTTGTCTGAGTGAACTCTAGCCTGAAGGGTGGAAGGAGATTTATGTTGTCAACTTAGCAGAGTGGCTTGTTTGTCTCCTCAGTGGTTTGTGCCACGTTGCAGACTTAGCATTTCTACTGCTGACAGGTTGAGCACTCAGCACTGCAATAGCTTGATTAGCTTTAAGTGGGAGCCCATATTATCAGGCCATTGAAATGACATCTCTGCCACCCTGACCATATTAATGGAGTGGTCATGGTGGCAGACCTAAGGTTCCAGGACTGGGTGGCTGATGAAAGAGACTTGCTGAAATAAACAGGTGACAAAATAGTTTTGCTTAATTGGTGGTTTAGTGTCACCTTTTGTGATGAATGCTTTCTGGTGGGTGTTAATATGATACAAAAACCTTTACACTTTCTCCCCACTCCTATGTGTCCATTCACAGGCTTCTATGTAAAGCTTCTTTGTCCCCAGGCTTCCAATTTTTCTCAACCTAGGTCCCTGAGTAGTAGATCAGGTGATTATTCATGTTCACAAGGCAGTATATATTCTAACTTCAAACTACTCCCAAACAAATTGGAAGACCACGTGTACTGCCTGAAAGTCTACCCACTGGGAGAACTTCTCTTATAAAGTTTTTCAAGGCCACCCTTGAATTAGGCTTTTTAGTGTAGCTGCTATCCATTTTTGGCTTATATTAACTTGCTGAGAGAAACTATCCAGGAATCCAGCTCAGGCTTTTTTTCTGCTTCATCAGCTCAATGTATGGAATTCCAAATACAGCCTTAGATGTGTGCTGAGCAAGCGGCAATGATGCTTAAGTTGTTGATGGCATGGGTTCTGTGCTACCCATTCAATAAGTTTGTTTGCATCCTTTTTCCTGGTCATACTTAATTCTGGTTATACTACTTCACACTGATGGTGGATTTTTGCTGAACTTGACCAATTATATCAGTTAGAGCATCTTTTAGAACCCAGCTTATTATGGACAGTTCCAGACACATATCACGTTTTCCATATTCAGCTACTTCTTTCCTGGGCTCACTAGAGTTGTTTTTCAATAGGTGTATATTTCTGCTACAAATCAAATGACCTTGATTTAGATTCCTCAGTAATTGCTTTGTGATTTTTCCCACAGACACTTGCCATAAACTTCACTAATAGACCTAATAAGATAAGAATTGTCAGGTTCTTTGGTCCAAGTTGCAGGATTGCTTGCAAAGAAATGCAGAATGCTTTTACTTTAGATGGGGTGGATATCCTGGAAAACCTCTGGTCAATAGGCCCTTAAAAATTTTACTGATAACATAGTCCCTAAAAATTCATAGAATTTGTCTTCCACTCCCTGGAATATGTGTCTTACCAAAGCCTTCAAATTGTTAGGTACTTTTGTTCATCCCATTCCATTAGCAAGATGTCCTCTATGCAATGGATGGCATTTTTTACCTTTTATTTTTTGGGCAATCTACATATGTGGGCAAATACCAATATACCAAAAATAGCAAAATTCCAAATATTTGGAAGTGTCATATTAAAGAACACAAGAGTGAACATAGACCTGAAAAAAACTGTAAATAAATACCACATCCACTCAAATTAATAAACACTGTTTATAAGCCTCTTTTTAATATGGATAAAAATAGCATATTTGCTATTATTGATGGCTGTCATGAATTTTGGCCATGTAACTCAGCTCTAGCACAAGTACCATGTCTGACCATTGCAACTGCACTGGGGGTGCTACTAACTGAGTTTGTGGTAGTGCGAGGTCATCCTCTAGAATCCCTCCAGGTTTCTGTTAAGGAAATATTGGTGAATTAAATGGACAATTGAAAGAAATCAACACTTCAAATGGTGCTAGTTTAAGAGTGATGCAAGTTTCTACCTTCCTCTCCTAGAATGTGATACTTTTGCTGATTATCTTATTTAGGATGGGAACTGCAGTTTCAGGGGCTCCTATTTGGGCTTCCCACCATAATAGTTATTACCTCATAGACCAAGAACTTATTGTGAAGGTTGCACTAGCAATCAAGTATATCTATCTTTACCTTAGCAGATTTGGTTTGGTCTGTGGAATTAATATGAGCTGCATATTATCCAGTGATCTAGGTATTAATTAACCTACATATGCAACACATTTAAAGAGGAGACATACTGATGCTTCTAGTCTCTGGATGTCAGTGTTCACAAGAACTCAAAATGTTTGGATATCTCTCTTTTCCCAGTGTACATTAACTTGACTAAAATGGCTGGGCAAAAAGTAGGTGAATCGTTATCTTTAACATTTCCCATGCTGTTGCAGAATCTTTCTCCCAAAGGACCTACCATCCTCTTTAACAAGTGAGTTCTGAATCAAATAGTGGCTCAAATTCAGAAACTAGGAAAACAATTCTAACTTTTTAATAAAGCAACTTCCTTCAGTTTCCAGATAATCATGTTTTCAAAATGTCTTCTTGGTGTAAAAGTTGAGTGATATCATTCTTAAGCACTCACTTATTTTGACCATCACTTTTTTCATCCTTTTAAAAGTAATTTACATAGAATTCACATCATCTCCTGAGACCCTTGTTGGGATGTTAAATGCTGTATCTTGAGCTAATACTCCTCAATCAACAAATGCTCATTTATCTGATGTTTCAGCCTTCAAAATCAAACACCCTAGAATTTAAGTTCACCTGTCATGCATGTATGAAACCACTATTCTCTGTATTACAAATATTAAAAACTAAAAAAACTATAGTATCAAATGTATTATTTGAAATTAATCAATTAAATTGTATTAATGTTAGGTAGTATTTTCAGATTCTTAAGTTTATTTATCCTAAAATACCAGTATTTTGAGTAATAAAAAAGAAATGATATTTATGTCTTCTTTATATTTAAAGCAGTTAAAGCAGAAAATTTGTCCTTTATCTTTTTTTCAGCTTTGTTGAGGTATGATTGACAAATCAAAATGATATATATGGAAGGTATACAACACATTTTGATATACATATACATTGTGAAATTATTACCACGATTGAGCTAGTTAACATACCATCACCTCACATTGCTACCTTTTGTGTATGCGTATATGGGGATCTACTCTCTTAGCAAATTTCAAGTATAAAATACATTATTAGTGACCGTGCAGTCCATTCGATCTCCAGACCTTATTCATCTTATAACTAAAAATTTGTACTTTTTGAGCAATATCTCCCCTTTTCTCCCACTCCTCAGGTCTTGGTAACTACCATTTTATCATCTGTTACTGTAAGTTTAACATTTTCTAGATTGTACATATAAGTAAGATCAGGAAGTATTTTTTTGTCTTTCTGTGTGTGGCTTATTTCTTCCTTTGTATTTGTATGAATTTTTTAAGTTCATGTACACTCCCAGATTTGCTCTACACCAAAGTATGATATTACCTAAGTATGATATTAGTAACAGTGACTGTAAATAAAGTTTTATAAAGGATAAACCATAGGTAACCTCATATGATTTTCTAATATGTGTTCAGATATTTGTCTACCATTTTTTTAGCCCCAGTTGGAACTTTTGGCATGGATATGATTTAACAGTGTCTCTTCCATACCAACTGTATAAAGCTAACTGTATGGAAATTCTCCTAGAGTACTGGAAGAAATTCTGCCCTATGGGCAACTACTCTCCATGGCATTTCTATGCAACTTGTGACAGCAGTTTTTCTAGACTGTTTTTGCAAGAATATTTGCATAGTAAACAGCCTTAGAGGATTAAGATAGTATCTTCCTCACAGCCAGAAAGAAAATTTGTTTACTGTCTGGGATAATCAAGCTAATGTTTCCCTCCAGTGATAAAGTTTGGGCAAATTTTTCTAATGGTCCTGTATATAAAATTAAAATTTCCTAGTCTGAGTTCTTCAGCCACAACACAAACCCAGGATGTGTGCAGCATCTACTTGGGTCTGCCGCTTCATTGCTCCCATGGGACTTGAGAGTGTTTTCTATGTCATGTAACAAATGACCATAAATATAGTTGTTTAAAACAACATGCTTTTATTGTCCCCACTCCTCTCAGGCCTAACTGAGGAAAAATCTGTTATCAAGCTCATTCAGGTTATTGGCAGTTGTTTGTAGTTGTATGACTGAGAACCTCAGGTTTTATAAGCAGTTGGCTGGAATTTAGCGGGTACCAAGAGTTTCTAAAGGCCACAAGCAGTTCCTTGAAATATGGATTCTCCAACAAGCCTTTTGTTTTGCTTTGCTTTGTTTTGTTTTGCTTTGTTTTGTTTTGTTTTGTTTTGTTTTTTGGTCAAGCCTACTGGAAGAATCTCCAAACTGCTAAGATAGAGTGTCACTTAATGAAATAGAATCATAATAGTGACATCTGATTGCTCATGCATATGATAATCTAACAATAAAAGTGCTATCACATAGTTTTTGCCATATCGTATTTGTTACAAGTAAGTCATAATTGTCACCAATACCCAAATGAAGGGGATTACACAAATACATAAACATCAGGAAATAGAAACCTTTGTGGAAAGAAGAGGCCACCTTAAGGTCTGTTCATCACAGTGTGCAATAGGAACTGATGCAAAACTTGAAGCTCATACTGCTGGGTGTGCTGAGTAATAAAGTCTTTTGTCTCTGACGCAGGATCCCTGTGTTTTCTGCCAGCATTTATGAAAAAGTGGCAGGACAATTTGTTAGCTTGCAAGTAGGGAAGATCTCAGAACTTTTACAGCTCTTAACATGATTTGTCCCAGTCCAGTTCTGGATATTTACAAGATACTAGGAGTTTAGGGTTATATCATTCTGGCTCATTTTCCCCCTTTACTGAAAGAGGATGACCAAGAGATAGAGTTTTCCAAACTACATAGGATCTCCATCTCTACTACTACAGACACTCAGAAACTTGGTATTTTTAAGGACAAATACAGTTGTCAGCTGGTACTTCACATCCTCATGCTTACCTATACAAGGGTTCTTGAAACTATGGCTTTAATATTTAAAATAATTCATGTAGACTATACTTATATTAACAGTTTACTTAAATTGAATCTTCCAGACTTCCAGAGTACAACCAAAATGAGTGTGGGAAAGGTAATATACCAGAATTCAATCATGAAATTTATGATTGGTGACCTGAAAGGAATATAATTGCTCCTTTCTAAACTTGACAGAGTCTCATATCATATTTTAAAGTTTAACAATGTGTAATATCTTACTAGAACCAAAAAATACGCTATCAGGGTGGTTTGAAATGCAGATTGCTTTAAAAATTGTGCTAAAATGGCTTATTTTCTGCAGACTACTTAGCAATATGAGTTCAAAGATCACTAGTTGAATAGCCCATAAAAAGTCCATTATGTCATTTTATATACATCTAGCTGCCAAGCACTCAAGATCATAATAAGAAATTAAATAGTTCAAAGAAGACAAAGTTGTGAAAGTTAAGTGGTGAGACAATGCAATGTTCTACTGATAGACATTATCTCAATAGTTTATAAAGTGTTGATAACTCTTTACCAACCTGACTTAAGCATAGTCTTGCCCCATTGCCTAAGCAATACATTGTATAGTTCACTCAGATAGTTTCTGTATCCATAATTTAAAGGTGTTCTATGCCTCTCTTCTAAATTCTCCTTCTATTAAATATAATCATTGCAGATTTTGACAATAGTATCCACTAATTGCCATTATAATACAATAAAGAAGATAAGTGCTTCCATTCCCCATGCTATGCCAAAGCCCTTTGCAGGACCTAGGGAAAAATAAAAGTTACTCTCCTTCAGACACATTATTTACTTTTCGTCAACCTCTAAAATTCTCCATGAGAACACCTGGGCACTGCATCTGATTTTGCAGTGTTCCTTTTCTTTTCCAAACCTTTTCAAGCAATTAATTTGAAAGCTCCCAGAAAAGAGGAAAGCTTCTTTTTTTAAAAAAAAAATATAAACCATGAAGAATAACTGGTTTCCTGGTCATCATTTTCATTCCCATTACAAATCCATCAGATTCATTTTACACTCTGATTCCCTAGTGGCCTTTCATCCTGTTTATCAATGTTTTCCAATCCTTAGATCATAGGAATATCACATATACTTATGAGTAATAGAGATTTTCAGGCCCATCCTCACAGTGGCTTAATTATAGTTCCGTATGTTTTTGCACACATTTTAGTGTATAATTTTATTAGAAATATTTTACTACTAAAGCAATGATGTTTTTTAAAATGTTTTTGTAAACCAATTCTCCAAGAGGAAGGAAAGGAGAAGAAGAAGGAATTGAAAAAAAAGAAAGAAAAAAGGAAGGAAGGAAGGAGGCGGGTTGGGAGGGAGGGAGGGAAACCTTGATTTGTAGTATTTGCCAATTTCCATGATGTAAATACTCTCATCATGGCCAATATCCAGCCTAATAAGTTACTGTCCTTGGAGACAGTGTTGGGAAGAGATGCACACAATAAGATCTTGTGAACTGGTGGGAACCAGCTCCAACATATCACTGTACCTTGGGGATTCCACTTCTACTAAATTGCTTGTAAGTTTCCTACTCATATGTATTATTTACTGCTAGTACCTGTGCTTTAGTTGCTCCCTCTCTCTGATATACAGAACTTTATTTTCTGTCTGCCTGATCAATTAATTTCTCCTGGAGATACTCACAATCCATCCGGGAAGCTATTGTTCAAGTGACAGCCTCAGATTTTTGTAGTTAGGGATAAATGTTTCTTTCATAGCACTTACCACATTATATTGCAAATATCTGTTTAAATGTCTATTTTAATCTTAAACTGAGTCACCAAGAATTATATTTCATTCATCTTACATTTTACCAGAGCATAGAAAAATGTGGGACCTAAATGTTTATATGTGAAACTCATAATTTATGATAATGAATTAATGTAATACTGAGCCAGCAATTTCAATATTGATTTAAAATTGCAAGATCTGATATATATGAAAGAGAAGTTGCAGTAGGGAGGTGATAAGGTGATTAATGGATTTTAAAAGGATGAATAATTGAAAAAATATAGAGATAGAACTAAAAGAAATATAAGCAATGTCTTGTTCATAGTGTCAACTGGTGAATTTCCAATGTAGAAAAATCACTGGATAGTTTTATGAACAGTATAATTGTATTTTCCACAATTAAAACATTTATTAATACAGTTGTACATATTTATGGGGTACGTGTGACACAAGCATACAATGTATAATGATCAAATCTGATAACTGAACTAACCATCAGTTCAAACACTTATCATTTCTTTGTGTTGGCAATATTCCAAACCTATTATTCCAGTTATTTTGAAATTTACAATAAATGATTGTTAACTATAGATGCGCTATTGTGTTACCAAACACTAGATCTTATTATTGCTATGCAAATGTATTTTTCTACCAATTAGTGAAACCCACTTTACCCTTCCAACCCTCTGGTAACCATCATGCTATTCACTGCCTCCATGAGATCAATTTCTTTTTTTAGTTCCCACATATGAGAAGATGCAACACTTGTCTTTCTGTGCCTGGTTTATTACACTTAACATAATATCCTCCAGTTCCATCCATGTTATTGCAAATGACAGAATTTCATTCATTTTGATGGCAAAATAATATTCCATCGTGTATACACACCACATTTTCTTGATCCATTTACTTATGTGAATATGTGAATATGAGCTAGAACTCATATCCCATATCTGCAATAAACATGAGAGGCCAGATAGTTCTTCAATAGGCAAATTTTAATATCCCTTTATTTGGGATATTGTGTGATTATATTTTAATCTTGCTAACCACTTTTATAATTATACCAGTCAAGAATAATGAGGTAATACAATTTTAAGTTTTAAAGCATAAGCCTGAGATCAGGGAGATATTAATCCCATGTGATTTTACTCAAAGCCAGAACAAATAGCCAATACTAAAATCTAAATGTGAAACAGTACAAAAACTATCAGAAAAATATCATTATTGAATACATTTTATAGTAAAATCCCTTCAGTGTCCGTTTTTTAGCTTGTGTTTCATTTTAACTTAAATGCCTATATTTTCCTATGTAATATTTTAAATGTTTCTTGTCTTTAAATTCAACCTTTAGAATAGAAAAGTTACTTAATAGAAGCTTATCTTTGATACATTTAGAAAGAAGCTTTAAAATTAACTTCTGCTCAATATAGTGTTCACCTCTAGGAGCAACTTCATAAAGCAACAGCCTGAGCATTGCCAAATCACAGGAGCAATGAATAGAGTTATCCGGGCCACTCACAATGAGAAATGTGATGGAAGAACTGAGGAATGAAGCACATTTAAAACATACTTTCAACTTTCAGGAGACATCAACACAGAGAAAAAGTTCAGAATAAACTGGGTGGATATGAGAAGGTATCTTTTGAGAACATAAATACGTTTTACTTTCCGTTAATCCTTTCTGCCTTAATTTTTGTGGTTCATAAAGTGAACTATTATGTTCAGAGTTTGTAAAATGAGTGATCTGAAAAGAAACTTAAAGAATTCTCACTCAAACCCCAAGTTTATGGTAGATCCAGTGTAAAATCCATGTTTCCTTCAACTAATCTGATTTTCTATTCATTATCTTATATTGTTTCACTGCTTATCATCAGTTAGGAATTTTTTCAAAAATTACAATCTTCCACTAATTAGTTTTGTGATGTGATCAAGTCACTTTATCTCTCAAAGTCTTCTTGTTAACATCTGCAAAATGAGGAAACATGCCTTCCAGCTATCACATTGTCTATTTTTATGTCCCCCTCATTATTAATTACCAAAAAAATGAGAAAATGATTTTAATGTAAAGCATTCAGGAGCACATAAAACACAGAAATGGAACATTGTGATTGTCTTTCGGTCTCTGGTGGATTGCAAATTCCTAAGTAAAATATTAGAAATATTTTCTGAATAACTTAGGAATTTCCCTTCTGCAGGTCAGGCCACTGGGTGGCATATTGTGGTCAACTGAATGACTGTTCCCCAAATCTGTTTTCTTTTCCTGCAGGACACACAGCTAGAACTCACATCCCAGCCTCTTTTGAATATAGGTATGACTACAAACAAATAGAATATGTCACATTTTGTGTGATATCAGACCTGCCCAGTATGATTCTTCATGCTTTTTTCTATGATGCACAGACAGGGCTCCAATCTATAGGGCAGCAGGGTCATGAAAGACAAAGGAACTAAAACAATAACATGGAAAGATAACCACAAGTAGAAACACAGGCTTATAAAATAGTAATTTTGAGGAACACAGGCTTACAAAACAGTAGTTTTGTAGGCTTTCAAATAAACAAGGAACAAACACCTATTACACCTATTTTGTTGGAATACTGAGATTTCTGGGTTAGTCTGTGAAAGAGGTGACCATTGAGGACACAGTCTTATTTATTACTGTACTTTAGGTTTTTTAATATTCTATGCTTCAGATATTCTCATTTGTTAAATTGTATGTCTGTAATGAGTACATAAACAGTCTGTGTTAAAATGTCACCAAAGGCAAAATTTCTATTTCTATGTATCAGTAATTACATTTAATTTTAAATTAATATTGCTGAAAAATTTGTCAATTTAATTGAAATTCTTTTTCAAGTTGTCAAATAACTTAGCCATTTTAATTAATTACAATTTGCTTTTCTTTAGGAAAATTATGGTTTTTTTCCTTAAAAATTGTCATTCACATCCTGAGAGGGTCAGTGATCCCTGAAGGTAGACTTGGAGGAGCTTATTTCTTAATTTCAAATAGATTAAAATATGAACACTCTTAAAGAAGTTTAAAAAACTTATTTCCCATATGACATTCACATCTAGAAATGATTAACATATGTAGTTGTGATAATATTCTATTTATTGAGTTTTCTATTACTTATAAAATAGACATATATTGCAAGTGACAATGTAAACTTTTTACCAAATATTTTTAATAAATAACAATATCGTTTTTCTATATATTTGTATAATTTGAGCAAGCAAGCAAGCAAGAAAGAAAGCCAAAAAAGGAAGGAAAGTGGGCTGGGCACGGTGGCTCACACCTGTAATACCAGCAATACCAGCACTTTGGGAGACCAAGGCTGGTGAATTACCTGAGGTCAAGAGTACGCAACCAGCCTGTCCAGCATGGTGAATACAATAAATAAATTGTATTTATTTTCTACTAAAAATACAAAAATTAGCCAGGTGTGATGGTGCATGCCTGTAGTCCTAGCTACTCAGGGGGCTGAGGCAGGACAATCGCTTGAACCCAGGAGGCGGAGGTTGCAGTAAGCCAAGACCGCACCACTGCATTCCATCCTGAGCAACAGAGCGAGATTCTGTCTCAAAAAATAAAAATAAAAAAAAAAGGAAGGAAAGAAAGTGTATAGAAAACCTAGCCAAAGACCAAAAGATATTGACTATAATAAAAATTTCTAAAATTCATATGAATAATGAGTGGATTAAATACCAACTCTACAAATCAGTAATATTTCCTATATTAAAATATTAATTTGCCAGAGACTAGCAAACTTAAATAAGCCATGGAGCAACTAATAACATTTAAGGAGCAGTTTAAATAGCAGTTAGCAAACTTAGAATAGTGAGAAAAAGAAATTATAATGATAGTATAGACACCTTTGAATTGTATACATATATATTATATATAATATATAAATATATAAGAAAGTAAAGTAGGAGAACATTCAGAATAGCATTGATACGAGGTTGGCAGGCCCTTTTCCAAGCTGAGCAACCATTTACTGATAAACATTTTATTAAAATAACCATTCGAAATTTATGTGAAGTGTCCTAATAACATACAGGAAATGGATAAAAATGTATTTAAGAAGGTGTAATAAATATTGAGAAGGGCAGTGTGAATCTATAGTATTTGAGCAATCACCCAGTCCCATTTCCCCCACTAGATGAGTATAAAAGAAACTCTACTTTGTGTAGATCCTGTCAAGAAAGTAAGGTTTCTCTTCCTCTAGCTTTCGGTCTACGGGTACAGTTTCACCCCAGGCAGGGAAGATCAGAGGTGATCATCCTCCTCAGTTTGATGTTGCAAAAGATACCAAGAAGGTACATATGAGAAGACTTGCCTTGCCTTCTCTCTATCTAGTCCCCAGTGTAAGTGAGGCAGACAACCCCAGGTTGTTCTTAGTCCAGCCAAGTTCTGAAACAAATAAACAATCAAAAATACATATAACACTACCACCACCAAGATCTGGAGCATGGAGTAGGACTAAGTGTCCAGAGTTGCTACAATATATTATCCAACTCATGATATTGATATCCAATAGAGTGAAGGATATCAATATCATGAGTTGCTAAAATACATAATAAAAAGTGTCTCTTTTTCAATAAAAATACATGAGACATGCAAAGAAACAAGATAGTGTTGCCCATAGACAGGAATCAAAGAGCAGACAATATTGTTTGCATTTGAGGTAACCTAAATGTTGGCTTTAGAGACCAAAACTACAAAGTAGTAACTATATATATGTTTAAAAAATCTGGAGAAAACTATGTTTCAAAAACTAAAGAAAGGCATAATGACAATTTCTCATCAAATAGAAAATAATAAAGAGATGAAAAATTATTGAAAAAACGGAAATTCTGGAGTTAGAAAGTATAATAATTGAGGCGAAATACACTACAGTTGCTCAACAGAAGACTTGAAATGGCAGAAGAAAGTATTTTGTGAAGCAGATTCACCATGGACTTGTTACCCACTTATTTGAGTGAGACAGAACACGCTCAAATACAAAGTTATATGAAATAGATTCATTACTTACAGATATGCAGCAAGGGACAAAGAAGCCTAAGATCCACTGTGAGTTGGTCCCTCAAGTATCAAGACGGCTTCCCAGGGTAGATAGAATGTTGATTCACATGCTCCACTTGGATCACAGCCAAGGGACCCCAAAAGGCATCCCACCTGCGGTTGTATATATATCCCATTGGCCATGAAACTCACTGGGAAAAGTTTTGAAGAACATCTTGGCTTCCAGAGGAAAGAGGAACAAAGCCGCCGGTGTCCCTGTAGTTCCTATCTATCTCAAAATGTTATGTTCTCCAGGAGGGAACAGGAACAAGGCCCAGGCTGTTTCAAACAGTTCCTCCCTGTCTCAGGGTATTGCATTCCCAGCACATTCTATGGTTATTTTGTAGAATTGTAAGCAAGGAGGAGACAGGGGTTAGGAGAAAATTAGGTCAGTCCAAGGCCACCCAGAGAACTGTCCTGCAAATTAATAAACTTGAAGATATCAATAGTGATCACATATTAAAGAACAAAGAGAAAAATGAATAAGGAAAAATAAACACAGCCTCAAAGAAATGTAAGAAACCATTAGGACATTAACATACTTGTAATGGGAGTGTAAGAAGGACTGAAGAGAGAAAAGAATCAGACAAAAATACTTTAAAGCATAATGGCTGAATTCTTTTCAAAATGGATGAAAAAGATTAAACTACACATGTCAGATGCTCAATTAACTTTAAGTAGAATAAAATCAAAGAGACACATTCAGACACATCATGATAAATATATTGCTAAGCTAAAAAACAAAGAGAAAATATTGAAAGCAGCAAAGGAAAACAACTCATCGCTTACAATGAACCCACAATAAGATTAACAGCTGATCTCTCATTACAAACAATAATGTCAAGAAGTCAAGAATCCTATATCCAGGAGAAGTATGTTGCAAAAATGAAGGTGAAGTAAACACATTTCCAAAAGCAAAAACTAAGAGAATTCATTGCTAGAAGACCCACCTTATAAAAAATCCTGAAGGAAGTTCTTTGAGCAGAATGCATGAAAACACTGGTAAAAGTTCAAACCTACATCAAATAAAACAAAGAACACAAGCAAAAGTATTTACAGGGAATTATATATGTATATTATATGTAATTATACAAGGTTGTATAAATGAATATTACTTTGCCTTCTTTATCTTTATTTAAGATACAATTTATAAAACAATGTGTACATTAGTATAGTGTTTGGCCTATAACATGCAGGAATGTAACATATTTAGTGCTAAGAGCTCAAAGGAAGCATGCAGAAATAAAGCTGTTTTGGAGTAAGGAAATGATACCAGATGGTAACTAAATCCTCAGGAAGAAAGGAAAAGATACAGAAATGGAAAATTATAAGTTTAATGTAACAGACACTATAAATATATACTTGCTCTCCTTTCTTCTCTAAGCTTCTTTAAAAGACATCAAATTATAAAACTGATATCTAAAACAATGTATTATAGGGTTTATAACACACATAAATGGACTATGTGTAACAATAATAGCACAAAAAGAAGAAAGTAGAACTATGCAGGAGTAACATTTTTATAATCTCATTAGATTTAGTATAAATCTGAAGTAAATTCTGATAAATTAAGACAATAGGGTAAGTCCTATGGCAACCACTAAAGATATAATGCAACAGAAAGAAAACATACTAAAATAATTAAAATGTTACATTAGAAAACATTTAGTTAATGCAAGAGAAAGTGATAAAGGAGGACTAGAGGAACAAATAAGATATGAGACAATTAAAACACAAAAAGACAATGGTAGAGTTAAATCTATACTAATAATAAAATTAAATGTGATTGGATTAAGTAAGTTGATTAAAAACAAAAATGATCAGACTGGATTAAAAAAAAACAAAACTCAACTATATGCTTTCTCTGGGTTGTAGGTGTCAGATGAAAAAAGGCAGATCGGAAGTAAAAGGATAAAAAACAAACAAAAAAGATAGATCATGCAAATAGCAATCACAAGAAAACTGAAGTAGCTATACTAATGTTAGACAAAATAGACTTTAAAACCAAAAATGTTAAGAGAAATAATTAGTGGCATTGTATAATAAAATATAAATCCATCAGAAAGACATAAAAAGCATAAATATAAATACACCAAAAAAGAGAGGCTTAAAATATGTAACAAAAATACTTGGAGGAAATAAAGGGGAAAGAAATGAACAATTCAGTTATACTAGTGGAGACATCCAGTGCCTCACTTTTAATAATGCCTAGAACAACTAGGGAGAAGAGAAACAAGGGAATAGAATCCTTGAGGAACACTGTAAAACCAGACCTAACAAACATCCACAGAACATTCTACCTCAAGAAAGCTAAATGTATTGTCATCGGAAATGCACATGAAATATTCTCTGATGGACAATATTCTAGACCATAATTGAACCTCAATAAATTTGAAAGAATTGTACTTTGTATGCAATGAAATTAGAAATCAGTAGCAGAAAGAAATTTGGACAAATATATAGAAATTAAATAAACATACTTCTTTGACCACTGGGTCAAAGAAGAAATCAAAGAGAAAAGAGAAATTATTTTGAGCTGAATTGAAATGAAAATATAACATGAGCAAAATTCATGAGATGCAGTTAAATCCGCAGTTAGAGGAAAATTTATAGCTGTAAATACCTCAGTTGAAAAAGAAGATAGATGTCCAATCATTATCATAGTCTTGCACCTTGAGACACAGGGGAAAAAAAACAGCAATAAAAACTTAAAACAAGTTAAAAAATGAAAATAATAAAGATTACAAAAGAAACAAATGAAATGGAGAATAAAAGAACAATCAAGAAAATTAATGAAACCAAAATCTGCTTCTTTGAAAAGTTCAAGAAAATTGACAATTTTTTACTAAATTAGAAAATTTAAAAGGACTTTAATACTACTGAAATTAGAAATTACAGAGAGAGCATTATTATTGACCTTACAAGACAAAAAGAAAGAATTAAAAAGGAGTACTATTAAGAAAAAAACATATGCTAATAAATTAAGTAACTTTGTAAGTAAATAAATTCCTAGGAAGGCATAAGCTACTAAAAATGACTCAATAACAATGAGATAATTCAAACAGATTTATTACATATTAGCAGAATGAATGACACAAAAACATAATCATCTCAATAGTTACAGAAAAAACCATCTTACAATTTAATAGTTGATTATGATAAAAATATTTTTTTCAGAAAGAAATAGAAGGAAATTCCTTAACATGATAAACAGTCATCTACCAAAAAAAAAACCCAGCAAAATACTTAATGAAAGAGTGACAGCTTTCATCAAAGATATCTATTTTCAGAAAACATTCTATCTATACAGAAAACCTGATAGAATATACAAAAATGCTACTAGAATCAATAAGAGAATTTATAAAGTATGCAGGATGCAAGAACAGTATATAAAAATCCATGGTATTTACTTTACAAATTATTTTACTGGTTCTAGTAGCTTTTTAAATTTGTTCCAGGAATATAGTAGATAATAGTGTCTTGTACATTTCAAAATTGTTTAGATTTTAAATGTTCCTATTATTAAAAAGACAAGAATTTGAGGTGATAAATATGTTAATTACTTTGACTTAATTATTTTGCATTGTAATTATAAATTATTACATCCCCAAATACCACATAAATGTATACAACTATAATTTGTCCATCTATAATTGAAAATAATATAAAATAAATAAATCAGTGGTATTGCTATACACTAAAAATGAATGATCCAAAAGTAAAATGAAGAAAACAATTCATTTGCAGTAGCATCAAATGAATAACCTACTTAAGAATAAATTTAACAAAAAAAGCACAAAACTTATACACTGAAAACTGCAAAATATAGTTGAAGAAAATTAATATCTAAATAAATTAGGCAAATAATCCAATTTTAATGGACCAGAAGACTTAATTTTGTTAAGAAAGCAATACTTTCCATATTGATGCACACATTTCACAAATTACAGAAACTCCCAAACTGACCTTAAAATTAATTTAGAATTTCAAAGAAAGCTATTTATCAAAAAAAATCTTGAAAAAATGAAAGAGTTTGAGGACTCACACTTTTCATTTTCAAGCTTACTAAAAATCTACACTAATCAACAGAGTGTTGCACTCATATGGATGTGTATATGGGCACAATGAATCAAGACAGTGTTGCACTCATTATATGAGTGTATATATATATAATATGTATATAACCTGTATATATATATAGGCTAGGAATGAGAGTCCAAATACTTTACAAGTGATTTTTATAAGAATGCTAATGCTAACAAATGTTATTGAGACAACATGATACATCCATACCAAAAATGCAATTAGACTCCTTTCTGACACCATAACCTAAAATTAATACAAAAATAGATCATAGACATAGTTTTAATATTTAAAAATATGAAATTTCTAGAAGAAAACATAAGAATAAATCTTTGTAACCTTGGATTGGGCAATGCTTCATTAATACTATATGAAAAAAATATGCAAAAGAAAATTACAAATAAATTGTACTTCACCAAAAGTAAACACTTTCTTGCTGTAATCTATACCCATGAGAAACTAAAATCTCAACCTACAAAGTGAAATAAAATATTTGCAAATCATAAGCCTGCAAAAAGACTTATATGCAGAATATATAATGAACTTTACAACTCAATAATCAAAAGATCTAAAAACTCAACACAAAATGGGCAAAACGTACAAATAGATGTTCCTCAAAAAAGTATGCAAATGGCCAATAAGCTCATGAAAAGATGCTCAACATCATTAGCTGTTAGAGAAATGCAGATAAAAACAAGACTCTACTTCATAACCACTAGGTTAGTATAATCAAAAAGACAGACACTACAGACACTAACTAGTGTTGGTTAAGATGTGAAGAAATTGGGATCATTGTGCATTACTGCTGTGATTATGAAATGGTATAGCAGCCTTGGAAAATAGTTGTGTAGTTCCTTAAATTGTTAAACATAGAATTATCAAATACAACTAACAATTCCACTGCTATGTATATCTCCAAAAAAATAAAAACACATTGCTAGAGAAACATTTTCATGCAAATCTTTAAAAAAAAAAAAAAGCACTATGGTATAATAAAGACCTTTAGTCTTTGTCCAGGCTTCTGGTACAGAACACCTGGAGCCATTGAAATTTTCTGATCGATAAGGGTGATAGAAGAATCATTTCTTGTAATGAGGTGACTCTTGGAAGGCTCGCTCTTAGATACTTGCAGAATGGGGGCTGGTCTCCAGAAAGACCTAGACTTCATTACAAGCTTGACATTTTCAGCCCCACTCCCTTAACTTCTGGGAATGGGAAACAGGCTGGAGATTGAGCTCCAGCAATCCAGCAATGGCCAATGATTTAGTCAATCATGTCTACTTAATGAAACGTCCATAAAACTGCTAAGCTATTCAGGGAGCTTCTGAGTTGAAGAACATACCACATTTCAGGAGTGTGGCACACTGAGATACTATGGGACCGATGTTTCTCTTTGGAACCCTTATAGACCTCACCCTGTGTACCTCTTTACCTGTGTGTTCATTTGTATCCCTTGCAATAAACCAGTAACAGTAACTAAAGTGCCTTCCTGAGTTTTATGCTAATTGGACTATGTGGTCTCCAAAGTTGCCACAGTAAGAAAAGAGAATGATGAAGGAGGCAGATCTTCATCTTGACTCTCTCAGAGAATAAGAAACACATGTCACTTTATTGTGGTCCATTGGCCAGAATTAGGCAAATGATCTCAATCTCATCACATGGGAAGGTAAGAAATCTGAGAACCACATGAAGTAACTGTTAAGAACTCTCTCTACCACAATGAATGTATTTGAAAATTGTATATTTTCTATATGTTAGGATTTTTCTCACAAAGAAACAGTATTTTTTTTAATTTCAAGCATCCATGAACTCTTTGTATCAAAAGGTAGAAAGACTGACACTATGATTTGCTTTGACCAACAAAATGCTGGTGAAATGTTTTGTGCTGGTTCTCAACATAAGCCTCAAGGAGTTTTGAATGCTTCTACTGGTTCTTGAAAACTCACCAGTGCTATGTGGAAACCTTGGGCTAAACAAATAAATAAAGAGTGACACATGTCATTCCTGGTTAGGATCTCACATCAAGCTAAGCACTAAACATGGGTGAAGACTCTCTAGATGAGCCAAAGTCCACATAACTGTCAGGTTATGGCAGACTCAGGTGCCAGCCCATTCCAGATCAAGATGAACCTGGCCTCAATCCTGTAAAGATACATACAAATCAAAAGTAAAAACATGTCATTCACCATGAGACAAAAAGGGGAGGAAAATACCCCTCCCAGCTGGGCTCAGTGGCTGACACCTGTAATCCCAGCATTTTGGGAGGCCAAGGTGGGCGGATAGCCTCAGTTCAGGAGTTCAAGACCAGCCTGGCCAACATGGTGAAACCCTGTCTCTACTACAAATGCAAAAATTAGCTAGGCATGGTGGTGGGCACCTGTAATCCCAGCTACTCGGGAGGCTGAGGCACAAGAATCACTTGAACCCAGGAGACAGAGGTTGCAGTGAGCCGAGATCATGCCACTGTACTCCAGCCTGGGTGACAGAGCAAGACTCCAGACTCCATCTCAAAAAACAAAAACAAAAACAAAAAAAACCAACCACCCCTCCCTTTTCTTAGAGCAATTCTTAGAAAACTTTTCTTTGTAAATTATTTCTCTGTCCTTTGAAATATATATATTTATATAAATATCTCTTTTAAAATGTTAAATAAGCCTCTTGCCAGTTTTAAAACCCAGGAATGATTTTTGTAAGGACCTAGAAGCCATCTCTTTGAAATGTAATCATGAACAAAGACTGTGCAGCTATCTGCCAGTCGTGAATAGGAGCCTGGTGGGCGGGAGCCTAACTAGCTTAACTTCTGCTCTAGGTTTGCAAGTTGTTAAAGCTACCTCTTGTCATCAAGATGTTAAAGTTTATTTTACTTTTGGATAAAGGCAAGTCATTAGCATTTTAATTAGGAGATGAGTATACAACTAACTATATATGACAAATAGTCCCCTTACTTCAATATGCAAATGTGAGGACTATAGTTTATTATGAGAACATGTATGTGATGGATTTCATCTTCCTGAATATGTAACTGAGTAAGATTTTATTCTGTCTTTTTAGTCCTTTTAGTGGATTGTCTGTGATGCACAATTTTGTCTGGTTTAAGGCCGGTTTGATAAAGAAGTTTTTTTCTGTATGTTTTGCAGAGGAATTTTTGCATTGGCAGATGTCTTAATTATTTCTTACCAAAGAGCAGCAGAGCTACTCATATGACTGACTCTACACCCATGAGCAATAATAACTGGTGGTTGTTCTTTAACCAACAAATTTTGGACTTTGCACAGAATAAAAGCTAACAGATAAATTCTATAACCACCAATAGGTTCTTCTTGCCCACTGCACAGATAAAACCAATTCACTGGGACAGCAATATTGCAGTGGAGGAAGAGTTTCATAATCACAGAGCCATCCAAGTGCCATGAAAGGAATTTATTACTCAAATCTGCTTCCCTGATAACTCAGAGGCTAGGATTTTATAGATAATGTGGCGGGCAGGGGCTAGAGAATAGATGCTGCTGATTGGTTGGGGATAAAATCACAGGGATGTGGAAAATGGTTCTCATGCACTGAGTTAGCCTTTGAGTGGGAAATATAGGATTGTTTGCATCATGAGTCATGGGTTTGGGTGAGGTCAGCCTATTGCCAGAATGAAAAAAGTCTGAAAAACCTCTTCAAGGACCCATCTAAGGTTCTACAATAGTAATGTTATCTATAGGAGCAACTGGGGAAGTCACAAATCTTGTGACCTCTGGCCACATGATTCCTGAGCAACAAGGGATTATAGAAAAGCAAGCTAGGAAACAATGGCTGCTTATCATTAAACTATGCCTACCTTTTAGCAGAGTCCAGGCCCTTCTCATAATCATAATCTGTGGTCTTACATTAATCTTACAAAGACAGCTTTGGTCCCTGAACAAGGAGGGGATCATTTTTAGGGGGCAATTATTATTATCCTTGTTTCAAAGTTAAACTACAAAGGAAATTTTTTTCCATGGTTAACTTGGCATACACCCAGGAATAAATGAAGATAGCCAGCCTGTGGGGATAGAAGCATTATGAAGTCTACCATGCTAAACTTCTCTGTTGACATATTCTTTGCAAATGCAGCTTCAGTCACCCCTCTTTAACCCCTCTTTGGCTTGAGCATACTTCAAAGTGTAAACTATAAAGCTAGTAGAAGGCTGATGACCACTCCAACTTCTACCTGATGACAGGGGCATGGTTGGGGTTGAAGTTGGGCCTATCTAGAGAAGAATAAAACCACTTTGGAGTTGTCTGTGTTTATTAACAAGTGCCTGGCTAAGATCCCAATGTTTGTATGGCAAAGACATTAGTTCTCGTATTCACAGCTTTAGCACAGCACTTCAGTCAACAGCAAACCATAAGATAAATAATAGGCACTAACATTAGGAGTGAAAGCACTAGCTTCCGGAGTCCCTATAGAACTGACCTAAAATCTTGAGGCATCCAGGTGAATGACACTGAGAATCAGTCAGATATGGGGTCATCAGTAGAGAATCAAAAACAATGAACAAAGCTAGAATCTAATAAGAGGTATACTATAGTTTTTTCCTGAAACATATTTTCTCTCTCTGGTTCCCCATTTTACCAAAGAGAAATCATAGTAGGACCAATGTCTTTGAAAAATAAATTACAGTCTCATTATTTTTGGCCAGATTATTTGCATAAAGTACAGCAAGAATAATCACTTGCCATATAGGCTCTTTTTTCTAAATTGGCTTTGCTGGAATATTTTCATAAGGTATCTGATTAGGCCTTTTAAAAGCCTCTTGAGCCCAGCCAAGAATTCATCTGTGCCTGAAAATACCTGTATGAATCAGGTGAATTCATCTCCTCTCAAGTTTCTAAAATAACTTGGAGCTCCTGGGCCTGTCAGAAAGTAACTTAGAGCTCTGCAAAGAGACTGCATAGACAAGAAATGAGGCCAATTTTTCCAGTTGGTTATTATTAGCTCTATATGTCAACCTCAATTCTTTAAAGCAGTCTACTCATATCTGAAAACATGCCATTCCAGTCAAAGCCTCGTTGAACTTATGCAAATAATGATATTGCTATAAATTTAGAGTACTTACAAATAGTTTTCAAATTCTGGATAAATCAGGTAAAGAGAAACTTTTCAATGTTGTTTACAAGAGTATACTTTATTCAATTGTTAAAAACTCTAAATTGCTCAAAACAAAAAAAAGTTTTCTTAACTCTGAAAAGCAAAATAAAATGAATCAGTAGTGTTTCAGGCAAAAATTTATAAAGATTATTTCAATATTCTATTCAGTCCATGCAGTAAATGCTTTCTCTATTCAATACTCATGAACACATTAGCTCTCCAAGAGTAACTTTGAAGCTTTTTTCCCTATTCCAATGACACCATTTACAAAGTTATCAGAAACCAGCATTCACGAACACCCATGAGAGTCCTATAGCTGATCACAAAACTGCCTTTTGGAAAGAATTAAAGTAAAATAATAATGGTGAATGACAAAAGATAGCCATGGTCAAACACACAATTGACAAGGAAATCTGTTCATCTTTGTGGCATACAACAATTTAACATAACAATCATAATTCTTAATGATAACATGCACCCAGTCATCAGAATTATGAGTCTCACACAATTCTGGAATACATACCAATAACAAATTCATGCAAATACCACTCAAAGAAAGCCAAACATTGTTTCATACTTGACAATGCTTGCTGTATAATTGTAACTTACCAAATAAGCCAAATATGTCTCTTTTGGACTTCAGAGGTTCTGATATCTAAAAAAAAGTTAATGAGGTCAAAAGGACTAAATTTAGAACTTGAAATTTTGATTTTGGGAGGTTTGTCAAATATCAAAGGTTTTAAACACTTGATATCAGAAAATAGGATCACAGGTCATTTATTTAACTGAAATAACAACTCAAAAATTTCAAAAAAGCAAAACCTTTTACTCTGTGATAGAGGGAAAACAGGTTTCCAAACAAGACCAATAAAGACAGCATGAAGCCAACTGAATTTTTCTCTTCTCCCTCCTTTTTTTAATTTCCTATTTTTTCTGTAGTTTACTCAAAATGCAAACAAAAATCTTTATTATCTCTCAATATTACACAAAAATCTTGCTCAAAAGAGAAAACCAAATTCCACCTATAAATTAGTGCATTGTTGACATTAAGACTAATTTTTTAAAAAAATCTTATAAACAAATCTATCTAATTTTAATCAATTTAATCATAAGTTAAGATTTCCATAAGCCGTTTATAACACTTTACAATTTTGTGTCAATGAGCAGATCAGTACTCCGAGGAAACCCTGTTATTCTGAGACATGGGCCCAGATTCTGGCCTTGAATCACTGTGTTTTTTATCTTAATGTTTAATTTATAGAAAAACTAAAAAATCTTCAAATTTTGATCAACTCGATCATACGCAGAACTTCCTTTAAAAGATCAATCATTTGCAAATCTTCTACAACTTCAGTCTTGTCCTAGTATTCTTTTAACTTAAGACAATTCTTAAAAACTTCTAAACTAAAAATCATTTTCCCTTTAACAAAAACCATATTTTCACACCTTCTTATAACCTTTTACCAAATACACATTCTACTTTCTGTATACAACTTGCATGTAAACTGTTTCTCCCATAGTCTAAATTACATATGTTACAACATTTACTCTTAGCAATTTTTATTTTTAATGAAAAACCTGGTAAGTAGGCATTTTAATCATATATCAGATTATAGAGCACAGGAAAAGGACAGAGCTGCAGACAATGTCTGAATCTTCCCAGCATAGCCAAGGGGCTTGCCTAATAGCACATATCCCCAGGCCTTATCTAAAATCTAATGACTCTAAAACAGACAATTCATACAATTATCAAAAATGTTATAGAAGTAGTTTATGACCTTAAAACATCCAGCAGACTGTGTCAGACTTAACTCAGACTAAATGTCTACATTCTGAAAATTTCTATTTTATTTTACCAATTTTAAAACCACCTTTATTTACAAAACACTACTAAAGTCATATGAAGTAAAAAGCATTTGAGTTTCTATTTTTCTGATAAAATATTTGGTTTAAGCACTTACTTTTCATTAAATCCAATCAATTAGAGCTCTTCTATACATTTTATAGTGAAATATCACATAGACATAGACACAGACAGAAGCAGATTTTGTAGATTTATAAAAGTCTTCATGTATCATTTCCTAAAGTATCTCTTCCTCATTTTTGGTTAGTATTCTCTTGATCACCTGTTCTCTGCCCTAAACAATTGTCCAGTAGGCATCTCCAAGTTTGCATTTCTAAAGGGAAAACTCTTAGGTGGTATGAAATAGAGAATTTATATTTTACTCAAACCAAGGAAAAATGGTGTGAGTAAAAGCTCAGTTAAGATAGCCAGGAAAAGCAGACTGTCTTACACATGGAGATTTCCTTAAAGATATGTTTCTTAATTGGATTACTGGCTTTAGGGTGGAACCCTTTAAAGAACAGGACCAGGAAAACATGCAATTTTTAGGGCCTAATATGCAGGCACAGATGGAAGACAGAAGAAATTCCTCAAAATCAAGGATCCTATTTTTATACTGAATCCTGGATCACAAAAGAGGGAAACACTATGGGATGAGACATGAAAATGCCTTTACAGTACACTTTATTGCAAGGACATTCTGGTGGACAACAGAAAGCCAATCAGCCGCCCATCCCCCACTGGAGTCTTATCCCTCATTCCATACCTTCTAAGTGCCCAAGAGCACACTTCTCTTACATAAACACACAAAGAAGAGAGTATTGCCCTGTAGTAATAATCACTCACTGTAAGCAACTGCCATTAGCCATTTCTAAAAGCATATCCCTTACCTACTTATTACACACCAAGGTTAAAATTTTCTCATAATATAATTTCTAATGCCCCCTCAAAGTCAAAAACATCAGGAAAAGCAATGCAATAGAGAGCAGAGTTTTAGATTTTCATAGAAATCTGCCCACTTAGAACTCTGGGGGTTCCATGAGGAAAACAGAGATTCCTCCCAAAACAGAGTCTTTACTGCTTTTTCTGTTTTCCCCAGGGGGTCCCAGTCTGTTAGAAATTATTTTAGATCCTTTCATGTGGGCATCAATAGTGAAAAGATGAAGGAAGGATGGACAGAAGCAAACAGAGAAACAGGCAGAATTCAATTGACTAGGTTTTTACAGAGAAAGAGAGGAGAGGCTTTAAGACAATATACGTACATACATAGCCTAAATAACCTTTTCAGTTAAATTGATTTTAACAATGGAGCTCTTAAAGGAAATTTTTCCAGATATTTTATTACCAAATTTTAGCCAAGACAAACAATATTTCTGGTTTTTAAACTTCTTTATCAGAGGTAACCTCCCACAGGAAACCAGTTAAGTCCTAAGGTTATGACTTAACCATGGTTGCAAGAGATGTCTCCAAAGTAAGCAGTTTTTGCAAGATCTAGAATTACCACAAAGGTGGCTCAGGGAATAGAAAATTCAAGATAGGACATTGGAAGTTGTCCAGGAAGGGGAAAAGAATCAGTAAGTGGCAAAAGTCACACAAATATCAAACCAGAAAGGACTCATTCTCAAAGCCAGGAATCAAACCCAAGCCACCACAGTGAAAGACTTAGCTCCTGAGCTACAGCTTGGGATGCCTGCCATTTCTCTTCCCAGAAGGAATCTAAAGGAGTTTTTTGACTTTGCAAAGGATTTCAACTCTCAAGATAATATTTAAAGCTAGCCAAGACATTATTATGTGTTCTTCTTTAACTTAACCATTTTTCCAGTTGTTTAGAATAAAAGATCTCTAAAATTCTTTTTCTTCTAATGGTGTACTTAGTTCAAATAGTGACTCAATCCAAAATCTTTTTTAAAGACCAAATGCTAATTTTCTAAGTTTTCACCATATAAATAGGAAATATTCCTAGAGCAAGCATAGAGGAGGCATCCTCATGATCCCCAAAACTTCATTTTCAGGAATGGGCTTAGAATAGAAAAAGATGACAAAAGCCCTATAGGGATTGGAAAGACAAAACTCATTTAAGGGCTTAAGACATTTGAAACAAAAAATATGCTGATGGTCCTCAGACTCCCAGTCCTTTCAGACTGGTCTCTTTGATATAAACCCCAAAATTCATGCCCTCCAGATAAAAGATAGCATACTCTTACATGGTCATAAGGTCAAACTCTCAAGGTTATAAAGCAAGATAAGAGGGAAGCCTCATCTGATTTTTGTTTCAGGGACCCACAGCAAAGTTCTTAACTGACCAATCTGCAGGGCTGGCTTGAATAGTGAGCTTATAGGAATCCTAGGCCTGTGTTCTATTCTATAGTACCCCTCTTTATGAAAGAACAATGGAGAAAGACAAAAACAAAGGATAATAGTCAAATATGGGCTATTTCTGAGAGGAAAGAGGGTCAAAGAATATGAACATTCATAGCACAAAGTACTGAAAGTACATCAGAGTTGCTACAACCTAAGACTAGTCACACAAATTCTTTCTGTCATTAATCAAAACTTTGCAGAGGAGGCAGTGATTTTTACCGTCCACTCAACTAGTTTGTGCACAGAGAGAGGACATAAGCCTAGGTGGTAAGAAATTTTTACTATTTTGCTGGCTTGTCAGGTTCCTGGGTTTCCTCTCTTTGTGGCTTCCAGAAGAATGGAGCAGCTTTTGATGACCCTGCCCACTGCATCATAGCTGTGGGGGCCAAGCTGTGTTACAAAAGAAAAATCATCCTTTTTCATTTCATGAAACCATAGGCAACAGACTCCCAATTTTGCAAGGTTCTGTCCAACAAGCTGCATGGGGGGAACTGTATTAAGATTTCTCATATCAGACACAGTGAAATACACACAATGAAATGCAGACATCAAAGACAAGCCAGAGGCCTTCCAGAACCAGATTCCAAACAAGGAAAGCATGTTCTTCCAAAAAAACAAACAAACAATAACAACAAAAAATCCAGAAACAAACTAACAAAAAAAATCCTGTTCTCGCTTCAAGGGAGGATAAATCTACCCAAACCATGACTCTTCCCACAACCTAGGGAGAGCTAACCAGAACCCACAAAGGAGCCACCCAGAAGCTACAAAAGGGGCCAACCAGAAGCTTCAAAGGGGAGGAAACACAACCAACAGTGGGGCCAACCAGAACCTGCAAAAGGGACCAACCAGATCAGGAGAAGGAAGGGAATGTTGGTTACACTTAGAATACTCACTAGACCAATTGAACCCGTTCTCTACTGTAAGCGGGCACAACCACTATGGGTTGACAGTGCCTTACAAGCAGAGACAGCCCTAGAGATGGCCCTCTGTTCAAGAGAAATGAGCAGCCACCAGGACTCTGTCGAAGTCTGCTGTACCAGTGAGAGACTGCTGAACTGCCAGCAGGTGCCTTGCAAGGGGAATACTGGGTGAGTTCTCAAATTTGTAATCACTTGACAGGTTCTTCTTGCTTACTACACAGGTAAACCAACTCACTGAGACAGCGGTATTTCAGTAGAGAAAGAGTTTAATGTAAGTCTAGCCACTTGGAAGGACAGGAGTTTATTACTCAAATCAGCCTCCCTGAGAACTCAGAAGCAAAGGTTTTTATGGATAATTTGGTAAGCAGGGGTCTAGGAAGTGGGTGCTGCTGAATGGTTGGGATTGAAATCATAGGCATATGGAAAATGGTCTTCATACACTAAATCAGCCTGTGGATGGAGGCCAGAGGACCAACTGAGTCATGAGTCACAGATCTGCTTGAAGTCAGTCAGTCACCAGCATGCAAAAGTCTGAAAACCTCTCAAAAGACAAATCAGGTTCTACAATAGTAATGTTTTCTACAGGAGCCACTGAGGAAGTCACAAATCTTGTGACCTCTGGCCACATGACTCCTGAATAGGAAGGGATTATAGAAAAGCAAGCTAGGGAACAATGGCTGCTTATCATTTAACTGTGTCTACATTTTAGCAGAATTCAGGCCTTTCTCGTAATCCTAATCTTGTGGCCTTCCATTAGTCTTACAAAGGCAATTTCCATCCCTGAACAAGGAGGGGGTCAGTTTTAGGAAGGCACGATTATCCTTGTTTCAAAGTTAAATTATAAACTAAATTCTTCTCATGGTTAGCTTGGCCTATACCCAGGAATGAGTGAGGACAGGCAACCTGCTGGGTGAGAGGGAATATGGCTTCAGCCATGCTAGACTTCTTTTGTTGTCATAATCTTTGCAAAGCCTATTTCAGTTCTGTACCACTTTAAGATTATTATGTAGAATTTCAAACATATACAAATGTAGAAAGGAAATTGTTATAAACCTTTATGCATCTGTCACTTATATTAAAAAATTAACAACTCATGGCAACTCTTGTTTCATCAATATCTAAAACCACTTCTCCTTATGATTTCTGAACAAACCAGGACCTTTCGCCTCTGTACATCATTAAAACACATAGTCAACTACTCACTAAATATATGGTTGATAAAAGAAGAGAGAAATATTCAGAGTGAAGAAGAATACCTGGACAATATTATCCGTATGGTATAAAATCTTAGAGAGTTATTTTCAACTTTATTTATTTATTTGAGACAGGGTCTTACTCTATCACCTGGGCTGGAGTACAGTGGTGCAATTTTGGCTCACTGCAACCTCTGCCTTGCAGGCTCAAGCGATCCTCCCATTTCAACCTCCTGAGTAGCTGGGATCACACAGGCGCACACCATCATGCCTGGCTATTTTTTCATATTTTTGGTAGAGATGGGGATTCACCATGTTGTCCAGGGTGGTCTCAAACTCCTGAGTTCAAGTAATCAGCCCACCACACTTGGTCTATTTACTTATTTTCAGTTTTTGGCTTCAAATTTATAGTCACTAGAATGTAATTTAAACTTGAGTGTGAATTATCCCCCAAAAATACAAAAATAATTTTTTATCTTCTTTACAATATTTATCACAAGATGTGAATTTAAGTATGATTTACTCATTTTAATTTCCTTTTCTCTTTCATTTTTCTTTTCTTGAATTTTTTTAAAGTAAAGGAAGTAACTGAAGAGTATTAATGTAATATTAAGTTTATTAGGTTAAAAAAGAGCTATCTCATAATTAGATTATGTGACAGGATTGTCATCTTGCTTTAATGCTTTTTTTCACACTAAAAAATAGTGTAATCATATACCAGACTGATATAGTACTGTTCTCCCATAAAAAATTATACAAACAAAAACAAGCAAATGAACAATGTTATAACATTTTAAATATTTATTCTTAACAAGTCTACATCATATAATCTTATTATGTAACAGCGATGCTATTTATGTGTCTTATTAATCCACAGATAATATATTTAAGAAATTAAGAAGTTGGTAAGTATTTCTGAGCTGTGCAGTGTGGGGGCCAAGGGCCTAGTGTTTTGCTGCAAGTTACTGACATGAGGAAGATTAATTAATAATAGAAAAGGCATACAGATATGTTTAACTTCTAATCACATGAGCCTTCAGAAAGAAGACCCAAAAATGCAAAGGGAATTTTCCATGTTTATGCTTAGGTTCAACAAAGTACAAGCAGCCATGTAGAAATATGATTGGACTGAAAGGGTATGATCTGTTGCGAACGAACTGAGTGAGAAACCCAGCGAGGCCTGTCCACCTGGATTCTTCTTGGCCTCTTTCAGCAGCGTTTCTTCCTTCTGGGTATGGGGCAGTACCCTCTCTGGAATGGGGGTCTTTTGATCTACAGTCATACAAGGTACATCAGATAATTTCTTTATAGAAAATTTTTACACAGAAAGGTGGAGAGAAAATTAGAGTAATGGTTTAGGTTTTATGACTCGCTTTGGGGAGAAAGAATTCTGTTTTCTATGACTCGCCTTGCAGAAGAGAGATTCTAGTTTCTGTGGCTAGCCTCAGGGAAGAATGGGAGTGAGAGACGGGAGGGCAGGTAAAGGTCAGAGAAAAGCTTGCTTCTGAGGCTGCTGCTGAGGCCTTCATTTTGGGGGTACTGTTTTCTGAGCCCCAACAGCAGCATATATTTGTTTATATTTGTGAGGTAGTAATTAGAAGAATTTTGGTTGGGCTGCACATGAAGGATATTTTGAGAGCATAAGTACTTGTCCTCATGGTTCCAATAAAGAAAAACAAAATGGAAAAATAAAACCCTTATCAGGAAATATTTCCAGCTTTCTGATTTTCTGATACACACACACGTATGCACACACACACACACACACACAAATGCACACACAAATATATATATATATACACATATATATACATATTTCTCTTTCAGACCTCCCAGTCTGATGGAGAAAATGAACTAGACTTCAGGATAAACCCTAAACTTCAGAGCCAAATGACGTATTTTTACCCCAAGCTTCTCATACCTATTAAACCAAAAATAGTAGTTTTCTGCTTTTCCAAATGTCTATATATCTTAATTTCCTGCACACTGCTCAGTTGCTCATCTTTCTTCCTCTATAAAATGAAGATATAACTTTCTCTCTATCCTTCCCCACTCCCATCAGCAGTCCTCGAAACTTGGGATTTGAATTTTATTAACAACAAATGCAAAGACAATCTACATAGTGGACACAGTGAAAATCTTAATAATTAATAATAGCTAAGAACGGCATTCATTAATGTAATGCTGTATTTCATATTTGTAAGTCCCACTCTATAGATTTTAAGAAATTTAGAAAAGTGGATTAGAAGTATTTGCTTATACCTTATCTGAGAGAAGAATAAACTGGGTTACCACAGGGTTTATTCATTTCAGAAAGCAAGAAGTGCTTCATTCCTTGCCCGTAGATGACAGGGGAAAACAAGGCATGATATAGAAATATATTTAACATATTATGAAGACACTAGATTGTATTGCTGTACCCAATTATTTATTCCTTTCTTTGTAACATCCAAACTATTGCCTTGAAACCTTCAGTGCTTTCTGTGGGAGGGGTCTTTCCCAGTCCATTGCTCTTATAGCTTGGCAGGTGACTTGATTTGACCAGGAAAATGTGGATGAAATGGAATTACATTTCAAAAGTTACCATTCTGTCCAGAGCTGCATCACAAGAACATCTTATCCAAAACAAAGTTGGGTCCTTCAGTCTGGGTTATGGTTGTGAGAAAGATAAGTGTAATACAGACACAGATACCTGAAACTGACAAGTTGTGATAAGCCACTGTCTTTTTCTTTTTTTAACCATAGAAAGATTAACTTACTTGTTTTTGAAAATAATTATAATAGCATGAGTAATAGGCCTTGTATTTTTGATAAGTGAGGACAAACAAAGCCTCCTTACCATCTGTTTTATATCTGTCTCCGGAGAAAATTGATAGTATTATTCCAACATCTTACAAGTAAAGTCTTATTTACTTCTAAGAAAAGTAACTTCTTAATGATGCTGAGCTCTAAAACCTGACATAAAAGTTTCAACAGAGATTTATGGTCACATATTTAAGCAACAGTACGAGTAAGATTATTAACCTTCTGACTTTTCTATTGGGAAATATTTACAGCAAAGAATAATAAGACTTCTGTGAAGAACTAGAGGAATACAAGAAGAAATAATGTGTGCAAAGAGGACTTCAAAATAAGAACACTAGTCAAAGCCTGGAATATGTTAAATCAACAGTCGACATACTGAAGATAGGTTTGTACGCTAAGGTGAAAGACAACAGGAGCTGTACAATTAAGTCATCATGGTTTATTTATGTGGCAGTCAGAACTGTGAACCCTGCACCAAAAACAATCACCAACAAACTTAGTGAATACATTGCTGAAATTACTTCATAGAAAATCATTGTTAGCTGCCAGTTTAGTGGCCAGAATCTTTGTTGAATAACTTGCATTTAATAGTTGAAAGATAAGTGTATCATAGTATTCTATATTAGAATTGGAATAAGCTGTGAAAAGCCTATTAGATCCTCAAATAATCAAGTAAAATCAGATGAAAAGAGAAGTTAGTCTGGAAAATTTGTCCAGAAAAAAAAATACGCAAACATATTTCAAGGAAAAACAGATATGTTTGCCTTCCATATTTCTACTGCTGCAGTACAAATTACCACAAACCAGGTGGCTGAAAATACCATAAATTTATTCCCTACTTTTTGTAGGTCAGAAGTCTGATAAGGATCTAGACTAAAATCAAGGGGTTCGCAGAATTGTGTTTCTTTCTGGAGGCTTTAGGGGAGAATCTATTTCCTGTTCATTTGGGTCGTTGACAGCATTCCATTCCTTATGGCTATTAGATAAGGGTCATTCCCAGCCTTTAGAGACCACTTACATTTCTTGGCTTGTGGTCCCTTTCTTCCACCTTCAAAGCAGCAAGTACTTTCTTCTTCAGTCTCTTTGCTCTATCCCTGTTGGTAAAAGTTTTTTTTTTCTTTATCACAGAATACTGTGATAGAGTGTACCTCTGTGGATAACCAGGGTTAATCTCACCATCTCAAGGTCTGTAACCTTAATTACATCTGCTGTTTGTTTGTTTGTTTTTTGGCTATGGAAGGTAACTTGGTCACAGGTTCAGGTGACTGGGACATGGACACCTTTAGAGGGACATTATTCTGGTTGCCATATCTGCTAAAATGCCAACCCAGAATTAGTCAACAAAAGAGTAAGAAAGGAAACAGATATAACTGAGACAAAATTTAGGAGGAGGCCTTGAAAATTGCCTACATCACTGCAAATCTGAAGGGCTCACACAACATTATGATGGGTGGATATGTGAAGAAATCCCCAGATATCTGCTTCAGAGACCAAAGACTGGCAGAGCCACCTCTATTTATATCCTACTGATCTCCTAGCTTCCCCTCCTTTAGAGGATCTAAAAGCTAAAAACTCAATGTTCAGATTATAGTACCCAGAATTCTAAATTTTTATCAGCTTCTATCTTAGTATTCCAGTAAGTATCATTTTTGATCACTTATATACAAATGCTTTGACTGATTGTTAATTATATAGGTCACTGGGACTCTTCCCACCTGTTGAATGAGAACTTGGGGAATACTGCCTGGTAAATTTTTAGGAAGATTCCAAAGTGATTTTTGTTCACAAAATTTGAAAACTGCTGCTATATAGAGGTGACTTTAGAAGTCAGGTTTTTTGAGAAGCCTTTAAAAGGCATTGGACATAAAGGTCATATATGATAAACTCACAGCTAACATCATGCTGAATGGGGAACAGCTGAAAGCTTTTTTTCTAAGATCTGGAACAAGACAAATATGCCACTCTTGCCTTCTATTCAATCTGTACTAAAAGTCCTAGCCAGAGAAATTAGTCAAGATAAAAAAATAGAAGACATCCAAATTGGAAAAGATAAAATTAAATTGTGTCTGCAGACAACATAATTTTATATTTAAAAAACCATTAAAATCTCATCAAATATAATTAGAACTAAAAAACAAATTCAATAAAATTGCAGGACATAGAATCATGTATGCAAAACATACAAAAATCTATACTGTTTCTCTACACTAACAACAATCTGAAAATAAAATCAAGCAACGATCCCAATTACAATAGCTACAAATAAAAAAAGAAATAAATTTATCCAAGGAGATGGTTGCTACACTGAAAACTATAAAATATTGAAAATAAATAGAAGAGTCAAATAAATAAAAAGATATCCCATCTTCATGGCTTGTAAGAATCAACATTCCAAAACATCCATACTACCTGCTGTGATTTAAATGTGTCCCCCAAAGTTCAGGTGTTGGAAAATTAATCTCCTGTAGATCAGTGTTAAGAGGTTCAGATGATTGGGAGATGGACACCTTCAAGAATGAATTAAATCTGTTGTCAAAAAAGTAGATTAGTATTGTGGGAGTGGGTTTCTGATGAAAGGATGAGTTCAGGCCCTTCCATCCTTCTCTCTCATGCTTTCTCACCATGTGATGCCTTTCATCATGGGATAATATGGCAAGATTGCTCTTGCCAGATACTGGCACTTTTATATTTGGCTTCCTAGCCTCTAGAACTATGAGAAACAAATTTATTTTCTTTTTAAATTACCTAGAATGTGGCATTCTGTTATAGCTACTCAAAGGAATCTGCAAAGTTAATGCAATCCTTATCAATATTTCAATATCATTTTTTAAAAAATAGAAAAAACAACTCTAAAATGTATACGGAACCACAAAAAATTCCAAGTAACCAAAGCAATCTTAAATAGAAAGAACAAGGCTGGAGACACCACATTCCCTGATTTCAAAGCATTTTATGAAGTGATTTTAATCAAAACAGCATGGTACTGGCATAAAAGCAGACAAACCAATGGAATAGAATAAAAAGCACAGAAATAAATTCATTCCTTTACAGCCAATTTATTTTTGACAAAGGTGCCAAAATAGGAAAAAGACAATCTCCTTAATAAATGGTGTTGGAACAACTAAATATCCACATGCAGAAGAATAATATTATACCCTTATCTTACACCACAACCAACTCAAAATGGATTAAAGACTTAAATGTAAGACCGGAACCTGTAAAACCACTTGAAGAAAACACAGGGAATAGGCTCCATGACATAGATCTGGGCAATGATTTTTTGGATAATGCCAAAAGCAGGGGCAACAAAAGCAAAAAATAGACAAATGGAATTACATAGACTAAAAAGCTTCTGCACAGCAAAGAAAACAACAAAATGGAGACACAGACTGTGGAATGGGGGAAATATTTGCAAATCACATATCTGTTAAGGAGTTAATTAATGTCCAAAATATATAAGGAATTCAAAAAACTCAATAGTAATATAACAACCCAATTAAAAACATGAACAAAGTTCCTGAATAGACATTCTCAGAAGAAGACATACAAATGGCCAAAAGGTATGTCAAAAAAATGTTCAACATCACTAATCCAAGAAATGCAAATTAAAATCACAATGAGTTATCACTTTATGCTTGTTAGAATGGCTATTATCATAAAGACAAAAAAAAAGTGTTGGCAAGGATGTAGAGAAAGGGAAGCCTTGCACACTGTGGATGGGAATATAAATTAGTACAGCCATTATAGAAAATAGCAAGGAGGAGCCTCAAAAATATTAAAATTTAACTACTATGTTATCCAGCAATCCCACTACTGGGTGTTTACTCAAAGAAAATGAAATCAGCATGTCAAAGAGATATCTGCACTTTCATAATTATTGAAGCATTACTCATAATAGCTATGATATGAAATCAACCTGTGTGCACGAGTAATGGATAAAGAAAATATGGAATATATACGCAATGAAATACTGTTCATCCTTAAAAAAGAAGGAAATCCCGTCATTTGTACCAAATTGGATGAACCTGGAGAACTTTGTATTAAGTGAAATAAGCTAGGCAGAGAAAGACAAGTACCCCATTATCTCTGTGAAACTAAAAGTTGAACTCAGGGAAGCAGAGAGAGTGGAATGGGGGTTACCAGGAACTGGGGGTTCAGGAGCTTGGGGAGTTGTTGGTTAAAGGATATAAAATTTCACCTACATAGGTGAAGTTCAAGAGGTCTATTGTACACCATGGTGATGATAGTTAATAATAATGTATTACACTATTGAAAGCTGCTAAGAGCTTAGATTTTAAATGTTCTTGCCACACACCAAAAAATCAATATGAGGTAATACATATTACCTCATGTTAATTAGCCCAACTTAGCCATTCAACAACATGTGCATATTACAAGACAGTATGTGGTATATGACATATATATTTTTTAAATAAAAAATTAATTTGTTGATTAATTCATTAAAAATTAAAATTAAAAATAAAAATTTTTAAAGTCATTAAATAAAACAGATCAGGAGAAAGAAAGAACATATAGAAGATAAATATACAGTTAAATTTAGTAATTATCTTTCCTTTTTTTAGTTCAGTCTCTAAAAGACAAAGACAAACAAAAACTAACAAAGAACTTCAACTATTTCTTCTTACCTTATTGCTATTACTGAACATTTTATTTTTAGAAATTAGGTAGAACTAGTCTACCATAGACTAAGATATTTTATATATATACTCTTACATTTTATTAATGAAGAAAAGTGAAATGATTACTAATCATTTTTAATTTGTTCTTTTGAATTAAAAATCTCTTTGTAATCATTTGGAGCAATTATTAAAACTGTATTTGAACATCTAGGGAGAATATAACACTTCAATTTTTGTATTAATCCAATACTGTTGCTTTCTGATCTGAAATGAAGAATTTAAGAAGTCTGTGGTAAGAACCATTATTTCTATTCACATTATTTTAAATCATACCAAAGTTATGATTTCATATTTTATATCTTTGTAGAGTAAGAAATTATGCACATAAAGATGTTTTCAAATAACTTTTGACTTCCATGAATCTCTTAAATAATGAATGGTTATAACTAAAATCCTACTTTAGAAACAACAGTATTTTACAACTATCAAATGTCAGAAGACCTTATTCTTCAAATGTAAATAAAACCAAAGTATATTGAATTATTAGATTTGCAGAAGCAAAATGAGTAAATTTAGTTACCTGACAATTAGCTTACTCATTTTTGTTTCACCTTCCAAAACGAACAGAGAATAATTTTAAGGACATTAAAAAGCAGCAGCAAATTTCCAATACCCTTTTTCTATGCCAATGGTAAAAGAAAAATTCTAATTAATTCAATCTTACTGTGGAAGCATCACAGAGATTCTGAACAACGTGTTAATAAACAAATGTCTAGCCTTGTAAAAAGTGTCAATGTGATCTATATATACACACATAGCAGGGACAAGAAAACTGTGAGGAAGGCCACAAACCTGGCAGTCACCCTGTAAATCACTCCTGCTTCATTCTGCAGATGATAATAGGACTGAAATGAATGAGTCGTAGCCAAACTCAGGAAGGTTTGTGAAGGAAAGATACAAATCAAACTGTATATCCTAATGATATCAGAGATAGTATGAAACCTGTAAATTTAACTTCAAACTTGGAACCAATAGTAAATATAAAAATTACAGGTTTCTAGGGGCAGGGGATGAAAAAAAGGGTCAGTATAATCAGAAAATGTTCTATGTCAAATGTAGCCATTTTAAAACTTCACAATTTAAAACTTGTTGATGTGTTTGGGTAAGGGTTGATATTCAAGTAAATTTGTACAAATGCCAGATCGAATAAAGACTTGATTAATCTTGGTAATAACATGATGATTTTCCTTACTCACTGGATAAGTAAAATGCATATCAATTTTGCCTAGTAAAAAAAAAGTTACTGAAATTTCCAGCTCACAAGTTATTGAAAACTTCTTTGACTTGACCTATATGTATGACCAGAAAGCATGAACTACAGGAATTAGGATACCATGTGAAAACTAGGAATTCTGAAGAAAAAAGTGGATGTAAGTCTGAAGCCCTCCACAGACCCACAGGGATAGTAAGTGGTTTCTGCAACTATCTTCTCAGCCTGGGGAATTCAAGACTATAGATACAGATCAGGGATCTACATTTTTAATAGCCAGCATAGTGAACTGAGTCTTCGAGTCTAATGTAGAGAACTTCTGGTCTTAATGGTGGGCTTCGTTAATAAACCTAGTTCTTTGTCCCTATGCATGGACATATGACACCTAGTCGAATACCTAAAAGGTACAATTTTAGGTATTATGAAAAAAAAGGAGTCAGAAGGCTCATGTTTCAATATCTGCTCAAGTACTTATGAGGCTATGATTTTGAGCACATCACTATTTTCTCATGGTTTAGATTCTTACCTATAACTGCAAATGGAACTGTTACGTCAACCTCGTTGGAGAGAATACTTTTGTTGCTCTACCCAGGTATTTTCAGATCCACTGTAGCATCACTGGTTTCCTTCTGGGAACTTTGCTATTCTTTTGCTTTTGCTTCCAATAACCCACAGCTGGAACTGTTTAGTGTGCTGACATTGGTCTGTTAGAACCCAATAGCCAGAATTGCTTAGGGGATAATAGTTTATCCCCCTCCATGCACAATCCTGGCAGTCCTGGGCCAGGAATTGATGGGTTAGTTATAGGAAAGGCCAGCTCACTAGTTTGTTTGAGACAGCCAGTGAATCATAATTTACACTCTGGAGTTTCCCTGACATATCAGGCTGAAGTTACACTCTGTGAGATTTGGCCTCAGATTGCACTCTTGTCTTCTTCCTACATTTCTTCTCCACCTCTGTCCTGCTTCCACCACTCCTTCACTGGATATGCCTAGGAACACTTCCCTAATAAACCATTTGCCCAGGAATCCTTGCCTTAGGGTCTGCTTTGAGGGAACACAACCTAAGACACAACACAAAGTCTTAAAATAATTATATTTAAACATAGACTTAATTAGGATTAGATGTGCCTCTAACTCTAAAACTCTATATGTACTACTATTTTCAGATAAAAAAAGAAACGTATGGTTTTATACTATCTCTCAGAAAACTGAGTAATATAATTTTACTGGCATTTGTTGTTTGTGTTTGGAACTTTCATGAGTTCTTTACTGTTTTAAAGATACATGAAAACCCTTAAAATTTAAGGCACAATAGCATTGATAATTACAGTGATAATTATGTATTCAACAAATATAAGGGTGATTCTGGCTATAAAAGATACGTAGCGAAAACCTATTAGGGCAGAGTTTTAAAAAAATCTAATTTAGGTTGACATGTCAGTCAAAGCTCTCCTATAAAGTTATATTTAAGTTGAGACTTGAAGGAATTGTCAAACCGAAAGGGTTGGGATCCAGGAAAGAGATTAAACTCATCCAACTAGTGAACTGAATAAACAAGATTCCTAAGATTTTTGTTTGTTTGTTTGTTTTTTGTTTTTTGAGATGGAGTCTCACTCTGTCACCCAGACTGGAGTGCAGTGGCACAATCTCGGCTCACTGCAACCTCCACCTCCCAGGTTCAAGCAATTCTCCTGCCTCAGCCTCCCAAGTAGCTGGGACTACAGGCATGCACCACCATGACTGGCTAATTTTGTATTTTTAGTAGAGACAGGGTTTTGCCAAGTTTCCTAAGATTGAAAGGAACTTGGTCAATACAGAAAATGAAAAAGTAGTCAGTGTATTCAGTGAATACAAAAAAATGTATTTCTACCTTAACTATGTCTCCTCTTTCTTGTTTTTCTTCTTAGATTCTAGTGAAATAGTGCAATGGTTATGCACTTAAGTTCAGTTAGTACACTATGACTCCAAGTTTTCTAATCCATGCAGTGGTGGGAGTCAGAATGCAATGATGCATGTGATTATGTATTGTCTAATTTTATGAGTCTGTTAGAACTTTCTCTAATAATTTTTACTATAGTTTATAAAACAATCTAATAGAAATATGTAAATAAAGCAAGAGTCATGTGAATATTATAAAAAACTTTTATATTTCAGCAAGCCACCATCATAAACATGAATTTTTAAAAAGCAAAAAGCTATTACCATTTAGCTGTTACCCAGAATAATAATTATGCTTTAAGGAAAACACCAAGTCTGTTCATTTGTCCAATATATACAATTCTGAGAATATATGGACAACAAACATTATATAAAACCACATATTCTCCAAGAATTATAATAAAGATAGATATATATATATATAACATTTACAAGTTCACACAATAATGAAAATAAGAGCCCAATAATGTCTCACAACATTGGATTTGGTTGTGTATAGGTACTAAATAATAAATTTTGCTTATTCAAAAAAGGAAAATGAATATTAATTTTTTAAATAACATTAAAATCTTTTCACTTACAGAAATTAGCTTATTTCAAAAAAATGCTTATGATACCATATTCCCTCCTTTTGCATTGTCCAGACATATACTTTTTAAAGTTTTATTCAAAATCCCATTAAGGATACAGAGCCTGAAATATGCTGGTTCTTGCTCCTACAAGTCTCTTTCGTTTTACTTTGATTTTTGTTTATACATTTCTTTCTAAAAACCCCACACTGGCCAGTTTGGATTTGGTGGAAAAATGGATAAAGTTTTTGAAAATGGTCAATGTAAATCTATATACATGCTATGCCTTGCCCTAGTCAATAAAAACAATACAGATTGTCTTGAGCCCCACTCCTCACCCTAGTATTTGATTTTTGAAATTTAAGTAGACCTTCCAGTTTTCTTAACATTTTTGAGTCAAGTAAACAAGAAGGCAAATGTTTTTGAGGTGGTAGATCAGGTGAAAGGTCCCTCCAAACTCTGCACATAAACAGCAGTTCTTAGCAAATATTTGCAAACTGTGACTGAGTTTACAAAGGTGAGAGGGAGAAAAAAGCTAACCTTCAGAGGAAAGCATGGTTATAACCATAAATTTAAAAATTATTTGTTCTCAGGGACAATGCCTTCTAAAATTTACCACATGACATTTATCCCTTTAACTACCCTCCTCAATCTGACTGGCTTCTAAGGAGACCAAATTTATGTGGCTTCATGCAAGGCCTTTTAAAAATAAATCTAAAAAATAGAGTAGTGTATAAATTGCATAGGGAATGCCGGCCCTGAAGAGTGATCAGTGCCTGAAAGGATGGAATAATGAAGGGCATGAAGGCTCAATTTTGACATAACCTCAGTGTCACGACTCACTTCCATCTTTCATCTTTCAAATACCTCATTTATATGTCAAATTATAGCTAATGAAGTAGTATATGAAATAATAATTATCTCAGTGGTCATTATTAATGCTCAATGAGTCTACATATCTCAAGTCACTTGCAACCGTAATTATCCCATTCTTTAAGGTGCTGACTCTCTCAATAGTTAATCCAGAAGTAGCTTGCTATTTAACAACCTACTTTAGGAGACCCTTACTACATTTTAGTCTCAAATACAGTAAAAATCTACTAGGGACAGCTTATGTGACTTCTATAATTTAAGGAGTTATTTTTGTACAAAAGTATTAGAAACATTTTTCTTTAAAATAAAAATTAATGCATTCATGACATAAAAAATGACTCCCTTCCTTCTACATTTACCACATTTTATCACATAATATCCAAACTAAAATTCTAAAACTTTTAATTGCTAGGCTGCAATAGAGCAAAACGAGAACAGTACATGCTTAGAAGCAACATCTTTAGCACATGTAAATACACATATGTATATTTTCTCAATAAAACTCCATAGATACTGTATTAGTCCACTCTCACACTGCTATAAAGAACTGCATGAGACTGGATAATTTATAAAGAAAAGAGGTTTACACGCGTGTAATCCCAGCACTTTGGGTGGTCAAGGCAGTCAGATCACGAGGTCAGGAGATCAAGACCATCCTGGCTAACTTAGAAAATATAGGATAGTTAGAAATGAATATGTTATTATATTTTATGGGTTTTAGAGTAATCAGGAACATAAAAATAGTCCTCTGGAGCTCCAAGAAATAAAACTGCTTTTGACAGAACATTGTGTAACAATTCTATAACCTTTGCTAGAGAATAACAGAGATTTTGTAGCATAAGAGGGATTACGTTGTCTCACGAATGAGCTATTCCTAAACAATTTTTCAAAATATAGTATCAAAATAACCACCTCTTTGAACTTACAGGCTTATTTTCCTAAGCTTATTTTTCTGACATATTTTTGAAGCCAGTATTAGAAGGCATGTAATTATCCTGTCATATTTTGTTTTCTGTATATATTTTCTTAGAATTCTACCCACAGGTCTTCAAAACTTTGGGGGAAAACACTCTAAGTATCTAGTATTTGCATCTTCCCTTCAGCAACAAGAAAACATGGCAGAAAATACATAGGTTTTAGAACAATGGCAATAACAATAATACCTAAACTCAGGAGGCAGTTGGTTTCTGCAGAATGTTAAAAAGTTGGTTTATATTACTTCACGTTTGCATGGGACTTAACAGTATGTGCAAGCAGTATGTGCAAACATATTATCTCATTTAATCCTTACATCAACTGAATGGCATATTTAATATTACTTTCTTCTATTTAATTTAAAAGAAAACTGAACTTCACATTAATTAAGCATATTAACCTAGGTCGTCATAATATGTTCTTAAGTTTAAAAAAAAGTAGCTCACCCTCTGCTGCTTAAATTTGCATCCAGCTTTAGCAAACTATTATAAGCATCTGAAGATACGTCTTTTCATAGTAGTTAACATGTCAGTACAAATTTATTTGTATTTTGTATTTTGGGGGGTACATAATAGTTATACATATTTAATCAGGTACATGTGATATTTATATACATGTATATAATGTGTAATGATCAAATCTGGATAATTGGGATATCCATAGCCTCACATTTATCATTTATTTGTCTTGGAACATTCTAAATTCACTCATGTAGTTATTTTGAAATACACCATAAACTATTGTTGACTATAGTCACCCTATTGTGTTACCAAACACTAGATTTCATTCCTACCATTCGATTGTACCTTTGTATACATTAACCAACCCCGTTTTATTCCTCTGGCACTACCTTTCCTTGCCTCTAGTAACTATCATTACTCTCTGCCATCATAAGACTGACTTTTATAGATCCCACATGTGAGTGAGAACATGTGATATTTGTTTTTCTATGCCTGGTTTATTTCACTTAACGTCCTCCAGTTCCATCTATGTTGTTGCAAATGACAGAATTTTATTCTTTTTTATGGTTGAATAATATTCTATTGTATGTGTGTACCACATTTTATTTTCTTCTTCATTTTCTTTTTTCTTTTTGAGATAGAGTCTTATTCTGTCACCCATGCTGGAGTGCAGTGGTGTGATCTCAGCTCACTGCAACCTCCGCTTCCTGGGCTCAAGCGATTCTCCTGCCTCAGCCTCATGAGTAGCTGGGAATACAGGTGTGAGCCACCAATACCTGGATAATTTTTGTATTTTTTGTAGAGATGAGGTTTCACCATGTTGCCCAGGCTGGTTTCGAACTCCTGAGCTCAAAGAAGTTCGCCCTCCTCAGCCTTCCAAAGTGCTGGTATTACAAGCATGAGCCACCATGCCCAGCTATACCACATTTTCTTTATTCATTTATTGATAATAAAATTTTAAAAAGAAGCATACTTAGATTCACCTTATTATTCACCTACATATATAAACTTATGTAGGTTTATGCCAAACAAAATGAAGCCTTAGAAATAAAGTGAAGCAATGCCCTTAAATAGCATGTTCCGAATACTTGATTACAAAGTTCTCTCTTCACTACATAGTTCCACTCACTGAAAGAAAACAGCATATCATGCATCTTTAAAGAAGTGTGCTTAGATTTACCTTTTAAACTTGTACATGTAAAGCCATCAAAAGAAGGACTAAAAAAATTGGTGGTTTTATTTAACATTATTTCACTTTAGTTTTTAATATTTATTTATAGATCATTATTGATTGATTATGTTTACCTGCTATGTTAGATTATGGCAAAAAAAATCCTATAGATGAATAAAAAACATAAACTTCCTTCATAAGGTCCGTCTAAAGTAAGAGGTGACATAGTAACGTCCAATCACAATATAATAAGATAGGTCCTATAAGGTTATGTAGAAGCTAATCATGCCACTCAAGAGTTACCTCCATTGAATTCTACATATCAGAATCAGGAGAAGAGAAAAAAAAAGCTGGCCATTTTAGAAACACACATTTATAATAAATTTATAAAAGTCACAAAAGTTTAGAAACAGAAGGACCCAGGGGAGGGATACTATGCTTTTTGGCTGAGATGTCCATGACAGACAGAAAAGAGAGTAAACCCACAGCAGTGGTGATGGTGGATTTGGTGGCAAGAATTATTAATGGACTGTTAAACAAAGGAGAGCTTAAATAGCTAGAGGTCATGATCAAGCTGATCGGATGTTTTCAATTAAAGTACAGAAGAAGAGAAGAGGGCAGCAGGAGAAATTAAACATTTAAGAATTCAAACAATGAGTGTGTTCTGGGTATGAGCATGTAAAGGAGTTGCTTAACAAACTATAAGGTAAATGACTTTGAAATGTAAGTCAAGGGACAATATGCTAATGTTTGAAAAGGATTAACAGAGTGCTGAGTTCATTAAGATAAATTGTATAATTCAATAAAAATTATGTAATATCTACTATATTCCAGGAAAAAAGAGACAATATGTGAAAGAATTAGTGAAATTGAGTCAGATGCATTTTTCATGATTCATTTAACAAATACTAGTGAAGAGCCCACTATATGCCAAATACTTACTAAAACTGGTTATTATGCGGTAAACAATGCAGGCATGGTTTCTATTCCAACAGAGCTTAGAATCTAGCACCGTAGACACGAGAGTAAAAATTATGTACAAAACCCTGTATCAGAATAACCTGATTTATGCTGCACTAAAAAACATCTCTAACATTCCATAAGTTTACCCAATACTTTCCTTGTTGATGCTATGTGTCCGATAGAATTTGAGAGTGAGGTTCTTCTCAACATCGTGGCTCAAGGACCCAGGCTGAGAGAGGCTCCATTTTGTGTTAATGATTCCATGATCACCACAGCAAAGGGAAAGAACAAGGTAAAACACTGATTGGCTTTTAAAGCTTCATTCAGAAATAACACAATACCTTCCACTGACACTTCATTGCTCAAAACAAGTCATATGACCATAACCAACTTCAAACAGGGCCTTCTGTTTGACACAAACTTGCCAGGTTTCAAGAAGTATAATACAGGGGAAATATATGTGAATACTTCTAATGATTACTGTAGGCCCTGAAGCGGGATGCATGCATACTAGATTAACACAAAGTAAAAAAGGAGTAGTGGGCCTGATACAATGGCTTGTTCCTATAATCCCAGCTAATCTGGAGGCTGAATTGAAAGGATCACTTGAGATCAGGAGTTTGAGACAAGCATGGGCAACATAGCAAAACATCATGTCTAAGAAATTAAAAACAACCTGGCATGGAGAAGCATACCTGTAGTCCCAGATACTTGGGAGACTGAGGCCAGGGGATTGCTGAACCCAGAAGTAGAAGGCTGCAGTGAGCTATGATTATGTCACTGCACTCCAGCTTGGGAAAACAAACAAACAAAAAACCGGAGTACTAGTAGCAAGTAGCAAGACCTTATTGTGGCCCCCATGATGGCCCCCATGATTTCCACCTCCTGGTATTCATGCCTTGTATAAATCCCCTCCCCTTGAGTGTGAGTGGGACCTGTGACTTGCTTCTAACCAAATAATATTACAAAGATGATGATTATCTTTGTCTGCTTGGCCTGTTATAACAAAATACTATAAATGGAGTTGCTTAAGTTATATAAATTTATTTTTTACAATTCTGGAGGCTGAAGAGTCCAGTACAAATTCTGGTGAGGGTTCTTTTCCTGGCTTATAGGCAGCTGACTTTTTACTATATCCTCACATGGTCTTATACCAGCTCATGCACTTGGGGTAGGATGGCAGGGGTGGGAGAAAGGGAGAGAAAAGAGAAAAAGAACATGCAAGGGTGGGAGAGAGCACTTTCTGGTATCTGTTCTTACAAAAACATTAATCCTATTGCATTAGGTTCCACTCTTTTGACCTTATTTAACATTAACTATATTCTGAAATGCTCTGTCTCCAAAAATAGCCACACTAGGGGTTGGAATTTCAACACACGAATTTGAGGAGGACAAAAACATTCAGTCCATAGCAATGATGGTTGTCACTTTAGTGGTAACGCAACATAGCACTGTAATGCCTCTCTTGCTGAAAGACTCCCTTTGTGGCTTTGACAAAGCAAACTGCCATGTTGTTGTGAGCTGGCTTATACAAATGGCCACAGGGCAAGTAACTAAGGGTGATCTCTGGAGAAGAAAGAAAGTGAGGTTCTCAGTCTGACAAGGAAGTGAGTGTTACCAACAACCACATGTGCTTCGAAGCAGATCTTTCCCCAGGCTAGCATTAGACACAAATGCAGCTCTGGTCAACACCTTGATTGCAGCACATTGTGATCCTGAAGTAGGAGACTCAGCTAAGCCATGACCAAACTCCAGACTTACAGAAACTGTGAGGCAATAAATGTGGGTTGTTTCAAGCCACTTTATTTGTGGTAATGTTGTTACACAGCAATAAGTCCATAATACAAGTATGGATGATGAAATGATTAATTTTTGATAGGGGATTTCATGGAAGCCTTCAAAGATAGGATTAAGCCTAAGCACAATTTCAAGACTGCAGGAATAGAGGTCCCTAGATGTCCTTGGCTCACCCAGCTCTTCCTTCTCTTGTAATTTTTAGTCACAATGCATTGAAATTGCAACATCTTGAGGTATGGAGGAAATGTCCAGATCAATTTAGGCTATGTTCTTCTTCCTCCAAGAACAGGATATTCTGTAACATTTCAGCTCAGCAATCCAAATGTCTTCCAGGTTATATAAACCTAGAGTAGAGTGCTTTTGTGGTCCCTCCACTCCCATGTGACATGAAGCTCATGCAGAGGAGAGTTCATCCACCCTGGGCAGCTTTACTGAGCCTTAAGGGGATGGAGGGCCATGGATCCTAGAATTCTGATTATTTTTGTTGCCTATCTGTAAGTAATGAATAATGAATCTGCTTTTCTTGACTTAAGAAAGTGTCTGTCTCACTAGACTGTATCTAAGAACATTTGCAGAAAATAAGTAGGAAAATGTAAGAAAGCCAAGAACGGAAGGAAAGGGAGTTATAGCAGGCACAGAAGTGTGAAAGTCTAAGTGTGGAAGGAGCTAGAAGTAGTCAATATTGCTAGAATAAAATGAATACATACAAGGAAATGAGACAGGAAGTGTAGGCAGAAATCGCCATAGAATTCGTGTGAAAGTGACATGGAAGAATTTGAAGTAAATGAGTGACTTGATTAGAATGATGAAAGAGATACAAAAGCCATTCTTTTACTCGGTCTAAAAAAAAATATATATATATATATGCATAGTTTTCAGGTTTTATTTTAGTAGCCAGTATCTTTTTAAAACACTTTTAACTCTGTAAATACTAGGAAATAATTATTTATATATGTTTAAAAATGTGCCCCACCCATAATACATATATTGCAACAATATGAAATAAATCAGCTATCTTATTAAACAATCAACATAAGCTTTTTATTTCCTGGCATAATTTTTTAAATAAGAAATCCCTATAAATAAGATTATACTGTATAAGTTGTATATATTTAATAGATCTTTCAATTATATATTGCTGCATAATAAGACACTCTAAAACTTCTTGGCTTGAAACAACATGCATTTGTGTTTCTTAACATTTTACACATTGACTGTGCTCTGCTGGGTGGCTCTTCTGGATCCAGGCTTTATTAAAAGATCCAAGACAGGTTCACACACAGGTCTGACACCTCAATGTTCTTCTACAGACCTGTCCACATAACTCCTGGCCTCAAGAGATCCTCCCACCTTGACCTATGAAACAGTTAGGATTACAGGCATAAACTACTGCATTGAGCAATTATTTTCTTCATCGTCCAAAATACAAGTTGACTGTAGGACTAGATTCCACCAAAAAGAAATAATATACTCTAGAAAAAAGGTTCTTTTTAATTTTTTTTATAGATGCATAATTGATGTAAATATTTTCAGGATATATGTGATAATTTAATACATTCATATAATTTGTAAAGATCAAATCCCTGTAATTAATATATCCATTATTTTAAACATTTATCTTTTCTTTATGCTAAAAACATTTCAATCATTCTCTTCTAGCTATTTTTAAGTATACAATAGATTATTGTAAACTATAGTCACCCTATTGATCTATAAAACACTAGGTCTTATTTCTTCTCTCAAACTGTATATTTGTACCCATTAATCAACCCCTTTTCCTAACCTCCCTGAATTCTAGGGCGTCAGTGAACTTTTGAAATTGTAAGCAAATTTTTGAGAATATACATATCTTTTCTGAGAAGATAGCTCTTTTCTCAGTTTTTGTCCACAATATATTTGGAGATCCTTCAAAATTTTATGTCTCATTTGTCTAGAATCAGAAAGCTATATTTGAGTCATGATTTAAACAAGTGATTTAGTCAATCTTAAACAATTTTCTCATTGTTGAATGAGGACAATACTACAGTCTATTCTACCTTAAAAAGAATGCTCTGAATGTAAGTTATTCCTTGTGAAATAACTATTAAGATATTAGTTATTTTTAGAAGCCATTATTTTTAAATTATGATTTTTCTCACATGGGATCTGAATTACAGTAACTACTTATTAACCACTTGTCATGTGCCAATAAATCTCTTAATTTTTTATTATTATTTAGTTAGTTAGTTAGTTAGTTATTTTTGAGACGGGGTCTCGCCCAGGCTGGAGTGCAGTGGAGTGATCTCGGCTCACTGCAAGCTCCGCCTCCCTTGTTCACACCATTCTCCTGCCTCAGCCTCCTGAGTAGCTGGGACTACAGGCGCCCACCACCACGCCCGGCTAATTTTTTTGTATTTTTAGTTGAGACAGGGTTTCACCATGTTAGCCAGGATGGTCTCAATCTCCTGACCTCATAATCCGCCCGCCTTGGCCTCCCAAAGTGCTGGGATTGTAGGCCTGAGCCACCGCACCCGGCCTAAATCTCTTAAATTTTTTTAAAGCATCGTCTTATTTTTGTCTTCACAGCAAAACTATGAGCTGGGTTTTATAATGATTTCCACATTACTCATAAGATTATTAAAGGATAAAAATTCACCTGTTAGAATTCTAGTTGTTGCTAGATAGAACCCAAACTGGTAGACTGCATTTTACTTTATAAATATTTGAGACATCTTCCTTCAGAAGAATTACACAACTTCTTCTTGAATTCAGATATGGCAATGTTTGTTTAGCCAATGAAGTATAAGAAGTATCTGTCACTTCTGTGCATAAGCTTTCAGAACCAGTTTAAAATTCATCGTGTTGTCTTTTACCTGCTTCTGTGATCATGGTTGATGATCATGCTTTGTTTTACGTGCTTCTGTGATCATGATTGTTGTGTTAAGCAGAACTTTCGTCAGCCTGGGTCAGGAATAAAGAATATGTAGAGTAGAGGCCCTTTGTAAACACAAAAAGATAAGTGAGGCATGAATGAGGAAGAAACTGAATTATCATAATCCAACAAAAATTTGAAATGTGTTTGTTAGTACAGCAAAATTTACCCTATCCTAACTGGTACAGTAAGTAAGAGAGCTAATAGAGCCAAGCCAGTCTAGCTCCTGAGCCTGAGTTTGTAGCTACGGTGCTGTACTGCCTTTCTTGATTTTACAAATGATGCATTTTTTTTTTTTTTTTTTGAGAGGGAGTCTCACTGTGTCCCCCAGACTGGAGTGCAGTGGCACCATCTCAGCTCACTGCAACCTCCACCTCCCAGGTTCAAGTGATTCTCATGCCTAAGCCTCCCGAGTAGCTGGAATTACAATCACGCACCACCACTCCTGGCTTTTTTTAATTATTATTTCTAGTAGAGACGGGGTTTCTCCATGTTGGCCAGGCTGGTCTCGAACTCCTGACCTCAGGTGATCCGCCCTCCTCAGCCTCCCAAAGTGCTGAGATTACAGGCTTAGCCTCCACGCCCAGCCCGAATGATATTTTTAATGTACATTCTTTAATTAACCTCTCAAATTTTCTGGAAAAACATTTTATCGTTCTTATGAGGGGACATTTTATCCTGCATGGTGCTAGTTTGCAGACAACAATGTTAGATATAAGCTTGTCAAACTTCCCCAAAAGGCTGTTTTGGTGTTTGAGATAAACTCAAACACTGAGTGAAAAAATCTATTTGAGTGAGAAAAATACTTACGCAAAACTAACTGAGAAAAATAAGAAAGATGTTTGTACCACAGGCTATTCATAGGACCTCTGTTGTTAACATGATGCTACTCCATTAAAAAATAAACACAATGTTTTAGAAAACTTAAGTACGCAATTTTTGTTACTTTTTTGTAAAAGTACTTATATCAATTTCTTTCTATTGTTCTACTGCCAACTTACTGAAAATAACTGAGATAGTCAATGAGACCCTTTTTATGAACTAAAGTGACTGAAAATTACTTTGATGAAGATGAGGATGATGACAATATAATGACAGGGATACGATGCAGACAGCAGCTAACACTTCTCAAGGGCTTACTGTGTGCCAGACAATCCAGGTGAATTCTCATCTAGAAACTTATAAAGTGGATGAGATTAGAGCCTTCATTATGTACAGGGAAAGCTAGTATAACTAAACAAAGTGTGCTGGTAGCAGACCTCGGCAAACTGAATTCAAAGATCATATTTTAATTACTCTACTATATTTACCCTTGAAACAGACAAAATCTGGGTTCTTCCTCAGGTAAAAACTTTCAGGGTATTGGATCATATATTAAAGTTCTTCATCAAAGACACATTTCTATTATTTCTGATGAGAACAGGAAATTATAATTAATTAACAATGGGCAATGGTAAATGTTCCTTCAGTTAAGGAAGAATGAAAAGGCTAGGGTCAACAATCTTCACACCAGCAGCTGGCTCCTTTCACATTTGGAGCAAAGATTGTAGTTTTTAATTTGTATGCCATTAGTTTATTTCTGTTCTAAACTGAGAATACTATAGTAGTAATCTTCAAATATAATATATAATATAGAACAAAATCTTTCCAAAATAAATTAATTTGGGCTTCTACTGTGTCAGAAATCAGCCTTATCTAAAATAGGGGTTGAGTAGGTCAATATGTTGCTTTGAATTATGAATTGAGTGGGGAAAAGTAAAGACTGGAGATAGAAGATAAACGTTTCTATAATATTCTACATCTTTGATTTATTTTCTTTGCTAGGTTTAGTTTTATAAGTCTGAGTTTATGGCCACTCAAGCATTTGTTAAATTATGTGAAGAAAGAATTAAAACAATTCCAAACTATAGTTAACAGACATTTTGATGTTTATTATTATGAATAGCATTTTGTGCAAAATATGCATTACTTTTAGAAACTAGTATCAACTAAAATAGTATTTGTTCAATGGCTTTCTTTTCCTTTAGGAATTATTTGTGAAAACAGAATATAAAGTAAGACCAAATTGGTATATGCCTTTTTTTTTCTTTTTTCTTTCCCCCGGTGTTCCAGGGTTGTGCTCTTTTTTTTTTTTTTAAAGGTACTAATAAAAAAAAGGCTACACAAATGAATTTGAAAGGCTTTAATTTCGGTAAATGAGGAAAATGCAAATATAGTAATTGTCATAGCCGAGGAGTGGCTTAGCTTTGCTGTCTGATGCCTTTTACATCTTTCTAGTTGCCATGGCTTCCTGCCTATCATGTTCATGAGAAGCATTCAAAGCAGAAATACTGTAGGAGGATTGCTTGTCTGAACACACATGTTATTTAAGGCCTTTATTTCTGGCTCACTTACAGTATTCACTGAAACATAGAGTGAATGGTCAAACAAGCTCTACTTATCTTTATTCTTGCTTGATCAATGTCAGGATGCTTTAACCTGGCATGTTTATTTTACAGAGTGGTTTTTCTTTCGGTGTTCCTCGAGTGTTATCAAATCAGTGCCTCCTCGTGGTCAATAAAAGTAATAACATGATTTCTTGCATTGTCACAGTAAAGCGCACTTGGTGAGCCTTCTCACCAAAAGAGAAGTAATTTAGATCAACATGGCTAATCTAGGACTCACAATACTTTACTCAGTCAATAGTTTCTTGAGTACATGAGTCACTCTCCTGTTTCCACTGCAATTACAGTGTCTACATTTATCTTAAACAGAAAAGGATCTATAAATGTGTTCTCCAATATAGTAGCCACAATTCACATGTGAATTATTAAATTAAAATTAAAGCTTCAATAGCCAGAAAGTTCTATTGCACTGTGCTGGTTTCTGGGGCAAAGATAAAATATGTATGATATATATTAATGCAAGAATTTATTAAGATTTTAAATTAAACACTTTACATTATCCGGAGTGTGATCTATAATTTCTATTTATAAAACATTACTCTGTTTTACAATATTTCCTCTTTGCTTTTGGACATATTTTCAAATTTTCAAGTCCCGTATTCTACTTTGAAAATATGATCGCTTGACAATAAGTAAATTTGTTTTCTTTAGTTTTTCTATAGGGGGCATATAATATTTTGAACTGGAAATAGCAAGCAGGAAGAACCATTTTTTATTATTGTGACCATTATAAGTCATTATAGTTAAAATAATTTTTGTTGTTAGTCACCTGTCATTATTATCTAAGGACATTTCCAGAATACAGATTACATCAGAGATATCAATATTACATAAATTTATATCCCTTAATATCACACTATTACTTTGAAATTAATCACACACACACACCCATACACACACATACAATAGTTCTCCCAATCCACAATTTGGCTTCCACAGTTTGTCACCCGTGATAAACCACTGTCTTAAAATAGGTTAGTACGTTACAATAAGATATTTTGAGAGAGAGAAAACACATTTGCATAATTTTTATTGTAGTATATTGTTACAGCTTTTCTATTTTATTATTAGTTATTATTACTCTCTTACTATCCCTAATTTATAAACTTTACAACAGGTAAGTATGTTTTAAAAAAACATAATATATATAGGATTCAATACTATCCATTGTTTCAGGCATTTGCTGAAGGTCTTGGAACATATCCCCCATGGATAAAAGGAACTACTGTATATATAATATATGTTATATATAGGTGTGCATGTGTATGTGTGTATAATATACATTATAAATACATTTCTTCCTTTAGATTGAATAATGATTTGACTATCATAAAAATTTTCCTTCATATTTAAAAATACTATTTCCTTTAATAGTTTGCAATTAAAGTTAAATTTAAGTATTTGTCAATATTTTGTGTTATATGTAATCCATGAATATATACTCATTCAGACATGTAATCTAAGACAATTCTTATCATTTATTATTTCGTGAATGAGAAAGTAACAAAAGCAGAAATACAGTGACTTGTAGTTAGTTGTAGTTGCTCAATGGTTACTTTTAAAGATAGAATTCCATTAGGTCTTACTGCCTATACCAATCTTTCACTTTTTTAATACATAAAGCCACTGTCTTTATTTCAAAGTCTAATCTTGAGAGAATACACTACTGGGCAATTATCTTCCAGTCATGACTGTAGAATCAGTCCATTTTAATACAATTATTTTCCCATCCTTACACATTAATTCCTAATATGAACTACAGCTTTACCAGCACAAGAGTTTTAAGCAGACATTTCTGTCTGCTTAAGAGCAGTTTTTATGAGACTCAAATCCCTTTTCAGGAGTGAAAGTTTATTCCTCCTCTAGGAGAGTTCTGCCTTTAGAGACCACTCAACATCCAGTCTTCTTTGGGAATTACCTCGGTTGAAGATCCTTGCTTGCTCCAGGCTATGCCCCTTTCCAGGTCACCCCATATCCAATGGCTAAGTAATACCAGGATATAATGGGCAGATCCCCTCTCCTAAATTTAGGAAGTTCTAAAAGTCTACCCTAACTTCAAAGATCCCTGGGGAGTGAAGTAAGGCCTTCTTGAGCATGAATTTTAGCCCAAATTTATTTTCTGGACAGTCTTGCTTTTCCCCCTTCTCCTCCATAGGTGGTGATCTCACAAGTATGTCCTAATATACTTATTATGTGCTGATCTCTGTGCCAGAGTTTCCTTCTTGAGGTACCTAACCAATGAAAATGAATACATCTATCCACCTTTCCTTCCCATTTGAAATTTATACGTGTACTATCTCTTGGGAAGTTAGGTAAGTTACTTACCTTCCCAAAGCCACAGTTTCCTCATTCTTAACATAGGATTCATTAGTCCTACTTCTGAAGGTAATTAGAGGATTAACTGGGAAGATGCATGTAAAATAGATAACTCAATTCCTGGCAAATGGAAAACAATTAGTAAATACCTTCGGGAAAATCAGACAAATTTTGACTCATCCTCTCACGGAGAGAAGATAATATTTATGACTGAATTTTGCATAAGCTAAATAATTGCATACTTAAATTGGCAGCTACCAGGTAAACTTTCTGTTTTAGTTAGGTTATTCAAATCTCATTGTAGACATATTAGGATCCTCATTTACTCATTGTTGTGAATATACTTCAAAAACCATAGTACTACATCTTGAAGCTGACATTTCCCCCGATTAATTGACAATGAAAGAATCCTCAAGAAAAAAAAATGCTTAACAATCTGTAATTTACATTTCTCAGTGGAAACCAGCATTATGTTTATATTATAGCACAGATAACATTATTAGCAGAATAATCGAGCCAAATGAATCATGACTGAAAATCTGATTACCAGACAGCACCATGCTGATATCATAGACCTCATACACTTTCTTCTTTCATCTTGTTGCAATATCAGATTTCTTCTGCTGTTTAGTAGGTATGCTTTGGTGTCTGTTGTTTATAACTATTCCTTTGATATTATAATACATTTCTTCAGAATGATGAGCCTTAAATTAATTTACCCTTTCAAAAGAGAATCTATGAACAAGGACAAATCTTTCTAATAAATTTATTTACAACTAACTAATGTGCAATTTGCTACTTGTCAAAACATTGGAAATTATGTTGTTGTTTCATGTAAAATATAATTAGCCAATACTTTTGGTAGGATGTGCAAACAGAGGAGGTATTACCAAACTGGGACTCCATAATCTATATTTATTTTCTCTTTGATTTTGAAAAGAATTAAAGAAGGCTTATCTTCTATTCAAATAAAATAAACTAAAATTATTTAGCACATTATCTTCTTGTCTGCCTATATCATTTCTGATTTCATGACAAGCAGTGCAAAAAAAATCTGTTATAAAAAAGTCATTTGGAATCTACTTACTAATGAATCATGATATTTTATTCTGTAGACATAGTTTGATCAAAACACTAGTATTTTTTAAAGTAGTTTATTTTATTAAATTTCATAAAATAAAAAATAAAGGTAAATATACTCTCAAATTATAGGGTGGAAATCTTTTCATGTATGTGCAATACTTAATTTTATCTATAGCCTAGAGTGCTTAGTTTCTTTCCTTTTTAATCATTTAGTGCTCTCTTACTCATAGACTTCCTTTGATATGCAGCCAGAAGCATGAACTGTATCAGAAATAGAATTCCAGATTACATTACAACCACCAAAAGATGATCAAAATCTGAATTACCACCATCAATTAGCATTTTTTCAGTATCCACAGAGATCTACAGCCCAGATTTTCTACTTAGATATAAGATCTACCCAGTCCTTATTTCTGAGTCCTAACAGAGATCTTAAAACATATAAAGTACAAAACTTTACAATAAAAAAATCATTTTAACATAGAGTGAACGAGAAGTTTGTTCTGTGATGCAGGGTGAAAGGGGAACTTTGCCATTATTTAGGACGAGTTTTATTCTGATATATACTTACCATTCTTTATCAAGCTGAAATGAAAGCAATTTCTGTGCTCCCTAGGATGGAGTAGTTTCCCTTACCTACCTTTGAGTTCCTCGGGGTTTCTCCTTCTCTTCAATAATTTTCTGCACACATCCCAGCAGTTTCTTTTTCTTGGCCCTTCTTTCCATCAGTATTCTTACCTCCTATCCGCTAAGTGAAGCCTTAAATAAGAACTATCTTCTAGGCAATTAGTTCTGCACTCAAAATGGTAAAATTCCTCTAGTCTTACTTTTCTGTGCCCTCTTACCCAGACGAGGGCAAATTTGCATCATCCTATCATCCTGAACTGAGATGAGCAGAAGTGTGATACTGAGTTGACAGAATTCACTTACCTGTGACTAAAAATGTTTAGCCACTTTGTGAGGGTCCCATTACTAACCCAAGCAGATAGTGTGAGTAGAAATCAAAAAATAGGAAAACAAACCAAACCATCAATTCGTTTTGGATTTTATCAAGTTACTTAACCTTTTGGACTTTCATTTCTTTATCTATAAAATAGTGCTCAAGATGCCACACAGACTCCATGAAAATAAAATAATACACTGTATGCAAATTAGGGTGGTAGAATAGTGTAGTGGGAACCCAGGTCTAAAAGTCAATCATATTGTATTTGAACTTGCTAGTTTCAAATTGTGTGCTGCTTTATGACCTTAGGTAAGTCACCCATTAAGTCTCTTTTCTTTTCTTTTTTTTTTTTTTTTTTTTTTGTGTGTGTGTGTGTGTGTGTGTGTGTGTGTGCAGAAGAATGGAGCTTTATTATTACTCAAATCAGCCTTCCTTAGTACTCAGGGACCAGGGTTTTTAAGGACACCTTGGTGTGTTGGGGGAGACCAGTTAGATAGGAGTAGGAATTGATGAGGTGATGAGCAGAGATGAAATTTTAGGGAGTAAATCTGTCTTTTTGCAATAAATCATTTCCTGGCTGGGCGTCACAGGATCAGATGAGCCAGTTTATCAATCTGGGTGATGCCAGCAGATCCCTCAAGTGCAGGGTGTGCAAAATATCTCAAGCACTGATTTTAGGCTTTACAATAGTGATGTTATCCCCAGGAGCAATTTGGGATGGGTCAGAACCTTGTAGCCTCCAGTTGCATGACTCCTAGACCATAATTTCTAATCCTTTCGTTAATTTGTTAGCCCCACAAAGGCAGTCTAGTCTCCAGGCAAAAAGGGAATTTATTTAGTTTAAACCTCTGCAGGCGGATATAAAACCAGTACCTAACCTATGGAATAGGGATAATTAAGTAAGATAATAGTGGTAAATTGTTCACTGGTAGCACCATGCCTGGGACACTATGACTACTCAGTTAATGTCACTTCTTGTTAACAGATCCAAAATTCAGCTACCAAAAACAGTCAGAAAGATTATATTTTATAACTAGACAATTTTTAATTATACTGAGAAGTGTGAGAGAAGCCAGAAAGAAACAGACATGATTCTGTCATTCATTTATCTAGTATCACCATTGTTTATGTCCTGGACATACATTAGTGAATCAAGTAGATTAGTTGCTATTATTATAGGGATTTCATTCTTATTATTGTTTTGGAGGCTTGGAAGGTACAGGAGAGATGATTCAAAAAAAAATTTGAGAGTGATCTTTGCCTGAGCAATTGGATGAAGAAAACAAAGTGATCTCATCAGAAAATATTCTTCAGGCAACAGTAAAAGAAGGGGATGCACAGAGAAGCCCATGCATTGACACACATATAATTTTAAAATGTATGCAACAGCCCATCTTATATTTTCTGGGGTTTTTTCTATGTATTTAAAATATTCTTTAGTTAAAAATAATTCAGTAGTTGAACTTCAGGGAAGATCCAAGTTGACATCATAATACAGCTCTTCTCAGGTGGAACTCTGGAAAAAATGCATGGCAAGTGATAGAACAATCATTGAAGCTGTACCCAATGCAGTCAGATACTGATCTTTTATGACTGGGGGAAAGATAGAAAGCAAGGACTTAGGAAAGTAAAGAGCAAGAATGTCAGAAAGGAAGAATTTGGAGTCACCATAAAAGGAAGTTTACAGGATAGGAATTCATCAGCAACTGTGATGATCAGGTTAATTTAGCAGTTATAAAGGCCCTGTTGGGAAGATAGAACACTGGATAAAAACAGAGGACTCCGCTTCCTTGGCTCCTTGGCTCTGAACAAGCATTTGGTAAGGCAAGTATTTCTGAGAAAGAAAAACAAATCTCTACTTGATGATCAAAATATGAAAAAACTGTCTCCCCTGCTTTTTTTGGAAGATATATTCCTATAAAAGTAAATGTTATATAGAACGAAGGCTATGCAGCCAGTGGTGGTGGTGTAGAATGGCTTGACTCATGCAATGTATGGGGAAAAATGCCAATTGGACTCCTGCGGGTTGATAAGACTGAAGCTACTCAAGAGACAGAAAACTCTCATATCCACCTGGAATTCTTTCTATTGTTAAAATTTATTGTCATGGAAGAAAAAAATCAAGAGTATTACAAAACAGAAAAGGGGTCTCTCTCTTTCTCTCTCTCTCTCTCTCTCACACACACACACACACACACACACAGAGTGATATGGTTTTGATTTTTGTCCCCTCCAAATCTCATATTGAGATATAAACCCCAGTGTTGGCTGTGGGGTAGGAGGTGTTGGTGTCATCGGGGACAGATCTTTCATGAGTAGTTTGGTGCTGTCCTCATGATAAGGAGTGACTGCTCGTTCTGAGTTCATGCAAGATCTGGTTGTTCAGAAGTGTATGGAACCTCCCCACCCCCTTGCTTCTTCTGTCACCATGTGATACACAGGCTCCTCCTTTGCTTCCACCATGATTTGGAAGCTTCCTGAGGCCCTCACCAGAAGCAGATGCCAGCAATATGCTTCGAGTACAGCCTTCAGAACCATGAGACAAGCCTCTTTTCTTATAAATTACCCAGTCTCAGGTATTTATTTATAGCAAGGCATGAACTGCTTAATACACATACACACACTACATTCAGCAATAACAACAGAATAGCATGACTGCAGTAGCATCTTGCCTCTGAGCCAAAGTCTTATATGGCGAGGTATGAAAAAGCTACTAATTAGGGCATTAATAACAAATAGAATTGGAAGTTCTTAAGCCTTTTGGGGTTGGTGACAAGTTTGCTGAAACAATTGATTTTGCTTGATGGTACATTAACCCTGTTTTTGAGAAAATGTGTTTATTCCACATTGGTTTTAGAAAATATGACTGCAGATTTTGCCAAAACTTAGCTAAGCCCTAAAAAACAATTGACTTAATTCTGATTAATAAAACAGAAGCACATTGAACAGCACTGCCCATTTCATGGCCTATCTCTTCAAGGCAAGGGAGACCACAGCATGTTCACATATTCATAAAGAGAGAAAGAGAAAAGCCATCCTTGATGGTGGGCTTCAGGTAACAATAAGTTTTAGTCCTTAATTTGATCTGTATGTTGATAAGCTTGTGATAAATCCAGAGTCTCTGAAGGAATTTGAAGGTCTATGTCTGAGCCTCCACGAACCTGAAACAGGCAAGACAATCGTTTTTTCTGCCCATTGCTCCACATGCACAGTTCACTAACATACCTTTAAATGGTAATAAAGAAGCATGAGGAAGATATCACTAAAGTCACAACCAAATGAGTGGTAGATTGGCACCAAAGTTCCAAGTGTTAGAGTTTTGATTTCACAGATTTGCTGGTGCCAGGGGAACAAAAATGGAAGATAAGGGAAAAGCTACACACTAGGAGCAAAGTGTTCTCTCTTCTTCAATGGGAAGTGAGCTGAGCAGCATGGGACACTTAGAAAACATTTTAGTAAACAATCCAGGAGTCCCACAGGCCTGTGATCAATTATTTAAGAAACAACATTAAGGAGCTATTAATTAATAGCATTGTATCCTCTTCTTAGAGTTTGTATGCATTGCCGATTGCAGCAGTATTAAAAAAATCTGGAAAATTAGAATACATGTCAATTAAAGAATAGTAAACTAAGATATAGCAAATTACTCTTCTCTAAATTCAGAAGGCTTTCAGTTTTCTAGTAGAAAGCCAGAGTTAGATCTTTAAAACCATTACTAGTAGGCACCTCATTATAAAAAAGCATAAGAAGTAACAAGCCTTTCCTTATCCAGTAGGGTCATAATAGCTGAGAAAATGCTTTTGATCATCTGGTAGATGTCATTTTCTTACAGTTGAAATATGAATTATTTGGAAGCACTGCTGAATATGGACAATGTTGTGTTTGCAAGGACTGTGGAGAAATGTCTTGAAATGACGTTTGACAAAACATAATAAATGACTATGTAAGGTAATTATGAATCTTAAGGGGACAGAGTTGAAACTCTCATTGGACAAGTGAAAATGTTTTCTCAGTTAAGCATATAGAAGATATCATCTCTATACAGGGATGAGCAGCAGGCCTAAAAAGATATTAGTATCTGCCTACTAATCCCATCTCATCAAACTTAAGGGTGTTAGATTTACTGCCATGAAGAAAAACCAAGGGAATAGATCGTAACAGAGAGAGCTATGGAAATTAGCATGGTCAGAAAAAGTCTCATTGAGAAGATGACAGTTGAGTGAACACCTGAAAGCAAGTGATGGAGTGTGCCATTCTGATTTTGGGAGGAAGAGCATGCTGGACCCAGAGAAAGTAAGCACAATGTAGGAAGATACTCAAGGCAAGGAGTTCAAAGTGGCTTTATCAAATATTACACTTGTATAACAAAACATTTATTACTATGGCTCAAATGTATTCATTCAGCAATAAATCAGCAAAGGACTAACCAGCAGTTGCCATGAATGATGCCACTGACTGCTATGCTTTAAATGTCACCACCAAAATTTATTTTGAAACTAATTGTCACGGAAGCAGTTGCAAAAGGTCAGGCCTTTAGGAGATAATTAAGCCATGAGGACTCCACTCTCATGAATGAGTGAAGGTCATTATCATTAGAGTAGGTTAGTTATCACAAGAGTAGGTTAGTTATAAAAGAAAAAAGTAAAACAAATGTGATAATCACTACTATGAAAACCAGGTCAAAGAATTTAAAACAGAACTATCATTTGACCCAGTAATCCCAAAATTGGGTATATGCCCCAAGGAAAATAGATTATTATGCCAAAAAGATATATGTGCTTGTATGTTCGTCAACATGCTTTTCACAATAGCAAAGACCTGGAATCAAACTAGATGTTTATCAGTGGTGGATTAGAAAAAGAAAATGTGGTACATATGCACCACAGAATACTACACAACCATAAAAAAGAATGAAATAATGTCTTTTTCAGCAACATGGATAAAGCTAGAGGCCATAATCCTAAGCGAATTAATGCAGAAACAGGAAACCAAATACTGCATGTTCTCACTTATAAGTGGAAGCTAAACATTGAGTGTCCATGGACATAAACATGGGAACAATAGACACTGTAAACTATTAGAGGATGGGGGAAAGGAGGAAAATGTGGATCAAAAACCTATCTATTAAGCATTATGCTCACTACCAGGGTGCAGTATATCCATGTAACAAACCTGCACATGTACCCCAGTATCTAAAATAAAACTTGAAAAAATAAATAAAAATAAAAAGTGTGCCCCTCATTTTCTCTCTGTCTCATGTGCTCATTTACCATTCCTTCCACCATGGGAAAATGCAGCACAAAGACCCTCACCACATGCTGATGCCATGCTCTTGGACTTCTCAGCCTCTAGAAATGCGAGAAATAAATTTATTTTCTCTATAAACTACCCAGTCTGTCGTATTCTGTTACTGCAACAGAAAAACAGACTAAGATACTGGCCTTTAGCAGTGATTAAAGATAAATAGAAAATCTTGCAGATAAGCATTTAGAATTCAGACAGGTCATCTGGATAATGCTTCTGTATTAAATGTTATGAATGGCAATAAGACCTTAACATGACACAAAGACACAAGTCTACAGGGCCTATGGTAGGTGCTCTGTGACAAAGAAAATCTGTGACATTTGCTAGAGTCTATCTGAATTCAAGGCATATTAACCTATTCTTATACACAAGTGTGTGGTTTCAAAATAGGTTTCCATAAGAATGTGATAGCCTTCCTGGTGTTAATATATTATATATCAATCTATTAATAACATAGAATATATATATGTATCTATACATTCTATCAGAAAGCACAGTGGGGCAGCTTAAGCCAGAAATAGGAAAAAATATGGAAAATACAAGTGTCACCTAGAAAAACACATTGTTATTATTTAAGAACCAGCTATGATAAGAAGATGTGAATGGTGTTGCATGAGCACAGAGCAGCTTAAACCACTTAGGAAGTCAGAGTTTCCTAGAAATAGTAATATTGGAAGGATTAGCTATATCACAGGCATTCTTTCAATCTGGTTAACTCTTATCCTGGTTAACTTCTTCTAATCCTGCAATTCTAAATTTACCTGCCCACTTTTTCAGTAGCCATTTTTGTACTTTCTTCTAATCTCAATTTTGTATCTCTTATTCTATTTCATTGAATCCTAATTTTCATAAAAATTGGCAAACATTATAATTACATATCTACTTGTATTTTTTCTTTTTTTTTTTACTTTTTATCTTCACAACTAAACTTTAAATTTTGAAGATTAAACACTAAGTCTTTTTTGACCAAATAGCTCTCAACAAATATTATTTGAATGCATTGAATAAGAATCAACTTGAGTAACAGGTCAAGGCAAGTATGAAAAAGAAAATGATCAGAAAGAAGTTTTGAAAAGCCATAAAAGAGAGAAAGAGTTTAACGTATTTATGAAACTAAGAGGAATTCCATTTGGGTGAAGTGCAACGTGCAACAGAGAGCTGGGAAGCATGAAGTTCAGCAGGTAGTCACAAAGGGCATGAGATTAAGTTTGCTTATGCAATAAGCAAATATTCAGTATGGCTTATTATCAAATACATGTTTTAAACCATGATTAAATGTGTGTACTCTATTCTATGAAATCATAAATCAATTAACATGATAAAATGTTACAAAATCAAGAAAATATCAAGTGTGTTTTACATTAAGATACTGTACTAAATGCTGATGAGATCAAAGCATCCTAAATAACTGTATTTTAAATTATTATAAATATGATTGATTCACTTTTTAGAAAGCCCATGATTTCTAGTGATTTCCTATTTCTATTCTAGGTTCTTACACACATTACATCTTTGTAATATGATTATACTGTAAGCCTATTACTCAAATTCTTCCATGTATTCTATTTTTCCTCATTTCTTTATTATGATGATAATGAAATATTTCAGACACACTGAAAGTATAAAGCCTTCATGTATTAAATTAACTTTTAAAAATTTCAACTCTTATTTTAGATACGGGGGGATATGTGCAGGTTTATTAAATGGTTATATTGCACCCAGATAGTGGACACCATACCCAATGGGTAGTTTTTTGACCCACATTCCCTGCTTCCCCCTCCAGTAGTCCACAGTGTCTATTGTTCCCATGTTTATGTCCATGGGCATTCAGTGTTTAGCTGCCACTTATTGCATGTGAGAACATGCAATATTTGGTTTTCTGTTTCGGCATTAATTGGTTTAGAATTATGGCCTCCAGCTTTATCCATGTTGCTGCACAAGACATTATTTCATTCTTTTTTACAGTTACATAGTATTCCATTGTGCATATGTATCACATTTTCTTTCTCCAGTCCAACATTGATGAGCACCTATGTAGATTCCCTGACTTTGTTATTGTAAATAGCATGATGATAAACATACAAGTGCATGTATCTTTTTGGTATGATAATCTATTTCCTTTGGGTATATTCCCAGTAATGGGATTGCTGGGATGAATGGTAGTTCTTTTTTAAGTTCTTTGAGAAATTTCCAAGCTGCTTTCCACAGTGGCTGAACTGTGTATAAATATTTCCTTTCTCTGAAGCCTTGCCAACATCTGTTGTTTTTCTGACTTTTTAATAGTTGACTTCCTGACTAGTATAAGATGGTATCTCCTTGTGGTTTTGATTTGCATTTCTCTGATGATTGGTGATGATAGGCATTTTTTCATACGTTTGTTGGCCACTTGTATGTCTTCTTTTGAGAAGTGATTGTTCATGTCCTTTGACAATTTTTTTTGTTTGTTTTTTAACTTGTTGATTTGTTTAAGTTCCTCTTAGATTCTGGATATTAGACCTTTGTTGGGTGCATACTTTGAGAATATTTTCTCCCATTCTGTAGGTTGTCTGTTTACTCTGTTGATAATTTCTTTGGCTGGGCAGAAGCTCTATAGTTTAACTGATCATACTTGTTAATTTTTTATTTTTCTTGCAGTTGCATTTGGGTACCTAGCCAAAATTTTTTTGCCAAGGCTGATGTTGAGAAAGTTATTCCCTAGGTTTTCTTCCAGGATGTTTATAGTTTGAGGTCTTACATTTAAATCTTTAATCCATCTTGAGTTAATTTTCGTATGTGGTGGGTGAAAGATAAAGGTCTAGTTTTATTCTTCCACATGTGGCTAGCCAGTTATCACACCACCATTTATTGAATAGGAAGTCCTTTCTCTGCAGTTTTTTTTTTTTTTTGGCATTGCTCAAAATAAAAAGATTGTAGGTGTATGACTTTACTTCTGAGGTTTTTTTGTGTGTGCCATTTTTCTATGTGTCTGTTTTTCACCAGTGCCATGCTGTCTTGGTTACTGTAGCCTTATATTATAGTTGAAATCTAGTAGTATGATGTCTCCAGCTTTGTTCTTTTTGCTTAGGATCGCCTTGGCCATTTGGGCTCCTTTTGGGTTCCATATGAATTTTAGAACAGTTTTTCTCTAATTCTGTGAAGAATTATATTGATAGCTTGATAGGAATAGCATTGAATCTGTGCATTAGGTGGTATGACCACTTTAACAATATTGATTCTTCCAGTCCATGAGCATGGCATGTTTTTCCATTTCTGTCATCTTTGTTTAGTTTTGGGAGTGTTTTGCAGTTCTTGTTGTAGAGATCTTTTACCTCCCTGGTTAGCTGTATCCCTAGGTATTTCATTTTCTTTGTGGCTATTGTAAATGAGACTGTGATCTTCATTTGACTCTCAGACTGGATGTTATTGGTGTATAAAAATGCTACTGATTTTTGTACATTGATTTTGTAACCTGAAAGTTTACTGAAATTATTTACCAGTTCCAGAAAACTTTTGGTGGAAACTTGAGCATTTTCTAGGCATAGAATCATGTGATCCATGAAGATAGTTTGACGTCCTGTTTTCCTATTTAGATGCCTTTTATTTCTTTCTCTGGTTTGATTGTTCTGGCTAGGACTTTCAGTACTAGTTTGAATAGGAGTGGTGAGAACGAGCATCATTTTTTTATTCCAGTTCTCAAGGGAAATGGGAAATGGTTCCAGCTTTTGTCCATTGAGTGTGATGTTTCCTGTGAGTCTTTCATAAATGGCTCTTATTATTTTGAGGTACAATCCTTCAATACCTTTTCTGTTGAAGGTTTTTATCATGAAAGGATGTTGGATTTTATTGAAGACTTTTTGTGCGTGTATTGAAATAATCAAATGGTTTTTTGCTTTTAATTCTGTTTATGTGGTGAATCATATGTATTGATTTATGTATTTGTAAATTTTCTTCATTAAAATATTTTAAATTTATTTTTATTTTGAGACAGGTTCTCACTCTGTTGCTCAAGCTGAAGTGCAGTGGTCACCACGGCTCATTATAGCCTAGACTTCCCAGGCTCAAGTGATCCTCCCACCTCAGCTTCCTGAGTAGTTGAGACAATAGGTAGTTGCCCCCATACCCAGTCAACTTTTTTTTTAATTTTTTGAAGAGACAGAATCTCAGTATTTTGCCCAGGCTTGTCTTAAACATCTAGGCTCAAGTAATCCTCCTGCCTGGACCTCCCACAGTGCTGAGAGTATACGTATGAGCTACTGCACCTGGCTGATTTATGTATTTTGAACCAACCTTGCATCCCACGCATAAAGCCTAGTTGATTGAGGTAAATCAACTCTTTGATGTGCTGCTGGATTTAGTTCATTAGTATTTTATTAAGGATTTTTGTATTTATGTTCATAAGAAATATTAGCCTGATGTTTTCTTTCTTCATTGTATGTCTGCCAGATTTTGTTATTAAGCTGATGTTGGCTTAATCGAATGAGTTAGAGAGGAGTCCTTTCTCCTCAATTTTTTGAAACAGTTTCCGTAGGACTGGTACCGGTTCTTCTTTATATATTTGGTAGAATTCAGCTGTGTATCCATCTTGTCCAGAGCTTTTTTTTGGTTAGTAGGTTGTTTTATTAGTGATTCAGTTTCAGAGTTGGTTATTGACCTATTCAGAATAACAATTTATTCCTGATTCAATCTTGGGAGTTTGTGTGTTTCAAATCAATTTCCTCTAGATTTTCTAATTTGTGTGCATATACTTGGTCATAGTAGTCTCTGAGGATCTTTTGTATTTCCATTGGATCAGTTTTAATGTCATCATTGTCATTTTTTATTGTATTTTGATTTTCTATTGTTTTCTTTATTGGTATACCTAGTGAGCTATTAATGTTATTTTTCAAAGAACCAATCTCTTAGTTTTATTAACTTTTGTATAAATTTTTTCATTTCAATTTCATTAAGTTCTTCTTTAATTTTGGTTATTTCTTTCCTTCTGCTACCTTTGGCATTGGTTTTTCCTTTTTTCTTTTCTTTTTTTTTTTTCTAGTTCCTTCAGGTACAAAGTTAGATTGTTAATTCGAGATCTTTCTAACTTCTTGATAAAGATGTTTAGGGCCATAAACTTTCCTCTTATCATTGATTTAGTTGCATCCCTGAGATTTTGGTAACTTGTATCTTTATTTTCATTAATTTCAAAGCATTTTTTGATTTCTGTATTAATTTTTATGCACACCCAGTAATTATTCAGGAGCAAATTGTTTGATTTTCATGTATTTGTGTAGCTTTGAGAGATCTGGATATTAATTTCTGTTTTCATTGCCCTGTGGCTTGAGAGTGTATTCAGTATAATTTCAGTTTCTTTTTCATTTACTGAGATTGCTTTACAATCAAGTATGTGGCCAATCTTGAAATATGTTCTGTATGCAGATGAGAAATATATCTATTCTGCAGTTGTTGGGTGAGTTGTTCTGCAGATGTCTTGTAGATACAATTGGTCAAGCGTTCAATTTAAGTCCAGAGTTTCTTTGTTAATTTTCTGCCTCGATGATCTGTCCAACGCTGTCAGTAGAGTGTTGAAGTCTTTCACGGTTATTGTGCAGTTATCTGAACTTTTCATAGGGCAAGAAGAAATTGCCTTATGAATCTGGTGCTCCAATGTTGGGTACATATATATTTAGGATAATTAAGTCTTCTTATTGGGTTGTACCTTTTATCATTATGTAATGCCCTTCATTGTCCTCCTTAATTTGTATTGGTTTAAAGTCTATTTTATCTGATATAAGAATAGCAACTCCTGCACTTCTTTGTTTTCCATTTGCATGGTATATCTTTCTCCATTATTTTGCTTTGAACTTGTGGGTGTTGTTACATGTGAAATGGGTCTCTTGAAGACAACAGATGGTTGGGTCTTGTTTTTTCATCCAGCTTGCCACTCTGTCTTTTAAGTGGTCCATTTATAGTCAACATTAATATTGATAGGTGTGATTTTGATCCTCTTATCATGTTGTCAGCTGGTTGTTATAATGCCTTGATTGTGTAGTTGCTTTATAGTATCTGGAGATTATGTGCTTAAGTGTGTTTCTGTGGTAGCACATGTTCTTTGGATTCCATGTTCAGCATTCCCTAAGGACCTCTGGTCTTCTAAAACTGGTATAGTTTAAACAAATTCCCTCAGCATTTGTTTGTCTGAAAAGGATTTTATTTCTTCTTCAGTTATGAGGCTTAATTTGGAAAGGTATAAAATTCTTTGTTGGAACTTATTTTCTTTATGGGTGCTAAAAATAGGTCCCAACCTCTTCTGGCTTGTACGGTTTCTAAGAGGTCTGCTACTAGCCTCATGGGGTTCCCTCTGTATGTAACTTGACCCCTGTCTTTACCTGCCTTTATTTTTTGTATTGCATTGACCATGGTGAATCTGATGACTATCTGATGGTCATTTTGTAGTGTCTAGCTGGGGTTCTCTGTAATTCTTAGATTTGTATGTCAACCTATCTAATGAGATTAGGGAAATTTTCATGGACTACATCCTGAGCTAAGTTTTGCATATTGCATATTCTTTCTCTTTCTCTCTCAGAAATGCCAGTGAGTTGTAGATTTGGTCTCTTTACATAATTCCATATTTCTCAGAGGTTTTGTTCATTTTTATTAATTATTTTTCCTTTATTTTTATCTGACTGAGTTGATTCAAAGAACTAGCCATTGAACACTGGGATTCTTTCCTCAGCTTGATCTTTTTGCTGTTAATACTTCCAATTATATTATGAAATTCTGGTCATGAATATTTAAGCTCTAGAAGTTCAGTTTGATTCTTTCTTAAAATGGCTTCTTTGTCGTTCAGCTCTTGGATCATTTTACTGTATTCCCTGGGTTGGATTTCAACTTTTTAATGAATTGTAATGAGTTTATTTGTCATTCAAACTCTGAATTCTATGCCTGTCATTTCAATCATGTTAGACTGGTTAAGAACCGTTGCTCAGGAGTTAGTAGACTCATTTGGATGCAAGGGGACACTGGATTTTTGATTTGCCAGAATTCTTGTGCTGATTTCTTCTCATCTGGAAGGGTTGGTGTTCCATTAACTGTGATGTAAGTTGATTATAGTCAGTTTCATTTCTGAGTATTTGCAGAGGGTCAGGGCTCTGTAAAGAATGTCTGTTTTGCTCTTGTTGTGGTTACATGGATACGTTTTTCAGAAGTGACTTCTGAGATTTTGGTGCACCCATTACACAAGCAGTGTACACTGGACCCAATGTGTAGTCTTTTAACCCCTAGCCTTCCCCTGAGTCCCCAAAGTCCATTATATCATTCTTATGCTTTTGTGACCTCATAGGTTAGCTCCCATTTATAAGTGAGAACCTATGATATATAGCTTTCCATTTATGAGTTATTTCACTTATTAATAGAATAATGGTCTCCAACTCCATCCAGGTTGTTGCAACAGCCACTATTTTGTTCCTTTTTATAGCTGAGTAGTATTCCATGGTGTGTCTGTGTGTGTGTGTGTGTGTGTGTGTGTGTGTGTGTGTGTGTATGTATATATATATATATCACATTTTCTTAATCCACTCATTGGTTGATGGGCAGTTAGGCTCATTCCGTATTTTTGCAATTACAAATTGTACTGCTATAAACATAAGTGTGCACGTGTCTATTTCATATAATGACTTATTTTCTTCTGGGTAGATATCCAGTAAGTGGGCTGGATCAAACGGTAGTTCTACTTTTAGTTCTTTAAGGAATCTTCATACTGTTTTCCATAGTGGTTTGACTAGTTTACATTCCCACCAGCAGTGTATGTGTTCCCTTTTTACCATATCCATGCCAATATCTATTATGTTTTGACTTTTAAATTATGGCCATTCTTACAGGAGCAAGGTGGTATCTCCTTGTGGTTTTAATTTGCATTTCCCTATTCATTAGTCATGAGCATTTTTTTTGTATGTTTGTTGTCCATTTGTATATATTATTATTATTATTATTATTATTATTATTATTATTGAGACAGAGTCTCACTCTGTTGCCCAAGCTGGAGTGCAGTGATGCAATCTTAGCTCACTGCAACCTCCATCTCCCAGGATCAAGGTATTCTTATATCTTAGCCACCCAGATAGCTGGGATTACAGGTGTACACCACCATGCCTGGCTAATTTTTGTCTTTTTAATAGGACAGGGTTTCACCATGTTGGCCAGGCTGGTCTGAAACCCTGACTTCAAGTGAGCCACTGGAATTAGCTTCCTAATGTTCTAGGGTTGTAAGCATAAGCCACTACACCCAGCCCATTTGTATGCCTTCTTTTGATAATTATCTATTTATATTCTTTGCCTGCTTTTTAATGGAATTGTTTGTTTTTGCTTGATGATTTGTTTGAAGTCCTTGTAGATTCTGGATATTAGTCCTTTGTCGGATACATAGTTTGTGAAGATTTTCTCCCACTCTGTGGATTGTCTGTTTACTCTGATAATTATTCCTTTTGCTCTGCAGAAGCCTTTTGGTTTAATTAGGTTCCATCTGTTTATTTTTGGTTTTGCTGCTTTTGCTTTTGGGTTCGTGGTCATGAACTCTTTGCCTAAGCTAATGTCTAGAAGAGTTTTTCTAATGTTATCTTTTAGAATTTTTATGGATTCAGGTTTTAGATTTAAGTCTTTGATCTATCTTTAGTTGATTTTTGTATAAGGTGAAAGATGAGAATCCAGGATCATTCTTCTACATGTGGCTTGCCAATTATCCCAGCACCATTTGTTAAATAGGGTGCCGTTTACTCATTTTATGTTTTTGTTTGCTTTGTCAAACATCATTTGGCTCTAACTATTTGGCTTCATTTCTGGGTTCTCTATTCTGTTCCATTGGTCTACATACTATTTTTTATACTAGTAACATGCTGTTTTGGTAACTACAGCCTTGTAGTGTAGTTTGAAGTTGGGTAATGTGATGCCTCTAGATTTGTTCTTTTTGCTTCATATTACTTTGGCTATGTGGGCTCTTTTTTGGTTCCATATGAATTTTACAATTTTTTTTTCTAGTTCTGTGAAGAATGATGATAGTACTTTTATGGGAATTGACTTGAATCTGTAGATTATTTTTGGCAGCATGGTCATTTTCACAATATTGATTCTACCCATCCATGAGCATGGGTTGTGTTTTCATTTGTTTGTGTCACTGATGATTTCTGTCAGCAATGTTTTGTAGTTTTCCTTGTAGAGATCTTTCACCTCCTTGATTAGGTGTATTTCTAAGTTTTTGTTTTTGTTTTTTCATTTGTCATAAAAGGGATTGAGTTCTTGATTTGACTCTCAGCTTAGTTACTGTTGATGTATAACAGTACTACTTATTTGTGTACATTGATTTTCTATCCTGAAACTTTACTGAATTCATTTATCAAATCTAGGAGCTTCTTGGATGAGTTTTTAAGGGTTTTCTAGGTATGCAATCATATAATTGGCAAATGGTGACAGTTTGCCTTCCTCTTTACTGATTCAGATGCACTTTTTTCTCTTGTCTGATTGCTCTGGCTAAGATTTCCGTACTACGTTGAATAAAAATGGTGAAAGTGGGCATCCTTGTCTTGTTCCAGTTCTTAAGAGAAATGTTTTCAACCTTTCCCCATTCAGTATAATGTTGGCTGTGGGTTTGTCATAGATGGTTTTTATTACCTTGGGGTATATCTCTTCTATGCCAATTTTGGTGAGAGTTTTAATCATAAAGGTATACTGGACTTTGTCAGAAGCTTTTTCTGCATCTATTGAGATAATTGTATAATTTTTGTTTTAAATTATGTTAATGTGATATATCACATTTATTGACTAGCATATGTTAAACCATCCCTGCATCTTGGTATGAAACCCACTTGATCCTGGTGTATTATCTTTTTTGATATGATTTTGGATTCAGTTAGCTAGTATTTTGTTGAGAATTTCTGCATCTATGTCCATCAAGGATATTAATATGTAATTTTCTTCTTTTTCTATGTCCTTTTCTGGTTTTGATATTAGGATGATATTGGCTTCATAGAATGATTTAGGGGAGATTGCCTCTTTATCTATCTTTTGGAAGAGTTTTAGAAATATTGGTACCAATTCTTCTTTGAATGTCTGATAGAATTCAGCTGTGAATCCCTCTGGTCCTGGACTTTTTTTGTTGTTGGTAATTTTTTTTATTCCTGTTTCAGTCTCGCTACTTGTTATTGGTCTGTTCAGAGTTTCTATTTCTTCCTGATTTAATCTAAGAGGGTTGTATATTTCCAGAAATTTACCCATCTCCTCTAGATTTTCCAGTTTGTGAGCATAAAGGTGTTCAGAGTAGACTTGAATGATCTTTTGTATTTCTGTGGCATCAGTTTTAATAGATCCCATTTCATTTCTAATTGAACTTATTTAGATCTTCTGTCTTCTTTTCTTGGTTAAGCTCATTATTGGTCTATCAATTTTGTTTATGTTTTCAAAGAACCATCTTTTTGTTTTATTTATTTTTTGTATCTTTTTTTCAATTTCATTTATTTCTTCTCTGATATTTATTTCTTTTATTCTGCTGAGTTTGGGTTTGGCTTGTTCTTATTTCTCTAGTTCCTTGAGGTGTGAGCTTAGATTGTATATTTATGCATCTTCAGACTTTATGATGTAGGCATTTAATGCTATGAACTTTCCTCTTAGCACAACCTTTGCTGTATCACAGAAGTTTTGATAGGTTGTGACACTATTATCATTCAGCTCAAAGAAGATTTTTATTTTCATCTTGATTTCGTTATTGACCCAAAGATTGTTCAAGAGCAGATTATTTAATTTCCATAGTTTTGGGCATTCCTTTTGGAGTTAATTTCTAGTTTTATTCCATTGTGGTCTGAGAGGATCCTTGATATAATTTTGACTTTCTTAAATGTATGGAGACTTGTTTTGTTACCTATCATATGGTGTATCTTGGAGAATGCTCCATGTGCTGATGAAAAGAATGTATATTCTGCAGTTGTTGGGTAAAATGTTCTGTAAGTATCTGTTAAGTTCCTTTGTTCTAGTGCATAGTTTAAGCCCTTGTTTCTTTGTTGACTTTCTGTCTTGATAACTTGTCTAGTGCTGTCAGTGGAATAGTGAAATCCCCCACTACTAGTATGTTGTTGTCTATCTCATTTCTTAGGTCTAGTAGTAATTGTTTTATAAATTTGGGAGCTTCAGTGTTAGGTGCATAACTATTTAGGATGGTGATATTTTCCTGTTGGACTAATCCTTTTATCATTATTTACTATCTCTCTTTGCCTTTTTTTTTTTTTTTTTGGTGTTGTTGCTTTAAAGTCTATTTTGTCTGATATAAGAATAGCTAGTCCTGCTTGCTTTGGTTTCTATTTGTGTGGACTATCTTTTTCCACCCTCTTACCTTAAGTTTATGTGAGTCCTTATGTGTCAGGTGAATCTCTTGAAGACAGCAGATACTTGGTTGGTGGAGTTGTATCCAACATGCCGTTCTGTATGTTTTAAGTGGAGCATTTAGGCCATTTACATTCAATGTTAGTATTGAGAAGTGAGGTACTATTCTATTCATCATGCTAGTTGTTGCCTAAATACACTGTCTTTTTTTTCTCATTGTGTTATTGTATTATAGGTCCTGTGAGATTTATACTTTAAGGAGGTTCTATTTTGGTGTATTTTGAGGTTTTGTTTCAAGATTTACAAGTCCTTTTAACATTTCTGGTAGTGATGGCTTGGTAGTGGCAAATTCTCTAAGCACTGTTCATCTAAGCATTTGTTTGTCTGAGAGAGACTTTATCTCTTCTGCAACTATGAAATTTAGTTATTCTGGATACAAAATTGTTAGCTGATAATTATTTTGTTTCAAGAGGCTAAAGATAGGACCCCAATCCCTTCTGGCTTGTAAAGTTTCTGCTGAGAAATCTTCTGTTAATCTGATAGGTTTTCCTTTATAGGTTACCTGATGCTTTTGTCTCACAGTCCTTCCTCTGTCTTAATTCTAGATAACCTGATGACTATATGCATGGATGATAATCGTTTTGCGATGAATTTCACAGGTGTTCTTTTAGCATCTTGTATTTGGATGTCTAGTTCTCTAGCAAGGCCAGGGACGTTTTCCTTGATTATTCCCTCAAATAAATTTTCCTAACTTCTACATTTGTCTTCTTCCTCAGGAACACCAATTATTCTTAGGTTTGGATATTTAACATAATCCCAAATGTCTTGGATGCTTTGTTCAGCTTTTTATATTAATTTTTCTTTATCTTTTTCTGATCAGGTTAATTTGAAAGCCTTGTCTTTGTGCTCTGAAGTTCTTTCTTCTACTTGTTTTAGTCTCCTGTTGAAATTTTCCAGTGCATTTTGTATATCTCTAAGGGCATCTTTCATTCCCAAAGTTATGCTTGTTTTTCTTTATAATATCTATTTTTCTGGAGAATTTTTTATCTTTATCCTGTATAATTTTTGAATTTCTTTATGTTGATTTCACCTTTCTCCGGTATTTCCTTGAATAGGTTAATAATCTACCTTCTGAATTCTTTATCTGGCAATTCAGAGATTTCTTCTTGGTTTTAATCCATTGCTGGAGAGCTAGTGTGATCTTTTGGGGGTGTTATAAAACCCTGTTTTGTCATATTATAAGAATTACCTTTCTGGTTCCTTCTTATTTGGGCAGACTATTTCAGTGGAGAGATCTGAAACTGAAGGCCTGCTTTCAGATTCTTTTGCCCCATGTGGTGCTCTTCCCTTTCTGCTAGGGATTGGGCTTCCTGAGAGCTGGACTGCAGTGATTGTTATTGCCCTTCTGGGTCTAACCACCCTGCAGAGCTACCAGGCTGTGGGCTGCTACTGGGGAATGTCTGCAAAGAGTTCTGTGACATGATCCATCTTCAAGTCTTGCCATGGATACCAGTGCCTGCTCTGGTGACGGTGAAGTAGACTCTGTGAAAGTCCTCGGTTGTAGATGTTTAATGTTCTGCGTTTCTTGAATGCTGATTATGCTAGTAGTGAAGTTGTCATGTGGAGAGACCCAGGACCTCTGACTAGCCAGGATGTTGCAGGCAATTAAATTAGTTGTTATTTTCTCTTTCTTGGGAGCAAGATTATTCTGTCTTAAGTTGCTATAATGGCCTGAACTGGTTGCCCTCCAGCCAGGAGGTGGTGCTTTCAAAAGAGCACCAGCTTTGGTAGTAGTAGGGGAATCTAAGCTTTCCCTAAATTGGTCAGGGTAAGTATTCTGGTTTCTTAGGCAATGAGCAGTCCCGTAAAGCTTCTAAGAGTTTATATGTTTTGTGTTTGGCTACTAGGTGGGGGCAGGGTTAGGTGTGTCTGAGCTCTCCTTAGGCAGGGCTTGCTGCTGCCACTATAGGGGATGGGTGTGGGTGGTTCTTAGACCAGTGGGGTTATATTCCAGAGAGGATTATGGCTGCCTCTGCTGTCATATAGCTTACCAGGGAAGTAGGGGATAGCTGGTAACAAGAGGCTTCACCCAGCTCTGACACAGTTGGCAAGGCCAGTCTTGCTCCTGCAGCGCCCCACTCAGACCTTACACCAAGTTGTAAGCTTCCCCACGAGAAAGCAAGCAGGGCTTTCAGGCCTTACTCCTTCCCATTTGCCCCCACTGTCAGTGGCAGCTCTTGCACTCCTATCTGCAGCAGTTCCCATTTTCCACCTGAATTCTGCTCAAGAAAATTCATGCCCAGTCAAAATTACTACAAATTTCAGTTGGAAGCTTCTTTCACCCTGTGATCCCTCCATAATTCTGTTGGCTTCCTTCCCCAAGGGCCGTGTGAAATGTAGTCAGGGATGGCTTCCATGGGCTCTAGTTGAAGACTGAAAGTGCTTACCTACAAGGCTCTTCTCATAGCTGCTTCTACTTTTATATTTTGCACTGCTCCCTAAATCCATTTTGGCTCTAGGAATGGTTAAATTCGTCTCCCATGATCGGAATTTCAGATTCCCCAATGGACATGCGTGTTTGGAGGCAGGCTTTCCCCTCTCACACTTTGGGAACTCACAGTTTTTCACCTGTCTCGCAGAATTTGCAGTGGCTTGCCACTTCTTTCTAAGGATCTGTCAATTCTTTCGGTTTCCTGGTGTGTTCCTGTGGTGGTTCTTGGATCAAAAGTTCACGGTGTGAGTCTCCACATGATGTTCCGTTCATCCAAGTGGGAGCTGCACGTTAGCCCTGTCTCCTATTCACTATCTTCCTCAGACTCCAAAGGTAAACGATCTTTATGTGTGGGTAAATTCTTGCACTGGGTTTCACAGGTATATGTATTAGCAGGACAATTTTTGGTGTTGTAGTTTGGGTTGAGATCCAGCAGATGGTGCTTAAGAGTAGGCTGATTCCCAGCTGTATGACTCTTGGACTTCCTGTGTTCACAGGCATCCTCTGTGGTAGGACAGGAGAGGCCCCCTCACCAGGTCCACCCCTGGGCGTTGGGAAAGCCCCGCCTGAACACCAGCACCATGCTTGTATTTGTTGCTGTTCTTAGGCGTTCCCTCGCGGTGGGGCCCCCTCAGGCACAGGCTGTGACAGGGAATATGCCATACTCTTTCTAGACCAGCCCAGCAGAAGGAGGCACACCCTGCTCCAGCCCCAGCCCAAGAACCTGTAAGTCTTGCCCTTTTCAGTGCTCTGATTATGTGGGCTTCTCTGTCACTCCAGCACTGGCCTCAGATCTTGACTCTGTATTACTGAGCTGCGCTCAGTCCTGAGGGCACTGGGGCATCCCACATGTCAAGGTCAGTTTCCAGCTACACTGAGGATCCAATGTGCTCCCAGGTCCTAGGAAAGTACTCAGGCGGAACAATACTCTCAGGCTGTACTGTGCAGAGGCCGTACTGTGCATCCACTCCTGTAGGATAGCTAGGCATGGGCCTGGGATTGGGGGCTGGCAGGCAGGAGGGCTTGCAAAACATAAGTGCCCAGTCCTACGAAGAATCTGTCCCCACTCTTTCCTGGCTCAGAGGTCAGTTGCGGCCAGTACCTCCAAGAGGGGGATGGGAAGCCCGGGAGGATGAGCAACTATGACCACTCTCTGCCGAAGGTGCCCAGCACACAAAAACACCAAGGTTCTGTGCCATCCAACATTCTGTCTCTGCTTGTTTCCTGGGGAGATTCCCCTGCCAGCTCACACATCCATGGGTGGTTCTATAGCTCACACATCCATAGCTAGTTCTATAGCTAGGACCTCACAGTCAACAGTGTCCTGTCTCTCAGTTCCTTCACTCTCCCCTTTCCCAGGAACTGTTCAGAGACCAGAACTAGCCCTAGCATTCAAGTAACCAGCAGAGGGTTCCCAGCTTGCTCCCTCTTCAGCCTGCACTTCACTGTCACCTGTCTATCCACTCTCAGCTTTTTCTCTCTGAGGTCTGCCAAAATTATACTGGTTAGTCGATAATTTGGTCTCTCTCAGTGGGAGTGTGCTTCCTGGCTACATCTAGTTGGCCATCTTGTCCCCTCCATTTGTTCCCTAGGTACACACATCCATACACACACTCTTATACCTATAGTACTAGTCATGTTTCATTAGATTTTTAGAAAATATAGTATTTGGAAATTTCTTAGCTAAGAAGGAAAATAAAGTACAATATAAATTGTAGTTTCTCATATTTTTAGTGAACATGTAAGATATTTGAGTTATTACTTAGTATAGTTAAGAGTATATTATTTTTAATGTAAAAAATAAAACTACTTTCATTTAAGTTATATTCCTTCTATGTGCTACTTTTACCTAAGATTTAAAGTTTACCCAATCAAAACCTAATCCTTCTTTACAATATAATTAGAATGTCAAATCAAACACATTTATTTGTTTAGGTTTCCCTAAAAGACCTTGAGTGCAGTAGGTGATGATAAATGTTTTGTACAAGTTTACCAAGAGCAAACATTATGATCATCCATAAATTAATCAAATTTACTCTAACAAGGGAATTTTATTTGCTCATAGGTAAGATAAGGGAAAGTAAAGCCTGCGTCTTCTTCTTTTTTTAAAAAAAGGCTATTTCTGTAAGTTTCTTGCAGATTGTTTCTAATTCCCTATATTTTATTAATGATAGAATCATCAGAATAGAGTTTCCCAATTATAAAATTGAGTGATAATCTACCATTGTTCCACCAACTTCTCCTCTCCTTGTTCTATGAAGAAACAGATTGTATCATCTTCCTCATCATCACAAAACATCACACAAATCATCAAGGATTTAATTTTGTGTGATACCATAACAAATAATATAGAAAGTCCTAAGTACTGACCTGTACGTACTGTCTTACATGCTTCTTCAGGCAATTTAGCAGGATTGCTGGACGGGACTCCTGTAGTTAAATTTACTCTAAAAATACTCTCTCTCTCTCTCTCTCTGTCTCTCTCTCTCTCTCACACACACACACACACACACACACACACACACACATATGAAGAGAGGAGAGAGATTCTATTTTCTCTAGGAGTGTAAGAAACCGTGTTGATGATGAAACATTATGAGAAATGTCCTAGCAGGGAGAAAAGCATTATACTTCAAAATGATCAAAACAGTGAAAAACCACAGGATAGCAAATACACTGCAGCACAATAGAACAAGCTAAGCCTACAGATCAGGCATGCATTGAGGTGTGGAAAGCCTAAGAAAGCTAACATAAAGTTTCACTGCACCAGTGGATATGATTCAGTCCAACAAAAGCCATCTTCTGAATAATGGGAATAACATTAAGGAAAAGTTATAATTACATGGGTAGATACCTCACACTACAAATCCTACAGAACTATCTAGTTCTTCTATGATGCATATTATGTGTACTATGAAAGAATGTCTTCCTCACAAATAAATACACAACCAGAGTGCAGAAAAAGAAGACAATGCAACAGTATTGAAATATTCAGTCACTCACTGCCTCTGTATCTAGCAAGTGACTAAGATGCTGTAGGCAGCATTAAACATTTTAATGTTAGGAGGTGGCAATGGATGAATGTGTCTTTGTTGAACCCATTTAACACGGTAATGAGAAATATATTGCTATAGATAACATCTGTGAATTAATATAAAAGGCCACAAAGCGGCTAAAAACAATGACAAAAAGTAGATTTATTCTTATTCCAAAATGTTGAAGTTACTATTAAGCAGCCTCTTTTTTCCCTCTACATAAAATTAAAATTAATGCCTTTTATAAAAAGATATATGGCAATTAAGTTGGACAATTATTCCTAGCTATTGACCAAACAATGTTCTCATCTCTTCAGCCCACCAACATTATATAATGACAATATGTTTTCTCAAGGAAGTGAGAAATGATCACAGCAGTTTAACAATGGCTTGTGTGACCCATGAAATATATATATTAACCTAGAGTTATATTTTTCCACGTTTACTACCGTTTCAAATAACAATGGGAAAGTAAGATTAAGTTTTAAGACTTTAAAATAAGAACAGTTTATTTTAGGTTAACTTTAAGGTGAGTTTATAATATAGTAAAGCAAACATTAAAATGTTCCTTAGCTACTTCCTTGATGTAAGTAAATATATTCAATATTTGCTTTCATGGGGAAAGTATATTTTCAGATCAACTTGTGTATCAAACTATCAATATCTTTCCTGTTCACATAAATTCCAACTTTAAACTGGGTGTGTAGTCTACAATCAACTTCTATCACTTCTTTTACACTAATTCCCTCTTCAACCTTTTGACATTTAATTTTTATTAAACTTTAATAAAGTTGCGTTTTCAAAGATCACCAAATAACTAACTTGATGTGAAGTCAGGTGCCTCTTTTGTGACTTCACCTGTTTGATCTCTTTCAAGCACTTACTGTTGCCCACCCCTTAGTTTCTTCTTTGGTTTCTATGGCACAGATCTCTTAGTATTTCTTTCAACTTGCTGCCAGCCATCTGTTTGATCCTTTCAGTTAGTTCTTTCTCTCCACCTACATTTTAAGTTGTTGCATCCATTTTTACTTCTTAATCCACAAACTCTTTTATAGCACTTTCATTCTCTCACATGACTTCCATACTCATATCTTTGTAAGTGATTACCAGAAGTGTATGGTGTCTCCAAGTCTCATATCCAATTACACAATGAGTACCCCAGCCTCACTCAACATGTCTTAGAGAAAGCTCAGCATTTTCTCCTGCAGACCTGAGTTCCTTATCTTAGTTAACGGTATTACAATATTCTCAATTGCATAAATTATAATATTTTACATAGTAAACAAGTCCTTTCCAGTGGGAACAGTAGACACCAGGTACTACTGGAGAGAAGAGGGAGGAAAAGGGGCAAGGACTGAAAGACCACCTATTGGGTACTATGCTCACTACCTGAGTGACAAGATCAGTCATACCCTAGGCAATATACACACACAACATACCTGCACATGTACCCCCGAACCTAAAATAAAAGTGGAAATAAAAATAAATGAATAAAAATAAGTCATTTCCTTTGTATAACTGCAATTCCTAGTACCTTAAGTTTTTATGCTTCTGGTAACCTACACATCACATTTGGTAGGCTTCCACATTAACTGCCTGGGGACGGTCTTATGATTGATGGCTTACATCCCATCCCTGAGTAAGAATCGTATCTTGAGTCCCTCATATCTTATTGTGAGTTCTTCAAACTGTTGATGTACTAATTAATCCATAACCTATTGCCATTGAGAAGGACGCTGATTTGTTTCTAAATCATGAAGTTATGCTGTTTTGTTTCTGGATTGTGAAATTTTACAGATTGTTTTAGGCATAAAGCATCTTAGCCATTATGCTGTCATCTGTAACCAACAATTGTAACCTCTGTATAGTACCCGCCAATGAAAAAAAAAAAAAACAACTCTGATATGAGAAGTCCCCTTCTCTTCTCTTAAATTTTATTTTAAAAATGTTCCAATTTGTACACTTTTACACTGTTGGTGGGACAGTAAACTAGTTCAACCATTGTGGAAGATAGTGTGGCGATTCCTCAGGGATCAAGAACTAGACATACTATTTGACCCAGCCATCTCATCACTGGGTATATACCCAAAGGATTATAAGTCATGCTGCTATAAAGACACATGCACACATATGTATATTGCAGCACTATTCACAATAGCAAAGACTTGGAACCAACCCAAATGTTCATCAATGATAGACTGGATTAAGAAAATGTGGCACATATATACCATGGAATACTATGTAGCCATAAAAAATGATGAGTTCATGTCCTTTGTAGGGACATGGATGAAGCTGGAAACCAGCATTCTCAGCAAACTAACGCAAGGACAAAAAACCAAACACCGCATGTTCTCACTCATAGGTGGGAATTGCACAGTGAGAACACATGGACACAGGAAGGGGAACATCACACACTGGGGCCTGCTGTGGGGTGGGGGAAGGGGGAGGGATAGCATTAGGAGATATACCTAATGTAAAGGATGAGTTAATGGGTGCAGCACACCAACATGGCACATGTATACACAGGTAACAAACCTGCAAGTTGTGCACATGTACCCTAGAACTTAAAGTATAATAAAAATAAATAAAAAATAAAAACGTTCCAACTTGTAACAGATTTTGGAACAAGTTTACGTTTATTGGTGTGTCTTCCTAGGTCAATCCTCACATTTGGCTTCCAGAAACTTTTATCAAATTATTTCTGCCTTAACAGTCTTAATTTCAGCTGATACTTGTTATTTCTGTCCTGGATTGTACAATAATATCTTAACTAGATTCCACAATTCCAAGCAATTCTTTGTGGTTTTGTCAATGTTTTCTTTCTAAAACCTAAATGTGAAAGTGTCACATCTCTACTAGAAAACTAAAATCAGTTGCAAAGTTAAGCTAAAATTTCCCAGACTTCCATCATCTGATTCAGTTAATATTACAGCTTTATTTCTTCAAGACATTCATCCCAATGTTCCTTGCTTTCTAGCATAGTTATGCTAAATGTTGTCTTTTCTGCTGGCTTTTGCTTTCTGGAACACATTTCACTTCATATATATCCATAGGGAAGTTTTTCCAAAGCTTTAGTTTTCTAGGCTTAGCTCATTAACATTGCAAAAAAACCCCACAAAACCTCTGCAGAGAGAATTAATTAGATTAAATCCCTCCTCTCCTGTCTTTCCGTATCCCTTCTTTTATATCTGACTGATAGCCTCAGTAAAATAATTAATATTAAAATACACACATCTTCTGAGCATAAGCTCTTAATAAATTGTGACCTCCTTAAAGACTATATTGATCTTTAAATTTCTATCATTCGTTGGTCGATGATGGGTAGCAGATACCAAATATTTTTAATTGTGTAAATAAATGAGTTCAAGTTTTGTAGATGCAGTTAAGAAAGTGGTTATAAGAAATAAAGTATATAATTTTAAAACACCTCCTATTTCTAATATAATATTCTACTGCCTATGAATTAGTACTGCTGTGTTTATGTCCACTTTATTTCCTTACTGCCTATCAACTTTGCTCAACAGTGGTTGTTTCTTAATGATTATTCCGTGTGTGAGATATCTAGCTTCAACTCCACCCCCTACCCCTGTTGCTGTGTGAGCAGGCAAATGATAGTAGCTGTGTTAGCATTAATTTAATAAAATGTAAACTTACTTAAACAACTGGTATTCACATTATGGCGCTTCAGAATATGTTTCAATGGAAATGTAGAGAGAAGTATATTTTTATTTCTAATAAGTCAGAAAAAAATAAGAAAATTTTCAACTTAAAATGCTGTTTAGCCAATCTCTATCACTTAAAACATGTTTTATAGTATTGCCTGGAAATATAAATTTCTTCCAAAAGCATCTATCGCTTTATTCACTAACTAGTATTTTAGGTACTTCCCAGAAAGAATAGAACTGTCATTATATTAAATAGTATACAATATGGCAACTCTACTTAGTGTTATCTATTCTTATACCACTTTTTTCCATCATGCATTGTTTTTTTCTTCTGTAATTGTTCAGCATTTCAGCATGTAAGTCTGAGGTGTGTGGAAATGTCAGAGTGTGAAAGTGTGGCTGTCTTTGTACATTATAAGTCTGCATTTATTACACAGATGCCGATCATACTGTCATCTCACAGGGCCAACGCCAACTTACAATCCCCCTATGTTTCAGTTTTTATGTAAGAAAAAAATATATTATGCAAAGTGAAGAATTGGCAGCCAAGAGGTAAAAGCTGCTAAATGTCAGTTGACAAAATCATGAGAGCTTACGCATGAGAAGCTATATATTTTTACTATATGACACTATATTAGGCTGGAAGAACAGCCTTCTGAAGAGGAGAAAAAATCTGACTATACTCTGATTTCTTGGAAGCAGTCTTCTTCAAGAGAATACAAATTAATTGCATGTAATTTTTTCTTATACTATATAGGAAAACTTGTCCAAGTTTTAGCAATATAATACAAGATTATTACTAAATCATCACATTAATATGTTTTTAAAGAAATGTTCACTTTTAGAAGAAAGTATAACATTTTTCATGAAAAATATTAAATGATAATCATGTAGCGGCTTAAACTGACAAATATATGATTTTTGCAGAATAAACATTTTTAGCTTAGAAAACTAAAAAATAAAGAAAAAATTTGTTTTTAAATAACTATAAAAATTCTACACTAATATTCAGCCACATTTTCTTCTGGTTTGGGAGGTTTCAGTTTTGTTCAATTTTGAGATGTTATCATATGCACAGTGCTATACCAAATACTGCATAAAAGTAATTATTCATTGACGAATTTTTCATGAAATCAATTGTCTAAACTATGATCGTTTTCTGTGCCTTTGGTTTAATTCTATTGCTTTGATTCTTTTTTCTGTAGGCCCAGCATCATACTTCCCTAAATTATTTAAAGTTTAGAATATGTTTTATTTTTCATCTTTGCAGCTCTTCATTAATTTTCCTGAACATTATTCTTTTATTTGGATTTCACATATGCTTCCTCCATGTAAGGCATTTCTATAAATTAAAAGACCCTTTGAATTTGTATTGCAATTGCATGAAAATGCAATAGTCATTCAAAAAGAATTCTTTTCTGATTATCAATTAAATTTTAACAAGCTACACCCCAAACTTTAGTGGCTTAAAATGACAAATATTTTATGATATCCTGTGATTCTGTGGGTCAATAATTTCAAGAGGATTTAGCTAGACAGTTCTGCTCCACATAGGTTTAAGGTCACTTGGTGGTAGTCACTACAATTGAGCCAGTCTGGAGATTCCAAGACAACTTTATTCAAATACCTAATACCTTAGCCTGGATGGCTGGAGTGCTCCCTCCCCATTTAGTCTAAGGGCCTTTCCATATGGACTCTTCCACAAGTTGCTGAACCTCATGCATGGCAGCTCAGGATTCAAGAAACCAAGGTTGAAGCTTCTAGCTTCATAAAAAATAGGTCTGAAGTAGCAAAGAGTCACTTTTGCTGTGCTCTATTAGACAAAGCAGTCACAAGCCAGCCAAGATTCAAGGAGAAGGAGCTAGACCTCACTGCCTGAAGAAAAAAAAGTGGCAAAGATTCTGCAGCCATCTTTAATCCAGCATAGTTGGCCCTCTGCTCACAAATTATCTGTAGTCTTCTAACATATCAAATACACTTATCTCCTCCCAAGATTCCCAAACTATGACTCCATTACAGTCTCAGATCAAAGTGATGAAAAGAGAATTTTACCACTTAAGATGTGGTATGTAATATAGAGTATAAGACAAGGCTGAAATTCAACCAGTATACATTTGTGGTGCCATCCTGCATGTTAAATTAATAAAGTACTTCCAAAGTTTGATTCTGTTTAAATCTCTCAGCTCTGCCCAATTCCTCACAACTGCCCCTGCCTTGAGTCACTGTCCTTAATCCAGCATTTAAAGTGTTAAAACCTGGCACAGTCAGTGCTTTTGGGGATAAACCTTCAGGAAGAAGGCCCATCTTCTTCCTAATTGCAAAGTACTCTTGACAGTCTAATTCAATATTATTCATATCGACATTGGAAGGAAGACAAACTAGTAAAATGTACAAATAAAGTTTATACTGTATTATATTATTTATACAGTAAATAGATTTGATGAGAGTCAGATAGTGATGTCCCAAGAACCTCATTTTCTCCTCACTTTTGGTATCTTAGCCCAAACTGGCTCACTGAAACTATTCTCACTGTTCCTGGCTGGTAGGGCTGTTTCCAAGGCCTAGGAATGCAGGCCTTAGTGCTCACTGTATACATTTCTTATCACTCTTCCTGGCCCAGAGATATCATTGTGTAGAGAAACTAGGTGTTTCCTAGCTCCTATTAGGGTGCTAACTTATAAATATGGTCTGGAGGTATTTTTCCCACTCTTCTTGGTGTGCTCTGGCTTTATGCCTACACTTGCTTCTGGCTGAAGCTGGCCTCCCTCTGTGGAAACTTTGGCTGAGATGCATACAGAACCCCTTCATGCCCCTCCGTGTTATGGAATTGAGTTTGGAGGACAGCATGCTCTCTGCTACCTCTCTGATTGTTAATTATTCCCCCTTCCAAATTTTTATAACTGTATTCTGTGGCAGTAGTGGCATGTTATCTGTGATGTCCTCCAACCCTGCACAATACTATTCAATGAAATAATTAATAAGGAATATTTCATCATTTTTACAATCATCTTAAATAATTTTGTTTACTTGAAAATGTAATAGCATGTTACATGAAAAATTAAAATATATAGACTTAAGCAGAAATAATCCATTTTCTCTATCAGTTCTTGTGTAAAGACTCAAACATTGCAAAAGTCACTGATCTTCATTAAAATTTTAAAAGTTAATAATTCAGTTTATTTACCAGAAAATCTTATATTAAGCCAGTTATAGAATAATTTTTCAATCGAATTTAATTTCAAATCATCTGCAGAAAATTAGAATAAACAATGGCACTTTTGAAAATATACATTTATGATCTTATCAGCTTAATTATAACTTTGTTTTTGACATTTCAACTTCAGCAGGTATATATCGGGATTTGTCTGGTCAAAAATTTAAGACCTGTGTTCTAGGAAATGTATAACATTTTTTAGCAACATGAAGAAGCTTTTGACAGAGCCATTTACAATCTATTAACTATAATCCACACCACCTATGTCATTATCATGTGAATTGAGCTGAAAGACCTGACCACCTGCTCTTCTGCACAGAGCAGATTACATCTCTGTCATTCACTGAGCATTTTAAAAAGATATTTTTAAATTATTACAAACAGAAAACATTAAAAAAAATAAGCTTTGGAAAAAAATAAACATGGAAAATATTTTCAGTGCTTAAATCCTGTTGAGATTTAGATTTCTGGATAAATAATATTTTTAAATCTACATTTTTAGTCAATTGTGAAGAAAGGGATCCTGTTCTATTATTCTATCTAATACATTTTTGTGAAACATAGGAAAATAATTGTTTTTAAGTTATTATAAAAATATACTAGTAACATGTCTATTATTGTTTTTGAGAGTGTGTGAGTCAATGTTCTTACCCTTTCTATATAGAACATCTTTTTGAAATAAGGGACATTGAGCTGTATTTTTTGGTAATAATTGTATTATTTTATTTCTTCACTTATTACATTGGATGAAAATTCAAGATTAATGCAATAGCAGTCATATTTCTTAAGATTAAATGGGAATGCCAACAGATATGATCTATGAAAAATAATATTTGTTCATATTTTATTAACAACCTTCATTAATGTCATATATTTAATTTCATCAAACTTTTATAATCTATTAAATAATTATATATTTTCCCTTTGACCAGTGATGAAACAAATTATATTAATATATTGAAACATTAATAGATTGAGTACTTTTTTTTTTTTTTGAGACATTGTCTTGCTCTGTCGCCAGGCTGGAGTTCAGTGGCACGATCTCTGCTCACTGCAACCTCCGCCTCCTGGGTTCAAGGGATCCTCCTGCCTCAGACTCCCGAGTAGCTGGGACTGCAGGCACGTGCCACCACTCCCAGCTAATTTTTAAAAATATTTTTAGTAGAGAGGGGTTTTCACCATGTTGACCAGGATGGTCTTGATCTCTTGACCTTGTGATCCTCCCTCTTTGACCTCCCAAAGTGCTGGTATTACAGGCATGAGCCACTGCTCCTAGCCTGATCACATAACATTTTATGAGAATTCCCCCACCAAAATTTACTTTATTCCGTATTGCTGGATTTGTTTTGCTATATTTTAAAAATATTTTTAAACTAAGATATTTCTTTAATTTTCAAACATGAGATTCTTTTTTGTGCTACTTTTGTCAAATTTTGGTAGCAGAAGTTTCCCAGCCTCATAAAATCAATTTAGAAATTTTGTATCCTAGTCTATATGTTGAAAAACCTTAATAATATATTTAAAAATAGCTATTCTTGGTGAAATTTAGAAAATTGACTTTTAAAAGCATCCGACAATAATTATCTCTACTAGAGATAATTATTGGACATATTTTTCTATTTTATTCAAGTTTGTTCCCCTAGTTTTATTCTCATTTTTTAAATAAAACCTACTGATCATCTATGTTTTGCTACAAATCTCCCATTTGATTCCGATTTTTCAAATGCTTTCTGAAAATATATATAGTAAATAGTTTGATGGTTTTTCTATAAAATCTTGGTTTTAAATTTATGTATCTGTTTTCTTTCTTTCCCTCCAATTGGCTAGGATTTTAAAAGTTTTCATAATAATTTTTAAAAATAATTTTTCTCTGTATTTTTAATTCTACTAATAATTTTTACTTATATCTCTATTATTTCCTTGTTGCTATTTTGATTTATGCGGTTTGTTTCAAACCATAATCTCTTCTCTCTGCATGCTTAATTCTAGCCCTTTTTTTCACCAATTGAGTCTTTGAGTATTTTGTTATAAAAGTGAGCATGTTATGACATCTTTGTTGAATTCATTTATGTTTCAAAATTCCTTTGCTACCCCATCACCACACAGCCCCTTCAAAAAGAGCCAGTCGCCTAATATTTATTTGTTCAGTTATACTTTTCCACTTCAAAGCTCTTTAGGTTGGTCTATTTTTATATGATATTTAATATTTGGAGTAATATTCTTAGTTCAATATATTTCTACCTGATGCTTTATTTTCAATTAATTATCTTTAACAGACAATAAATCTTGACTTATGAAAGCATCTTAATGCAGAATATTTTTATTTTTCCGTTATACTTTTTTTTTTTTTTTGAGAGAGGGTCTCACTCTGTTGCCCAGGCTAGAGTGCAGCAACATGATCTCCGCTAGCTGCCACCTCTGCCTCCTGGGTTCAAGTGATTCTTGTGTCTCAGCCTCCTGAGTAGCTGGGACCACAGGCCTGCACCATCATGCCTGGCTAATTTTTGTATTTTTGGTAGAGATGGGGTTTCACCATGTTGGCCAGGCTGGTCTCAAACTCCTGGCCTCAAATGATCCACCGGCCTTGGCCTTGGCCCCCTTAAGTGCTGGGATTACAGGTGTGAGCCATCACACCCAGTCTCCATTATATATTTTAAATGCTGTTCATGCTCAATTCTCTGTATTTTCTTTTCTCCAGCAAAACCAATAGCCTCATATTTTCTCTATACAATACTGATTTAGTCATCTCTGTCATTCATGTTGACTTTAATTCTAATACTATATTTTGTTTCTCTAGTTACTGATCTGTTTTCTTTTGGTTTTCTTCTCAGCTGGACAATTAGTAATTTACTATATTATTTTACCAATTTTTCTGTTACATATATTTTTTTAAAAATGTGTTCTGGTGGGCAGTTGGGGGAGAGAAATTTTACTGGTAATAAAAGGCAGGAGATTTCTACTATGTTTCTTTTCTTTGCATTTTTCCATAGCATGCCCTTTGTATGCTATCATAATGTCTTATTTGGTCATCTAGTTTGTACATTATTATTGGAGAGAATAGTTGTGTGTCTACTTATTCTTGAGTGAAGTGGGAAATATCCAAGCCTAGCATGGTAATTTTCATGACCAGCAACGGGGTAGGAGTATCCTTCTGTTCTTCGGTTGCTGTTAAAATTCTTTTTTCTGATTTTAAGTTACTGGCTGGGAGATATAAATATACTTCTTTATTTCAGTAATTATCATTCTAAGAAAAAGAAAAGCCTTTTCAGGACAAAATTCCTTCCATGAACCCTTTAAATCATTTATAGAACTCAACATAATTTGGGACACATATAAATTTCTTTTGATGGATTAAAAAGTGGTGTAGTGATACTATGAAGACAAAATTGGTAGAGCAATAAAAATTCTTACTTCATATTTCATATACATATCAAAGTTCTTGATTTGAAGTCATACAGCCATTTGTAGCATGCACTGTTGTGTGTAAATTTGTGTCTTGTGCTAAGCATGCTTTCAGGCCCAAAGTTGTTTATGGCCAAATACTTGGATTTGCTCATTTATATGCCCACCAACTATAGAGTAATCTTACACATTTTTATAAATATATGTTATTGCACACCAGAAAATGAAATTTAAAATGTAGAATTTTAAGTGTGTTAAAATGTAATTTTTGAAACATGGAAAGGTAACACAAATCAAGTGTTAGGCTTGTTTCCTCAATCATACTCTACGTGTCTAGCAGAGTCATTGGACCTAAGAATAAACGAGCAGGGCCAAAGTTAAGTAGGCTGTTTTTCATAATGTTAGTAGCTTGGCTTCTTTTTATGCAAGATTGCAAACCTCAGTTTTGGCCGACCCTTACTATTTGTATGGCCTGATGTCCAATATCTATTATATATCCCTGTCTTTCTGCCTGCTAGTACATAATCTGCTTTGTCCAATCTTTGCTAATACTAAAAACTTTTACTTAGTAAAGGTTTAACTACTGTTTCTGCAATTTGGTGTTTAAAGTGGCTCATATTCCTCTTCATTCATGTATGTCTATACTTTATGTATATATGTATATATATATGTGTGTATATATATATATATATATATACGCCTTGTTGCAAGGGTCATTTACAAATATTTTTAAATTCAGTTCATAATTTTTTCCTTCTTAAAATTTACCTAACAACCTTCACCATCATCACCCAGATGGATTTGCCCAATATATTCTTAAAGCCACCACTGTATTTTTTATATGAAACTTAATTGTGTATTTTATCTCTCCAATTATAATGTAGCTCTTTTTCAATTAGAGGTTACATCTTATTTATCTTTGCAACACTAGTACTTAGTATGCCACTGAAAACTGCTGAATTAGCTTGTTTTACAAAATGTATGCTATAGGTGCTCCACATTATAACACAGAAACTATTGATATTTGTAGAAAAGGTATCAGTAGCAGGGGCCTGGCCCAAGTGCCTGTTCTGTTACTTACTAGCTAAAGGTCTTCAGGCAAACTAATGTCCATTAAACAGGATTAAAATTTTTGCATTCCTTATAGCGTTGAGAATTAAATGAGTTATGGTATATAACACACATAGCAACCATTGAATAAATTTTAACAAATATTATTACCCCTATATGTCAGTAAGGTAGTAAGTAGTATTCTAAAGGATAGCATAAAGAGTACCAGAATTACTTTGCAGTGAGTTGTCATCAGAGTATAATTTAATATTTTGCTTGTTGGTGACCCAATTCTAGTAATTAACATCAAATGGGGTTTATAAAAAGATCAGTGGTAGATTTACATGACACAGCCATAAGGAAGATTTGAAACTCCTAGTGCTTGTAGTGCTAAAACGCAATAGCTCATTAAAGCATATTAGCAAGTCCACATGTTTCTGAGAAGACTATCGTGATCTGGGTGTCTATTACCCTATCAGTGTTTACAACTCTATTTAGTGCATCTCTCTAGGCTATCATTTCATCTTTAAATCTCCCATACTGGGTACAATGTTGGCAGATAGACACTCAATAACTACATTTAGGGAGAATGAAAACAAGAAACAAAAAACACTTCTGTAAAACAATGGCCTGATTATCAAAAATTCAATTTATTTACAACAAAACTATACTTAAACTGGTAAAATTTTTGCTTCTGATGTTATTTGGTTTATGTTATTACAGTGGAGATTAATTTTTCAAACTGCCTTTATTGTTGTTGTTTTCTTCTCTTGGCTTTTAAAAAAAATGTTACTACGTATTTTATGAAAAATCATGTGCTGAGGAAAAAATATGAAAATGAGACCTACCAATTTAGTTATTTAATGTTTTAAGTTTTATTTTTAATTGATGCATGAGAATTATACATGCTTATGAGGTAAAGAGTGATGTTTCCATACATGTTTAGCTGGTATAATGATCAAATCAGGATATATAGCTTATCTATTCCCTCAAATGCTTATTTCTTGGTGGTTAGAACATTCATAATCCTCTCCAGTTATTTTGATATATAGAATATTGTTAACTATAGTTACCCTATTTTGTAATAGCACAGCAGAATGTATTCCTTCTATATAATTGTAATTTTGTATCCATTGAACAATCTCTGCCCATCTCTTGCTTTTCCCCTACCTTCCCCAACCTCTGGTAACCACTATACTACTCTACTCCTATATCAACTTTTTTAGATTCTGCAAGTGAATCAGATATGTGGTATTTGTCTTTCTGTGCCTAGCTTATTTTACTTAGCATAATGTTCTCCAGTTCCATTTATATTGCCTCAAATGACAGGATTTCATTCTTTGTAATGTCTGAATAGTATTCCATTGTGTATGTATAACACATTTTTGTTATCCATGCTTCCATTGATGGACATTTGGGTTGGGTACTTATCTTGGTTATTGTTTATAATGCTACAATAATCATGGAAGCACAATTATCTCTTCAACATACTGATTTTATTTCCATTAGATAATTGCTCAGTAGTGGGATTCCTGGATCATACGGTAGTTCTACTTTTTACTTTTTTGAGGAAGCTCCATACTGTTTTACATAATAGCTGTACTAACGCCCACCAACAGTGAACAAGAGTTCCCCTTTGTCTGGATCCTTAAAAGCAATTGTTAATTTTTTGGCTTTTGAATAATAGTCATTCTAATTGTGGTGAGGTGATATCTCATTGTGATTGTGATTTGCATTTTCCTAATGGTTGGTAATGTTGAGCATTTTTTTATATGCATATTGGCTATTTGTATGGTACCAATTTAAACTTTACATTTCATCAAAGTTAATTTTTAACTTTGGGTGGATCACTTGAGTCCAGGAGTTTGAGACCAGCTGGGACAACATAGTGAGACCCTATCACTACAAAAAAAATAAAAATAAAAAAGTAGCTAGGTGTGGTAGCATTTGCCTCTAGTTCCAGCTACTAGAGAAGCTGAAGTGAGAGAACTGCTTGAGCCCAGAAGGTTGAAGCTATAGTAAGCCAAGATCACACCACTGTACTCCAGCCTGGGCAATAGAGTGAAACCCTGTCTGCAAAAAAATAAAAATAAAAACAAATAATAATAATTGAAGTCAATGCCTAGGTGATAAATTTAAGCTATATTCCAAAATCTATTTAATTGATAAAATAATAGAACATATTGATGGATTTGATTGTACAAGTAGTGGGAGGGAAAGACAGCAGCTGAGGTTTGCTGTAATACTTACTTGTAAAATTATGTAAATGATATCTTTGAACAAGACAGAAAGTACAGAAGAAGCGAAATTTAGAAGTAGGCTAAGAAGTAATTAATTTAGACTGAAAGAACACAATTTTATGTTGTCTATGAGATACACAAAAGGTAAAGCATCCCAGAACAGAGGAAGAGTTTAGATATGGCTATCATCATTGCCTGGAAATCATAAGAATTGATTATTCCAAAGATGAAACCATACAGGAACAACATCTGGTACAAGAAATTGGCCAATGAATGAACAGAGAGCAACAAAAATTTATTAACTGTGAAGAATGAGAGAAATTTGTTAGGAACCCTAAGAAGAGTAGTTATATTAATGAGAGGACATGAAAGAGTAGACTCACGAGGTGGAAAAGAGGAAAGTCACAAATACAGTGGGTGAGTAGCGATGTCAAATGCCAACAATAGGTCAGATTAAATGAAAACTTAAAATAGGCTTTTACATCAGTTACTTCAGCATCAATTTTGGAGTGGAAGTCAAAGGCAGTAGATCTGTAAATTAATTTGAGGAAATGGAAATTTTTTGTTACTATTTTCAGAGGGTCTGGAAGTGAGGTGAATCAAAAGAAAAAATAATAGAGAAAGGAGGTCAAGGCAAGAGGAATGGAAAAGAATTCAGATATACATAAGTTTGGTCTCAGAGCACTACGAAAGTTAAAAGGTTGAGCATTGAATTTGTCTTGTTAATTTGCTCTGGACCAAGTTGAGTGAGGAAACGGTACAGAGTAAAAATTTGTAATAGTTGTTATAAGAAACGTAAGAAAGATGGACTGTAGACAAGTAAAAACATGACTGAATGGCCATGGCATGGGTCATATTTAGAAACCATCAAGTTATAATTGTGTCACTCAGCGTTATTCCATTATTATCCCTTCAGCAGGCTAGAAGAAGAAAAATTCCATTTTAAGAAACCAAACATGAGATAAATATTCCATGGAAATTTTCTTGAGTTAATCTCATTTGCCTGTGAAAGAAATGTCACTAAAATGTTTATCTGCAAACAAGAAAGAAATCCTGTTTATCTCTTAAAATGATATATAAGAAAGAGCTGGGCAAGGTGGCTCACATCTGTAATCCCAGTGCTTTGGGAGGCTGAGACAGGAGAATTGCTTGAGGCCAGCAGTTCTAGAACAGCCTGGGCAACACAGTAAGACCCTGTCTCTACAAAAATAGTAAAAAATTAACTGGGTATGATGGTGTGCGCCTATAGTGCTAGCTCCTGAGTGAGGAGGATTGCTTGAGCGAGTAGGAGTTTGAGGTTTCAGGGAGCTATAATGGTGCCACACTGCACTCCAGGCTGGGTGACAAAGTGATACTTTGTCTCTTAAAAAAAAAAAAAGATATATAAGAAAGAGCAGGGCTGTGTGCAGTGGCTCATGCCTGTAAACCCAGCACTTTGGGAGGCCGAGGCTGATGGATCACCTGAGATCAGGAGTTTCAGACCAGCCTGGTCAACATGGTGAAACCCCATCTCTACTAAAAATACAAAACTTAGCTGGGCGTGGTGGTGGGCACCTGTAATCCCAGCTACTTGGGAGGCTGAGACAGGAGAATCACCTGAACCTGGGAGGAGGGGGTTGCAGTGAGCTGAGATCCCGCCATTTCACTCTAGCCTGGGCAACAAGAGTGAAACTCCATCTCAAAAAAAAAAAAAAAAAAAAAGGCAAGAAGTACTAACAAACTTTCATAAAATTAGTATAAAACCAGTTTTATTTTTTAACAAAATTCAAATTACTTCAAAGCTTCTTTGAATTAAAAACCAATTTTAGTTTTATATTTTACAGAACTTGAAAAGGTATATTCACTACTTGCAGATCTCTAACAATAGCACTCTTGGTAAAGAATAGGATGATTTTAACTTAGGAATATTTAGCAAGAAACTGAAATTTAATGATATACAATAATAACTGCAATATTGTTATTTTTCTTTGTACTATGGATTATTGGCATGGTATATTCTTTTTTTTTTTCCTTTCTTTTTTCTCTTTTTTTTTTCTTTTGTTTCCTGAGCTTTGAAGTATGGTATGGTTTTTAAAGTTGAATTTAGCATGAGAAGATTTTGGTTCAAATTATGGCTCTGCACCAACGGTGTTTTTTATTTGTAGCTGCTTCAACAGTTGCGATTGATTGTTTTTATGGCTAGTCCTGATTGCACCATAATTGGGACATTGGGTTTGTTTTGTTTTTGTTTTTTGTCTCTGTTTGAATGAGTTACTACAGAATGAAGAAATAGGTAAGCAAAGTGTTTGAAACATAGCTGGTGCTAATAAATGGCATTTATTATTGTCATGATTTCTGTACTCATTTTTCTATTAACTTCTAAGACATCATTATACACTAAAGTCTATCTTTCACACTGTAAATTTAGGCAGAGTTTTGTTCCTACAAAAATATGATAATAATTATCATCTTTGCTCCTCTAAACTGATATAGCGTTCACATACGGTATTTATAAGATCTATTCAACTAATCAGCTAATATAAAAATATACGAGTACATGCTTCTGAAACCAATAATCTCCATTTTCACAGGCAAGGAGTGAAGATAATCAAGTGTTATAAAAAGGATAGTGGTGTTAAAGCAAAAAGTAACGACAGCATAGAAATTTCACATCTTTAGCAAATGCATCAAATCTTTTCCAAACTACAGATGAGCTTTTCTTTCCTCAGAACAAATGAATTAAAATTGAGTGAAAACGCAAACCCAAATGTTTACTTTTCATATAGCATTGATATACCTAATGAGGAATTTATTATAATACAGTATATGTAAAGCTCTTTGCTTAAAATCAGCTTAATTTTTCTTCTTGAAAGAATAGTATATTCATGATTTTTAACTAGATTTTCTTAGATGCAAGAATATTAAGATGACTACAGAATATTCTCTCTACTTTATATTGAGATATAAAATACCACACACTTATACCACTTTAGAGTCATATTTATTAAATTTCATTTCTGGAGCATGACATAGTTGAAAGGTCTGTTAAAGTGATATTGCAATTACAATGTGTGTTTAAAGCACAACAAGGGAAATATAATTCTTAATACAAATGGTTTTATGGCTGGTAGTGCAGTTTATTCTCTCGTTGGTGGCTCTCACATAAGCTGGAGGATATTCTACCCTCCTCCGCCCCAGAGAAAACAAGAGCGAAACAAAACAGCAAAATCTGGCTATGGACTGGATAACCAAGTTAATCTCATTTACTCGTGAATGAAATAGTTCCTCATGGTAGATCGCTGCTGAAATTTTAAGAAGCTCTGTTAACAACCACTATTGTAAAGTGGGAGTAAAACTTCAAACAAAACTTCTCTGCTGATCCTGCATTGTTACCTGTGGAATGGCTAGTATAAACAACATATAAGCCTAGCAGTGTTTTAGGAGACAAAGTATTAATCAACCACCAGGGAGCTCACCCCTATTAAACCCCCTGAGGTTTCTGAAAGTATTTTCAGTAAAGCAATTCCAATGCTTCCGGCAGTCAAAGGGTTAGTATGTTAAACTCAACTGCAATTTTTATTGAGAGGGGAGGGATGCTCTGGAATAATTAATGTGACAATTTGTAGCTGCTAAAGTTGGAGATTTTACTGTTTGTTCCTACATCCTACAATTATGTTTCCTGACAATCCTACTTAGGTCGTAGGATTTTAAAGTCATGAAATCCAAAGAGAGTCTATTTTTTTGGTAGTTAAGCAGACTGCATATTTACAAATAGAATTAAAAATAAAACACAACCAAAAGATGTCACTGTTTTCAAATTATTTTGTATTAAATTGGCCTTGAACTTGGTGTAAAGTTAGGTACCATAATAATGATTTGATTTATTTTGTCCTTATATCACTTAATCTCTTTTGGATTTCTTAAATCATTGTATCTAATTTTAATAACATTAACCATTTCCACTCCCACATACAATCCTTCAACTAGAGATATATCTTTTACAAAATACTGATTTTGAAATAATAGCAACAGAAATAGATTTAGAACTGCCTGAACTTGAATATCAGCATTGATTTTGGAGAGTTAAAGGTAATTAATTTACCTACAGAGAAGTTGGGAATGTAGTAAACAAACAAAATAAACAAACCAATGGTATTCTCTACCAATTTTTTCTTATACTTGACTTTCATTTCTTCATTTTGGCTTAATTTAGTATATAAAGACAGGGTGAAGAGAGGGAATTAGAATAAATGGAAAAGCAAAAAGAGAACATGTTTCTCATTTATAGAAAAAGCAATTACAATAGAATAAAAATGCACCAGAGTTAATTTGCCTACCAATTTAGTTCTTCCCAGACCCTGCTCTTCAAAATGCTTCTGTATCAAGATGTTGAAAAATAAAGGAACATTATGGTCATATACAGAATATGTAACAAAAAGAATAGACATGATAGATATCTATTATGTAATCCTGTGTCTAAGTATTTATACAAAATAAGCAAAATTTATGGAGTCTAATATGAGCATTTAGAAGACATATAACTTCTTTAATTAAACTAACACCCACCTGCTTTAATTGAAATAGTGATAGAAAACTGTGTTTGTACAGAAGCACAATTAAATGAATATGAAATAATTTATGTTTATATTGTCTATAAATACTGCATTTAACTCTGTAGCTATAGCTAAGCTATTAATGTTTTACAGGTCAATTTTAAAATTATAAAACACATAAACAGAATTTGTAACATTATGTTTATATGAGTCACTGTACATCCAGTGATGTGATTACTCCCAAAGGAAAAAAACAGGATTAAAACCAAGTGATTAAACTGTGGTCATAATACAGAGAATATCTCACAGATTAATCTTTTAATTTTTATGTAATTTATTTTACCTCTTCTAGACCACATAGAATTTATAGCATTTCTTGAATCTTGTATCCCTTTTCATTCTAAATCCACTGCTCATTATTTTCATAAATTTGTTTTCCTCAACACAAATTCTAATATTGCAGTTATTGTTAAGTGCCACTCAGTTTTTTTAAAGGTATTCCTAAATTAATGTCATCTTCTTATTGAAGAGTTATTTTGAGAGTCTTTTCTCTGCAGGTGGTACATTCATTTCTCCCCATTTGGCAGGACAAGTTTGAACACAGTTGCTTTCATATTCATTTTCATCAGGAATGCCAAATCTTGATACACTTTGTGACCTTTCTTATAAAGCCTTGAAAAACACAAACATAAAATATTATATGTGTTTGTTGCTAAACATATTAGTATATTTTATAAATTTTTGCACGTCCAAAAAGATTTTATTGTGCCTCCAGATGCAATTGCTGCTGATGCAAAACCGAATCAGTCATTCTTATTTTGTTGTATTGTGGGTAACTTGGCTTTGCTTCTGGATACATTTAGAATTTTCACTCTGCTTTGTGTTCCAAGATTTGACATAGTTATATTAAAGAGTAAGTCTTCAAATTTCTTCTGATTTCATTGATTGGATTCTTTCAATATGAAGACACATTTTTTAATCAGAATTTTTTTCTTTTATTTTTGCTGTAATTAACAACAAACTCATCAGTCTCTTCACTTTATTTTTCTTTCGTATTTTTAAACTCTTCATAGTTTTTATTGTAAACATTTGAGTACTCCTTTCACTTTGCCTTCAAAATCATTGAAGCTTAATTGATAGGTGTGTGTGTTTTAGTCGCAGAGCCACCAGCATTCAAAATGTAGCTGCCTACCAACAAGCTATATTGTTGTAGGCAAGTTACTCAAATTCACTCGGAGTCAGTTTCCTCATTTATAAACGAGATGATAGGAGAATCAAATTTATGGATTTATTGTGAGAATTGGGTTAGTTAAGAATAATATCAAGTGTATAGAACAGTTCTTAACCCTTTATAACCATGAAGAAAAACATTATCTATTTATTTTATGAAGGAGATAGCTTTTAGCCCTGCTAATATATTATTTGGTTTATTCATTGATTTTTTTCTATTCCAAAAATTGGTTAATTTTACTTGCTCTCTTTGCTGTTTATTTTCATATAGCTTAGTCTATTTTTCAGTATATTTTTGACTACCTAACTTCTCCACAGAATTTCATTAGCATGTGTTGTTAGTATTGTTATTTTTAATGTTCTTTTCCTGAATAGTTTGGTATCAATGTGGTCCTTTATCATGTCTTTGTTATTCCACATAGGTATGGTAATCATTGGTTTTTGGTTCATTTTTACATATAAAGACCATGTGTTTAACATAAAGAGTTGATAAAGACTTCCTTTTCAGTTTTGTGGGTCTGTTCCACAGGAGGTCTCTTCCTTAGTAAGGAAGGTTATGACAGGCACCATGTAAGAGGTTGCTTCACTGCAGAATGCCTAAACATAGCACAGTTTCCAAAGGAGGAGGACTTACTCCGACTATAGTCCTTCGGTAAATTTCATTACTAGGCAAAAGTCATGGTCTTCCATTTTTTTAAATGTTCCCCTCAGAAGCTATGATTTCTTTTCTGGGGGGGCCTTGACATCTACATTTGCAGCTACCTGTGTACTATATCTGCCATGAATAAAGAGCAGTTCTTAGTTTTAAATCCAGCTGCAACCCTAGTAGGGCAGTGGGATAAAAGGAGGAAAGCTCAGGCTGGCTGAGATGTTTTAATTAAAGTTCTGTAATAAATTACCTAGACGATCTCTTCTTCTCATCTTTTGTTCTTTGGATTTATTGACCCTAAGCTTAGAGCTTGTCTGAAGTCACATGGGAAGGAATCCTTTTCTCTGGTGTTCACAGGCGCTGGTTGCTTTTCTGTTTCCTCTTCCTAAGTTCAAACCTAATTTATTTTTACATATTCAAAAATCTTTCTGAACAATTTCTGCATACTTTTGTTTGTTTGTCTGTCTTTTAGCATGTTATGGTTACATCTTTCTAGTTTCTTTTAATAAAGGAGCTTCTCATTATCTAAGATGATCAGTTCCAGGAAAAACAAAAAGTCACTCAAAGTAAATCATCTTAAAGCAAAGACTAAAATTTTATATAAGGAGAGGGCACAATAAAGTTTGTTTGGAAAATTAGCTTAAAATAAAAAATTAAATATTTTCAAGATCCTTGGTAAGTTTTTTCATCAGTGGTTAGCTGTTTTAAAGCTGTTTTAATACCGCCATGTATTATATTAGTTTTGCATAATTTGCAATTCCAGTAGCTGCCGTTTTCTAGTATTACTTCCATTGCTTTCAAGAAATCCTGCATATATCTTTAGAATTTCAAGTTTGATTTTTGTAAATGTACATTATATTTATATTAGATTATGGGTTGTTCACAATATAGGACTGTGAAGGAGAAAATAGCTGACAAAATTGTGATGTGATAGCTAATATTAAATGATATGTATTCCATCAGTTCAGTAGAATGAAAAAATTTTTAAAAACTATGTTGTACTTTTTTATGTTTTAAATTATTTTGTAAACATTTTTTCTTTTGTAAGTCACAAACTCTATTTTCTAGACCTCATAAAAATCAATGATCTCAAATAGTTAATAGTTAAATGGCTAATAACGGTTGAATCTTCTGGAATGTTTTTTCTTACCGTCCTTTTTATAAAGCTGCTTCAAATTAATTCATAATCACTTTTCAGTGTAATAATTTAGAGATGAACTCTTAATGGTTCTCATTTTTAGAGCATTATTTTATCATGAAAGTTCATTCTAAATAATTTCTATATATTATATATACATATATTCTTTATTGCACACTTAATTTATACCACCAACTAGTAGTAAGAGGCAACCTAAGATGTAATTTTTTGGGAAGAATCCCCAACATTTCCTCACCATAACTCTTTTTAACAGAGTAAGGCTTGAGTGATTGTTGGTTTCTTTGTGAAAGCCTGCTATCCATGATAAGACTTTCTAATTCCAGCCTATCAACAATCAACAGAAGGTCTACTACTTTACCAGTCTGTTCATTTTTATATGATGATTTCTTGGACACTGTCAGGAGGCCTGTGGCATAACTGCACAATATCTCTTTTTGTTAAAATATTTTTTAGCCTTTTGCCCTTATTGAAGTACATGTCCTTATCTACAGATATTCTCTACGTATATATTTGCAAGAGTCCAGTAAGGATCTTGGTTAAGTTACTTCGCTTTTATAGCCTACATTTACAAAATTGGAATTGTTCTATATATAATTCAGGTTTTCCTTAGTATTAGTCCGTAGCCATGTGGTAACAAAAATTTTTCTTACATATTGTGAAACGCAGCAAAATTTATCTTATATATACAATATTTGTGCAAATCAGTAACCAACCTCTGTTAATTTTAAAAGAAACCCTCCATTTTAATAAAATATATGCAAAGGATTCAAACTAAATGCTTTGTTCACATAACAATTTGAGTGATTATTACCAAATATATTAGTTCTAAGTAACTCTAATCTATGTAAACATATATGATTATGGAGTATAAATGTTAACTCACTTTATTATCTAGAAAATTCCAATTTGATTATGTTGAGACTTTCAGTAAAGAGGAAAAAACTGAAGTAATAGTCTTTATTCATTAACTAGGATGAAAGAATGATTGATTGATTGTTTAATATTTAAACTGTTCTTCCATGTGCATTGAATTAACTCCTCTGTTGATAGGGTAGCTGTCATGCATAATGCTTAGACAGCTTAAATAACGAATTATTTCATTAGAGGAACGGCAGTATCATCATTGTTATTTGTTATTCATACAAATTATGCTAATTATTACCATGTCATATTTTAAGAAGCTTAGATGAAGTCCCTCAAAATTAAGCAATAGTTTTAGGACAATAAAGTAATATACTAAGACATTCCATTTGCAAAATAAGGGTTATATTAGCCATGATTTTAGAAGATGACTTTTAATCTGTGACTCTACCATTTATTTTTCATGTATTCTGGATCTATTCATATTTATTTAATGTCATTCATTTATAATGACTTATAAATAATAAGAATGGCATACTTTTATCTTTTTTTAATTTATAGAGTTAAATGTTGTGTATAATTATTAAACATTTTCTCACTAGTCCATTTTAACTCAGCTGTAATAAGTGATATTCATACCTGGCATTTGGACTGCTGAAGTCCGTCAAGAGGCCATAATTACATAGCTCTTCTCTTGTATTTATTGTGTACTAAGATAATTGGAAAACTATATTTCTGAATTTCAGATGTTCAACTAGTATCCTGACAGAGAGAACATAATACTGTTAAGGTTACTCAAAAAAAAATATGGCAGACCAATTTAATTCAGTTTTTATTGAAGGGAAGCTATTTCTGTTAGATACAATGGTGTATGCAGAGTTTTAAAAAACCATCTTTGTCCTCTAGGTCTTTAAAGTGTGGCAATGGATCAAGGTGAAACAATAATTAAATAAAAATGATAATGAAAAACAAAATAAAATGTGTGTCATAAGAAATTATAAATAAATTGTTATGCAGTCCAAGAAAGGGGAAATCACATCCAATTATAAGCAATTAGGACAGGACTTTCACTTAGGTGGGACTTACAGGGATGTTAAAAGATGACTTTAAGAAATTTTAAAACAAAAGGATTAATATAATTTTCATATGTAGAGATGAAGTGCTGAAGGCATTCTAATTAAAAAGGAAAATACTTGAAAACATAAGGCATATTTAAGAAATGCCAATTAGTTCAGGATCAGAAATGCATGTAAGTGCTGTGTGTTAATGAATACTGCTTTATTTCACTACCTTATTCTTTTTCAACCTTCACTCTGGAAAAGCAAAATCCTGTTCTCCTGTCACCATAAGAGAAGTAAAAGCTGAGAAAGATGGAGCAGATATATATATATATATATATATATATATATACACATACATATATATATATGTATGTATATATATATATATTTAAAAGAAAAACTTTAGACAAGTTAAATTTAACAGAGTCTATTTTTGCAAAAAAAACTATTCATGAATCAGGCAGCACTCTAATCCAGGAGAGGTTTAGAGAGTTCCATCCAGGAACATGGACTGGCAGCATTTGTAGCCAGAAAAAGAAATTGACACACAGAAGCAGCTTTATTGGTTATAGCTTAGCATTTGCCTTATATGAACATGATCTGGTAGGTTGCCCACCTGTGATTGGCTAAAGCTTGGCTGCTGTGATTGGCTAAGACACAGATGTTTGTTACAAAAATATACTCTTAGGTTACAGTACTTTTTTTTTTTTTAAATACTAAGTTAGGTTGCAGTTTTCTATGTAGAAATTCAAAATACAGAGGCAGTTTTAGGTCAAATGTAATGTAATTTAACAATTTGTATCTTGGTTTTGTTTCACTAAAATACACTATATTTGTGTTCTGAGACAGAGTCTCACTCTGTCACACAACTGAAGGGCGGTGGTACAATCTCGGCTCACTGCAATCTCCCCCTCCTGGGTTCAAGCAATTCTCATGCGTCAGCCTCCCAAGCAACTGGGAGTACAGGCCTGTGCCAGTAAGCCAGACTAAGTTTTGTATTTTCAGTAAAGACAGGGTTTCACCATATTGGCCAGGCTGGTCTTGAACTCCTGACCTCAAGTGATCCACTGGCCTCAGCCTCCTGAAGTGCTGGGATTACAGGCATGAGCCACCACACTGGGCTTAAAATGCACTTTAGAAATTTTCCAATCATACACCAGAAGGGTCATGGAGTAAAGATTTGAAGGTGATGTTTTTCACTTTATTCCTGAGTGAAAACTTCCTTAGGTAAGAAGAAACTGAAAAAAGTCATGAGGACCAACTCCAGCTACCACGGTTCCACATATACCTTTTTTTAGGTAACTATTCTGGGACAACCATCTGCAGTTGTACTTTCCATTAGATGAGTCAACATATTCTGAGCAATATGTTTCAATGTCTGTCATTTTAAAGAGAGTCAAGAAGTCATTCTTCTTAAATTATAGCTTATTGTGCACATTTTCAGATAATTAATGTTCAGAACATTATATTTTAACTAATTATTTCTGAAAATAGCACATTTTTAATGTATAGCCTAATTCTGTACCTTCTTGGAGTCAGAAAACACAAAAGAATCATATTGCTGGCATTACTGAGCAGTTTTAAGAACAGTCAGTTTGGAAAAAACAAAATTGGGACTCAGAGCAAAAGAATATTTTATACAAAACATTTTTGTCCATTAGTATTCCAGTTCTTGATCTTACTGTTCTTAGATATCATGACCTTTTTATTTCCTATTCACCACATGCATTGTATTTAATATAATGTATTATGGCTTAATTCAAATTCATTAAACTACACAATTAGCTGCATATTTTAATGCTTTTTCTATGCTTTCCCTCCCCCCCAAAAAAAAATGATTCTCAGAAATTTACACATTAAAAGCAAATGGATGTCCTTGAGAAAGGTTCAGTAACTGGGCCTTAGTAAATATTATAAAAACAATAATTTCTTCATCAGTATGAGAAACCAGTTTCAGAAAGCTTGAAGAATATGAATTAAGTGTTCTCTCGGAGAAATGGAAAAGGTTAAAATTCATCATTTTAACTGATAGGCTTTATACGGGAAAATAAGTAATGCAAAGAATACCAAATGCAGTTTTAATTTTGTTGTTTTCCCAAATACATTTTTTAAGGGAAAAATAGTTTAATTATTTCAATTGTAAACATGCTTATGATAATTATTGATTTTATGTTTAATTGTCCTTAATAAGATGTATCTCTGAGTTTTAAAACACTGAATAAAAAAATTATCACCATTTTACTTTTAAATGCAGTGCAACATGTAAATTGTAATTTTAATTATTTCATGTTTTATGTGGTTAGATTATCTCTGAGCCTGTCTTTCATGGGTACACAGAAATAGAATTAATTGCAATTGTAAACTTAAAACACCAATGTATTCGCAAGACTATGAAATCAGGTTTTTTACAAAAACTATTATTTCTATCTTTTAGCTTTTCTTCATTTCCTGGGGAGCAAAATTAGATAAAGTGCAAGGTCATCAGCTCTTCTACCAAAAAAGGAAAAATTAGTAGTGGTAGAGTTTGACACCAAGATGAATATTTTTTTTCTTAGTTTAACCTTGTTCTGATTAATGCTCTGCCAAAGATTGCTGCTATCAATGAGTGATATGGAATCAGTTCCTTTATTTACAAGAGAAATGAGAAAGGTTCTCTCCCCAAGCCTAAATATTATAGATTATCTACAGACAACAGGAATCAGAGGATTGCTATATTTCACAGGAATTTTGTTGAGTTTGCTATTTTTGTCTCCTAGTTTCTTAATCTACAAGGCAAAAACCCTTGGAAAGAACCACTAACAGTGTTCCTACCACAAATGAAGAGCACAAAATTCCTGAACATAGTTATTAAAGGGGACAAGAGAATGTTATCTTAAGGAATATTAATGAAAAGCTTTGGTTTTATTTAAACAAAAGGGAATTTGTATGACTGATTCCAAAGGGAGCTTGTGGGACCTACAGGAGTAGGCTAGACAGCAGAATAGAGATTAGAACCCAAAAACAGAATTCCCTTCACATGAGGGCTTATATTTAACCAAATGGAGTTGTGGAATTCTTTTGTAAAGGGTAAAAGAAGGGCTGGAAGCTTGATTTTTCCAGAGGCATTTATGTTTATGTGAGTGAGAAAGAGCATGAAGGATAGACAATGACAGTAATACATCCTTGATACTGGCACCAGACAAAAAGCCAAAGTGGAACCCAGTGGCCAAGGCTGGCCAGGAATTACTGAGGTGAGCTGGACAGGCTATGATTAAATACACAGATACTCAGGAAAGAATTCCTGGTCCATTCTTATGAAACTTCTATGTACAAACACATTTCTAATGTCATTGTCTCTTTCAACCCTATGTCTCTTGCCTTGTATTTTTCTACTCAGTTTTCCATATCTTAGGCAATATCTCAACATTTAAGATAAATGTAATCTACTTATTACATTACCAAATAGTGCATTTGAAGCTAATCTTTCCAATCTTATTTCTTAATCTTAAAATTTTTTTCAAATATTACTTTAATTTTAAATTAAGTAGACCATGCTAACTATGTAATCTTGTAAAGTTTTTTAACCTCTGATTTTTTTCATCTGTAAAATGTGGACAATCAGACTTCAAAGTGTTGAGAGGATTAAATGGCATGATATGTGTAAATTGGTAAGTAGCGAAAAATAAATGACTATTATTAATGATTTATTGTAAATTTTGCTTTAGTCTTTTAATTTTGTACTTTTACATTTCTGCAGATTGCTAAATATAATGTCTGTTTTCATGATAGCTTGGACATATCACAATGGCACAGTCCATTTACCTAATTATTATCTTGGAAAATTTGGCACATAGCTTTCCTTTGTTGTGGTTCCAGCTTGTTTAATCCCAGGGCTAGAGATGAGAGGAGTGAGGTCAATAAAATCTCCTCAACACTCTCAAGCTATTTACCATAATGAGCAATTAATTTCCTCTCTGGGATGTTTTCATACGAAGTTCTCCATTGGACATGAAAATAGAATAAAATATAAACTTGGAATATTTGCTAATAAAAGTCTAAATGCACATCCTGTACATCTAGAAGCAACATAGATTATCCACTTTTATAAATTTGTATTTAAAGTTTTTATTTAGATAGAGATTGAAGTGGCCTAAGTTATTGATATAATTTAAATAGTTTTTACTGTTGTGAGAATTTTTTTCCTTAAGGTAGTTGAGTACAATTATATTGAACACATTTTAGCTAACTAGCTTTTACACATAGAGTAATAAAGGCAAAATTAGTCACAACATGTTTCATTCTCGGTATTGCTTATCTTTTGTTCATATAAGTAGGCATTTTTCAAGTTCAGTTTTATTAACACCATGTCTATTTTACTCAGGTGGTTAGTGCACATTGCTAATGAAGCCAAGGGCATGGGTGACATCAGTTTTCGGGCCAATTAGTTTTACTCTGCCAACAGACCATAACACTAAACTAAGGCAAATTGTGCTAAAATTGAATGCCCTTTATTACGAGGCAGCCAGAAATGGAACATATGTGATTCGTTTATCCCAACTGGAAATACAACTCAGTGTCCATGTCGGTACAGGTCAAATCACTATAGACTTACATAAACACAGCACATTATTATTATTTTTAATTACCTTTATTTCTCTAGGTTCTTGCTTTTTTCTCAGATTACTTTGAGACAAATTAGTTCATTGATATTTAAATCACTTTAATTTGAATATTTTTAATTTGAATACCCCGTGCATGTATACTCCGAATCAGAGAGATGAATAGTAGTTTTTATTATGGGCATTCTATTGATACCTAGATTTAGAATTCTTACAAAGAGTTTAACTTTTGTTTTATTTTCCATGAGCCCACAAATAAAAATATTATTTGAACTTTTAGGTCAGTTTCTGTTTCACCATTAAGTTTGATTGATGACTTCTATTCATAGCAGTAGTATATGAGTTAGGTTTATGATTCCCAGAGGAGTGTTGAGCCTTTAGAACTGCACATACACCTCTTACCATTAGTTAGCCCCTAAAAGTGTGATTGAACATTTCAAAACAGCTTATAAATCATTACAATTAACAACTTTCAAACTGTCCATCCAAAGCGACTGGCTTGACATGCCATCTGTTATTTTTTCTTTAAAACCCTGTAGTCTGTTTATTTAAGGCAGCCATTTAACATTTAAAATGATGTTTCTTTTTAAGGTGTATGATGGGCTAATGAAGACAAGCTTTTGTTTTAATTATCAACAATTTTTGTGATGCAATATAATTTTTGCAGTGCTCAGGGCCCTTTACAAATCAAAAGGAATCCAACTAAAACAGTAATTAATGTCAAATGACTAGTCACAAAAGGCCCTATTTAATTAAAAAGTTCTAATCTTTGATTAAACCTCATCACACATTCTCCTGATTGCAAACTGTTGTCTGAAAAAGGAATGTAATTGGGTACATAGTTTATTGTGTCTCTAAAATGACACCTGCAAATTATATAAAATGACTATGGTCTGCTTAAAGTTGAAAATTATTCTTAAGTCATGTTTTTATGTGAGTTTTTTTTGTCCTTTTGCAACTGTAATTGGAAGCCTTGTTTTTCATTAAATAGTTTACAAGCTAAAAAATAGAAAAAAAATTTACTTATGAATTCAAAATCTGTTAATAAGTATATTTTGGACCAGTATTTTTCTTGAAGTTGAAATCCAAGAGTATCTTTATTCTTGTAAAATCAATAAAAATGTAAGAAAAATTCAAAAATTGGGTCTAATCATGATTACATATTTGTGCTTATAATTACAAATTTTTCAAATCCACATTTTAAAAATTTGTATGTTATAATGCATATTGTTTTTAACTGCACAGTGAAATCGTTGATGGATAATTCAGTTTTCTTGTATTTACTGCCTTCCATTTCACTTTTTAATTTTGTTAGATTTATTTATAAGATTCCTATGTTGGGACATAAATGATGCTTTATTATATTTAGGTCATTAAAAATAGGTATAATCCTAACTGGACTTAAAAACAGAAGTTTGTTGGCATATTACTGAATGGAACATACAGTCATGTATTTTTTTTTCTTTTTTCATTATGATAGCAAGGAGATAAACAATATTCAGTTCAATAACATAATGCTCACTCAAGTTTTAATTGATCTTTTATACAGTAATGTTATCTTTCAAACCATGTTACTACTATTTATATCCATATCCAATCAACTTTATGCCAATCTTATGTACCATTCTAACATCACCTGTGCCATTTTAACCATTTCTATTGTGCCCAAAGAAAATAATAAAAGAAGAATTTAAGAAAAGCTAGAGAGAAAAAGATCAAAGGCATCCATTCAGTACCTACTGCTGCCCTATGTGTGGCATTAAATATATACCCCTTCATTTAACCTACCAATCAAATCATTTATCATCTATACGTTATAGAAAACTTAGCACATTTATGACATGGAATCTCTATAACAGTTCAAGGAAATGTAAATATTACATTCATTGTAGTGATTAAACCACGAAAAGTGTAACTAAAACTTTTTAACAGCAAGTACTTTTGCTTATGACAGTTTAGTATCTCATACATTATTTTTAATTCTATGATCCAGCTAATGACTAAAGAAATAAAAATGCTTTCTTGAGTCTCCCTTTTAGAATAGAATTAAGTACTTGATTAATTATCATAACACATCTTAAAGTGTAACATCAAGTCATTTGTATGTATGACTTATATGAATAAAGCAGTTTGCTAAAATTTGTGGAACTGCCACTTCAGTAAAAAATGGAATTAACTTCATAAGGATAATTGAAATAATAAAGCAAATTAAGACATGTCATAAAATGATTCCAAAATTAATCTTGTCAAGTATTCAACATATAATGACAAAATTGATAACCATCTACCTAAAATGAAAATACAAATATAAATTCTTATTGAATTTTGATGACTCTCTTCCTTGAACATTTAAGACTACTATAATCTTTTTATATGTAATAAATTATCTAATTCTGGAGACAATTTCTATGATAAGGTGTACAAAAGAACAATTCTACCAGCAGGAAAATTTTATTCAAGAGTATTGTGATAGGGAAGAGAGATGGAACTCAACTCCCCTAAAACAAAAGGCAGAAAAAGTTTAAATACTGGGATGAGGTACTGCAAAAGTATATGATATACACACACTCCTATTTATTTTTATATCAATGTTGGTAACCATGAGTAAATACCAGTACTTCTAATTCCACTGCAAAACTATGGAGTCACACGACTTCCACCCACTTCCAAATTTATATTCTGCTTCCTGGAGTGTGAAATATGTTTGCATCATCTTAATCCTCCTGTATGTAGCCAACCTCCCAATGCTGTTAATGCTGCTACACCCTCACATTGGGCCCTACACTGACTTGAACGTGCCTAATATCGGGCTGCCTACCTCATTTGGATTTGTCTAATGGATTTTTGACAATGGAAGGAAGTAAAGAAGAGTAGAAGAGACAAGGTGGAAAGAACACCTGTAAACCCTCTACTAGATTTAGCTTTTGTAAATATTTTGTCACATTTGCTTTCTCATTCTCTTTCTTTCTCTTCTCTACATGGCATGTATGTATAAACATACGCATCCATTAAGTGTATATGCATATACATATCATCTGTGTATACACATGCATTACTTTCTGAATCATTTGAAAATAAGGTTTACAAATCACAGCCATGCACTCCCAAATATTTTAATGTGTATTTCCTTAAAATAAGGATATTGCCTTAAATAACCCCCTGTAGACTTACTGCCATCAAAATATAACATTGATACAGTCATCCCTTGGTATGGGTGGTGGAGAAATTCGTTCCAACAACCTCCAAGAACCTACGCTGATACCAAATTTGAGAAATGCTCAAGTCCCTTATTTTAAATGACACAAAAAAATAAAAATAAATAAATTAGTTGGGCATGGTGGCACGTATCTGTAGTCCCAACTACTCAGGAGGCTGAGACAGGAAGAACGCTTAAGCCCAGGACCCCAGGAGCTCCAGGCTGCAGTGAGCTATGATCACACCACTGCACTCCAGCCTGTGCAGCAGAGTGAGACCCTGTCTTAATAAATAAATAAATAAATAAAATGACATAGTGTGACCCACTGTATCTGCCAATTCTACATTCACAGATTCAACAAACCGTGGATCAAAATACAGCATTTTCTGCCCTGTATGGTGGCACATGCCTGTAATCTCAGCTCCTTGGGAAGCCAAGATGGGTGGATCACTTGAGCCCAGGAGTTTGAGACCAGCCTATACAACATGGTGAAACCCTATCTCTATAAAATACAAAAATTAGCCTGCTGTGGTGGCAGGTGCCTATAGTCCCAGTTACTTAGGAGGCTGAGGTGGGAGAATCACTTAAGCCCGGGAGGTTGAGCCTGCAGTGAGCGGTGATTTCACCACTGCACTACAGCCTGGGCAACAGAGCAAAACTTTGTCTCAAACAGAGAAAAAAGGAAAAAAAGAAAATACAGTATTTTCTATAAGTACAGTATGTACTTATTTTTGTCCAATCAGCTAAGCGCACTCAAATTTTGTCATTTTATCCGATGTTGTCATTTAGAGTATTTTTAAAATTTCAGTAAAGAATCCTGTTTAGGATTGTTAATTAATTTCTCTTTAGTTTTCTCTAATCTGAAATATTTCCACAGCCTTTTTGTGTCTTGCATGACATAAATTTTTGAAGAATGCAGTACCCCCAACTTTTTATTAGAACACACCAATTAGTTATGAAATGTGCATTTCTTTTGATATGGATAATTAATTTCTTGCAAAATAATTGCATGTGAAAAATACTCCTACAAATATAGAATAGAAAAAGATGTTATGTCAATTTCAACACTAAAAAAAAGATCATCAGAATCAGTCTATATACCTATTAAGAGGGAATTAGTTACATACTAATATCTACACAAATAAATTCCACATATCCATTCAAAAGTACAATGTTCTTCTACTGAAAGATATTCTTAGTATATCATTACTGGAAGAAAAAGAAATCCTAAAAAAAGTAATTATTACGTCTCATTTAAATTTGCTAAGGTATTGCTGCTTTTATAAAAACCTTGACAACCAAATTTCAAAAATTTATGTCAACATTATTTTGTATCAAAAACATAAATTTAAAATATTTCTCAAGTTACTTTAGGACTAATCTAAATAATTAAAACCTCTCCTAAATTCTAAAAAGAGTTTTAAGTTTACTATTCCACAATTTTCTGACATTAGGTATTTATAACAATTTTAGTGACATCTAAAAGTATTATAATCCTAAGTATTTTATCCAATATAGGACTGCTGATAGCAAAATCTCTTTACAAATTTAGAAAAGGAGTATCCACTGGTGTTTTGAAATATGTAAGATTATTATTAATTTAACAAATAATTTTTGGTAATATGTCTAGTATATAATCAAACAAATTACAGGCTGCAACTGTATATATATCAAATAACTATCAAAATAATGTGATTATCTTTTGAATCAACTTATAGACATTTAGCAGAAAGTCACATGTAGAAATGTCATCTGTATAATAAACTAGCATGTCAATCTCCCCCCACAAAAATCATGCAATAGCCAGCAGAATATTGATGCTAATTGGTATATGTTTTTCTTTTAGAAGTGAAAATTCTAACCTTTCACTTGACAGATGTTTGGGTAAAATGCCATGTAACATTTTGAAAGCTTATTTGTGCTCTTTACAGTTGTGTTTATGCTGCCACACATTCAGGAGCAAACAAATGAAAAAGTAAACAAGAGTAAAAATATGACTGCATTAGCTATTTACAGATCAACATATAAATCAAAAGCAAGTTAATCTCAAATATATAAAAATATAACTAATTAATCAAATAAAATATCAACCTAGAAAGCATATTTCAAAACATTTGGAATATTTGAGAACAAACAGCATATAGTATGGTCAAGAGATTCATAATTTTAAATAGATATGAAAACTATATATCTTATGAACACAAATCTCTAATTCTCAAATGCTCATTATATTCCTTTCTGTCATAATTTAGCTACAAATGACTACTAATGCAATAATTATAGTGACAACTGTTTTTTAGAGTTAGTAAAAATTTTTCCAAATATAATGTGGTTCCCACAAATGTGGGTAGAAGGAATATCAGATATTTTGTAAGCATTTTCGAGATTAGAAAATTTAGTCTCTGTGAAGTTAGCTAACTTGCCTACTGGACTAGATTAAAACCAAGGTATTCTGATAATATTTTCAACCTCATTAATGAAGAGTCCACCCCCTCCCCACATCAAGTTATTAGAAACATTTAGGTACAATTAAGACTGCCAGTAATTCCATGTGCTTTATTATGTATTATTATTATTATGACTGCATTGCTAAATGAATTTATTAATGTTTCTATTGAAAATGTATACCAAGTCCACACAAATCAGTGAGCTTTGCTTGTTCCTGTGTCTTAGACATCTTTTTTTAATTGTTTATTTACTTATTTTTTTTTAACAGAGATGAGGTCTTGCTACGTTGCCCAGGCTGATCTAGATCTCTTGAGCTCAAGTGATCCTCCTGCTTCCGCCTCCCAAAGTGCTGAGGTTACAGGCATGAGCCACTGCTCCTGGCCTTGTGTCATAGATATCTTAAGCCCCTCAGGATAAAAGATAAATACATTTGATTGAAAAGATACACAGAGTGGCCCGGCGCGGTGGCTCACGCCTGTAATCCCAGCACTTTGGGAGGCCAAGGCGAGTGGATCACGAGGTCAGGAGATCGAGACCATTCTGGCTAACACGGTGAAACCCCGTCTCTACTAAAACTTACAAAAAATTAGCCGGGTGTGGTGGCAGGTGCCTGTAGTCCCAGCTACTTGGGAGGCTGAGATAGCAGAATGGCATGAACCCGGGAGGCAGAGCTTGCTGTGAGCCGAGATCGCGCCACTGCACTCCAGCCTGGTCGACAGAGCGAGACTCCATCTCAAAAAAAAAAAAAAAAAAAAAAAAAAAAAAAGATACACAGAGAATTGTGAGTTATAATAAATTAATTCATACTTTCATAAATAATAGTTTATCAATGTACCACTAATCTAATTGATCCAATAAAGAAACTCATCAGATGTGGGACCTTATATACACAACAGTATTAAAATATAACAATTTAGTATACCTAATCTATGGAGTTAAGTAACAGAATTAAAAGCAGGAAGTAGTAACAAGTATTTTTTTCCTTTGAAATGTTAAGTTACAGCATACCATATCAATAGGTTCTTATTTCATTTACCTATAAATTAATTTCTCTTTTACATTAACTGGTCTCTCAGCAATGCATTAAAATAAAAAAAGATTCTTAGTCATGCACCTACACCCAGGTTGCTGTTATTCTACATTGGGGATAAATTATTTGCTACAACTTTTATAATGGAAAGCAAGAGAAAGTAGTATAAGCAATCAGTTGGAACTCTCGGGTTTTGGAAAACAGATTTCTGTGAAAAAAAAGATTTGCCTGGTGAAAAGAACAAAAGCAAACATGGAAATTGATATCACTTATATGAGAGGTAGTGAAATAATAAGAGACTAAATGTATTGGTGAGGGAAAATTGTACTACTTGTCTATTTATACATTTTCTTTAACATAAATTAATGTGTTCATAATACAAAATTTATAAAATATAAGATGTTAAGAAGTCACCCACCATTCTATCACACAGACATAAATACTCACAGTATGTCTTTATAAATGCTTGATGTTTATCTCACCACTTATTTTTCTACATACAAATGTGTATATACAAGTTTTAAGAATGTTTTAATAGTATATACTCTGTTCCTATCCTGTTTTAATATAAATTTTAACTGTTTCCATTTTATTAATTTTTATGTTAACATTTCAATTGAATGCTATCATATAAGTTGTAGGATGTATTTATCCAATTCTTTTGTGGGTAGTCAGAATACTACATTATATGGGAAAAAAAAGTACTTTGCAGATTTAACTAAGATTGTAGACTGATTCAGAGAGATTGTCCTGAGTTGTCTGACTGGACCCAATCTAATAACATAAGCCCTTAAAAGCAGAGAATTTTCTTCTACTGGAGGCCAAAGAAATAGCACAGAAGGGGAATTCAGACAGATTTAAAGCTTGAGAAGGAACAGGCTTTTCTGGTTTGAATATGGAAGGGCAATGGTGCTTATTGTGGGGTGGGGAGACGGGGGAGGGATAGCATTAGGAGATATACCTAATGTTAAATGACGAGTTAGTGGGTGCAGTACACCACCATGGCACATGTATACTTATGTAACTAACCTGCACGTTGTGCACATGTACCCTAAAACTTAAAGTATAATAATTTAACAAAAAAAGAAAAACAAAAAAAGAATGCAAACTGCTGAGGAAGTCTCTTGTCTGAGAACCAGCAAGGAAATGTGGACCTCCACTCCTACAGTAACACTGAATTTATACAACCTTGGATCTTGGATGAAGCACCTTCTTTGTCTGCCTCCTTCACTATTATAATTCCATGCCCTAAAACCCTAAAATTTACATCTCATTTGCTAGGTCAATAAATAAATAAATTATATTCCTTTTTTTGGAGCTTGTTCTTTACTATCACTTGCTGAAGTTTTGTTTTTTTCTTTTCCTTGAGGAATAATTCCACGTTTCTTATTGATTTGTGGGAGCTCAAAGTTCTATACAGGTATTAAATACATAGAGGATGAGACATTCAGAAGACAAATCTCTCTTATAGAAGAAGAAAAATACATGAAAGTGAGTTAATGAAAATTAAAAGAAATTAGGAGACCACCCAAAGCAGTTCTGGGAAGTGTAAATTGGGGTTACCCCTTAACAGTAATTTTTTCATCATCTTTGAATTTCACATGTCGGGGGAATATGTCTATGTTTGTTTTTACATTTTGCTGGTATTCAATGAGGTGGTCTAATTTATAAACCTAGGCCTTTTCAACCTTTTTTCCTCATATTTTTATGGTTATAGATTTTCCTCAGTTTCCCCATTTTATTTTGTTTTCTTCTTTTAAAATTTCTGTCATTTATTACTATATTCTGGTAATAGCCTGTTCTTGTCATTGTATTTATTTTTCTCTGATTTTATTTATCTCTTCATCCACCCCATTGCTCTGAGTTATAGAAAAATATCTGAACTTTCTCTTGTATTTCTCCAAGTTTTCTGCAATATTCTTCTGCTATTGACTGCACTTACTGTAGTTTTTCACTTTACAGTCATGATATTTTATTTTATTTTATTTATTTTGACATGGAGTCTAACTCTTGTTGCCCAGGCTGGAGTGCAATGGCATGATCTCAGCTCACTGCAACCTCCGCCTCCCAGGTTCAAGTGATTCTCCTGCCTCAGCTTCCCAAGTAGCTGGGATTACAGGCGCCCGCTACCACGCCCACGTAATTTTTGTATTTTTAGTAGAGATGGGATTTCGCCATGTTGGCCAGGCTGGTCTCGAACTCCTGACCCTAGGTGATCCACCCGCCTCGGCCTCCCAAAGTGCTGGGATTACAGGCGTGAGCCACCACGCCCGGCCTCAGTCATGACATTTTAAATATTGTCACTTTGTCTTCATGATTACCTATTCAAGTTTCATGGACTCACTGTTTCCAAAAATCTTTTTGAGACCTTGATGTACAATTTTTATGAAGACTTTCTTCTGTTTCTGCATTAATTCCACTTTGTAAGAGAATGTATACTTTGATTCCTTAATGTGGTCCTGAAACTCTAACTTAACAGTAGTACTATTTTTCATAATGATACACTTACCTTGTTCATCTTCACAGAGAGAGATCCTTGAGGGGGTTAAGACAGATTCCCTGAGAGACTGCAGATTTTTATCAAATCCAGACAAAAGTGAGGGCTGAAACTTCTGATTCACTTCCTATAGCTACTGATAAAATAAAATTTGCATCCACTGCTTTCCACAGCCTACTATTTGTGCTTCTTCTCTTCATGGACATGATATTTACATTCTTCCAGGGTCTCCTTCCTCTTACTCCCAGGGAAGTGACTCTGGGGAGTTAAGACTTGAGAAACGTCAAGATGGGACTAGTCCCATCTCACCTGTATCTATAAATCACTCTTAGTTATTCAAATATGTCACTGTTTCTCTTTCTATTATCATGCACAATTTTCTTTGTATTCATTTATTTTCTAGTGATATTTTTAATGACAGTTTAGCAAGATTTGAGGCAAAGGAGTAATACGTGACAACTGCACATGTCACTAACTCAATTTAGAACTAGGACAAGGTTTTAAACTGTGTTTAATCTTAGGTAGTTTAAGGTGCTTACATTTCTTCTTAGAAAAATCCCTGAATAGACCAATAACAGGCTCTGAAATTGAGGCAATAATTAATAGCTTACCAACCAAAAAAAGTCCAGGACCAGATGGATTCACAGCCAAATTCTACCAGAGGTATAAGGAGGAGCCGGTACCATTCCTTCTGAACCTATTCCAATCAATAGAAAAAGAGGGAATCCTCCCTAACTCATTTTATGAGGCCAGCATCATCCTGATACCAAAGCCTAGCAGAGACACAACAAAAAAAGAGAATTTTAGACCAATACCCCTGATGAACATCGATGCAAAAATCCTCAATAAAATACTGGCAAACCGAATCCAGCAGCACATCAAAAAGCTTATCCACCATGATCAAGTGGGCTTCATCCCTGGGACGCAAGTCTGGTTCAACATATGCAAATCAATAAACGTAATCCATTACATAAACAGAACCAAAGACCAAAACCACATGATTATCTCAATAGACGCAGAAAAGGCCTTTGATAAAATTCAACAGCCCTTCATGCTAAAAACTCTCAATAAATTAGGTATTGATGGGACGTATCTCAAAATAGTAAGAGCTACTTATGACAAACCCACAGCCAATATTGTACTGAATGGGCAAAAACTGGAAGCATTCCCTTTGAAAACTGGCACAGGACAGGGATGCCTTCTCTCACCACTCCTATTCAACATAATGTTGGAAGTTCTGGCCAGGGCAATCAGGCAAGAGAAAGAATAAAGGGTATTTAATTAGGAAAAGAGGAAGTCAAATTGTCCCTGTTTGCAGATGACATGATTGTGTATTTAGAAAACCCCATCGTCTCAGCCCATTTTTATGCCCTTCTCTTACTGCTTTTGCCCGTTCACATCAGTAGTGCCCTTTACCTCTAACTAGACAGATTTATACCATCCATCTTTCACCAGAGTGAGAAAGATCTCTACATCTCAATGGATTTTTTGCTGCTAATCCTGAATAGCAAAGTGAAAAGACTGCACCCTGGACAATCTTTTTATTCTCTCCTGGTTGTGAGATGCACTTGAACCACAATAGTTACAAGCTTCCAATTGTAAATGAAGTTTCTGGTCATAAGCACAGGAAGCTATTTTTATAAACAGATTTTTCAATTATTAAAATATGATCATATTGTGCAATGTATTACACAAACCTGTCTCACTTTTCTTAAAATTTTAATATTAGCAGATTAAAGCTAATTCCTGAAAATTGTTGAAACTGAGCTACTCATTGTAAACAATGCGTATGCTAGTCAACTATATACAATTCCTACAAGTGTTCATGAAAATATTTGTGTACATTGAATTTATAGATTACCATCAAATTTATTGAAAAGAGGTCTTGTAGCATTCAAGCATATTCTTGAATGGATCCTTGTAACAAAGGAATTTAATTAGCGGTATTCCTTATTGATACATTTTCAGAATATTATTAATTTATATTTGTATAAATGGCTGAGCAGTACAATAAATTTTAAATTAATCTGTTTTTATGCCTTTCTTTGAGTCTTATTCCCTTAGTATATGACTCGGAGGGGAAAATGGATCACCCTGACTCATATAATTATTATAACCAATATGTTTCTGAATTTGATCTGTATTTTTCTGAGAAAAATTGGCCAATATTTAAATAAGCACTTGAGAATCTAAATTCCTTTTTTCTAATACTACATTTATGGTTGTCACATATCAAACATATATTGCAAAAAGCATTTTTGGTAAGAAATTAAGATATCTCACTTATTTACTACCAAAGTTCTACTTAAGTCTTTCAATGTTTAATTAAAATATTATATAAATCATTCTATTTCTGTTTTAGTATTGTCCATTTCTAAATGATTATGGCCTTTTTCCTACATATTCTTCTTACCTTTTCTCTTATCACTGGTAACAAGTGACACTGACTCAGAAAGCTACAGATACTCTTTAAAAATCTGAGTATAGAGATAGATTAGATTTCAGTAGCTCCAAAAATGAATTCAGCCATGGTAATTTTCAAGAAGTTTCATTCCAGTGGTTCCTTTTATTTAATATCTAACATCATTTCAAAAACATCACTCAAGTAAGAACAGAAATTATTTTATTGGATGTGTATTTGTTTATGAATATTTTTGGGGGAAAAAATAAACAAAGGTGCTTTACCTAAAACAAGAGTGTGCTATTTTGAGGGTGACAGACAATAGCTGTTTAACAGCGCTTAGTTTTCAATTGAAATGCTCCGAATTTTAAAAGATAAGAGAAAATAATATGCTTAGCTCACTGAAAAGAGGAATTTACATAAGCAGAACGTAATTATCCAAGTAAGACCTTGTCGCTGAAACTTGGGAGGGTTAATGATTATGATGATAATTAAAATGCAGGGATTTGTAGAGTACTTATTTGCTTTCTGAAGAGCTCAGCGTACTTCTATATTCTTCTCATTGATCTCTGTGCGAGAGCTATACAACAGGCTGCTTAAATACCTCAGAATTATGGAAAGAAATATATGGCTTGTTATATCCATAAGTTATTATAAGTTTTTGGTTTTTGCCTCACCTGAAAGGCAGGACCTCCGGTGACACAGCTTTTTGAAACATCATTTTAGGTCATTGTTGCTAAACTGACTCTGAGGAAAGAGTGCCACCTACTGAATCAAATGTCCCGGGTTGCCTCCAAGGGCTGGTCTCCAGCTTTAGAATTGTCCTAACATGCTTAGCTATAAGAAACAATGAGATTGCTGCACCATGCATGAAATCATCATATTTGTTTCCAGCTTTAGCCACCTTATTTTAACAATCCAGCGGTCACATCTGTAAATTAACTATTTAATTCATAAGCTTTTCATTTGTTTTTAAAAAGTAGTATACAAAGATTAAACAAACCTAATTTTCCTAAGAAGTAAATTTCCCTAATGCCGGAATGTCTCGCTCTACTGTCAAAGTGACCACAAGGGGGAGCTAGCATGTAACTTCTTATGGGGCAGGAGCATTGAGGTTGTGTAATGAATTGATCTTGTTTCTGGCTGACAAATTAGGAAAGAATGGAAATATGCCACTTGAAACTCATGAAGCTCAAGACAGTTTTTCTCTGAATTACATTTTGCACAACTTAATCTAACTCCTCTTCTTAATATGTACTAGCTAATACATCAGATAGAGTATAACATGTTATTTGGTTGGACAACTCTTTTTTATCCATGGTCAAGTCTATCTATACATACACAATTTATTTTGACCACACTAAATGACATTCAATTTTAAAACTTAAATATAAAAGTCTTAAAATAATTTTAAATATGTCTCAGTACTTCAGAATGTATGCCCTGAAATATGTGTCACTTTTCAAGAGTCATTGGTTACTAATTTACATTTACTTCTGACTTACAAACTTAAAATTGTACATAAAGTACAAAAATACGAGTTGTAAATTTAGTTTATTTATTGCATGAATTACAAATTAACCTCTTGAAGATGTAACTTGCCTGTCTTTGTAGGGTTAATCCTACAAAGTGACTTCGAGTGTTCATCGGCAACACACTTCTTATACTAGCAAGGAGAACGCATATTAATAGATATGTATATGTCATCATATATTACATATTATAACATAGACGTAATATTGAAGAAAATTAAAATACATTTCCTGATCTAAATATTTTTTCTAATAGCAACATTTCACAATTGTAATAAAAACAAAAAAGTTCTATATTAAATTTAAAATGCTGTCTGTTTATAGAAATATTTTATACTTTTTCTTATTGTGTTGTTCTGTAGGCAAGATTGAGTTTTCAAAAAATTTAAAAATAAACAGTAATTATATTTTTAAAAATTATGAACAAATTATTAAATTTTTTTCCAGAATTTTAAAAATTCTTGTTAAATTATGTTGCTTTTATACAGTCCACGTTTATCATCAAGGAGAAAGATATGTTTTAGCGATTGTCCTGTTAGTAGTGTGGATTTCTCATTTGTTAAAAGGTAAAGCTTTTATTAAAAAGTTAGAAAATGGGCCAGGCGCGGTGGCTCACGCCTATAATCCCAGCACTTTGGGAGGCCGAGACAGGCGGATCACCTGAGGTTGGGAGTTCGAGACCAGCCTGACCAACATGGAGAAACCCCATCTCCACTAAAAATACAAAATTAGCCGGGCATGGTGGTACATGCCTGTAATCCCAGCCTACTCGGGAGGCTGAGACAGAAGAATCACTTGAACTCGGGAGGCAGAGGTTGCAGTGAGCTGATATCGCACCACTGCGCTCCAGCCTGGGTGACAGAGTAAGACTCCATCTCAAAAAAAAAAAAAAAAGAAAAGTTATAAAATGGTTGATGGCTGTGTATTAGAGGTGAACCATACATATCTCTAAAAGAGAAGAGCAGCTAGGAGAACTAGCTATGAAGGAACTTCTATCATTAATTTGATAATTTAAATGTGACATGGAAATCTTTGATACATATTATATCTAAAACAGTTTAGCTATTAAATTTACTTTTGAAAATTTTCTGTTAATGAATAAAAATGTATGAAACCAGGCAGTGAATTGATGGTAAAAATGATACAGAAGGAGAGAATAATTGTGGAGAGAATGACTTTTTATTCATATAAACAACGACTGCATTGAAAACATCAGCATCAAAAATGTCTCTTAAGAACTGTATTTTATTGAACTCAAGAACACAGCAAGTAGGACAAGTGGCTGAAGAATGTTAAAACTGATGCTATTATGACTGCATGCATAAACTCTCAGAACTACAACTACAACTAATAAATATGTATTTTAAGGAGTCTTTCTGAGGCAAAATTAAATAAGTTACGTTACATAAAATTCCATAAATTGCATTTCAACATTATTCTTTAATAATAGTGCTATTCAATTATTGGAATACTATAGCAGTACTAATCATTTTTATCAGTCTATAAAAATAGATTTTAATAGTTGTCTTTTTGAAGCTATTCCAACATAACAATCAATTTACCTTTAAAACTCACCTAGACTAGCATATTTTATTAGACACGTTATAATTATATGTCTTTCCAAATACTTTTCTCAATGAGTATCCACACATACATGGTTTGAATAACTTACAAATCTTTAGATGTTTAATGTGTGTGTATTAAAAGATATAATTTCTGTTTAAGGTTAAGACTATCATTTGTAATTATAAATAACAACTATCAATCAGTCTCTTCTTGAGACGTGAGACTGCAAGTATCTTTAGCTATTTATACAAACATATATTCTTCTAGATTCCTCAGTTTCGGGTTCTATGTAGCCTTCTATGGTATTAAAACATATTTCTGAACGATTTAGCTATATTTATACTATCTCTCTTTTTAAAATTAAGTTTAATACTTTAAACACAGTGAAAAATACATTCCTCAATAACTATGTTGTAAACAAAAAAACTGTTTGGGGAAAAAATACAAGTCTTAAGAGATGGTTAAAAATTAGGAGTGATTATTGTGGTTAAAGGAAAGCCAAACCATTGGAAATGAAATATCAGTTAATTTCACTCCCTTTGAACATAAACTAGGTATGGGACATAAGGAAGAAAATTAAGTACCTTGGGTATATGTCAGTATTCAGCAATAAAATTTAATACTATAGGTTAAATAAAATACAAATATGTGATACATTTCAGTCAGACACGCTGTGGTCTTCACCTAAAGCATGGTAGTTCTTTTTATATACACTAGGGGGCGATGTGACATAATTACTCTGGAGGGGTCGTAAGCAAATTTATCTCTATGAGGATGTATTCTCATATCACTGGGTCTCTTAGAAGCTGTATTTCTAACAACTCTCAGTTGCATGCCAGCACATCTCATTAAGTCTAATTGATAAATCATAATACCCTTTCCTTGGAATTTTTCCCATTCTCTTGTTTTTGCTTTATGGCAAACAAACCTCAAGGATATTTTATTACTTTCTTTGAATTAGTATGTAATGCAAAAAAGACATAGATTTGCTGTATTTAAAAAGTAATAATAAGTGAATGTGCAGTCACTATTCTTTATTCAAGTTAGCTGCTGCTTTTAAAGCCTTAAAACCTCTGATCTTCAGCTTCCAAAATACGTGCCTTGGGACAGAGGTATTAACCCCAAAGAGACATAAAACTGGCATTTCCCAAGGCAGCATGGTTAAGTACTCACTCAGGAAAACAATCTAGATTTCTACAAAGCTCTGACTCTCCCGTTCAGCAATAGTATATGCGTGACAAACTACCTGTTTAGAAAATACAAAGACACTTTAGGATTTAAAAGTCTGGCTGTAAACAGCTTCTCTTTGAGTTTTTAAACTGTCAGAGTCTCTTAAGGGAATGGCGAATTTTTGATACAGATCAGACTGCAAATTCAGACTATAGGTTATCTCATTGAATACTCCAGGAAACAGCTCCTATACCTGAATCTTTAAGCAATTATCCCAATAAAAATCTTCAGAACTATCTTGTAATTTGTTTGGATTTGATTTTCTTTGAAGGCTGAATGATTCATGTTACACACTTGTATGTTAGTCATTCACAATTTATAAATGGCAACTTCAGTATTTATGAATTGCGATCAATACTCTAGCAATCAAACACTCACCTTTTCTATTTCAATACTTCAATTTTCTTTTTTGTTCTTAACTCTTTCTCAGAACGGCTGGATCACGAGCAAACCAGTCTCCAGTTGCAGATGTTTGTGATAATATTTAGGGAAAAAAACCTCTCTGAGATTAGTAAATGAAGTTGGAGAATAAATAGATGAATCAGAAGTCGGCCTGTGTATGTGTGCTTGTGTATGTGGTGTGTGGTGGTGGTGTGTGTGTGTGTGTATATATGTGTGTGTGTGTTATGGCTTACAAAACAGAAATCTTAGATCTCCTAATGATTGGCCTTCGTGTTTTATACTTTTGTTTTCATGGATCTTTAGCAAATGCGGTTATCAATGGCTATTTGATCTTAAGGAGAAAAAATCAAATTGCAATGTGACACTTTAATAACAAGAATGGAGGTGAACAAAACACCGAAACTAGTGTGTGTGTGTGTGTGTGTGTGTGTGTGTGTGTCGGGGGTTGGGGGGTGGGTATCCACTTTACCTTGAACCTGGGCTGAGATGGTGAGGAAGGATGACCAAAAGGGGTAGAACCTTAAGTAGTATTTAGCCGGATTTGAGTTTACAAAGCTTGTATTGACAGTGAGCCTTTCTCCTTAAAGGAGAGGCTCTATTTCTCTTAAGAGACATAGCCTCTCTTTCAACGGGAGTCTGCTTTTCTTCTGAAACACTTTCATAATTAAGTGACTTTCCTTGCATAGGTGCCTGAGGACAGCTGATTTTTCTCAGAGGATGAAGAAAGTTACATATTGATTGCTGTTGCTCGCGGCATGTTCGTACCAGCGCGGGCAGAAACGGGCTCACGAGCGCCCTCGAATTCACACACACTCACCGAAATACACATCTCAGCCCGTGGAAGCGCATTCACACACACCCACGTACACTCCTCCGCACCTCATTCAGATGGGTCCACGCGGAGTCAGGGCTGCGCTTCCCTTGGCATGGGCGTGTGTGCGGCGAGGGCGTGTGTGCGTGCGTGTGTGAGAGTGTGTGTAGAGAAACCCTTTAGGCAGACCGCAGCTACGTTATTCTGCAAGCATACTGCGATTCCCGATTCCGTGTATGTAGGACCACAAAAAAATTAAATCGCTGTTAAACTTTTTTTTGTAAATTCTCTTTTCCGAAGGAAGGCGCTGGAAGAGCTACTCCCGGTGGTTAAAGGCCCGGGAGACCTGGTGGCGAATCCTGGGGCGCGTCCGCTTTGGCGGAGCGCTGGGCTCCGCTAGCCGGACTGGTTCCCCATCTAACTGATCTAATCAATGACTCCGAAGAGCCGGGGCTCCTGGCCCCGCCCCCGCCATCCTCTTCTCCGCCTCCCATTGGACGCGGGCCGAGAAGGCAGGGCCTTGCTCCTCGCTCGGATTGGCTGACAGGGAATCAGTATCAATGTTTAAGCGGCGGCGTGAGGTGAATAGAGTCAGTCAGCAAGAGACGCTGGGGAGAGAGCAGGGATCGCGAGCCCGGCGGATGCGGCAGCGGCGGAAGGCGGCTGGGGAGACGCTACTCCAACTGTTGAATTGAATTTTCACCTTTCCTTTCATCCGCTGCTTTGCTTGCGGAGATGGATTTATTTGCTTTGAAATCCGCATATCTTTCTCAGACTGTGGGGTGATCCCGGCAGACACCAGACTGAAAGAGACCACCCGTGACAGAAAAGGAGGAATTAAAAAAAAAAAAAACCTCCACAACAGACTGCACAATTAACTGTACACATCGATGTTGGACTTTGTGAATAGAAAAAATTGAGAGGAAAATCTTGAACTATGATGCGAGGCTAAGCTGGGAACAATTACTGGAAACCTGATTTTGTTTTTCCTTTTCCAAGACTCTGAAAAATTTCGGGGTACCTCTCGCCTAACCAAGAGGAAAGGTTTAAAAAAAATAAACAAAATAAATAAACCAATACACCTAGCAAAGCAGACGCCTTGTTTTCCAGAACCTCGGACTCCGGCAGAAAGAGGTAGAGTAAAAGTGCTGCTAGATTCAGCTTCACCTTCTTCCCTCCATCCTTTTCTCTTGCATTTTCTTTTTCCCCAAAAACATGAATCTGGTTTTTCTTTCTATAGACTGAGTCAGAGAAAGCGTTAGGAAGAAGCCGCAACTAATGTCTGTGAAGGGAGGACCATGAGGCGAGAGTGAATACGATTCGTTCCGCTGCTTCTGACTCATCCGGCAGATCGGAACACCTGCATTTCTGGATGTGTCATTCCCGTATGTCGAGGCGCCTCCAGAACCCGAAATAATGTGTAGACAGACCTGTGTCTAACATCCCCTCGGAGGGAGCTCCCCGGGGTAGGAGCCCCTGGCTGGACCGCCGCGGCCGCAGCTCTGCACCCCCTGCCCTCCCTGAGTCGCCCAGAAAAACTGAAAGAGAGACTGCAGAATGCATCACGCCAAACCTTGATGTGTTGCTTTCATCCAGCCCACTCCTCCTACTATAAGAGAAAATTGAAGGAAAAAAAAAAACACGTACTTTATTTGCTTCAAATATTCATCACTTTTATTCCTCGCCAAGGTTTTCTTTTCTAGATGAAGAGGACTGGGAGGCAGGGCTATTGGAAGGAGATGCTGAATAGAAAGAAAAGAGGCACTTGACAGCCCAGCCCTGTGAATGCAGAGACTGTTTCCCTTCTAGCGAGAGACAGGGAGAGTGTGTGTGCAAGGACTGGGAGGGAGGCTCCCCCTTCCTTTTTATTCGGCCTCCCCCCTCCTCCTTTAAATGTGCACGTCCAACCATGAGTTGCCTGTTGATTTCCCTTCGCCTGGGAAGAAAAGCAAACTGGAATTAAACTGCTTGGAGAGAAGTCCTTGCTCGCGGGGAGAGGATGGGATGGTAGCGGAGGCTACTGGCTTGGCGTAGAGAAATCAGAGAGTGTGTTCTACGAACAGAGGCGAAGATTTATCTCTCTACTTCCCCCCTCCCAATAGACTCACACAGCAAATGCTGATCAGGCTGTGGCTTTCTTGATTTCGGGGGAGAGCCTTTTCCGAGGAAGAGAGGGAGGAGCCTGGTGGGGAGAGGAAACTACAAATCGGGACACTAGTTCTTTACGCTGCATTTCCTCCCCTCCCTTTGGCTGCTCGGAAAGGAGAGAGAGGAAAAAAAAAATACGCTTGGCTGGTAGATGCAGTCCGCCGCCGCCGCTGCCTCAGCCAGCAATGCAAGATTAGATCTCTAAATGCAGCAAAACACTGCCTGAAAACAGACCGGCCCGCGCAGCAAGCAGACATTTCACGGTGCGCTGGGGAAGCTTCAAAATATATCTGTGACTCTGTCTTCGTTGCTCTTCATCCCCATCAATTTCATCACGGGAGGCGAGCAGCAAGTAAGAATTTCACTTTCGGATCTGCCTAGAGACACACCTCCCTGCTCCCTCCCCCACTCGATGTGAAGAGTATTCCGGAGTCTCCGGGCGGGAGTAGATTTGCAGCACCCTAGCGGGAGCGAGGAAAACCTACTGATTCTTTAGCTCATTATCATCTCTCCCAGACGAGATTTCCTTCTTATCGCCTGCCTCATCGCTCAAGTTTGAGCCTCCCGAAGTCCGGGCGGGAGAGACGAAACCCCTGGCTCACCCCCAGCCGCAGGAAGCCACCGCCTTGCTCCAAGCCCCTGCAGCTCTGCTGCACCGCAGCTTCTCACCCAGTGCGGATGCTGTAGATCAACAGGTTCAGGGAACTTGAGCAGAATAAGGAGAGACCACCGGGTGCCGCAGCTCGGGTGCAGAGGGAAAAAAGGACCCATAGACTTGTGGCTCGCGTCGCGCGCGCACGCTGCGCCAGGGCCCCAGGCTGGCGCGCACTCCCTCTCTGGCTCCTCCAGTCCGATTGCTCCTGCCCCCACCTTACAGGTCTGGGATGTACCTTTCCATCTGTTGCTGCTTTCTTCTATGGGCCCCTGCCCTCACTCTCAAGAACCTCAACTACTCCGTGCCGGAGGAGCAAGGGGCCGGCACGGTGATCGGGAACATCGGCAGGGATGCTCGACTGCAGCCTGGGCTTCCGCCTGCAGAGCGCGGCGGCGGAGGGCGCAGCAAGTCGGGTAGCTACCGGGTGCTGGAGAACTCCGCACCGCACCTGCTGGACGTGGACGCAGACAGCGGGCTCCTCTACACCAAGCAGCGCATCGACCGCGAGTCCCTGTGCCGCCACAATGCCAAGTGCCAGCTGTCCCTCGAGGTGTTCGCCAACGACAAGGAGATCTGCATGATCAAGGTAGAGATCCAGGACATCAACGACAACGCGCCCTCCTTCTCCTCGGACCAGATCGAAATGGACATCTCGGAGAACGCTGCTCCGGGCACCCGCTTCCCCCTCACCAGCGCACATGACCCCGACGCCGGCGAGAATGGGCTCCGCACCTACCTGCTCACGCGCGACGATCACGGCCTCTTTGGACTGGACGTTAAGTCCCGCGGCGACGGCACCAAGTTCCCAGAACTGGTCATCCAGAAGGCTCTGGACCGCGAGCAACAGAATCACCATACGCTCGTGCTGACTGCCCTGGACGGTGGCGAGCCTCCACGTTCCGCCACCGTACAGATCAACGTGAAGGTGATTGACTCCAACGACAACAGCCCGGTCTTCGAGGCGCCATCCTACTTGGTGGAACTGCCCGAGAACGCTCCGCTGGGTACAGTGGTCATCGATCTGAACGCCACCGACGCCGATGAAGGTCCCAATGGTGAAGTGCTCTACTCTTTCAGCAGCTACGTGCCTGACCGCGTGCGGGAGCTCTTCTCCATCGACCCCAAGACCGGCCTAATCCGTGTGAAGGGCAATCTGGACTATGAGGAAAACGGGATGCTGGAGATTGACGTGCAGGCCCGAGACCTGGGGCCTAACCCTATCCCAGCCCACTGCAAAGTCACGGTCAAGCTCATCGACCGCAACGACAATGCGCCGTCCATCGGTTTCGTCTCCGTGCGCCAGGGGGCGCTGAGCGAGGCCGCCCCTCCCGGCACCGTCATCGCCCTGGTGCGGGTCACTGACCGGGACTCTGGCAAGAACGGACAGCTGCAGTGTCGGGTCCTAGGCGGAGGAGGGACGGGCGGCGGCGGGGGCCTGGGCGGGCCCGGGGGTTCCGTCCCCTTCAAGCTTGAGGAGAACTACGACAACTTCTACACGGTGGTGACTGACCGCCCGCTGGACCGCGAGACACAAGACGAGTACAACGTGACCATCGTGGCGCGGGACGGGGGCTCTCCTCCCCTCAACTCCACCAAGTCGTTCGCGATCAAGATTCTAGACGAGAACGACAACCCGCCTCGGTTCACCAAAGGGCTCTACGTGCTTCAGGTGCACGAGAACAACATCCCGGGAGAGTACCTGGGCTCTGTGCTCGCCCAGGATCCCGACCTGGGCCAGAACGGCACCGTATCCTACTCTATCCTGCCCTCGCACATCGGCGACGTGTCTATCTACACCTATGTGTCTGTGAATCCCACGAACGGGGCCATCTACGCCCTGCGCTCCTTTAACTTCGAGCAGACCAAGGCTTTTGAGTTCAAGGTGCTTGCTAAGGACTCGGGGGCGCCCGCGCACTTGGAGAGCAACGCCACGGTGAGGGTGACAGTGCTAGACGTGAATGACAACGCGCCAGTGATCGTGCTCCCCACGCTGCAGAACGACACCGCGGAGCTGCAGGTGCCGCGCAACGCTGGCCTGGGCTATCTGGTGAGCACTGTGCGCGCCCTAGACAGCGACTTCGGCGAGAGCGGGCGTCTCACCTACGAGATCGTGGACGGCAACGACGACCACCTGTTTGAGATCGACCCGTCCAGCGGCGAGATCCGCACGCTGCACCCTTTCTGGGAGGACGTGACGCCCGTGGTGGAGCTGGTGGTGAAGGTGACCGACCACGGCAAGCCTACCCTGTCCGCAGTGGCCAAGCTCATCATCCGCTCGGTGAGCGGATCCCTTCCCGAGGGGGTACCACGGGTGAATGGCGAGCAGCACCACTGGGACATGTCGCTGCCGCTCATCGTGACTCTGAGCACTATCTCCATCATCCTCCTAGCGGCCATGATCACCATCGCCGTCAAGTGCAAGCGCGAGAACAAGGAGATCCGCACTTACAACTGCCGCATCGCCGAGTACAGCCACCCGCAGCTGGGTGGGGGCAAGGGCAAGAAGAAGAAGATCAACAAAAATGATATCATGCTGGTGCAGAGCGAAGTGGAGGAGAGGAACGCCATGAACGTCATGAACGTGGTGAGCAGCCCCTCCCTGGCCACCTCCCCCATGTACTTCGACTACCAGACCCGCCTGCCCCTCAGCTCGCCCCGGTCGGAGGTGATGTATCTCAAACCGGCCTCCAACAACCTGACTGTCCCTCAGGGGCACGCGGGCTGCCACACCAGCTTCACCGGACAAGGGACTAATGCAAGCGAGACCCCTGCCACTCGGATGTCCATAATTCAGGTAGGAGACTTTTAGCATAACTGGGAGTTCACTTTATTGCTGGTTTTGGAGCTGTCCTGAAACCTTTGGAACAGGGCAAGCCACTCTGCCAGCAGCAGTGAGGGGGAAAAATAATTAAATGAAAACGGTTTACACTTTTGACACTGTGTATACATCATATTCTACATATAACCCCTCCCATGTAAATAGTCTAAACTCTACCAAACGTAAATATCTTACTGTTTCATTTTAAAATTTATTTTTATAGGTTTAAAAATGTTAGCAGTGTTCAATAATAATAGCTTATTTTACTTACTTTTATTTGTTGGTTTACATTTCTTTTCATAAAAAGGAATTCCCAGAGCAGAAAAAAATGTTTTAGTTAATTGTCTTGAAAATATTTTTATTCTGTTTTTTTAAATGATGCCAAAAATGAAAGGAACTTATACCCAACTATTAAGAAGTTAACTTCTTTAAGTACAGAATAACAACCAGTCAGAATTTCAGAGTTCATTCAATTTGAACTAACTTTTCATCCTTAAAAAGTCAGCTTTATATTTTAAAGGTGCTTTAAAGAACATGAATCTCACTTATTCTTCATCATTACATTATGGTAAAACTGCAGCATAATGCATTAATACAGCTTAAGCTTTTCAAATGTGAGTTATACTCTGAAGCACTTTGAAAAGTTTGAATACATGCAGGCTCTGCATAATGACTAGTAACTATCTATGAAAAGTTTGTATTTGTTTTGTCCTGTGGTTACCGTGATCTGTTTCTTGGAGTCACTGAGGAATGAAAGGAATACAGCAGAGGACCAGAGGCTCATTTTGCGCTACTGAAAAAAGGAGGCAAAGTTACACTGAAGGCACTTGATGTGCCAAAATGAATTCATGATGCATTTAGTTTGCATAGTGTGTATATTAAGTATATCTAAGTGATATTTAATATATATAAGATAGTATGCTTCAAAGTTATTGATAATACCACAAAACTAAATGACTGACCCAGCTTGGACATAGATTCTAACAGCAGCAGGTGACTATACCATGTCTAGTCATTGTCTTGTTTCTTTTACCTACTATTGAGTTGTGTCACAGAAAAACTTCATTCTTGCTTATTATAATTGTATGTTGCAACAAATTACTCTGGATGAGCAGTATGTGGAATTCAAAATTGAGCTTAACTGAAAGTGACACCGCAAGAGGAAGATTAGTTTGGGGCAAGTGGAAATAATTTGTTCATAATGTTATGCTTTGAAAAGCAAATAACTTTTGATGACACTGGACTCAATAATGTTTTTATTGTTAAAATGGAGCAGTAATATTTCATAATCTTATTCTTTCTAACATAATAAGTATACCAAATACTAATACTTAGCAAAATATATTTTCCTATAATAGTATAATGTCCTTGTAAAACAATCTCACACTTGACACTACTAAATATTAAAATATCAATTGTAGTATTAAATCTCACTTCTAATAGTGTTTACTATACATCAGTAATCATAATTTTTTAAGGTCTATATAAAACTGAAAAAGAAATTCTCCACTTTAAAAAAATGTGGTTTCTATGAAAGTATTTCTGTGACTGTGTAAAACTGGTATTTATGATAATCAATACGTATTTAGAAGGAAATATTAAAACACATATTTAAAGATTTGCTACAGTCATTTTATAAATACACATATGTTAAATACCTTTCTTATATTTTTACCATTGAGAATTACAAAGATGTCACAGAGGGTTAATGCTTAGTCTTCCATTTAAAGTGCTGTGAGTTGAATTTTCATTTAGTTTCCAGTAAAAATGAAGGTGGTGCAGAATTTTCAACAAGCCTGATTCCTTTGTTAGACTAGTGGGGAACAATCTTGGATTGAAATATCCAGAGATTTTGAGAGATAGTGATACCTGTAGTATATTGCACCATGCTGTTCTTGAAGGTGGTCATTGCTTAAGGAGGAATAGGATAATGATTCCTCTCATTGACAGTAAAACTCAAGCCAAAGCAAATACACACGTGCGCACACACACACAGAATGTAAAGAGAAAACTTTTTTTAACATTCTGTTTCTTCTAGATTCTTAATTCATGCCATAAAGACACAAACTATGTTTTTGTTTTAAGTCCTTGAAATGTTTTGCACAGTGGCTAATTTTCCCATATTGCTTCTACCCTAGAAATATCCTCAACATGCATTGTTTAAACTTTTTTTTAATTCAGTTTTTGTAATCGTCTAAAGGATGCTTTGTAAGTTCTTAATATGTTAATTCTCTTTCAAATATATCAGGTTTATCTCAATATTAATTATGGGGAGCAGAGTAAATTAACTACAGGGACAGTCTTTTTTTTTTTTAAACTAGTGTGTCGCAAACACACTGTGCTAAAGTGACATGCTTAAATTAAAGCATTTAGGTATCCCATAATCTTGTTTCAGGTGCTTTTATTAGTGTATATATGTAATACAGCATCCTAAGGAAACACACTATTAATCTCATGTGTATTTCTGAAGGTAGAATTTTAATCCACAGAGTGCACTTAGCCTAACTGCTACTAGGTCTGGTTCATCTTCATTTTATAGCATCTGTGTTCTGTTTGGAAGTACAGAGTATTCTATTGATGGAATGAAAAGAATTTCATAATTGTGTTGAGATACACTGGTACAGTGCGGTGATATGAAATTTAGGAACTTTATGATTTATGAAGCTCACATTAAAGCTAAAGTTAAGATTTAAGTATCAAAGCATTTTGTGTGGGTCAAAGGGCCTAAAATGTTAAGGTTAATGCCTGTAGGTTCTCCTTAGGCATAGGAGTACTTTTACTGAGTATGGATGCTAAGCATTCATATAAGCTGATACAGAAACAGTGATGTTTGTGAGAAGAGATTTGATTTCAGGTGTTTTTCAAGTTCCTCAGAAAAATTAAAGTATAAAGTGTTTAAACAATAGATTAGCAACTAAATACCCACAATAGTGTGAATCATAATAAAACACAGTTATAATTAAATATTTAAGTCTTTTTAAACATATAAAACTGATTTTGAAGAATAGGAGCACAGGTTTTGTAGTACATAAGGCAAATAGATTGTTATACAAATTTATAAGAGCACTTTTTATAGGAGCAATATTCCTGTGAATTATTTTATGTGTTAATATGAAATCTAAAGTCAAGTAAAGAGTTTATTACTAGTTCTCAAGAATAACTGCTTATCGTGATTTATCAAGAATTAAGTGCTAAGTCTCAGGGTGACTTCTCAACAGGTGTTTTCAATGAAGGCCTTGTAGGAAAGAGAGGAGGAGGCTGGGGACTTCTCACTGATGGGAGACTTCCCAGTTTTGTTTGAACATCTGTGTTTTCACATTTTTTGTAGCACTACTACAAATCATTTTAATATGCTCTCATAGAAGGAAATACATTGAGCCAGCAGAATAAGATCTACTAAAATAAATTTTGAAAAGGAATACATTCTTACTCAGTGTTTTACAAATCAATTTCAAACGATTCACATTTGGGTTGACTTTAGAGTCTTTATGCTAGGAAGATAAAATCCTTTTGATAGATGTACATGGCCTTTTCAATAACAGGGAATTAAGCATATGGTAAATACCTAGAGCCAATCCAAATATATAAAAATGATATTGAAGTGTAGAGGACTAACGTATCATAGTGTAAACAATAAACTCAATATTGCAGAGTAAAAAGGTGAAAGGAGACTCCATCTTTAATAGCAACATTACCCGCTGTATGCCTTTATTCCCACTTTGCTCTAGTACAGGAAGATCTTCACTATGGGGACTTATTCAGATAAGTTCCCAAGATCATGATCTTCAAAATTTCATACTCTAGCCTATTAATGATTTCAGTAACAAATACAAAGTGCGTGAACAATTTATTTTGGTATTTATAATTTTGGAGATATTTTGCTATGATTTTTATTCTAAGACAGCTCTTTAATTAGTATATGCATTAGTTTCCATAAACTATATATACATCTCTACTTGTAGGCATTCTGGTATCTTGAGTAGGAAAGGAATGTCCCTTTCTTACTCTGTGCCTTCTGGATTGTTTAGTTCACTCATCCTTTTTCTTAAATATTTTGAAAAGGTAGAATGAGTAATTCCTACTTGAGAGTACACAATAATTACATATTTCTTTTTCTGTTTTATCAGGCATTAAAAGTAGTGTAAAGTAAATAAACTTAATTTAAAATATAATCAGATATTCAATGTTTAGAGTTTTTTTGGAGAAGAGTTTATAACCCCTAAAAGTCCAAAAATTGTTATCATCATTATTATATTGTTACTTTTATTTTTATATGCATTTATGAAAATTTTAGCTCCAATTTTAATGTGGCATTTCTCTATTTCCCAATAAATGAAAACACAGAAAGTATAAAGCTAGAAACCAGAGAATCTTGTTTTTAATATTAACTAATATAACTCTTTGTAATGTATTAACTTCTTGATTCCATTAGCTTTTGGTTTTCGATAAAATTTTCAAAATGCAAGCTAGGTAATATTTTACCATTCTTGTATTGAGATTATAATCCTTCAGTCTTTTGAAAATGTCAGGAGTAAGATAATTTTTAATTTTACTTGAGTTGTGTGAGTTCTATAATTTCAATAAATATTACCATATGTAAGTATATGCCAAAAAATTTGGAATTTTAGTCTTGGCATCTTCATGTTATTTAAGGCTGTGTGTGATCATGAAAAGATCGGCATAGAAAAGTATGCCCTAAAATTGTTACCTCAACTACCTGAATATACTGTTTCAGTCATGAGAAAATTTACATTACCACCTTTGACTATATTGTTCAACATACTAAACACACAAAATCCCCCAATTTTCCAGAATGTTTTCTCCATAAAGTTGATGCTATAACATATATCATTCACTTTTTTCAAGTGCATAGATGCAGATTTTGTATATGAGGTTAAAATAATCCCAAATATCATCTCTCTTCAAAAAACTAAGAAATACACATATTTTAAGAGGAAAAAACCTTCAAAAATTTCAGGTAATATTTAATCCTGTTTAAAAATATAGCATTTATATTTTATCATGTTTCAGGACTATTCTTGGGTTTCAGGTTTCAAGTTTTTCACTGTTAGTGCTGCTTGCTGCTTATGTACTATAACACAATAGAAATGTATCTACAAATATAAAGGGCATACATTAAGAAAAAATATATTTAAGATTAATGAAAATTCACATGCATTTATTGCAGTGAAATTTGGCTATGCCTGTATTTATGAAAATATACAAATAATTTTTTGGTAAATTTAAATATGTGTATAAATGTATATGTCTTTATATTTTCAATATAGTGTATGTAAGTACTTGCTCAAGCACAAATACTAGTCCAATTTTATACATTTTAGTTCAAAAGTATTTCTTCTCTAAGGAACAGCTCAAGCTTTTATTTTTCTTTGAAAATATGTTGAAGCTTTATTTTACTGTTTTAAAGTTTCAAACAATTTGAAGTCCCATAAAATAGAGCTAGTGACCCTAGAGCGGGGGGACTTAACACGTGGCCTTCAGTGGGCAATAGGTTGAAGCCTATGTAGACGAAGAGAAACAAAAATCTCACCCAAGTTCCTGATTCTTTTGAGAAGATGGCAGGAGAGCTGGAAGCATGTGAGAATGTATGCTGTGAGCCTGATGATGAAACAACAACAGGAGGAAGAAGAAGCCACTATAACTGGGCCCATGCCAGTTAGGAAGTAAAACTTAACTCCCTAATGCTGAGAAGTCTTGCAATACACTCAATAGTGGGTAAATTCTTACAAATGCACCCGCTAATTACAATATTAGTCATTGCACTAGAATGTATTCCCCTCAGTGGTACTTCTGTTTAATAAATCCCATAGGGCATTATCTTAAGGTTGTATTTTAGTAAAGCCATTAGGGAGGGATTTTTTGTGTATTAAATTCCTTCAATCAATGACTGTATATTAGTTAGAGAATAGCATAAAGTTCCTTTTGCCTATCATTTTGAAGATAATGTGACTTCTGCAACCCACCTACAAAGCACTTTTAAACTTCGTCAGACCTGCATTAACCTATTGTCAACCTACTTTAGTAAAGGAGGCTTTGACAATAATTTTCTTCAATGACATACAGTATTTTATAGTTAGTCATAAGCTTTCACCACTAGCTTTGACAATGATATACTGCGATCTTTGGTCTTCTGGAATAAGTTATCTACAATAAAGAAGTCCTTAATGACATCAACATCCCTACTGTGACTAAGCAGAAGCATGCTTTTATTTCCTTGCTACTGCAGAAATACTAAGATCAATATATTTAAGGTAAAGCAAAAAAAAAGAAAAAAAACACGCAAAAATCCCATAACAAAATATAGATGAAAAATTGTGGCTCTGTGGGTGGCATCCTTTGCTTGTATGTACCAAGTTCTTCCGGGGATAGACTATAAAATTGGTTTCAGACAGTGTTTGAGAGAAAAAAAAAAAAAAAAAAAAAAAAAAAAAATATATATATATATATATATATATATATATATATATGACATACTTCTATTCATCTGTTCTGGTCCTAGTGACATTCTGATTACTGGTATTTGTAGGCCTTGCCCTGGATCTATTCCAAGCAGTTTTATTGTAGTGAAATGGTTCTTACAGTTCATTGAGCATCTAGCATAACTGTGCTGAATATGATTGGCGCGTTTGCATATATTTATTCAAAAAAATAAGGCAGTTAAACAGCATAATTACGGGAAAACGAATCATAACAATAAAAGACCATTTAAGTTAACAAGCTTTGTGATCAAAGGATAAATACAGGTTGGATAAATGACACTTTAGATGTAACTAATCTACATAAATAGACTTTGGTCTGATTAGAGGAGTGGAATATATTAAAATAACTTAATGGTATTAGAAATTTACTTTATTTCAGTTATCTTGAAATGTTTAACGATCTGTATTATCTTATTTTCTTTATGTTTCTATTTAATATAATAGTGATACACCATATTTAAGTTGTATGAAAAATGCCAAGGTAAAGATAAATATAATTTTGTAAACTTCTGTTTGATTCTGAAATATATGCTGTCTGAACAATATTTAACACTTTTTAAACTTTTAATGTTTTTGATTGATTTTTAATTAGTGGAACACATTAAAGGGACTATTTAAAGGACCATTTCTTGTTTACGCTCTCAGCTAAAAGCAGCCTTTGTAGGGTTTGAAAGCTAGAGCATGAAAATCAATTTGAAATTTCAAAGCTATACATTCATAATTGTTTTGTAGATATATACTCTTATAAAAAACATTGGTTACATGTTTGTAAATTATATTGATACATAATTTAGACAATGACTTGATATTCTGAAAGATTCTGATGCTATTTTCATAGCATCTATGCTTTACAGTTACCTTACAACTTCTCTAAACAAGTAATTTCTTTGCAACAACTATGGTATTTTAGATATATTTCATTCAGCTGTTTTTGATAATAACTTTAAAAATATAATTTAGGCACTGAGTCATGAATTGTTACATCTCATTATCTAGGATTTCCACCTAAATACTTAACAGATGCTAAACAATGATTTGGTTTTTTGCGTGCCTAAAATTTTCATGGTCTCCAATTCAGAAAAAAACTCAAATTAAAATATATAAATGAAATAATTAGGTTATATTTGAAATTCCAATAATTTGCTTTGATCAAATGAAAATGCAACAGGTATTTATTGTAGGCAGAAATGGTTATGGGAGTCAAAATAGCTTTCTTATTGTTATAATACAATTTCAGACTATGCATGTCATATAAATTCTTAAATTTGAATTTGCTGTACAAACATTTGCATCAGTTTTGAACATCTAAAAGTAGTTTTCACCCTTAATCTACAACATTCTTTTAAAAATCATAGTCCCCAATACAAATGCCTTTGCTAAAATAGTTCATTTTATTTTTCACACAACATATTTTAGCAGTGTATACTGAGATTATTTTAACTGAATACTTGATATATTTTTGCTATTTTTTCACGGCGACATAGAAATTGCATATGTATTACTGAATTTATAAAGCAATTCACCTTTGACAATCATGAAAAGAATTACCTAACCACATGTGTAAAGTGGCTGTGTGAAATTTTTACTGATGTTCTTATTTTATCAGTAGATAAAATGAAATTAAGACATTAGAATGTTTGAGAAATAATATGCTTAAAATTTTAGCAAAATATAATAAGAAAAAAGTTATTTTAGTAATTTGGAAAAGGCAATTTGTTTAAAAGAATATTTTTCAGTTCAAACTTGAATAAGTGCTTAATGATACATTTTATATAAATTATTAGTCATAAAAACTAAATGTTAAAAATAATTACTTCAATTTCTATAGTTCTGTCAGCAAAACAAAAACAAAACACAATATCATCTAAATATTGGTGAATTCTATTATAATAGTGTCTTCTTGGGTCCCACCAGAATTCATGCCTTCTATTTTGCTCTTGCAGTTTTGCATCTATTTTAAAATAGTATATCCCAAGTCCTTTTATTGAATTAAGAATGTGAATAAGAGCAGTTATAAGTCATACAAAAAAGATAAATCACTAGTCCGTCTTTATTATCATTTTCATTGTGGTAATATTAAGGATTCCATACAAACTTACCTTCCCATTGTTTCACGGCAAGACACTTGATTGTTTTAATTATTATTTGAAGATTTGTGTGACCTTGTGTTATATTAATGAATTTTTTTATTTTTGTGAGAGGTCAGTGCCTTGCCTCATATTGTAATCTTGGTTGATTAAATCAGAAATTCCTGACTTAAAGAAGTAAGCTTATAGATATGCATTGACTGTTATTTGGCATGGTATGCATAGAATGCATTTATCATTTTAGAAAACAATACAAATGTTTTGGTGCTGTGTCATGAACCAAAGTGTAGAGTGAGATACAGGATTATTAAAAGCAGATATATCAGAAAACAGTAACTATTTTAATATCAATGCATACCTTGAAAAAATATTCATAACCTTTCACTTTTTAGTGTTGGCAGATGCACGGGTAGTAATTATTAGCTAAGTTTCCAGGTTCCAACCTTCTTAGGAAAGCTGCTGTTTATCCCTATATGGTCATAAGGATGGAAATAAGAGAACCATCCTATTAAACAAATCCCACTCACAGGACATTTTAAGGATCCTTGGCAGAAGTCTATTCTATGGTGTGGCTCTGATATCAGATGTGCCAATACCAACAAATGAAGCACTATGCCTGAGTGGAGAGAAACTAGAAAAGACAAAGAATACATTTATAGAGACTTTTTTTTCCTTCTGATTTTGAGCAATAGACTTTCCACGATTTTTTATAATCAAGACAATTACATAGTAATTTGGGTTAGAATGCGTGCCCAGTTCCCCATCTCAAAACTCAATTTGTTACCACCTGTGGCTATTTCTATTAAAAAAAAAGAAACATAATTACTATGAGTCTCAGCAGTCTTAGAGTAAATTTTTGCAATTACAATACCCCCCTTGGGCAGATGTGTGAAAATGGCAGATTAATTCTTGCCAGGATTTTTCTGTTCCTCGTGCATTTTTAGGTTTGGTGTCGCCTGCTTATTAGAGTGCCTGTTTTGCTCTGGTTAAAGGTTATGTCAGTTTTTCCGTAGTAAATCTCTAGAAATAAAGATCCACAAATTAGCCATTAAATTTTGCCTTAGGTGAAAAGTTGACATGTAATGTCTCAGGAAAGGAGCAGATAATATTTTCCATCACGCTCTTCGGTTGCCTGGTTAAGTTTGAAGTAAAAGGGAATAAGACCATTTGGCAATGTTGAGAAAGCACGACTTAGCCTAGGAGGTAATAAGAAAAGTGTGGTAAAATAATATCTAATCCAGTAGTAGCCATGGAAGTGATCCCAAAGCTACATGTTGCCTAGGGATTTTAAAGTGCAGTAAAAAATATATTAATACTGGTGGATAACAAGAAATTTAACACCCAACTCATTTCCATTCATTTCTTTTTGTAGTTGTTGTGTGTACTCTTTTCTTAATAAAGATTTAATTGATCTACACACAAACTAATGAATGATATTAAGTCTGTAAAGTGTTAAACCTCTCGATCAGTGTTTTAACTCTCTATGAGTAAGATTAGTTATTTTTTCTCAAAGCAGTCTAGATAGTAGAATACTCGAAACCAGAAGCCGCATCCATCTTGATTGTCACTGTAGTTGAAATAATGTAGCAGTTTCTGACATGTAGTATACACTTAAAAAAATATGAATTCTTTTTGAAGAAACTGAGACTTCTATAGTTAAGTCATTTTCGACAATCACCCATCAGATACATGCTGGAATTTGGATTCAAATCTAGATGTGACTAAGGCTAAAGTCTAAGATATTAATATAAATATGCTAAAATGTTGATCTGCTGGTAAATAATTTATTTGAATGTGGCATATTTTGATATTTTTAAATTTATAGTTACCACTTTTGTAATTATTGCTATGAAAATTTGTATATAATTTTATTAATAATATTACAACTTCATGGAGAAAGACAGGTGATCAAGTTTCACAATTATGAGCATCAAGCTCTCCCAGTATTTGTTTATATTATATATAATTGTATATGGTATATATAATATATACACACACACTTATATAAATGGTACATCAAGAGGAAATTGTGTTGATTGTAGCATATCTTTCTATCTTTTGTCCCACTCTTTGGTCTGGTTTATATGGTATTAGAGTGATGCACTTCTGATGTTATGTCTGTCTATTTTTTAAGGCTTTAAGGATTACCCAACCTCAGTCAGTTATTAAGAAACTAATATGATCATTTCGTCTATATATTAATTAATTTTTAACCTGGTTTTATTTGTGGAAATGCTCCATAAAGTATAAATATTTATTTTCTATATGATAATTTTAATGAAATGAGATTATATCTAAACCATAAACAGTTATTTTGGGATTACATTTATTTTTATTTTTTGATATATAATTTTACAATTTAATTGCTTGGGCACAGATCATCTACCATGTGATAATCAGAAAATAAAAATATGGTTGGAAATTATCAAGTGTATGTAATAAGCCAACTTACAACATTTTTCTCAAAATTTCAGAATCTGTCACATATATGTGGTAATGAAATTTTTATGCAAATATTGAGTAAATGCAAGCTAAGCCTTCATATAAACAGTATGTTGTCCATTTCAGTATTGTTATTAAAAAGACATCCACAACTTTCAGAGGTGTTTAATCTATAATTATTAATTCAATGAATAAATAATGTAATAATTTTAAAAGCTATTAATTGAAATGGTTTACTGGTTTTTCATTTTTTTATTTGTGCAAATTTATGGGGTACATGTGAAGTTGTATTATTTAGTACTTTTAAGCTATACTGAGAGTTAGCTACGTTTGTCTGAATTTTACATTTTAAAATCCATATCAAACCATAAGGAGGTTTTACAGAATAAAAGTTTTAGGCAGAACGAGTTTTCAAACATATTAAAAATTCAATTATCCCCATTAGTCAGAGTAGCTGAAATAAAAAGTGAAGGAAAAATAGAAAGAAGCATAGAAATGTAATTTAAAAATGTTTAGAATTCATTTTCAACCTTCGTAGACAAGAGGATTTTTCTGAAAGATTAAGCTAACGGTATTAAATATCATATAAGATTATCCCATGAATAAGAAGTTCTCAATGCAGAATTTATATCCACATTTGTCTAGGCATTATACTAATAGTTCAAGTCCATCTGTTAATTCACCCTGAAATATTTGGCATTTTTGAAAATAAGACACATCAGCAATCAGTGCTACTCAACCTTGATCCAGGGGGATGTCAAAATAAGTCTTGGTTACATGTTACTACAAGAAGCCCTGTGTGCCAGGAACAAGTTTTCTCTTAGACACCATCAACCAGAAACTGGGCTTGTAATATTCCATAATCTGTTTGTGTTTTACTCTTTCTGTGACTTTTTCTTAAACTATCGTACATGCTTTCTTTTAAAAAATACAGCTTGGACATCTGCTGGCAATGTGACTTCCAAATAATGTTGGTAAAAATCTTAACGTTTCATAAATACACCAGTTGGCAAGTACTTTTTAGTCTTTATATCAAACCTTATAATCTAAAAACATATGTCATTTGTTTAAAAGACTTTGAAAAGTCATTTAAACATTTTAGAAGTATTATCCAAAATACATGATTGTGAGTGAAAGAAAAGGAAATAAATTATTATTTATGTCTTATGCTGACCTGTTCTAATTCTATTATTTTTATCCTTGGCTCTGGTCTCTTTTCTGTGACATCCCAGCAGAAAATATGCTTTTCACAGGGTTACTTTAGTACCTTGTATATTTACATCTAGTGTACTTTTTAAAAATATTCAAATAAATATGTTGATAAGGCATGGTGATATTTATCACCAGATAAATGTTTAACTATATGCACATTTGGGCCTGGCCTCTGTATAGTTGACTTTACATAGTGCATATACACAGGGGTGGATTGGATTGAGCAGTATTATGTTTCTCATTTTAAAAATGCATTTAATAGACAAGAAACTTTTGTTTATTAGCTAAAATAAAAGGCTTCTTCAATTTCCTTTAATTTAGGCTTGAGTATATATTTTAAGATGTAAAATGTTGATTTTCTTTTATATAAAAGCAATAAAATAAACTTCTCCACATGATTTCCTCTTGTGGTTCTTCGGGCAAGAGTGTGCTCTAATAAGATATAGTCGAGATAAAATTCTCCATCTGCTACTCCTGAAGAATAGAATGCTAATTTTTTTAACCTCTTGGTAAATCTTCTTTCCATACTTATGACTATGCAAGTCAGCGTAAGCTAATGTATCAGTTCATCATATAAAGAAAGAAACTTTATAGTTAAACTTAGTCAACAAATTTCTTAGAATTATTTTTATTTGAAATTTTCCATTGAGTCTCAGTGAACTTAAACTTGACATTTATGTTAAATATCCATTATTTAACTAGAGAAATCAAATCGCCAAGGAGACATCTGTTATTTAACGATATTACAGTTTGGATTTTTTTGGTTGAAAGTGTGGGATGGTGATAGAAAGGCTCTAGGAGTGAGGGAAGGAAAGGAGCTGTGGTTCAATATCCCCAGGTAGTATAAATAATTGGAAAGTGGAGATACCTTTTTAGTTGGTTAATTGTAATAAACCTATTATCTTTTTAGAGCATTAAGGTAGAATCAACATGTTGGAAAACAGATAAAAGGTGCATGAAAGCATTTGAAATTCAATCATTAGGTTTCATTGCACCCATCTGCTCCCAGGAAATATAATTGGAAATTTTATTCATTGACCTTTAGCTGCCATTTTGGACAACAGTTTCAAAGTCTGTATTTTCAAGTTGGACATTTGAAGTTAATTAGATAAGAGCCATACTCAGTGCATTTTTAAAACCCGATTATTTGTTGGAACAAAATTTGAATAAATAAAGGCTTAATGGGCAAGTGTATATTTGACAAAGAGTCAAAATAGTTAATCTTGGATCTGCTTAAAAGCAACTAATGTTCAACTTCATTAACATTTCTGTTAACTAGAGGGACTGCTCAAGCTTTTATTGTTTTTTTATGTGCAAATTCCTACCTCACATTAATTATTTTCTGGATTCATATTACCTTAGAGTTATACTTACAACATTCAATTACACTAAAATCACGTACCATGATATAAGGGAAAAAAATTAATGAAACTATTTAGTATTTCAGGTGGTTATCTTGAGTTTTAAAATGTTGGGCACTCCCAATTCCTTTTGCCAGTGTAAGTATAATACCATATAATCTTTCTAGGATATTTTTATGTCTCTACTCAGAAGGATGATGTATGATAAAACTGTGTGTCTAATATAGGAAGTACATTATGTAAATTGATCAAGATTTCTTGCCAGCATTTGTGTATTGCTCTGCTTACTGAAGTTCATGTACCTTGGAAAAGAGTCATGATTAGACAGGTGTTTCTTCATCCTATGAGATCAAATTTCTGAAATATTTATATAGTGATGAGCCAGATGTACACAGCTTAACCTTGTAATCCCATTTCACAGCTTTCCCAAATACTTGGAAACTTGTTAAGTATGAAGCTGATTATTTTGGCAGCATATCTCCATTAATAGGATTCAGATATTCCTTATTTACAAGCCAGTGCTGTTAATATAATCTACTACATTAAATCAACAAGGAAATGGAAAAAGGAGAATCCGTCCAAGGGCAAATTGACAGGGAAGCTTTTCCTAAAGCTTTTTAATTTGTTTTTTATTGACTCCATAATATCAGAAAACACACAGCAAATGTGAATAATGTACATGTTTTGGATACCATGCTACAGCCATTTTGGTGTGAAGTAGTTAGTGCTCAGATCCCTTGTACTTCTATCATAACTTTGATGTAAGCCACATAAGACCATGCATCTCTGCTCTTTACAAATATCCCTTTCAGCATCATCTCAATGGCAAAGCTTACTGTCATTTGACATAAAATTATTTTAAATGCACTCATCTGTTTTTTAATGAACAGAAGCAATACAGAATAATGTAATAATATGTCATGATTTTCATTATGCTTATTTATTGGTTCTGCAATAATAGGAGAGCATATTGTTATGCTTTCAGCTTGAGCTATTTATGCACTGTGCTACTGGATGCACCATTTTATATTTGTGATATTTTGTCCTCCCAAGAAAAGGGGTATCAAGATCCTTAAATCAAATTAGACTAGGGGAAGAGTTTCATACTTCGTCTTTTTTATATTAAGTATATAGCTTTTATAAATTACCTAACTCTACTTGAATAAACTTACACACCTTCAGAGAGAGGAATACCCTATTTTCCAAGCTGTATGTGACAACCTGATTTACATGGTTTGAAAAGAAGGAAGAGGAAAGCAGACTATCAGAAAAGAGAACAACTTTTCCTTTTTTATCTGTTGGAGAAAATTATGTCCTTTGTGTTTTATATTTACACAAAAGTGTCTAACACACCAATAAGAAGGTGACATAACTTTTTTAGTTATGTTATAAAACAAAACATATAATTAAGTAACTTGTAAAAAAAAGAGTTTTTCAAGCCCAGATGAGATGTAAATATTTGAGATTTCTGGACCCTTGATTGTGTGTGTGTGTGTGTGTGTGTGTGTGTGTGTGTGTGTGTGTAATAACAGATACTCCAGAGATGGAGCTACTCCACTGAGACCACGTGCCTGTAGGCCTGTGTAGTTGAGATTCAGGCACGGCTGGTCTACTGCCTTTTGGATTTCAACTAGTCTATCATTGAACTGGAATCTGTAGTGACCCTCCAGGGATGAATTGCTTACATTTGACTACAGGGCCAGTTACTCCTCTTCTGTTTGATTTTTAGCAAGTCAATAGTTTCCCTACAAAAAGATACTTTAATCCTGGGAAAAACAACAACTATTACAAACTCCTGATATTCAGATATCCATGTTTTTATATTAAAATAATTTCAAGTTGTTTTTGAATATGTTATTTGTCTTTGAGTTTAATTTTCACTCTTCTCAAAATTATGACTATATTTTTCCCAATTTTAAGAAAAATTCTTATATATTGCAAATATTCTACTAAAATAAATATCTAAAACAGTGTCCAGTGTATAGTAAGAAGTCATTACATAATTGTGGACTGAAAATAGAGAAAGTTGAACTTATAGAGTTCAATTGCCTATAATTTACTACTCAGAGAAAACCATTGTTAATTTTTTGTTGAGTAAATCTGCAATTCTTCCTTTCCAATTCTAAAATTCAAAAGACTCAGGCCTGAACTGATTTAACATTACTTATAATCTTTACTTATTCTACCTAGTGTGAATATCAACATTTTTCACTGCAGAGATATCGATATGTTTAATATTGAGGTGTTCCGCTAGTCCCCACTGGAATGGACAATACATGACATATACATCAAAATATCATTCTAAAATATGAAAGAGGATGGTCTTACAAAATGAAAAAAAGGATTGTGAACCTATATCTCTTTCTACTTCTTCATGCCTGTGCACATGCACACAAACACACAACTATATATTTTATAAAGAGTTGTATATATACTAAACACAGCATAGTAAACTGCATTTTCCTTAAAATTGTATAAATTTCATGAAAAATTATATACTATTTCATTTTTTCATGTCAATAATGTAGTTTCACATTATCTTAATAATGGAATTCTAGGCCAATCAATGGATATATTAAAATTCAGTTACTCTCTGATAGATAGGTGGTTTAATTGAGGTTTTTTTTTTTTTTTTTTTTTTTGAGACCGGGTCTCACTTTGTCACCCTGGCAGGAGTGCAGTGGCACGATCTCGGCTCATTGCAATCCTTTCACATCGGCCTCCCAAGTAGCTGTTACTTCAGGCATGTGCCACCAGGCCTGGCTAACTTTTATATTTTTTTTAGAGCTGGGGTTCTGCCAGGTTGCCCAGGCTGGTCTCAAACTCCAGGTCTCAAGCCATCCATCCGCCTCAGCCTCTCAAAGTTCTGGGATTACAAGTGTGAACCACAATGCCTGGGATTCTATTTTGAAAATTCCTGACTTAAAAATATATATATTAGCTATGCAGTCCAGGGGAAGTTGCTTAATCTTTTTAAATTTTGTTTCTGATTTCTTATAAGGCATAATATTTACTATCTATAGGGCCGTTGTAAGAATTAAAGATAAAATGTAATTATTTGTATAAAGAATATGATAAATACTAAATACATATTAACACATATTATTATTGTTGTTAAAAGCAAATTACATAAAACATTCTGGTGCAGTTAAACTTTAGGGTACTGATTTGCAAACATATTCTCTATAAAAACAATATTTCACTTGGCCTAAATATAAGCAGTTGCATAAGAACAGAGTTTTATTTAAGAACACTTACGGGCCGGGCGCGGTGGCTCACGCCTGTAATCCCAGCACTTTGGGAGGCTGAGGCGGGTGGATCATGAGGTCAGGAGATCGAGACCATCCTGGCTAACAAGGTGAAACCCCGTCTCTACTAAAAATACAAAAAATTAGCCGGGCGCGGTGGCGGGCGCCTGTAGTCCCACCTACTCGGGAGGCTGAGGCAGGAGAATGGCGTGAACCCGGGAAGCGGAGCTTGCAGTGAGCCGAGATTGCGCCACTGCAGTCCGCAGTCCGGCCTGGGCGACAGAGCGAGACTCCGTCTCAAAAAAAAAAAAAAAAAAGAACACTTACGACTATAAAAAGGTAGTTTTACTGGAGTACTAATTAATTTTACTACAAATTTCATTTTGCACCCTCTAAACCAGGCTTGGTCACTTTTGGTTAATTTTTGTTAGATGATTTTAAGAGTGACAAACTTTTGGTAGAGGATTTTCCAAAATCGGTTTCTAGATATTGTAAATTTCTTAAAATAACAAAGTAAACTCTAAAGTAGAAAGATGTTAAGTCTTCTATATAAATTGTGACTTCTTTTTTATGGAGAGAGGCCTTTTAGGAAGGAAAGCTTGTACCAAGGAGAAAATGAAGAGAAGTTTCTACAAAAGAACTGTTGTAGGATAGTGAATATTAGAAATTTGGATGCGTACAATTGCTTCTGATTCCATTTATACTTCTTTTCTTACAAGAAAACTGAAATACAGAGATTTCATTCATGTATTTACAGCCAGCTAGGAATACAGAACTAATGTCATCTGGTTCAAAGTTTAGAGTTCTTGCTCTTATACCACCGGGATCTCATGATTAGCATGCATTTATCATATTGAGGTATCTATAGAGTTTGAGAAATTTATATAGTATAAATAACTGCTGCTATAAAGTACTGCAACTTGGTTCCTAGATTGCAGGTCACTTTGGAGGAGAATTCTTTAAGGCTTCTACACGTTAAACATTAAAATCTATGCTGTGACCTATGTATAACACATTGCCACAGGGTCTTTCAAATAGGAACCTGGCAGTAGTTTCAAGAGGTTCTCTAGCTTTGTCTTGTGTAGTAAAAGTATTCACAAATTTTGGATACTATAGAGCAGCCCAGGATTCTCATGGATTTAATCTCAGATTTAATGTTAAATTTATTTAATTTTATTAAATTTATTTAGTTAAATCAATTCTCAGATTTAATCATAGAACTGGCTCTGATTATTATTTTATTCTAGTCAAAATGGTCCAGTAGATTTCATTGCTTTTCTTTGTGTTTAATCTAATTCAGAGCTGAATAGTTAGGAAGAAAGCCATTCCAGGGGGTATGACCTCGTATTAGAAACTGTAGGGAGTGTTAATTAGAATGAGAATAATAAATCTGTAAAATAGATGTGACAATGATAAATAGAGTAGAATAGAAAGCACAATACACAGAAAAGCTAGATGAATCATACAGTACTTGAAAGAGTGCAAAATTTGAGTCAAAAGAAACTTGTTCATAATACTTACTCATATTGAAACCTCCACTAGCCTTTCATAAATTTCATAGGACTTAGTTTCCCCATCCACAAAAAAGAAATAATTATAATGGACCTATAGAAGTGAGGTTAAAAGGAAAGAGATTTGAAGGTGTAATATAGTGGTGAGATCATCCTATAAAATAGGTGAGGAAGTATGCGATACAAAGGAGTAAGTTCTGGGTATAAGGGTGAATTCTTTGAAGTAAACAAGAGCTGAAGAGCAATGTTGCTGGAAAGAACCGGTATTTACTCTTACACTAAGTACACTCTAGAGGAATTTATAATATGCTTTAGGAAGCTTCATGTGTCGAAATGCATTTTGTTTTCAGGTGTTCCCATGGCGGTACTGTTTCCGCAGTTTTAAGTAGTTTGGAATTGAGTATAAACACACTGCAAATCACCTAACACTGCAGTCCACTTAAAAGAAATATGAACAGTTTTTCAATCAGGTGCTTTCCACATGTACATCTTGTGAGGGAGGTCTGTGTCCTACAGAGAAAGAAAATGATTTGTGTTTTTTCTAAACTATGACCTAATTAAGCATAGTGCATACATAAAAATTCATCTTTAATATTTTATCTGCAGGAATGTGCAGAGTAAAAATGTTAATTATATGGTTAAGAACCTAGACCTAGATTTTCTAAGTAAGGAGTCAACAACTTTTTCTGTTAAGGGCCAGATAGTAAATATTTTAAACTTTGTGGTTCATGAAATTCTCTGTCACAAATACTGTACTCTGCCATTGAAGCAGGAAGGCAGCCATAGAAAACATGCAAATGAATGGGACATGGCTGAGTTCCAATAAAACTTTATTTTCAAAAACAGATAATGGGCCATGAGACAACCATTGTTGTAAAGCATGACTGTTATTGATATTTCTTAAGTTTTTTTTTTCATTTGTGTGTGTGTGCCTGTAAAAATTGCACCATGTAGATTATAAAAAGTTTCTAACAAAATCAAAATGATTGTTATTTTAAAACTAGATATAAAAGAATGCAGACCTATTGTCTCATGAAATGATCGTCATTAAGTAAGATTGCTTGTTTCACTAGAGGAGAAAATTCTTGAAATTAAAATCTTTAAGCAAAGAAAAAATTGGAGATGCTTGAATTTGATATTATGTGACAGTCTGATAAAGAGTACAGAGATTTCACTTCATCTTGTGCTAATGTTTAATTAAAAGTATATTGACACTAGTAAAGACACTTTATTTTAATTTGAGGTATAAATGTCTACCTAAAATAGACTATTTCCATTGAGTCATACATTTTAAATGTGGTATATATTCTTATATTTCAGAAAATGATAACTATCATAGAAATCTAATACTCATTAATTTGATTAATAATTATTTTTTTCCTCAAATTTGGAAATATCTTTTCCTATGTAATGGTCATGTCAGAGGTTGTCTTTCATTATGTTTTTGGATGGAATTGGTAAATTATCTTTGAAGCTATGTAGAAGGTTGGGGATTTCAAAATTTACCCAAACTATTTATTAATTATTATAAAATATGTTGGCTGATTAGCTACTGGACTGACTTGTTGTTTATAGTCATAAAAAAGTAAAAATTATTTATGCCTATCAAGAGTTAAAAGAAAAACAATAGGCATTGTGTCAGTCCATTTCATCTTGAACTTCATTTTATTTTGTTTTTTCTATTAGGAGTTAAAATGCACCTACAAAGGTGACAGTTGAAAGAATAATGCAAAACAGAGAGACAACTAAATTTGTTGATATTTTTAATTTCATTTGTCAAATGTAACATTATCTAAATAATAATTGATTTATCTTCTAATTGATGATTTAATATTTTGAGATGTAAGAATGGTGAATTTTGTTTACCAAAATTATTGTATTCATAAAGTTTCTTATTTTAGTGTATTGTGAAAAAATAAATTGATGGAAATATATAACAGACTTGTAGTCTGTTATATGTTTGGATCACCTTTTAAATTAGTTATTTTGTTTGTGTGTGGGAATTTTACATAATGATGGGAAAAAAGTAACATATTAAATTTCTTTTGCATTTAAAAAGGTAGGTATTCATAGGTGCCTAGTTTGACAATTTATATGAGTATAATGATGGTAAGTAATCATATGATTAAACCTCCTGCATGCATTAGAATATTTGATAATAAATGGCCATGATTGCCTTTTAATGTTATCGATCAAAGAAAAATCTAGTTGTCAGAGTTATATATAAAGCACATTAAACATTAAACAATAAAACACATTAAAACAATAACATGAAGGTATAGAAATGTAGAAGTACAGATTCTTTCAAAGAACCATCTTGGTATTAAGGGGGATAGTAGTTCTAGTTTTATTTATTATGTAACAGTAATTGTAAAAAAATTTTCAAGGAAAGTTACATTAATTTCTCATCAACTTATTTCCAAAAATATTGGAATGGTTCATTATTTTTCTCCATTATCTCAGAGAGGCAGTACAGCAACCGACTGGTGCTGGCAGGCTCTGGCAAGTGTCATTGTTCTATAATAAATTGGGTATATGATGGACAAATCTATGAAAGTCACTTAGCTACAGTTTCTTTGTTTGAAAAAAAATGTAAACAATGCCTCCACTTTATCTCCTAGGGCAATTGAGAAGAATGAATAATAAACATCACTACAGTAATACTGTTTTGTAGATCCTAATACAAGACACTGTACTCCAAATCTCCCAGTGCAGAATTTAATTAGTGACATTATAAACATGCATTTAGACTCAATGCATTATAGTTTCCAAGCATGTCCATAGTAGCTAAATAAATTAGGCTAAAAACCAGCTTGATCATAAAAATTTAATTTGTAAAAATGTATTTTCGCTTATTAGCAGGTTTCTTAAATTTAATTATATCTAATTTTAAGAAAATGTATCTACCATAAGACTCAGAATTCTTAGCAATAATAAGTAATATCACCAATTTATCTTCCTTTCTTTATTCTCTTCCTTTGTCTTTATATACCGAGAATATTAGAAGAAGCTATTTCAGAAATGTAATGAATTTTCACTGGCCACATATAACCTTTGAATTCTTCGTCCTGGAGGCCCTATTGCAGAGAATCCAGTTTTAGATATTTCTTTCAGTGGGAAAAGTCTTCAGTATTCTTAACAGAGATGGAAAAAGAGCACGGGAGGAAGAAAGCAGAGGAATGTCTCCAGAGATAAGTCTGGCTGAGAGATAGCAAAAAACAGAAAAGAACTTCAAATTTACTCCTACACTGCCTCTGGAATAAAAAGGGAAGACTAAGTTTTGAATAGGGCTGAGATGAAGAGGCTGACAACACAGAAGAGAATGGGTGATTTGAGGATGTTGGAGTTAGCAGTCTTTAAGTATGTTTTAATTTCTGTCCTCATGGCACATCCAGTATTTAGTGGCATCTCAGTTGGCCCTGGGATTCGCAATACAGCAAATATATAACAGGAATGTATGGCAGTCTCTATTTTATGCGCTTTCATAGATAACAAATAGCGCTCATCTTAATTTAATTTTAACTTTTTGATAATCTCAGTTTTCTTTGTTCTTGTCAAAGATAACTTTTTTCGAGATTCATAAATTACATAATTAAATGCTGGCACATCAGTTATTATTAAAGTTATCAATGTCATTTCAAAGAGTTAGCATTTGCAAGAGATCTTAATATATACCCAGATTACTTTAAGAAAAAAATCTAAGTCATCCTCATTGAGCAGCAGACTTAAAAATTCTTACTTACAGGATGTGGCTGTTCCTGTCCTCTCATTTTTAATTTAAAGGAATGCTGGTTTTTGCTCAATATTGTAAGAATACCCAATGTTTTTATTACGCCTTTAGTAGCAAAACACAAATGTCAACCACACTATACTTGTATAAAATGTATTATTTTGAAAACCACTGATAAATACAGTTATTGCCATACTTCATACACTTTAAAAATTCCACAGCCATAGGTGCTGTCAGATAACTTTATGAGTGGTGGCTTAAAATGCCGTTGCCTACTTCAGCAATGTAGAAAGAACCACACCATATATTCTGTGGAAGGCAAAGCTATCAGAAGCAATGTCGGTACGAAAAGGCTTAAAGTGAATTATTCACCTCTTAACACTCCCTTGTGTTCAGTCTACTGCAAACAGAATGCTTGTTATCAATGTGAAAAGCAGTGGCTTTGAATTAAGGCAAAAATTTGTTTTGTTTAGTTTTCAACGCAATGGTATCAAGGTAGACAAACAAACTTCTGTCCCTAATTCAAGGGTATTTTTCAAAATTTTATTTCTGTGTACCCCTGGATTAGGAAAACACTGAAAATATAAATTTGGCTGATTTTATAATTATACGATTTAACACCATATCTAGAATCATTTATTTTTAGACAAAATGTTGTTCTGTTCACTACACATCCAACCCCAAATTAGATTTTAAGAGCTGAGTTGCTCTCTTAATGACTTCAAAAAGTCAAAGACATACTTACAATTATTCTAGATTAATACACCTAGAATTAAAAATGTCTTCGTCTTTATATTTCAAACAGTGGAAGATCACTTTGTATTTGAAATACGTATCTTTATAATATATTTAAAATGTATAAAAATAATGTTGACACAAACATATAAAGCCTATACAGATAATGCAAAAAATAAATTTAAGTATTATCTATTTAGATTATTGAGGCAAATGTTTCTAGAACTTGCTGAAAAAATGCTACATCTTTTCTTCCTTAGTCTCTAATCTGCTTCCAGTCCCATCCAGTGTGTGTATTTTTACTTTAAAATACTACAGCTTTTATTTTTAGATGTTTCGTTTGAATCTTTTTTTATATCTTCTATTTCTCTCTTTCAGGATCAAAATTAACGTGAGGCAAGGGAGGTAGTTAAGGCACAAGATTTAAGGAGACACTCTCCACGTCCTGCTTTTACATTCCTGAACATATTTTTAATATTTCTGATCGATTTTTAAAGGTCCTATTAGTTAATCCTATCATCACTCATCCCTGAGTCTGTTTTTATTGATTTTTCTCCCAGGTCTAGGTTATATTTTCCTGGCTTATTGCATGCCCTGTAATTCCTGATTGAATCTTGGATATTGTGAATCTTACATTGTTGATGCTGGATTTGGGACTGCCTATGTTCTGAGCTAAATGTACATCTGTGAAATGAATGCATCCATTGGGCTGAGTGGTAGACTCTGACTTAAAGGTCTCCAGTTTGGTAAAGAGATAGAGAAAGCCAAGAGGACTTCAAGAATGCTAACGGGTTTTTCGTTTGTTTGTTTTGTTTTGTTTTGTTTTGTTTTGTTTTGAGGCGGATTCTTGCTGTGTCGCCCAGGCTGGAGTGCAATGGTGCAATCTCTGCTCACCTCAACCTCCGCCTCCTGGGTGCAAGCGATTCCCCTGCCTCAGCCGCCATCTCTACTAAAATTACAAAAGAATGCTAGCAGTTTATAATCCATTGCCTCCTGTGTCTCCGCACCAATCATTCTGGAAATGTCAGAGTTCTATGGTGTGTCAGAATTGTTCCTTTCATAGGAAATTTCCTGAATATCTCATGACTCTATCTATAATGGGTAGCATAATATTGGCTAATTAGCACCAAGGTTATTTATATTGTGTGTGTGTGTGTGTGTGTGTGTGTGTATACACACACACTCACATATATAATTATCAGAGTATGTGTAAATTAATCCCAGATTGAATTCTAGCAGCATTTACTTAAATGGTATGTTTGATGGTGAAAAACTGACCATAGAATACAGTTTCCTACTGCTCACATTATTCTTCTCTTCCTTTTGCAGGGATACATTTGAAGACTAGTGTTCTGATTTTTTTCTTAGAAATTCATTAGAAATTAGACTTAAAATAATGAGGTCTTTATTTTTCTCATCCCACAGGTGTCTAATTTTATAGAAATCCAAGTGTTGCATTAAAATTTACCATACACTCATCCAGTTACCATTATTTCATATCATTACTGTGCTGCACAATTTAAAAATTAAAAACTTATAATGAGAATTGTATTATAAACTAAGAAATTTGCATACATTATCTCGTATAAACTTAAAACCCCACATTTTGAATACTCTTATATTATCTTAATTTTGCTGCCAAAATTGTAAAATTATTTTGACAATATTTTGCATACATTTTGGTACATTTCAGAGGCTAACCGTTTTGTATTACATGTTTTTTAAGTTTTTACAAAGTATGGTGTTAACTTACTTCTAAAGGTAGAAACAGTTTTATGAGCCATTTTGAAAATTAAAACAATTCACCGTTTCTGAAGACAGAGCCCAGTCCTCCACGATCTAGCCATGTTTCTTTCCTGTGTTCAAAAGAGAAGCTACTACTTTGCAACAAGTGCAGTTTGAAATTTTTATGTAAAGTATTTATTTTATGGCTGGGTAAATCAGAGATACACACAAGAAAAAAATTCTTTGGAAGAAATAAAATTTGAAGGCTGGGTTCGGTGGCTTATGCCTGTAATCTTAGCACTTTGGGAGGCCGAGTCGGGTGGATCCTTTGAGCTCATGAGTTCGAGTTCGAGACTAGGGCAACTTGGCAAAACCCCGTCTATACTAAAGAAGAAAAAAGAAAAAAGAAAGATAGCCGCCATGTTGGCGCACCCTTGTAGTTCCAATTACTTGCGCGGCTGAGGCAGGAAGATCATTTGAACCTGGGAGGTTCAGGCTGCAGTGAGCCACGATCACCCCACTGCACTCCAGCCTGATGACAAAATGAGACCCTGTCTCAAAAAATAAAATTAAATAAATTTGAGCTATGGATCTGTTGCTTGGATTTGATGGTGTGATTAAATAGATATTTATATCCAAATTCATTTGTATTCTGTCCAAATAAATATTAAATATCTACATAGGTTTCAGAAATTGGCTCAGTATCATTTTAAAAGACAAGTTCAGAAACACTCTTTGTTGAGAATATTAAAAAAATAACTTTTATTATAATTATTTTATGAGACAGAAGAATCCTCAGCATATATGTGATGCAGATAATCATATTAGGTATATTTTGGTATTACCATTTGCTTTTAAAATTAATTACAGTAATGTGAACCTTTTTTGAGGTGTATAGTTCTATGACTGTTCATACATGTGTAGTTTCATGAAACAAGCAAGATACTGAACAGTTCTATCACTTTAAAAGCTTCCTTATGCTATCTCTCTCTATCATACTTTCCCTCACCTTTCACCCCTAGCAACCACGGATTTGTTCTGTGCCATAATAGCTTTGCCTTTTTTAAATGACTAGTCTTATAAATTGAATGATACAGTATGCAATTTTTAAAGATTGACTTTTTTCACTCAACATAAAGCTTTTGAGATTCATTCGGGTTGTTACAACAGTAGTCCATTTTTTCATTGCTAAATGGTATTTTATTACACTTATGTATGAATATGTATGATGGTCTGTCTGTTCACCTTTTGAAAGATACCTAGGCTGATTCCAGTTTGGGGCAAACATACAGAATTTTGTGTGAACATACTTTTCATTTTTTTAGGGTATATCCCTAGAAGTAGGATTGCTGGGTCATATGATAGATTTATGTTTGACGTAAGAAATGGCCAGGTTGTTTTCCAGGGTAGGTGTACCATTTTGCATTTTCACCTAAATTTATGAGAATTCCAGTTGTTCCACATCCTCATCAGCATTAGTATTGTTAAGTTTTTAAATTTCATATAATCTAATAAATATATAGTGTCATTTTATTGTAATTGTGATTTTCATTTTCCTAATTGCAGCTTATAGTAAATCTCTCTTCATGTGCTTTTGTACCATCAATATATTCTATATGATTTAGTGTTAAGCCTTTCAAGTGTTTGTTTGTTTGTTTGTTTTCTTAGTTTTGACAGTTCGTTATACAGTCTGCATGCAACATTATAGATGTTCTCTCAAGGGCTGTAGCTTGTTTTTAAATTCTCTTAACAGTTTCTTTGCAAAATCAACATTTCTAATTTCATAAACTCCAACTTTTTCTTCTGTGGATCATGCTTTGATATTGTCTAACCACTGTGTAGTGCCCTTTCACAAAGATTTTCTGCTAAGTTTTCTACTGAATATTTTTAGTTTTACGATTTACATTTAGGTCTATGTTCCATGTTTGAGGGAGAGAAAGAGAGAGAGAGAAAAAGAGAATGTGTATGTGTATGTGTGTGTGTCTAATGTGTAAGGTATAGATCAAGGTTCATTTCTACTGAATTATATATTGAATCGTCTTTTCAACTTTGTTAAACATCAACTGTTCATATTTGTGTGGGTCTGCTTCTGGACAGTCTTCTGTTCCATTGTCATATGTATTCACTCGTTTGGCAATACTGCAGTCTTCATTAGTGTGGCTTCAATAGTAAGTCTTTTTGTTGTTGTCGTTGTTTTTTGAGACAGAGTCTCACTCTGTTGCTCAATCTGGAGTGCAGATTGAGCTCACTGAAACCTCCGCCTCCTGGATTCAAGCGATTCTCGTGCCTCAGCCACCCAAGTAGCTGGGATTACAGGCATGTGCCTTGAAACCCAGTTAATTTTTGTATTTTTCTTTTAGTAGACAAGGGATTTTTCACCATGTTGACCAGGCTGGTCTCGAACTCCTGGCCTCAAGTGATCCACCCACCTTACCCTCCCAAAGTACTGGGATTACAGGCATGAGCCACCATACTGGGCCCAACAGTAAGTCTTAAAAGAGAGTAGTGTAATTTCTTCAGAAATTGATTTATCTTTTAAAAAATTGTTTTGGCTATTATAGTTCATCTCCTATCACATATTAATTTAAGAATCATCTTGTTTAAATACACAGAAAATTTTTCTGAGAATTTGCATGGAATTATGTTACATGCATACATTATTTGGGGATCCAAATTGTCTTCCAATCCATAAACATATATCTCTCCATTTATTTAGGCCCTTTAAATTTATTTCATTTTTTTATAATGTTCAGCATACAGATCCTATACATTTTAAAAAATATTTGTTGAACAATTAATTGATAGGCGCTATTATAAGTGTATTGTTTTTACTCCTCTCAGAGGAACTTAAGGACATGTAAGTGGCCATATCAAAATAACCTACTTCCACAAACAGAGAGCTTTCCTAGTCTCAGCTAGCATGACTCAGTTTCACTACATGCTTTCTTTTGACCTTTTTCAGACAAGTTTTTTAAGAATTACAATAATTTGAATCAGACATCAAGTTGTAGAAGATTGCATATCCTTAGGAATAGTTTATTACTGAATATTGCTGATAAAAATGTTGATTTTTAATATCATTTATAAATGTACCACAGTTTGCTGATCACTAGTAAAGAAAAAAGACAAATAATCAGAGAATTCATATTCTGCCAACTTTATCCACTCTGTTTGCTTGCTTGCTCACTTGTTTATTTTCCTGTTTATTTTCTCCACAAAGGAAAGTAAAGAATATCTAATTTTTTATTACCTTTAACACACAAAGAAAGAAAACGAAAAAGATAGGAGAGTACATTCAGTATGATGTTAGTTCACATCTGTTTTGTTATGATCAAATAATCACTTTTTTTAAAAAAGTGATTTTTTTGTCTCATGTATTATTGATTTTTTGTAGATTTTTAAATAGATCATCATATAGTTTTTAAAATACCTACTTGAAAACATTTATGTAGCTACCCACCAATTGTAGGTACATGTGATATTTTTAATGATAAACAAATCATCATGTTTATATATTTATCATATAAAAGTCACTGTGTTCAAGTTGAGTTTGAAGAGAACACTAGTGATTAGTTTGCATGAAAGATAAGGTTTTCAAGCATTGTAAATATTCGTGTTTAATTACTCTGCTGAGTCCTAAAATGTACAAATGTCTGACCTCAAATTCTACCCTCTTCCAAGACTTAAAATTTATGAATTATAAATGGAAAAGGTAAAACTCAATTTTTAGAGTATAGTGTTGTAAAATATCTGAATACTCTTATACTTCTAATTAAATGGTGCTGTCATACATATGGCTTTTTTCTCTATTTTTCATTTTTCTATGCAAATACTGTTATTTTATATTCAGATTATTTTAAATGAATTTTCAGAGACCCTTGGAGTCTAGATAATGAAAATGTAGTCAATTAGTTATATGTTTGTTAAAGGCCAAATGGCTATTACGTTATGGTAATTATACACACACACAATCTCTCATTCCTATCTACTTTAATCAATGAGTTCAGACATTATTAGTAAACTTCTGATACTCTGCTAGTGATTGAATTGCAAACTTTTAAAATTGTACTTTGTGAAATTCTATAATTAGAAACCAACTTCTTTTTTCTACATTTCTTTTCACTCCTCTCACCCTGCTTCCTCCTCGTTCCTGTATCTTTTCATTTCTCTCTCCCACTTTCTTTCTCTGTGCTTTTCTCTTGCTATTCCTCAGATTTCTGTTTGTTTGTTTATTTATTTTTGTTTTTGAGACAGGTTGACCAGGCTGGAGTGCAGTGGTGCTGTCACAGCTCACTGTAGCCTCGACATCCTGGGCTCAAGTGATTCTCAGTCTCAGCCTCCTGAGCAGCTGGGACAGGTGGGCGCCACCACACCTGGCTAATTTTATTACTATTTTTATCAAGATGGGGTCTCAATACATTGACAGGGCTGGTCTCGAACTCCTGAGCTCAAGTGATCCTCCTGCCTCCACCTCCCAAAGTGCTGGGATTACTGGCATGAGACACTCCACCTGGCCTTTCTTTGGCTTTCCTATTTTCTCTTGTTCTCTCCCAAACACCGTTCTTTTCTCCTTTCCTCTTGTTTTTCTATCTTCATCAGACCAATATTTGGCTGCAGTACCGTTGCCCAGAGTTCATCAAATGCTCATGCATAAATACATGTGTGTGTACATATAATTTTAATAGCTCTTCATTCAATGGAAATATGATTTCATTTCTTAGCTTATGTTTCTTATTTAATTAGAAATGCTTAGAACTTTAATAATATGCAAATATTTCTAGATACTGTTCCTATCAGGACAAGAGAAAAAAAGTTTCCCCAGACTATTTCCTTGTGTCTAAACGAATAGGGATCCACATCCTATGAGGCTCCACTTAATTAAAACCATTAAAATCACAAGACTACTTATAATAGTGCTTACATTTTTTAACTAGAGTTTCTGATTTCACAGTAAATTTTATTGTCTCTTTAATAACCTGGATTTTGTTTTCTTGAAGTGTTCTAAAACACTTATTTTTAGCTTTCAACTGACAGCAATAATGGAATAGATACATGTGTTTGATCAATTCAAAGGATGAACTAGTTTTTATTAAATTAAAATGTGAAGTGACTAAGTAATTATAGTTTAAAAATTTTTCAAAATATTTTTGGAAACATTTTTGCCACTGGTGTTGACTACTGCTATTAACTTTACTAGAAAATCAAGTTATCCTTAAAAACTGATATTTTGTCATTATGGAAACAAAAAGTAAGATGCTTCACTGAATCTAGAAATTACTACAATATATAAATAGAAAGTGTCTGCTACCAACTGCTAGTAAAAGACGGTTAGGAGTGAGCAATGAATCCACCTTTTTCACTTCATCTTTGCATGTACTTTGACATGCAGGTGAGTGAAGTTTTCCAATGCTTCACTTCATCTTTGCGTGTACTTTGATAAATGTCATTTGGACAAACCAAAAAAGGTTATATATTAAGAAATTTGTGGGGGGGGTTTCTGTCCCCAAACTTGACAATGACACATATTACTTTAAACTATCATTCTTTAATGATATCAAATAAACTATCATTCTTTAATGTATCAATACTTTATATTACTTATCAATACTTTAAACTATCATTCTTAATATGCCTTTTTCTTTTTTCAGTAATCGCTCACAAATTCAAATGCTTTATATTATTATATGGGAAGAAGAAAAAAAGAATATCTTATTTTAAATTAGCCTTATTAATAAGGAAAGCACATATTGCACTACATTAAGTCTTACCTTGGGCCCTCTGTTTCATGAATTGCATGATCCCTGTGTCACTGATACTTGTGTGCTGGATAATCTTGTAGGAACCCATAGCTGCTTCAGAGTATAATGCCGTGATATGAAGTGATGCAGGAAACAGGAGAAGCTTTGTCACTGAGTCAGCTGCAAGAAGAAGTAATGTGTATGAATGTACAGTATAGGGAAATCTATGAAAGATCCAGTCTCTTTCTCCCAAAAGACTCTGTTCCATGATACAAGGAGAATTCAGTTCTTTTTGGCAGACCTCCATGTCAGTTTGGAAGCAGTAAAAACAACCGCAAAAACAAGCCTGGTTTCTCAATGTCTTTATGCTCACGTTTTAAGTAACATTTTTTTCTCTCTTATTTTTGTTTTGCTTTGTTTTTAATAACTAGGAAGTAAAATAGAAATCCATTCCGACTGGATTGTTTGAACATAATTTCCATAGTTGGGTTGTAGCTGAGAATGAATTATAGCAATGAGTTCAACCATATGTGAGATGCTTGTATCCATTACTGGCAAAATTGGAAGGAAAGGCCCTGCATCTCTTAATTGAGGAGTGGATGACTTTAAATGATATTACATCAAGAAACACATAGAATCCCAGTAGATGATGTAATTATGTTTAAAAATGAGTATTATTAAATAATTCACACTTTTAATATGGAGAAATTAGGTTATTTTCCCACTCCTCCCACAAATATTCAATCTTAATATCTAAGTAATGAAACAACACAGCCAGTGTTATCCATCCTGGTACTAAAAGAGAATGCCAGTTATGACAGGCTCATTGTTTACTTTAACAGGTAATTTGTGGACCGGAATCATTTAATTGTTCTGAGTACATAATTACATGTCAGCAATTTCCAATTTAATTAAAATGTACAAATCTGAAGATTAAGGGAATTTTTGAATTATTAATCATTTTTCCACTAGGAAATCTTGTTGCTCTGCAGGAGATTTGTCCAGTGTACAACTATACGTATTTTTTTCCTTCTCTTTCACAGACAGACAATTTTCCCGCAGAGCCCAATTACATGGGCAGCAGGCAGCAGTTTGTTCAAAGGTAAGGCCTATTAAATAACTTTTCTCAGCTTCCCCATTTGCATTCGTGTCAAAATTGCTTTGCAAGAGACTACACTTCAGATTCAAACTAGTAGAGACAACACTTTCTCTTCTTTTTCTTTATATGTATTTCAGTAGCTCCACGTTTAAGGACCCAGAAAGAGCCAGCCTGAGAGACAGTGGGCACGGGGACAGTGATCAGGCTGACAGTGACCAAGACACTAACAAAGGCTCCTGCTGTGACATGTCTGTTAGGGAGGCACTCAAGATGAAAACTACTTCAACTAAAAGCCAACCACTTGAACAAGGTGAGTGAAGTCTTCCAATGCTTACAAAGTGTAAAGCTTAAGCAGTCATTATAAACCTATTAGATCTAGAGTTGCAGTTTATCACAGTGGAATGGACCATTTATAATATATCAAAGAAACAGCAAATCTTGAGGTTGCCCCAGAAAAAAAGCAACCATTGAATAACACAGTCAAAAACGAAAAACGAAGGCCCTGGGTATCATTCATTAATCCTAAAACAAGAACTTGACCAAAGTCACTTGATTGTTCTTATTTCATAGACATTTCCCACCCTTTCCTATTTGGGGTTATACTAACAAGGAAAATATGGCATATATTAGCTAGATATGTATATTTATGAATTTACAGTATAAAAATTAGTAAATTCAACACTTTTTAGATAAAATGAAATCATTGGAATTTTATAGCTCTTAGCAGTGCTTGTTGATTTATTTTTTGTTTGGATTTTAGCTTCAAAATAGTTTTTCAAGAGTCATAGGTAAACCAGAGTTTTGGCTTTCTTTTGATTTACATCTAAGGCTTCATGAATATCAAATGGGTAATAAAGCAATGTGTCTTAAATACATATATTTTTGTAAAATTTTATCTCTAATTTATTCATCTCATGACTTTTTATTAATTTTAATGTTTTTGTTGTTTCAAATACAATAAAATGTTTGCTAATGATTCATCCAAAGTAAATTAAATTACTCTTATGTATAAGACTAAAAACTGTGAATAGGTTTTTTATGTCCTATTGTAAAAAGTGAAAAGAACTGTAGTTGATATAGTAACAGTCTTCAGAACATTAGTAGTATGTAAATATATTTAGACTTATTATTTCAGTTGTTTTGAATGAGAAACTACATTTAAAATATGTGAACCTAACCTCTAAGTCATTTACTGATTAATGATTTATAGAAAGTTAATTTTTGCCTGTAGGGCAGCCTGTTCTATTATATATATACCTCAACAGATACAGTGTTAAGTTTTCTAGTCGTTAAAATGTTTAATGCAAATATTAATATACCCATATATATAAGTATATACATATATGTTTATATATACTTATTTATATATATTTTTTAAAACAAAATTAATATATATTCAGTTTAAATATATATTAATATTTTTGGAATAAATATAATTATGCTGAATTTATTTTAAGGTTGACCTCAGAAAAAGCTGTTTTCTAAGTAGTAATTGCTAGACCGATGACTTTTTTCACGATCTTTTACCATAGCAACTTTCTGTGTTAATAGTGCAATATTGTTTTAAAAATTATTTTTAACAAAAGCAATGTGAATCCTTATTTATTATTCCCATTTTCTGAAAATTTATATGTTTACTTGACGTGACTTAAATGGTCATGATGGGTTGTAGCTCTGTGATTTTATAAAACATATGAATCTTTGAGATACATTTTCAATAATGGCTTGTTGAAACTTGATATGTAAATACACTGCATGAGATAGACCCATCTATGTGAATGACACATAAAATGATTGATAGATAATTGATTGGCTACTACTTATGAAAATGCCTAAAGTAAGTGAAGAGTTTTTTGTATCTTTATGAGAAACTCTGTTAATTTTTTAAAAAGAGAGCAAACCAACAAAAACAGCAACAAGAAAAAACTGCTGTTCACATTAACTGTTTAATTTCATGCCAACCACTAACTTAGAAATGTATTTGACAGAAGTGAATTTTATGTATATTCTCTTATAGAGAAAGGAAGTGGTCTTATTTATTAAGTATGAAAATGCAATTTATACTAAAAAGCTATTTTTTCAATTTTGATATTGAAAATTGAAGTCTAGGGAAGGTGGCTATTATTATTTAAAAAATGCCAAAGATGGCATAAATTTTAAATAATATTGCGCAGGAAATAATTGCTAGTCTAAGAGTAAGAATGCCACACATCCCTATTAGTAAATACAGGAAAATTATTTTGAATCTAGAAGATACACTTAAATAATTTATGAATTATGTGTAAAAGACTGGCTTCCACTTTAAAGCATGATTTATATATATATATTTTTATTATACTTTAAGTTCTAGGGTACATGTGCACAACGTGCAGGTTTGTTACATATGTATGCAAGTGCCATGTTGGTGTGCTGTACCCATTAACTCGTCATTTACATTAGTTACATCTCCTAATGCTATCTCTCCCCGCTCCCCCCACCCCACAACAGGCCCCGTGTGTGATGTTCCCCTTCCTGTGTCCCAGTGTTCTCATTGTTCAATTCCCACCTATGAGTGAGAACATGCGGTGTTTGGTTTTTTGTCCTTTCGATAGTTTGCTGAGAATGATGGTTTCCAGCTTCATCCATGTCCCTACATTTTTTAAAGTTAGTTAAAATAATATTTCACTGATTGATTGATCCATTGATTTGATTTATTCATTCATTTAATAAATATCTAGTAAGTGCTTTGAATATGTAAGGAAACGTTAGATCATTCAGGAATGTCAAAAATGAATTTGAATTAGAGCCTGCCTTTAAGTAATCATATGGAACTAATTACAGATGGGTGATCTCTCTCTCTCTATTTCTCCCCTTCCCCCTCTTCATGTTCCCCTCCTTTGCTTTCTCTCCTCTCATCTTTCTGTGTCTTCTGTCCTCCTATATTTCTTTGTCTACTTCTCATCTATATATCTCTTTATCTATCTTTTTTGTCTATGTCAACTATTTTATCTATCTGTCAGTCTGTCTTTCAACTATCTATGTTTGTATCTGTTCATCTAGATTTAGAGGAGGAGACTACAATTTATTGAGTTCTTACCACTTACCATAAACAGTGCAAACAATTTCAACATTAGGTTGTTTAACCTGCAAACTCTAAAAAGTTTTTATTTTTATCTTACATATAAAAAATAAGCTAACTCGAAGTTTATTAACTGGCACAGCAGGTTGGAGTTTAATCCTAGGTCTGGATATGGCTCTAACTTTTCTATTTTCTACACAACCTTGTCTCCAAATGAGAGACTTTGCTCAAATAACCATTTTGACTCATTGCTATGAGAATATATTGAATAAACATCAGAGTAAGTAAAAACCAGTTAATGTGTGCAAACCAAGGGGGAGAAGATCAAAATATCTCATATGCATTGATTGAACTACTGTATTTTGTTCAGTACCTGAAACATATTACCCTATTTAATTCTCATGGCATTTATAGGTAGGAAAGTACTGTTACTCTCACATTCAGTAGATATTAAGTAACTATTAAGCAACTTTTTTTAATATTCTGTAGTTATAAGTAGTGAAGGCAGTATAGAAATTTAAAAAATACATTCAAAGCCTGCCCTTTCAAACAATGTTTTATGCTATTCACGTAATGAGTAGTTTACTCAGAAATAATGTTAAAATGTTAAACAAGCAAGCAGCTATTGTCTTGATCAATGTATTTATTTATTCTATTTGAAAAACATCATGAGAGAAAATTCCACAATTAAGTCAAGCACACATATAAATAACAACTTCCTTTATAGATGAGAGATGATGACAGCCATATCCAAATAATTATTTCATGTAGATTTCAAATATTAAACCCTAATTTTAATAGTTTCAAAATTACCCTAAAAAACAAAAGTAAATTTTCTCTTACGAGAAAAAACTAGAGCTAAATGAAAGGAGATGTGTTTCTCAGTCTTTTTCTCTTACTAAAAATGTGTAGCAGTGCCTTACACAGATTTCAATTAAAATTCAGTAGCATATTATATTTTATATTTTTATATTAGAATATAATTTAAAAATATATATATTTTTTCCAATTTAAATGATCTCATTTTAGAAAAATAATGTTTTATATTTAAATTGAAATATTTCTTTAATTTAGAAATGAAAATCAATTTCAAAAATAATCTTCACATTTTCAATACTTTCTTTGTTAATAATGGTTTTCCTTTGGAAATGACTTAGGCCTTTTGAGATTTTATTTTATTAGCTCAAATATTACTTTCTCATCTTCTGTGCAGTGAAATTTTTTCTATTTGTTCCGTTCCTGATATTTGTGTATTTTTGCTACCATTAGTTTAATTCCAAATACATCGCAAAAGTAATGTATTGCCCACTATTTTGGCAAAATAATTTAAAAGAATTCAGCAGCTAATTGAAGGTGTGATGTACTGTACTAGAGCTGAAGACAGCTTTAAGGATGTAATGTTAATAAACCCGTTAGTAGAAAGAGGTTATTTTTTCTTTTAGTGTGATGGGAAAAAAATCAAAGAATGTATCTAGTTTCTTTCCATTTTATTGCATGTTTGTGCCCTAGTTTTCAAATAGTTAATTAGATTTTCTCCATACCCCCCTTTCATCCTTTATAAAATATAGTAGGTAGGAAGGTAGATTAAAAAATTCCAAATATTTTGGAAGTTGTATAGTACCATAATAGGATATTACTTAATAAAAAGGTAAATATGTATTTTTACCTAATAAATTATTGTTTATTTTAAAAATGGGAAAAGAAAACCATGGAATATTGAGAAAAATATATCTGATCCTTTTTTTTAATGATTTTATATTTTGGAAGAAGATAAACTGATTTATATCAAGACCTAATGAAAATAAATATAGTATTAGTTCTGTAAAGAAGAGCTACCTATAGTTTTATAAATAATAAAACTTTTTTAAGAGTTTATGAAGCTAATGTTTTCTTAAGCCTCAGAATATTATTCACACTTTAGCTTCTTTAAGTAAGTACTGTATCTTTGAATTTCTATCCATTAGAAGCCCTGTAAATTATTTTGATTGTTAGCAATAACTTTTTCTTCATGAAAAGATTTAATAAGCATTTTCTAAAATTTAATAGTCTCCATTGATTTCTAACTAATAAATGTACAGTCCTTATAAGTGCTTACCAGCAATTTCTCTGAGCTCCTTAATGATGGCTAAGTGATAGTTCCCAATTTTCCAAGGATTATCAGCTTTCTGCTATCTTTATAATTGACTGAAACCAACTCCTTGAAATAGAATTGTACAGGAGAATTCTGTTGCAACCTGTGCCAGAAGTGGCGGTGGGATCATCACCAATTCTAACATCACCCTTTTGGGTGGCCGGCCGTCAGTCCCTTCCCGGTGACTGGATTCAAGGACTTCTCTGCTTCCCAGGGATTACCATTCTAATTCTTTCTCATTTTTTCATTTTATTTAATTGCCTTGTAATTTCTAGTTTTCTATTTAATTCTATGGCTTCCTTCTCCTGCCTCTACTGTTAGAAAATCTGTCTTCTTAAATTACATTGAGTTTTAAAATTTCATAATGAAATTCCTGATTCAAATCCAATTTTTAAAATCCATGAAAAGTTGCCAGTAATAGGAATATCAAATATCTTTGGTTTGTTTTAGTGAATTCCAGTTCTAAAACTAAATTTCTTCCTTAAGGATGGCCTTTTTTTCCTTCCTAGAACATTCTAGAAAATCACAGAAAGTAAAGCTAATAAATATTTGTTTGTTTCTTTAAGTTAGTATTTGAATTTTGCTTGGGGGCACCTTAATCAAAATAGGCTTAGGCTAGTTTAAATGAGGGCAGTATTTGTTATGTAATTTCGCAGTTGCCTAGAGGTAAGGGTGGGGGAGGCTCTGAGTTTCACTCCCTCAACTCTCCCTTTCTAATTCCCCATATAATGACTGAAAGTTCATCATATTTCTAATTATGTTTGGAAATGAAACCGATTAAGAAACTTTCCACAACCTGTATTTTACCATGAAGGAACTATTTAAGAAAGCTATAGCAAGGAAATAGAAGTTGAGGCTCGTGCCCACCTGGGGACGAATGTGTGGAACCACACATTCAGATTGTGTGAAGTTAGTGAGCTAGAGGTTTAAGGTGCTGACCACAAACCAGTTACTTTACAATCTTCCCTATAACTGACACTAAATAGAAAAGTAGTAGAACTGTTTCTTTCTGTGTTCTAGTCTGTGGAATGGTTACTGTAGTTCTGACTCTTCCAATTAAGCAGTCGAGATCTTTTCCCAGACCTTCCCATAACAGACAACAGCCAAACTTTTCCCAAACCAAAGAGAGGGTCGAGATGCTTATTCCTGTGGCCCAATAGCAAGATGCAGACTAACTGGGAAAGAAGAGAGTTTACTTCTGTAACCGGGTATAGGGAGAAGGCTGGGAAAGTATCACCAGACCAAGTCTAAATTACAAAGTTTTCCAGAGCTTATATAACCTCTAAGCTATACATCTATGTGTAAGTGTGCATTTGTCTAAAGACATAAGTGATTAACTTCTTCTAATCTATAACTAAGGTCTGAGTCCTGAAGACCTTCCTCTGGAGCCTCAGTAAATGTACTTAATCTAAATGGGTCCAGGTGCCGGGGGTGATTACCCTCATCTTGTCTCCTGCTAAATCATGGAGGTTTGGGAAGTTCCTTTAGATCCTCCAATAAAACTTGTTTGTGGAGGTCTGGGAAGTTTCTTCAGACCCCCAGTAAAACCTGTTTAATCCTAAACGTGTCCTGTTAAGAATTCCTTTGTTATCTTGCTATGCTTTAAGGCCCAGGAAAGGCCTACTCAAGACTTGATGGGCTTTTGTTACATTCCAGCCTTTGTTTAGGGGCACTGGCTCTTTCAGCTTTTAATATTTAACCTAACCACTCAATCAGTGCTGAAACATTTGTCACAGAGGCCTGCTGTTCAGCTGTTAGTGAGACCTGGCCTGCCAAAAAACCACTTCCACGTAACCAAGAACATGAAGGTGATGACTGAGTCCCTCCTTGTAGTGGCCATATGCCAGTCTCTGAAAACAATTTTTAAAAGAAATGCTGCTGCAAGCTTATTAATAGTAAATTTGTCTTAGGAAGGAAATAGAAAATTACTGTCATATATGGGGGACAGGAAGAAACTGTTGAATATTTAACACCAGAAAAAAAAATTACTTAGAAATGTTTAAGGACACTGTTGTTTTCACATAGATGGCATCTAAGAAACTGCAGTATTTGCCAGGACTTCCAATTATTTTCAAGCCCTGTAAGGTTTTACTAGAATGCATTTATCTAATAGCTTCTCAGTGTCAATTTTCCCACCCCCCTGTGCTGTCTTTCAAGACTTTCAAAATTCATCTCGGTTTATGTTTTCTGGATAAAGTGTTTCCCAAATTGTATGCAGCTTCAGTTTATTTTTGCTTACCAAAGTTTGCAACTGCCCCCACAGTTTACCTAACTTTAAAAGTTTCAATATATTTTTCACATGTGCAAACATCTGCTTCTAGAATCCAGCAGCTGGTATCATGAAAATAGAGAGATTTTATGATTCTCATATTTGTTGCACATTGTAAAGCCTCCTAACAAGTGTTGCATGATTTACTACGGACTCATGTGATTTTGAGAATCTCTTGCTTTTGCTAAAATTAGGGAATGCTGGGACTATATTTCCAAATGTCCTAAAAGCCCTCTCCTGCCTTATAATTATTGTATCTTTCAAGTAAATATCTCAACATATCAACATAAAAAAGTCCTTTTTTTAGTTTTATTATAATGACAATATTTTGTTTTATTTTTTATTTCATTTTATTTCTTTCTAGAGACAGGGTCTCGTTCTGTTGCCCATGCTGGAGTGCAATATTGCAATCACAGCTCATTGCAGCCTTGATCTCCTGGGCTCAAGTGATCCTCCTACCTCAGCCTTCAAAGTAGGACTACAGACACACACACCACTATACCTGGCTAATTTTTCAAATTTATTTATAGGTATGGGGTCTTGTTTCATTGGCCAGGCTGCTCTTGAACTCCTGGCTTCAAGTAATTCTTCCGCTTCAGCCTCCCAAAGTGCTGGGGTCACCAGTTAGAGCCACTGTGCCCACCTTTTTTATTTTTTATTAAGAAAAATCATGCACTATTATTAAGTACGCTTTTATGGAACTAGGAGGGTGCCCGTACACTATTAAAATTCAGACTAGTTATCAGCATTAGTTAGTTAAGAACTTAAGGAAATAATTTTGTTAATTTAATAGGTCTAAAACATTCCCCAGAAATTTTCTCTTATTTCATTTTGAGAGCATGTTCCAATATTAGAAGTCCTCTGTTCTTTTAAAAGCCATATTACAAAACATTATGGTGAGAAGAAACCTTGAAATATAACGCCTCCATTTTATAAGAAAACAGACAGTTTCCATTGAGTCTTCAGGTTAGTGGCAAAGGCAATACTAGTTCCAGGTTTGTGGTTTTCCACTGTAGGACTCTTTCCATCCTACCAAGCCATTCCCGTAACACACAATAGAGACTTCAAAGTCTCCAAATAGGCACATCATATCTGTAGCAGCACCATTTATTTCCTTACCTGAAGGAAATCTGAAGATGTAAGTGGTCATTTTTGAGAGCTTGATTCTTGATCCTTTAACATATATTGAATGAAAGCGCTAAAATGTCTCAATCCAGACGTACCCACTGACACTACTGTGCTATCACCAAACACTAGGATGTATATATTTTGTCAGTCTGTGCACAATATCTCTATTTCTCTTATTTGTTGCTCATTGATTCTTTCCTTAGTGTTGTAAGGAATCATGGAAACAGGAAAGCTTTTAACTCATTCATTTATTCATTCACTGTTTTAAAATAAACAGGTATACCACGGAATACAAAGATGAGCTGAGGCACAGACTGGGTTTTCAGGGAGCTCACACTGTCATAAGAGAATCTGACATATAAACTATGAGGTCAGTGCAGTAAGACATGTCCACAAAATTCATGTAGAATGAAAACCCAGCCCAGATTTAGGGAATCAAAGAGAATTTGTGGAGTAAGAAACATTTGAGCAGACCCTTCTGCACACTTGGCAGAGTAAAGTCAGAGGAGGGAGGATGACAGGAAACACTCAGAAGCACAGATGACGTGAACCAGTGTATGGCAAGTTGCTGTGAGGTGCAGATGAGTAGCGATGTGTGAGACTAGGAATGGCAGATATGAGACTAGGGAGGTGGCTGGAAGCCCAGTGATGCAAAGCCTGATAGAGAGCCATTAGGGGTGCTCAGGAGGTAACATTGCAAACTTGCATTTTAAAGAGATGATGTTTCTGGCAATGTGTTGGGAGAGAGGAATAAATTAGGAAGCTTGGGAAGTAGTCCAAGGCAAGAGAAAATGAGGCCCAGAGTAGTGAAGAGGTAGGAGGAATGAACAAAGTAAGCGATTAAAAACTTGTTTTGATATATGCCACTACTTTTATAATGATAATGGATTGCTTAGTATTTTACTTGAAATTAGTTTTTGGGATAAGAAATTCTAAAGGAAAAAAATGACTTAATGTCTAACTAAATGGAATATTAATTGAATTATTTAATGCCTTAATTAAGTTTTAATGTTATGTATGTGTTAATTATCTCTTAATGTCTGATGCTTATATGTTTATTAGAATTGACTCAGTAATGTGGAACATTTGAAATTTTTTTCCAGAGATGCTAGGAAAAAAACAAAAAAACAACTTCAGTTAACCAGATCTTTGAGAAAACCTTCAGAAAACAATTAGGTAGTATAAAACTTGATGTGTTATTGTATCATAGGATTGTGACTTCAGTAGCTGCCTAAACAGTAGTGCAGTTTACTAAGGTGGTGAAGACAGGGTGAGGTCACTGCAGGAACAACATTTGGGCTTTATAAAGAAGAGTTTAGATTTAGACATGTTAGAAATGTCTGAGGCACCCGTATGGAAGTATCAGAAGAGGCAACTGGCAATTACAGTTTGGCAATCAGAGAGGTCAGGAGGTATAAACTTGCAAGTTATTGGCATAGAAGCATACTTAAATCCAAGTAAATTAATGAGAAAGAATATTGGGAGAAAAGATAATAGGGTTCATAACAGAATCCCATAGAACACAACGTTAAGAAGCTAGGAAGAGGAAGAGGTCAGTAATAGTTCAGCCTGCCAAGAAAAATACTCAGTATGTTCTGTGGGAATCCAAAATCTAGAGACCCCTAGATGAGATATTTCACTGAATCCCACAGTTTTTACATTTCATTTCCAGCCAAGTATAATTGATAGCCAAATTATGACAATATATTGGTTGAATACTGCTGTTTCTATTTAAAATAAAATATACTGAGCTGGTTGTATTTTATGATTCACAAACTAGTCCTGAGGGCAGTCCCAAATATGTGACCATGCATGACTGGCATCAATGTATAACTTTTCAAGCTCACTATTTTGAAAGAAGAAACATTTACTTGAAAAAAATATGTTTTGAATTTTTAACTAACTTTTTGTCTTGTGCCCACTATGCATATGGGACTGTCTTAGTTGTTATGTTGAATGTTTGTTCAACAAATATATATTGCATTTCTGGCATGTGACAGATACCGTTTCAAGTGCTGAGGATTGAGTAGTAAGTGAAACAAACATTCCTGCTCACATAGAGCTTACATTCCAGTGAGGATTCCTAGCCAATTCCCTAGACTCTCTTGGGACTTATGAAACCTATTTTCAAAGAATTTACAGTCTAGTAATGAAAATGAAATATATATTGAAAATATAGTAAAATGTAGAAAATAATGTATTGTTATTTAGGTATAAATGAAAACTCTAGGGCTTTTAAAGAGGAAGGATAGAATACTAATACTTATTCAATGAAGATTTCATGTAAGAGTTAAAATTTGAGCTAGGACTTAAGAGATGAACAGAATTTTACTTTAAGAGATAAGGAGAAACTTAAACAGCATAAACAAGCATGAAATATAGAAGATATATATACAGTGTTTCAAAGAATTGTTTGATGTATTCAGAGGAGAATGGACAGAGACAGAAGAGTTATCAGTAAGAACGGGAAAGCCATAGTCAGTAAGGAAGGAGAGGGGTAGGAAGCTACATAGTCACAGTGGCCGAAGCTACGCAAGAAGACACACTGTCGGTTCTTTAGAGAAATCTAACACAATGAAGTTCAAGAAACATCTATACAATCTGACAACTGACAGGTCACTCCTGATTTCCATGAGAGGAGTTAAGATGTTAAAAGATAAGAGATTTCAAAAGGATATATCGTGGCACAGAAACTCAAATACTGCATGATCTCACTCATGTGGTGGAATCCAAAAATACTGATCTCATAGAAGTAGAGAGTCAAATGGTGGTTACCAGAGGCTGAAGTGGTTGAGAGGCCGGCCTAGAGGATTAGAGAGATGTTAGTCAAAGGATATGTAATTACAGTTAGAAGAAATAAGTTCAAGAGATCTTTTGTACAGCATGGTGACTATGGTTAAAGATGATATGTTGTTTTCTTGAAGAATGCAGAGACTGTGGATGTTAAGTGTTCTCCCTACATAATAATAACTATGTGAAGCAATATAGTTTTTAATTAGCCAGATTTAACTATTTCACTCTCTCTCTCTATCTCCATATATATATATATATATCTCGAAACATCATATTGTATATGATAAATAGGTTTTTTTAAAGAGGGATATGCCAAGGAATTATGGTCAGAGATCGGAGACAGAAGGTTTCCTCCTGTTTCAAGAAAACGTAGCAAGTAATGGAGAGGGAGCTGGGGTAGCTAAGGAAGATATTGTTATGGATGAAAAAAGCTTTGAATATTCAAGAAAACTGAGTATCAATATACTGAGGCAGTTGATCCAGTTAGGAGGAAATATGGAAGGATTGGACTAGAAAAAGGATATTCATTGAAGCATAATGGGGAGGCTAGCTTTAAAGTAAAGATAAACTCTTCTGTAAAGAAAGGAATGAAGAAATAAATTTGAAAACATAAACAGAGATGTGGAAGAAAAGGGTAAACAATTGCTGGTAGTTTATAATAGGTGGCTCTAATCTTTTCTATAAAGTGCAGGGTAAAGTCCATTAATCTCTTATTTCACATAAGCACTTATATAAATGACACTCAGATATGTAAAAATTCAGAGGAGCTAAGAAAATTACCAAGATACTCTACCACAAGGTGCACATGCGTCAAAAACACGTGTGGCCATTATTTCATATTTATAATTGGTAAAAAACAAGAAATAGGGGCATGGAATATATCAAACCAAATATTTTAACATGTTAAAATTAATTTTTTCTTTACTTTTCCGTCTCATGGTTCTCATGAATTTTTGAAAATTGATGTTATGATATTTAGGCATATAATTCTTGAAACTGTATGCTTTCCAGAATTAAGAATTTTTCTGATCTTAGAAAGGGGCTATAGTTCATATACATACATTATGTAGCATTTCCACTGGATTCTGTGACAGTATCCATAATCAAACACATTAACATTGTGTAGTGAAATATCTGAATACTCGCACTAAATAGGGTAAACTAATAATATAAGTAACCTATGTCAGTTCAAGTCAGTTTTATTCACCAAAAAAGTAACAAAGTTACTTCAAGATATGGATTTTTTTATTTTAAAATTATGAATAAGGAATATGCAGTCTTATATTTAATTTGCATGTTACAGCTTTTCCTTTTTAAAATTCTTGACAAGTTATATTGATGATGATTTAAGCAGTTGTATAATGAAAAAAATTATCGACTACGAAGACACATTATTTAATCCAATATTCTATGAAATCATAATAGAATTGTGCAGTTAGGAATCTTCAGACTGAATACAAAAAAAAAAAAGGAGTATAAGGGGTGATGGACTATTTAGTCTAGCCAAAGTAAATATGATAAATATTTACTTTGGGAAGCTAAAAAGTAACCTAGGCACATGGTAATGTATAATCACAGCATAGGATCATTTTGAATAGCACTTTTAGGATTTGCAGACCAATAACAAATACACCCTTACCTCTGACACTGGGTTTATTTTTGAAACAAAATATATATTTCATGGAAATTGATTTGTCTGCCCTAGATTTTATTTTCTTTGAGGATTTGAAAATTCATATTGAAAGATGAAATTGTTTTGTTTTTGTTCTGAATCATTTTCTTTCTAATTTGAATTACCGTGTTCATTACATAATATTCTTTATACAGATATCTGACCTTTTACCCTTACAAGCTAAGAGTATTTGTAGTATTTAATGGGAGATGGCAAGAAAACCTGAGAAAATTTTAATGCATACAGAATAACTTCATGATGTATGCAAGCATTACTGCACTCTGTTAGAAAACAATAGACAATAGATTACATCTTAAGTAAATATAAATCTGAGAATATTTTCTTTACTCATGGGGTTATGTTTTGATGTTTGTTCAGGGCCAGGTCTCATTATCATTAATTCATACATGGATAAGGTAATTCAGTAAATATTACTTCAGTAATTCAGTAAAAATTACATATACTCATGTATATGACATTGTTTGCCTTCAAAGTGTTTTGTCTTTGAGGATATCAACTCTCTATTGATCTATCTGTAATTCCATTAGGTAAATGTTATATCTACATATATATATATATAAATATGTATGTGTGTATGTATATATAATTAATTTTGCTAGAGAAGTAAATAAGGAATGACTTCACAAATTACATGAGCTTGTAATACGATCTTGAAAGTGGACTGTCTATCAGATGAAAATATAAAACTTACAAAAACTGAGAGTAATTTAAAAAGTGAATTGAGTGTTTAAAGGCGGGATAATAGCATCATCAAAGAAGTGGAGATGTAGCAAGCCATAGCATAATTTAGAAATGGCAAATAAATCAAAATATTTTTATTGGAGTGTAGGGTTATCATGGAGATAAACTGGACCAAAAGAATTTGTTAGGGTCAGATTATGAAGGACTTGAATGCCATACTAACGAGTTTAAATCTTATTTTACAGACAGCAACAAAACTTTATTTTCAGTGTGGTTACCTAGTCAGGTTATTGCTTTAGAATGATTTTTTTTTTATTATACTTTAAGTTTTAGGGTACATGTGCACCTGAGGAGGGTTGAAAATGCAAACAACTTGATGGCCAAGCTGATCATTCATCAAGTTTCAAAAGGACAGTGGCATGTTTAAAACTCTCTGAACTTTGTATATTATATCATGTCATTTAATTGCTGTGCCCAAGACTTTTATTGAAATTATTCTGAACAATAAGCATAACTCATAAGAAATATTGTGCAATATCGATTTCTGTTTGTTGATGATACCCAAAGTTGATTTTTCCCACTCATTTTTACAGCAGAGCTGATACTTCTATGTTAAATATAATTCCTAATGAAATTCTTAAGAGTATAAATATACAACAAACCATATGAAGTTATTCAATCAGATAACAAAGATCAGCTAGTAATAATTGGTAATGTAAAGAAAAAATTATTAAACATCTACTATGTGTCAAGCATTGTCGCAAGCAAGTGCTTTTAAACACATCTCTCCTCAAGTTGATGATATTGCTGTTACCACCTTTAAGAGATGAAAACCTGAGCATCAGAGAACTGAGGTAACTCGCTCATTTTGATGCCTTTAGGAGTGCAGCAGTTGTCTGTCTCATGCCATGTCTGTACTTAAACTTCCACTCTCATCCCTTTTACTTATTTACAATCTTAGATGATTAAGTGCAAAGGAGAGTTTGCAGAACAGTTGTATCAATATTTCTAAGTTGGAAATAAGATATGTTACTTTTAAAAGGTGAGTTGAACCTTATTCTTTATAACTAAATTTAAAGATTTATGGAGAGTACTTCAGCACCACCTATAGTCATATGATTAACTGTGATTATTTATTAGTATTATTCTTTTGATTTACCTTGCTTAGCATTTACTCCTGAGACTCATATCTGGTGTTTTTTGGTTTTGTTTTATTCTGTTTTGGTGCTTATATAGATTACTTACCTTTACCCAGAATAATCTCTAGTTTATTGCTACAGATTCTGCAGTTAACCCTGGTCAGTCTTACTGAAAATGGATAGAAGACACAAAAAGCTCTGTGTTAACACATTAACACCATTTAAAAATAATTTAATTTCTATATACTCCTAAAACCACCCTTATATATGAGGCTTAGCTTATTAATATATAGCCACTGGTGAAAACAAGATATAATGAGACAATTCTAAATATATGGTCTATCTCCCCATTCAGTGCCTCTCAGTGCCAAATGGTACTTCTGCTAATTATGAGCAATAAATAAGATCACTTTTTATTTTTTAAATGTTGTATTTATTAAGTGCTAGCATGAGTGTTATGTTTAGAACTATCTCAGACTCTTCCAAGATATCTACATTATACACACAAATTTAATTCCCCTTTAATGAGACTCTACAATGTACAAAACTCTGTAGTCCATCTGTATTCATGAGAGATTTCACAGTTCTCTAGGTACTTGATCAAAGTTTTTGCACAATTAAAATAGAGCAGCAACAACAACAAAAAACCCCACATACTTGGTTAAACTCCATTTTTTTTCCTCCATCCCAAACCTGCCAGCATTTTATCTTCACGTCTATCCCAAGCCCTCCCCAGCCATCTTCCTTCTTATACTCCTACAATTTACCTAGTCACTCCAGTTAGAAACAAAGGAATTACTATTTCCTTTCTCTTCCTCATGCTAACATCTGTCATTAAGCCGTGTTGTTACCACACCCTAGTTCTACTTGAAATTTCTTCAGTTCACTCACCCCCAGTGTATCTCCCTACCCAGGCTACCCTTCTTACTCAAAATACCCTCTCAGGTGGTCACATGTATTCTCTGTTGTCCTGTTACTCAATCACCAACAATTAGCAAGAAAGTGATCTGCTTGCGATGTAAATCAGGTCATTTCACTCTTCCAATTACAATGCACAACACTTCCAAAACAGTGTAAACTTTTAACCTTGGCCAACAAATCCTCTCTGTCACCCCTGCTAGCTCACTCTACAACCAGCCATTGAGGCATTTTCTTCTTTTCTTTCTTAGGAAAGAGGCGTCTAGTGCTGAGACTGTTTTGTTGTTGTTGTTGTTGTTTTTGCACCAACTTGTCTCCACCAGTAGTCTGCAGGCTTTGTGTGGGGAAGAAAATATTTCTGTTAATCTCCAAAGTATTCCCAATGACTAGTTTAAAAGAAAAAAAGATTGATCGAGTATTAAGACCACAGGTTAAGCAGAAGAATTTAGAGAACCTGAAGTTGATAATGGGTAAATGTTAAAGGATCTTGATCCGGTAAATGACATGATATCAAACTATTAATAATTTTTAAGCCTTAGGGTAGTTCTGTTAAAGTCAGTAGCAGATACAACATTTAATGACTATTCAAAGAACAGAATTATGTACACTTATCTAACTTACCTCAGGGAACATACAAAAATTTCAACAGTTTCATAAGACAGGCATATTTATTTTCATTTTGAATAGAGGAAATAACCATTCTAAGGTTACTAGAGCTTTTGCGTGACTAAGCCAAAATTTTAGCTTAGGATGTCTAATTCTAATTTCATAGGTATTTTTATTATTTCACAGTGGCCATAGCCCATGTGAGAAATAATGAAGTTCTAACCAGCCTAGGTGGTATTTAAGAGGGAGTCATGGGGATGATTGTATTTGGAGAATAAAGGCCTTATTAACATCTTGACTGGGAGTTGGAAACCCTTGATAGAATGATCATGTTTTTCAGTATTAAGAACTTCCATCAGGTTTTAACAATACAGTTGGGCTGTTAAGTAGTATTGGCTGGCAAAAACAATATGCAGAGGAAACAAATGATTTAATAGAAAGGGTGGAAAGAGAATCGGGACTTTGCAAAGAATGAGTGCAATCCATTTTGAAACGTATGACTCCTTTACTTGAAATATGTGACTGCAGATGCTCAGAATATAATGTAATCTTGAGAGAAAGATAGAAAAACTTAGGTTAGGTTTTGATTGCCTTTAACTGATATTGTACTATAAAGTATATACAAAAATTACAGTAAGCTGACATCTTCAGGAAAATAGTGAATCAAATCAACACTGTGAAACATGAGACAAATCAGCAAAATAACAGCTTATCCTGTGAGTAAATATAATAAGGACCTCAGGTGACGCTGGTAAATATTCCTCAGGACTCAGAAACCGCCTTTCCTATTACTGTACCCAGAAGACACATTTCTAATTAAATCATTCAATTTGAATACCCAGATAGTAGTGGGCAGTTATTTGTGAAATGCTGATTCAGTTAGCCATATATATGCACTGATTTAAAAACCATCAATTTAGGTAAGTTCACCTAAACCAATTGAGATGTGTAGAAAATAATGATAGAAATGAAAGATTTGCTGAAAGCAATAAGAAGACATCACCAAGAAAAGGAATAGCAGCAAATTACTCACATATTAAATAGTTTCTAAAGAGAGGGGTAATGTGCCTCTGGGGCACGAGGTGAGATACCCTTGAATTTAAACTTATAGGAGAACCCATATTAAAATAATAAAAGTTAAAAGAACGACTCTCCAGAGGCCGGAGTTTTCCAGGTTTCTTTCTTTCATTTTCACTGAGGAAAACAACACTATGTTTCTGCTCACACTTTCCTTCTGTAATGTACTGAGATTTTTAAAAACTAAGCTACATAGAATCCTAGAGGTTAGAAATAAATCTCCTCCTAGATTTGTTCTTATGAGATGCAATTTTGACTTTCTATACTTGATTACTAAATATATGTTGTTTTATAAGCACACATTCACATATATATAAACACACATTATTTTATTTAAACACATATATTTATATTCAGTTTAATGGCATAAGCTTTTTAAAATTTTAAAAATTACACCTAGCCTACATCTACCAAAATATTATTAACTTCTCAAATGTACTCTAATTGTGCCTGGAAATTGTACCAGGTTGCTAGGAACTTGTCCTTAAAATTCCAAAATGTATAAACAATAGTTAATAATGCATTTTCACATAGACTTGTTAGCACACAAGTATTCAAAACCCATTATTTATCAACCTAATTATTTATGTGTTCATATGACAATATTTCATTAACCATCATTTTTAAAATGTTGAATGTTGAAAAGAATGAAAGAAACAGATTTTTAAAGCCATGGGGCAAGTTATTGGTTTTACATTATGAGTATTATGCTTTTATGAATAGATGATAAGTATTTTACTTCACTGGTTTTAGAACTATGGTGTTATGAATATAAATTTGTACATGCATTTCACTACATTTATTACTTACGTATCACCAGTTCATTTGAATATGCTTGATACATGTATTAGTGCCATCAATGTTTGAGTGATATGCTATCATTTTCTTCTAACATAACCAAATTTTTCTGATATCAGTTCAATAATGTCAAACTACTCAAATTCAGCTAATAATACAGCACAGTAATTAATTTTGCCTTGGGGAATCTATCTGCATTATGAATTACTTTAAAAAGAAGTCAGATTTTTTAATTTGCTTTGGTTCAACATCATACTGAAATTGAAGTTGAGTCAATAGTGTGTTGCCATATAAATTCTTATTAAAATCTTCAAAGATAAATAGATGTGATAGATAGTAATTAGTATGTTATCTATAATTTTCTTCTAATTTACTTGAGGGAGACTAAAACTAACTTGGTCTCTTAGTACTATAAGTAAATTCTTATAATTGTCTTTATGCTCTTAATATGTAATACCTATTAAAAATATTGGACAAGGTAAAATCTATATAGCAATAATAATACTGACATATAAAGCATTACTGATTCTTCAAAATGCTATACATTCTTTTGTATCTTCTCAAATATAGTTTGCATTGAGTCAACAGCTATTTGTGCCACTATATAAGGAACGAAGGTGTGAAATTATGTACAAACAAGCCTAAAGCCTAATTCCTGATCTCTTAAAGCTTACTTTCCCTCAGTGGATGTTTGTGTTTTTCAAAGCTTTTGGAAAAATATGTAGTTTGATATTGTGCTAGTTATGAATACCAGTCTAAAAATTATTTTAAATCTACCATATGAATATTAAATAATGGATGGGAGTTGAGTATAAAAGTTGGTTGGAATGAAAATTTATCTTACCTGTGGGTGTGTGGTTTGTGTGATGAAATTGTAATCAATTTTATATAGAATAAAAAATTGTGGAGTCAGATTGTGGATGGGATCCTAGAACACAAAAAGGACATACGGTAATAACTAAGGAAATCACAGTAAAGTACGGAATTTAGGCCAGGAACAGTGGCTTTTGCCTGTAATCCCAGCCCTTTGGGAGGCCAAGGCAGGAGCATCTCCTGAAGGCAGGAGTTCAAGACCAACCTGGGCAACACAGTGAGATCCCCGTCTCTATGAAAAAATTTTCTAAAATAGCCAGGCATAGTGGCATGCACCTTTAGTCCAAACTACTCAGGAGGTTGATGCAGGAGGATCGCTTGAGCCCAGGAGTTTGAAGTTGCAGTGAGTCATGATGTTACCACTGCACTCTAGCCTGGGTGACACAGGGAGATCTCATCTCTGAAAAAAAAAAGTGTTGAATTGAGCTAGTAATAATGTTAGTAATAATTAATAAATATTTGTTCATCAATTGTGACAAATGTACCATGCAAATATAAGATGTCAATAATAGAGCCAACTAGTTGTGAGGTAGTTGGAACTTTCTGTAGTAACTCATTTTGTCTATAAATCTAAAACAATTCAAAAATTTTAAATTTATTTTAAAAATTACTAACGTTAGCAGAAAAGGACTGAGACCAAATTTTGCAGAACCCTGGATGTTAACCTGAGAATTTGAACATTTTTAATGATCAGTAGGAAACCATCAAAAATATAAGGGAGAAGCATAACATAATTAATGCAGTAATTTAGGAAAGCTTTTGCAATGACTCTACAAACAAATTGTAGGAGAGCAAAGATGATATCAAAGGGGCCAGTCTGGGTCTATTTCCCATATAAAGTGATATGAACCAGAATTTATGTGGTGGTCAGTTTGAGTGGAAATATGAAGGTTTGAGGTAGTTTGCAAATAAGTAACAGCACTTGGCAATTAGATGGATATGACATCTGTAGGAGAAACAAAGTCTGTGTAATTTAGAGAAGAGATATAATATAAAAAACTAGATTTGGAGATATGAAAATAATATAAAGTTTAGACTTTAAAACTACAGTTGCTAATGGTGTTAAACTAGATAGTGGAAAATAACATATATTTGAATTCTCAAGGCAAAGTGAAAGTTTATTTCCTCGAAATATGGCCTATGATTAAATAATTCGAAAACTTCTTGAACACTCAAGAAGGGATGCTTACAATTTTTCAGCCTAGAACGCACTGTGGTCTGTTTCACAAATCTTTTTGTTATGACTATTGTGTTTTATTTGAAATTCCAGCATTTTCTCTTAAGAACATAGTGAGCCCCATCCTTTAAATGCATAACTAAGTATTAGAAGTGAAATAGGAAGTTTCCCAACTGCCAGGCCATCACTAAATGAGTAATCTCTAATATGTATTCAGAATGGTTAAATAATAAAAATGGCACATCGTGCAATTCTAAATTCCGTTGATAAAATGCAATTTTAGGTACTTTATTTTATTCTCATTTACATTTTTACTTTTCATTATTAAAAACAACTTTATGTTCTGTATTTCACAACTGGAAAGTAAATTACTTCTGAAACATTTAAAGAAGGGTAAATGGTTGGAATTAAGGAATTTGAAAGTGATCAGGAAAACACCAGCAATTACTTGAGAAAGAGAGAGGAGAAAGGGAATTAAAATTTATTCACAGGTGTGTGAAACAAGCTCTTTTCTTTCAATGGAGGTTCTTAGAATGTTTTTGTAGGTGTTTTGATGTGTTCAGATTAGAAGTAGCTAGCTATTAGATTAAACACAATCTCAATCTCAATTAGATTTACATTTGCATTATATATATTTGACTGGCTCTTGAGGTTCATTCTTTAATAATGAAGCTAACTCATTTTTTTAAAAAATCTAAAATTGTATTATCAAAGGAGTAGCTATGAAGGAGTTTGCTTGAAAAAAATTAAAAAGAAGATTTGCATTCATTATTGACCTGTACAGTGCCTTTCATTTGGATTCAGCAATTTAAAATATTATGATTAAAATATATAAAATAACTAACTATTAAACCCCCAATTTGACCATGAATACCTGAAAGGAATAATGAAAGTTTTGTCCACACAAAAGGATGAATAACACAAATTCTTCTATAATGATGTGTCCTCTTGTTCCCCTCTGTCACTACTGTCCAAGGCTGAAGTTGTGGAGGGAGCTCCCCCAGTGGAGCTAAGTCCTCACACGTGGCAGATTGTCCTCCACCTTCATCAGGTTCAAACATTTTCAGGATAGTTGGACTCCTGTGAGACAATTTAGTCTAGATAAACTGTGTAGAGAGAGACTGTCAATTTGTAACACTTATAGGGCAATGAACTACTAACATCTTTGGAAATATTTTATCCAGTTAAAAAGCTTAATTCAATCATTCTCCTACCCCCCCACCCCATTTTTTTTAAAACCTTTAGAAGTCATGGGCTTCTCTCCTTCAATAACTAGTTAAAACATTTAAAAAATATTTGGGGCATGGTGGTGCACACCTGTAGTCCCAGCTACTCAGGAGGCTGAGATGGGAGGACTGTTTGGGTTGAGCTCAGGAGTACTAGGCTGCAGTGATCACAAGACTGCACTCCAACCCTCCAGCCTGGGTGACAGAGTGAGACCCTGTCTCAAAAATAAAATAAATATAAAAAACTTTGGGAAAAATTGTGTTTGTGTGTGTTAAGTGTGATAAAATTTCCCTTTTGGTACTAATTGACACATTGACTAAATGACAATTGACATAATTGACACATAGTAATGCAATTTAAAAAATTTTATTAGAAAAAAAGCAAGATTAATGGCTATTTTCATTAAAGCCAATCTTTCTCCTTAATTCAAATTTTGTGTTTTGATTTGTATGTGTGTGCACATGTTTGTTTTCAAATGTTTACAAACATTAAAATGTCTGTTAGGATGTATGAGTATTTGCAGAAATGCTATATATTATATCAAGGTACTTGACTGTATCATCAAATGCATAGCAGAAGATTTGAAAGATTCCACATCATTGTAATGAATGTAAGATCAGGAATTAAAATCAGTTGCAGTATTGACTCAGTAATAATACCAGCTGCAGATCTATTTTTCTGGCTAAGACCTTCCTTTACTTGGCTGTGTCTTAAATTCCATACCCATAAATGAGAGGACCAACCTAGATTATCTCTAATTGTCTTACCACCTCATAATGCAGTGTATATACAAACATATGGAGAAGTTTTGCTATTGTATCAACCTCTACTCTAATTCCACCATTGTAGCATTGGCATCCGTACTTGAATTCCACCAATCATTTTCTTAGTATAGAAGAGGCCATGATTAATTCTTCATGGATAATATCAATGACTAAAAATTTATTAGCGAAGAAATTCATTTGTGCTTTCGCAAAATTTTAGCATTCTTGCTGTTGCTGATGATAAAGATGATGATAATGTGTTAATTAAAAATATTTCTGAACAGCAAGATTCATTCAACAACTTTTTCTGAGTACAAATGTACAAAGTACATTGTAGAAGGGGTAGACAACAATACTTAGGGGAATATGTCATTCTAGTCAACATATGAAGGTAATGAAGAAGCACAACCAGAAGCTCCCTGGGGAAGAATTTTGAGCAGAGAAAATGACCAGTGCATTTCCTACTTGTCTGGCATATTGAATCGAAAGCACAAAGTCCAGCATGGCTGAGGGAGAAGGGGCAAGTTTGAGATTAGAGGAAGTGTCAGATAGTGAAAGGAGAATGTAGAAGAGGGATTGTATTGGACTTCATAGAAAATGGGAAGGACACAATTCTTGGTTAATTACCTTATTGATGATGTTTGTAATCTGTTTTTAAAAAGGATAATCTAAATGAGGTTCTCTTACAGTAAAGTACCAAACATTCATGGAAATTATATATTATAATCAAATTTACATAGACCTTTAAAAATACATTGCATATTTTCTCAATAAGTATCTTTGAGTGTATTTTTCTGTATATGCATAATGCAATCGGATTTATTCCAAATATATAATTTGTGGATTTATCTTAACACTTAGCATTATATTATAAGCAAATCCTTGACCCCTAAATTTCTTCAAAATCATTAGTCATGTTCAACTCCGTATTCAGAACTGTGGTTGAAGAATTCTTTATTGATGCATACCTCTATTCTGGGAAAAAATAATATGTATACACATACATTTTATAATTACTTTTATAATAGGCTATTCTAATTATATTTGCAGATAATATACTGTTAAAGATATGTCTTAAAATAAGATCTCTAATTATTTTCTTAAGAAGTGGCAATAGAAGCAAAATTATTGTTTTAAAGGATGTGAATATTTTTAAATGTTCTTGATGAAAACAATGACTCCATAGGAAGTTAAAGTAAAATTAGTAGGCTATAGATTCTTCAGAATCTTCACATAACCAGGCCAGTGTCCAAAAAGACAATACTCTTAAGAAGGAAATATAATTATATTTTTATATTTCATATTAGGTTTTTAAAATCATGCATGAAAAATAATTATTTTAATATTTAGACTAGCATCCTATCCATATTCATGCTGGGTTTTTACTGTATTGTTGGCATTATTTGGGCACAAGTGTTTTTACAAATTAGTGAAAACATATGCTTTTCATATCCTTTTATTGGAACACATCTCTAAAAGTGGCAACACAAAAAAGAAGCAGTATCAGATGAACTGGTAGAATCTAGAATAACTTTTAAGAATTACTATAATATCATCTTACTGTAATAAAGAGTGTAGGAGATTATATTCAAAGGTTCTTTATCTAATTAGAATGTAAAGAGATCATTTAATGATGTGTAAGGGAGTTCAAGTTTTAGATAGAACAGTTTAGAAAACCTAAAATTATTGTCATAATATTCATGAGTCACTATAACTTCTTTTACCAAATTATGCACCTGAAACTAAATAAGAGAGGTGAAAACAAGGAAAATCATGAATTTCATTAGGTGAAATGGTATATTTAATGTATACTTATGATGAAAGAATACAACTTCTCAATAAAACTGAAAATTTTCATGGGTAGAAAAATTTGATACAATGCATAATCCATAAATATAAGTCCTTTGTAGTATCATTTATGTGTGATATAAATCATGAAATCTTTATCTCGTGCCGAGTATTGTTTTTATGATAATCTAAGCACAGCATGTTCACTAATTGCATTACTCTAACTAGCTATATTGTATGCCCTTCATTTGACAGTGTAACTGTATAACCTTTGAAAATGATATCCCTTGTGGTTTTTAAATGCAGTATCAACATTTTGGCAGAATCATTTTACAGACATTTAAATTACATGCATTTGAGTTAAAAATTACAGCCTCAGAATAGTGTCAGCAATATGTATATTTTTTCTTTTACTCTTGCTCATTGGAAGTATAATAAATTAATAATTCTTTGGTGACTACCAATTCATTAGTCAAAAGTGTTTACCAAAATTAAATATGAAGTAATTATGAAGAAATATTTAATTATTCCAGCTAAAATTCTGTTATTAAGTGAAAGAAATAGAAAATGAAGCAAACTTTTTGTTCATTTAAAATGAACTTAATTCACTCAATACATGACCATTTTTATAGCACATAGTGAAAATATTTAGTAGGATGATCATATAATTTATTATTCAAAATGGCTAATTTTTGAGGGTGAAAGGGACACTTTTAAGTCTTTCACTGGGACAAATATTTCAGGACAAATCTGAACTTATGGCCAGCCTAATAATAGATAATTTTTTTTAAATGATGGGATAAAAACTAATCATGGAGGAGACCAAAAAAACATAAGGACCATGGAGAGATGAAAAGTGGGGAGTAAACCAAGTATTATTCTATTTGCCTCTTTTGTGATTATTTTTTAATGTTAAAGCTTTTAACATTTACATTTTAATTTTTAAAAAGAATGTAAGCTATTTTTGGTACTCATAGATGTAGTATGTGTACACATCAATTAAAAATTTAAAAGCTTTACATATAGCTTCACACATCTCCCCTGTGTATTTAGAAGTAGAAATGGGTAAGTTGAAAGGGAATCCATGAGAAAGAAAATTATTTAAATTTTAATTCATGGAGAAAGTGGCCTATCTAGGATAATTTTAGTTGCTGTTAGTATGAATGTAGAGTTTCCTTACATATTTTGCCTTTGCCTAATTAATAAACACATTATTGTTATGCTGACTAATAAAGGCACTTTATTTTTGAATTGAAGGCAAACCTATATTTGAATGCATATCAGACTGTCTTTCTATTTTGAAATTATACTAGAGCTTATTAAATTTTAATACAAGTAAACCAATTTAAGGTGACTTATGGTTTAATAAATGTCAGTGAGAACAGGAAGTTAAAATGCTTATAAAATCAGGAAGATAATTTCAACTCGATAATGTTTCATGGGGCAGGCTGATAACATTTTCTCTTACTATTTCTTTTCATCCTCTATTTTCTGGTATCCAAACAGTGATATTTAGCATTTCATGCCTTGAATAACAGTTCTACGCTTATTATTAAATTGTCTGCAATTTTATGGATAAATAAATGAGAGAGTCTCAATTTCTTATCCATGCCCAGGAAGCATACTGGCAGTTTTTATTTCCATACATCAATTGAATGTTACGTTAACTAACTGCTCTCTTGGTTTATCAACAGTTAATTATATCTGTATTAATTTACTTTAAAGTTTTACTTTTTAAATATTGTAATTTGTTTGAAGTTAACTAGGCTGACATTTAGAGCTTGTATTCACAATGAAATAAGACTTTTAAAGCTTTTGTACTAAAATGAATTAAGACGTGCCATAAACTAATTCAGCTACATTTCTAGTAATTTAAATGTTTTATTCAATATATAAGAGCATCTGGGAATGTTAAAATGCTATATGTATTTCATATCCTTTTATTGGAACACACTTCTAAAGGTGGCCATGTGAAAAGAAGATGGAAAGAACACAAATTAACTTGTATTTTAATATTCACTTATTTTAGATTGAGTATTATTTTTCTTTCATTCTTACTCTTTTCTTTTTTTAGTCACCCTTTCAAGCCTTCCCTTTCAAAGGGGAGAAGAAAAGCTTGGTTAGCTTTCCCAACTCAGCTTATAAACATAAATCTCATTTTAAATGCTACCATTTTGATTAAAAAACAAATTATACATTTCATATATTATGTATTTTCAGCAGTAAGGTGAAACATATCATAAAACCTTTGAATTTTTATTTATTTGAACTTGTTTTAGAATTAAGTTATTGTATGCCCATTTCTCTCACAAATACATAGATATAAGAAGTATAAAGATTTTCTTTTTTTCAATTAAAGAAATAGAGACAGTGGAATTTCTCAGCTTTTCCATAGCCAAAAAGAAATCCATGACTCAGCCTGGATAGGAGGTTATAGTTTTTGTACTTATCTCCAGGGATATGCCTGTTGTCAAGATTTCCACTTTCATTTATTTCCACGGTTTTCAAATACCAAGAAAGTTAGTGCTCATTGAAATAGTAAAGGTGAACACCTGAATGCAGACCAACATCTTTTTTTTTTCATTTCAGTATGATAACTAATTGTGAACTGAAATAGTATTTGAGGTAAAAAAAATTTTTAAGAAACTTGGTATATTTGTTCACTTACATTCATATATATATATATATATATATATATATATCAAGGAGTTAGGATACAAAATATCTTCTCTAAAAGAATGCTTAGATCTTGAGATTCTGATTCATTTAAAAATTTTACACTGCTCTTTCATACTTTGTTTTTTAAGGTTTAACTTAGAGGAATTGCAGATAGGTTAGAGTGGATGTGAGTCCTATATATATTATTTGGAAATGATGCGTAAAGTCAAATTTCATATATACAATTTCTTAAGTTCCTTAAATTTGATTTCACTTAAAATCGTTTGGATCTTATTATTTCAAATATTATGATTGGAAGGACACAATAATTTAAAAATGATTGCATGATTTTATAACTTTCAGCTACACAGATCTCTTTTATAAAAGATTAAATTATTACACAGCATTTCAGTCCAAATAATTATTTTTCTAATTATATAGGTCTTTTAAAGTTATTTTTCTCACATTTTATAATCTCTTCTTTTCTTTAGAAAAAGTTTTACAAATTCTTGATTTTCTTTTTAAATTTTTCAAACTATTACATGTTTAGATTTCATCTTTCTATATAAGTTATGTCTTCAGAGACCAGTTAAAGTCAAAGGAGGTTGCAGGAATACTTCCAACTTACACATTGTAGGTACATAAATCCAGCATTCAGTCAAGTGTTTTTTTTTTTTCTTTTTTGAGGTAAATGACTTAAAGAACAGCATACAAGGCAAGTCTAGGCAGCACATCTTGAATATTTCATAGCCAAGTTTTATATTTCCATCTAGATCAAGTTAGATGCAAAATGAAATCAATCCTACCTTGATTTGGCAAAGTTGAGTATTGACTCAGTTGTCAAGATGTGAAAGCTAGAAGTTGATAAATCAGTCCAAGTGTATGGGTTTATGCTATGTTTTCTCAGCTAAAGATGTTTGTTGTTAAAAAATGCCCAATGGACCTGAGTTCTGTTTGCAACAGTTTTGGAGCACAATAAAATTGCTACATTATAATAGCTACTTTCTTATTTGTAAAATTATGTCAGCAATACCTTGCATACTTACCATAAAGAGCAATTGTTAGAATCCAATGAGCAATGAAGATGAAAAGATTTTGATGAGAATGAAGGACTTTCTTTCCTTTTGTCCCTTTTAGCCCTGTGCATTCGTGTATATACAAGGGTTCCTCCTATTAAAAAAATGCATGTCCAGAAAGTATTAGGGAACATTCTTTACTTCAGAAGATAAAAGGAAATTTGAACCTTCAAAAGATATTCTAAGCAAATTCAATTATTGAATAAACACACTTAACACTAGTTTCAGTTGCTAAAATAAACTATAAAATGGTAAATATTATGTGTTTTCATTTTTTTAATACTTTCCTGAAGTGAAGTCCTTTTACTTGAGGTCAGCATTTTATTATTAAAAAATTTTTAACCTTTTTAAAAATTTCTCTGAAAACCAAAAAAACAGTTACAGTATATGATACTATAATTGTTCCATTTTAATAGTCTATTTTTTCTCCAGTCCTCAGAGAGATCGTATGTAGGCCATTGCCACATGTATCATTCTAGAGTATATTAATCAAGGATCTGAATCAGGATGGCAACTCCTGTGTGTCCAAAGAGCTGGGTCAGGATGTTTCTGTAATTCCCTGATGAGGAATAGAAAGATATTGGCCTTTTGTGCTATATATATTTTAGTGTTTTGTATTTTATTAACCACTTGATTCCTGCCCAGGATACTTGCTAAGTAGGACACATTTTTATAAGTGTAAGTCTCATTTATCCAGTTGAATTGAATTTTTAGAAAAGTCTCCTACTGCCTGAAAAAAAATGAAATCAATTATGTTTTTCCTTTCTAAATAAATTAAAATCAAATGTGTAGAGAAAATGGGAAGATTGAGTTACCATCTATTTATTGTAGTGTATCTGTTATAAAACAAAAGCTTCAAGTATATTGATAATTTACATTTTAAAATATTAAATAACTGAAAAAAGGAGATGATCATATTTAGTTTGTAAATTTTTGACTTTCATTTAGCAATTTTAGCATAAACCCTTGGTTTTGAGATGCTGCCAAATTGGAGTTTTCATATGAAGGCACACAAGGTAAATTTGAAGTTACAGATAAAATGAGAGAAAGAAAGAAAGAAAGAAAGAAAGAAAAGGAAGGCAGGGAAGAAGAAAGGAAAGACAGAATGGTGGGGGGCATGGAGGAAAGGATGGAAAAGATTGGTTTCTAAAGGTAAATTTTGTCTTCAGTGGAAAGAAATGTATTTATTCTAGCTATTTTAATGAAAATCAACCAATTTTTAACATATAGTCTGGCATTTATAATTCCCTCCGCAAAACTACATTTTTCTGAAGAAACATCAAATTAGGGATGGAAAACTGGGGCCAAATTTAAATGTTATGGACCAATGTGGTAGATTACAAAATTGCCACTACCACGTCTCTACTTTATATTCAGCTCTTTACTTATATCATTTCTGTCCTCAAAGATTAAAACCATTGTAATTTATATCTTATTTCCATGTTACTAAAAAACAAATCATGGCTCAACAAGCATTCTTGTAATTGAAAGTCTCTGCTCTACCCGGGATATATTGTTGTTTCATATAAAAGTAGACAATTAAGCAGAAAATCTGGGTCCTGGTTTAGTTTAATCAGTTGCTGATATAGATCAAGTCCCTTTAACTCTTTGGATTCAGGACCCTCATTTGAAATCCAGAACTGTTAGCAGTGGTCTCTCTTTGAAGATGAAGTTCAAGTGTATTGATACATGGGAAAACAGTGTGTGAACCCTGTAACTCTGTACATATGATAACGTAACGGTTGTTCTTAGTAAAAAATAGGAATATATGATTGATATTTATATTTAACTTGTAATTACTACCTTGATTTTCCAAACTAGTTACTTTTGACTTTCAACAGACAACATTTGATGAAAATACTGGCTAACTAAGGTACTGAGTATCTTGACTAGAATAGAAAGGAAAAATTGCAGATAACATAAAATTATTTAAATCTTTATTTTTAGACAGACAAATTCTTATTTTATAAATGTTCAAAAAAAGTGGGTTTTAATTTCGTGTAAATTAATTATGTTTTATTCCCAATATTTTAAGAAAACCATCTTAAATGTGTAGAGAAATATAATAAAATAGAATATTGATGGAAATGTTAATGTTACTTAAAATAGATCATTTTAATAAAGGAAAATACAGATATATACTGTTCGCAAAAAAAATGTGGAAAATAATTGGACTGTTTTTAAATGCCTTAGGATTAATTCTTCGCAGCCTGTCTTATATGGTATCCATTAAAATATACCATATTTTAAAATACATTTCAAAGAATTAGTAATAAAATTGAAATTTATTTTGTCATTTACATAGGATAAAGAAAGTTAGGGGTTCTGTTTTTTAAGCAAAATGCCAGGTTTTACACATTTTGAGTATTAACAATGGAAATTAGAACAGATCTATAAATTGAGATTCACAATGAGGAAAAAGCCTTTTCTTCTTTCTAAATGGCAGTGAAATTGCTAAAGTTTTTGTCTGTGTTAGTAGAAGAAAGGAGTCAAATATAAAGGTTGGCAGTGCTTTCATCTACTTAAATTCCTCCCACATCCACAGCTGATTGACAGTCTCAACAAACTGATAATTGCCCATTTGGTTTGTTTTAAATAATTCTTAATTTTTTTTGTATTTTTAAGTAGGCTTGAAGAAATCATTAGGAAATACTTGCATCAAGTGGGATCATTTGCTTTTATTAAGGTAGGGAGTCCATCCTTTATGGAGGCAATCTTCTATCCATTGGGGCACCTGCTTCAGTTTTCAAATGCCCCTCTCTTCATTAAGCTGCATGAGCTTGTTTTCATTAAGTGAAAACCCCATGAATTCAGGCTGGTTTTTTATTCTTTCTGATCTCATATGGCTAGACAGAGTAGTTCTTATTTATTCATAAAATAAATGGTTTTATGCAGATTAGCCATGTTGCAGAACAGTGATTTAGCAAATTTTTGCATGTGTTCTGTGCTAGAAATCTAAGATGGTTTTCTTTTTTCCTCAAGAGATACTGGATTTTTAAGTTATCCTTTTAGATTTGTGTTAACAGGTTTAACATCTAATGTATACAACTCACATAGAAAAAAAATTCATTGATCTTGCCAAATAAGCAAAATAGGCTAAATGATGTTAAGAAGCCAACTATTTATTATATCCAGCATGAATTGCTGTGTTACCATTGTTATCTGATATTTAGGCTTGTAATAACATGTTACTACCAAAAGTTAAACTGTGAGTCTGTTAACAATTCATACTGGCCGGATAAGAATGACTGTCATTATATACGCTTTCTATAGAGTCAAAAGTTAAATAATCAAAAATGGTATTTAGAAGAAAAAAGACTATAGATTACAAATAATGAAATAAAACACAGACTATGTATCTTTAATATATTCATCCTAGAGCTCAAAACAAAAGTGATTTTTTTTTTTTAGGGTACAAATGAAAGTTGGAAAAGGAGTCAGTAACAAAGCACAGAACCAAAACTCCTAGTTGGGGGGTACTTCACATTAAATAAACTTAAATTATATTTATTATGTGAAATTAAATAGATCATAATTCTACTTTGGGTTTCTATCAGTCTTTCAAATATATTAAAATATTTGTTAATAGTCCTGATATTCTTCAGTTGTTTCCACAGATAACCACATCACAGCAGTGGGGCATCTGAATTCAATGATAGTGAAAATTCATGCCTTGAAAAAGCCAGTATACATATGGTGTAACATTGTACAAAAACATTTAATCAAGTAACATTTTACCTGGACCTAATGTATTTTGTGGTGCCTAGAATTATAACATGTTCTGAATTGATTAAATTGATTCATTTATATACATAAATATGAAGATAATATATAGAGAAATATATATAAAGATATATACATATAGATATACACACACACACATAGAGTTTGTCTTGTTTAGTTATTTTTAAAAAATAACTCAATATTTTTTATTCATATGCTTAAGTATCATTCCTAGAATATATTTATGGAAACAAACTTTACCTGTTGGCCTTATAGGAAAATTGAGGCTAGAAAGTTTATCACATAAATGTTCTGTTTGAGATTAAAATTAGGACTTAAATATAGGTTTTCAGGGGTTGAGAAAAATCATGCTGCTTTCTCGATCCTTCCTGGAAAACAGAGGCCGATTTTACAATATGGGCACTATTCCTGCTCATGTTACTGAAAGACACCAAATAGCATATTGTGCTTTTCACAATTTCAATTGCTAATTTTGAGGACTATATAGTGAAATAAGTTTACCTATTCCGCAGAAATCATTGAGTAATGTGATCCACTCAAAAATATTCCAACATATTTTCTCTCACTCTGAAGCTGATTCATTCAGGTCATAGAGATATAATGATCCGAAATGATGCCTAATAAAATGGCCTTCAACACTGTTAATGCCGGCCTTTCAGAGTGAAAGAACTCAAATGAGCAGTCACCTTAACATTAGGTAGCATATCTTTATGAGAAATTAAAAAATGGATAGTGATCTATAGCACCTTGTAGAAAATCAGAATAAAATATTAGCTATTTTATGTCAAAAATCGAAAGGAAAAGGAGAAAAAAAACAGTAGCTAGAACCGACTTGACATCTTTTTTCAGCCACTCTGATTCAGTTATATGTAAACAGAGCTCCATTTTGACAACTGTTTAGCTCAAGGCACAGATTTGAAGTATTAGAGATAACGGCAGTTTTATTAGATTAACACTAGGATCTTTAGTGTCCTAGATAATTACCAGCCATGGTACATCTCGATGGTTTCAGCTTGTAGTATTTTAATGTTTATGCATTCCCTTGTAGGCATTGATGTTTTGTCAAAAGAGATATTAGAAAGTTCATACCTAGTTTTGTTTCATTGATTTGTGTTTTTAAAGTGTGTATGTGTTCATGTTTGTGAAATGATTCATATCTTTGTTTTTATATCCCCAAATTAAAAAAAGGTGAAAGTTTCTTTTAATTTCCTGAATTCCTAAGAAACTATTCTCCCAGCTATCTTTATAATTTTAATTATTGATCTGTCATTCTTTGATTACTCAAGTGAGCGGCACCAGAATTCTTTCATCAAATTTGCACATTACGTTTCTCTCTCTTGTTTTGTATGATTTATTTGCACAGTCTCTTTGCATACTTGCATTTTCATTCTGGATCCTCATGCCTTTTTATCCTTCTTTTGTTTTTACCTATTGTTCTTTACTAGCTCCTTTATATGTAAGATTCTTTTTTTTTACAAGGCGTGTTTTTATTGCTTCTTTTATAACTCTTAATTTGGTTTAAAGTTTTTTGATTAGCTTAATATTTTATATGGATATTCTTAACATTTCCCTATTTCTGTTCTTTGTGGTACCCATTGTTTCTCTCAAAAATGATAAAGATCTTCTACCGCATTTTTTCATGTACATCGAAGGAATCTTCAGTCAATAAATATACAACTATTTTAAAATTTTAAAATATTAAAAATGTATATTCTTTTCCAGGAAAAAAATGTTAAAATTATTCAACCCAATGAAATTTTTATTTGTTTTACTTTTTAAAATGACCTCTTCAGAACAAAACAAAGGATACTAAACTTGATCTTTCCTTGCCTTATGAGTAGGGATATCTTATGTCATGGTTTACTCAGAAAAATCTCTGTTTATACATATTCTTCTGTCATAATTATTAATAGCAGTTCCTATCACTTTCAAAATTGCCGTGGTTTGGTCAACACATTATGTGGTCAACCTGTTATGAGTAACTACCACAAAGAAATATAAAAAGAAAAATATAGAGATACATAAAGTGTGGGAAGAGACTAGAGTTGGCATCAGGTGAATAATTCTTATTTTGCCCCTAAGTTTCCTGGACTTCAATTTTCTTACCTGAAAAATAAACATATTTTATTTTATGATACCTAACATTCCTCACCTCCCTAAAATATAAACTATCGCACATAATTACATCTCTCTCTCTCTCTTTTTTTTTTTTTTTTGAGACCAAGTCTTGCTCTATCGCCAGGCTGGATTGCAGTGGCGTGATCTTGGCTCACTGCAACCACTGCCTCCCGGCTACAAGCGATTCTCCTGCCTCAACTTTCTGACTAGCTGGGACTACAGGCGCGTGCCACCATGCCCAGCTAATTTTTGTATTTTTAGTAGAGACGGGGTTTCATCATGTTGGTCAGGATGGTCTCGATCTCTTGACCAACTACACAAAGATTATGTATGCTAATGAACAGTAGCTGCAAGGGAAGAAGCTTAGATGGATACATTTGTTTTGAGGGATTAAAGAAGCCTAATGGTGGGAGTAAATATATTCTTTCTTTTGTTTGAAATTATGTTGATATTGTCCAAAGGCATTTGTCTTTGGAAAAATATTAAGTAAATATATTAATGTGACTGTCATTCTGTAGGTGAGCAGTCAGTCATGCACATTAAAATCTGAACTAGACTAGACTAGAAAAATTCAGAACAAACACTTCTGAAATAGGGTTATTTTCGCAGTGTTCAATTAACAGGTAAATAAGATGTGTTTTAAGCCAGGCCTGGTGATGTGTGCTTGTACTCCCAACTACGTCGGAGGTTGAGGCAGGAGGAACAATGAGCCCAGGAATTCGAGACCAGCCTGGGCAACACAGGAAAACCCCATCTCAGTAACAATAATAATATAATAATAACAGCAACAATAATGTCCTTCTTTTGAGTCACCATTTTTTGAGTATCAATAAGCAATGTGTAAATAATAACTAGATGTTTAGACTAAAAATAAACCTTCCTTATTATTTTCTTCCAGTATTGAGACTCATAAAAAAGAATTTTTTAAAATGAAGTTTAGTTTACCAAAAAAATCAAAGACAAAAGCTAGCATTATCTTTCACAGTTTATCAAACTACATTGTCACAGTGCTACTTTGTATCTCCCCCGTTTGTTTGTTTGTTTGTTTGTTTTTTAACATAACCTGTAGAAGTGAAGCAAAAAGTGATGGGAAAATAACGTGTACGGTAGATATGAGATACTGTTCTAAAATTTGTTCTGCTTCTAATTTGTGTGGGGCCCTAGTCAAATCCCTTTGATATTTCTCAGAATTTTCTACTAAAGGATTTCTAAAGGCAGAAAAGAGTAAATACATACTTGTGGGCCTTCCAACAACTGCTAGAAGTATTTGATTCTGATATTTTAAATTTAAGACACCCATATTTTGCTTTATGTCTTATAATTTCAATATTTTTTAATAGAGAAGTAATGCTTACAATTATTTTTCATCTAGTAATTTTATTCTTCAGAAAAAATGTGCCAGGTTTGTTTTCGGTTTTATGTATCCTGAACATAGTCCCCTATTAGAGAAGTATGGTGATAGGTGACCAGTGGTTCTAAAATTCTGATTCTATTTATTACAGAAATGACATAGAAGTAAAGAATAATATATTTATAACATTTTTGCTTCAAATGTAAATGAATTCCATCCTCAAAAGTTTTGTGTATTTGTTTTATTACATATTTAAATTGAGTGAGAAGTTTTATTTTAAGTGTATTAAAGTTTTTAAGTGTATTAAAAACAACAGCAACAACAATAACTGTACGGGTTTTTTTTTGGATGGAGTCTTGCTCTGTTGCCCAGGCTGGAGTGCAGTGGCATGATCTCGGCTCACTGCAACCTCTGTCTCCCAGGTTCAAGCGATTCTTCTGCTTCAGTCTCCCGAGTAGCTGGGATTACAGGGACGTGCCACCAGGCCCAGTTAATTTTTGTATTTTTAGTAGAGACGGGGTTTCATCATGTTGGCCAGGATGGTCTCGAGCTCCTGACCTCTGGTGATCCACCGCCTCGGCCTCCCAAAGTGCTGAGAATACAGGCGTGAGCCACCATGCCCAGCCTGTTTTTCTTTTTGGTACCAAAACGTAGCTTCAAAATAAATGGCTTTCACTTGCAAAAGGCTCCATGTCTAAACAGAGTTTGTGCCTGAATTATATTGTACTTTTCTTGATTTGCCCACCGAGCCCTACTTGGCATCATAACCTAATAGTAGCATTCACTGAGTGCTTTGCATACATGTATTCACTTAGCCCCCACAGAAGCCCTGTGAGGATATCCCCATTTTACAGAGGAGGGAGTGAAAGAATATAGAACATAAGAGATTTGATCTAGAACACCTACAGTAAAACTTTAAATCCGGCTGTGCAGGGTTGCCAAATTCAACCCCTTCCCTTCCCCAATGTTCTAACTGCCAGACATCATTTATATTTGCAGTAATCCACATATTCAAGTTGAAATTCTCAACTCCTCAAACAAAGCAGGCAGCTAGAGTCAAAGGATAGTAGATATACTCTCCCTTTGCCTCCACTGTGCTCTCCAAGTACTGAAAGAGCTCAGCAGTATGACACGCAACTGCATGTGGCAAGACAGCCAGTCTCTGACTATAAAGACCCACATAGACCCATAGGAGAACACTGTCCTGCTCTTATTGTCTTTGTCACATTCTGAACTGCTGCGACAATGAGTTCAAAAAGTGGTTAGAAAAATTAGCTATTAGAAGGAGGCACAGTTAAAGATGCTGGCAGGCTCCAACTGATTCTGACCTTTCTGCCTATCTCTCTGCAAAAGTATGTAAGTGTTTGTAACTGTGTTGTGTGTGTGGCGTTTGCATGTGCACATGTGCATATGTGTGTTCTGTCTTGTTTTCATTTTTATATCACCAGTTTACTTTTATTAAAATTTCACAAATGATGGAGTTAACTGGCTTCTGTAAATGTTCCCCACTTTTTAATGACACATTGTTTTTTGCCAAGATAAGAATTTAGAAGTCCATAAAAGGCATCTTCTTTTTCTCTACAATTTGAGGTTATGGGTTTTTTAAGCCACATGACTTTGAATATAATTTAATCAGCTTGCTTTTAGGCCTAACAAGCACCAGATATGAACTGCTTGGCATTCAAAAAATTTTTTTGAGAGAGGAAAACTTATAGATAATTTGGGGTGCATAAAGAACTTCTAGGGGTAGTAAATAAGTAAAGGTGATTATTTCCCAATTAGGTTAACAAAGAAAGTCTAATAAATCTAGGGATGCAAGAAAGTGTATAGTGGAGGAAAGATAAGGAGGAGTGAGCAAAAGGAGATTGGAGTAAAACAAACTCTTCTTTCATGCATCTTCATAAAATCATGTCTATGTCCCAGAAGGAGGAAACTAGCTCTTTTTCTCCTGCACTTTCTATTATGTTTTATTGTTCTGTTCAAAGGCTTCAGATTAATTATTATAACTCAAATTAATTAGCCTGAGTTAGTATTCTCTTTTTTAGAACAATTGCACAGCATGTTGAATATAGCTAATAATTGGGTACTATGCATTTAAATATTACTAACTGAATAAACTTCTAATTTCTGAGCTAGTATTCTTAGCATTGTATTTAGTACTGTAGTTCAGCCACCCTATGAGTTTAGCATGTTTTTGTAAACTAAACTAGGAATCTACTTAATTATGACCTTTTTAATGTAGTAAAATTTTTCTTTGAATTCCAAAAGTCAAAATAAAGAATAAACTTTCAGAAAATAATTTATTTTCAGTTGTAGAATACACATAGGCTCAGTCTTTTTGATTGTATAGTCTACCAGTGATGTTTGTTTTCTGTCATAATCAGAATGTTGACTTATCCTTTTATTTTTACTGCTGTTGTTACTATTGTTGAGCTAGAGAAAGTCACAGAAAAAAATTTAAGATAAGATTTATTCCTGACTTGGTTGGATATTTTTGTACTCTTAGATACCTGTTCTCTGATTTCAAGACTAAAATGAATAAGAATTCAGCTATATAGGTTTGTAGTCTCTGAAATTTAATCACAACCCGGCTGTACCTGTCAGTGTGCCATTTTGTTTTGACATCAAAGTGAAATGGTTTAAATGATTTCTCTCTTCTTTGTAGCCATTGTCAAGGATAATGATGATTACATGGCTTATTATGTCTTCATGACTTTTTGGTAGGCATTACAGATCACAAAATCTGCTTTCTAAAACAGTCTAGTAGGCAGCAGAAATTTTGTAGAAAAGCAAAAGTCTATCAAGCGTTTTTCCCTTTGATTATAATTCTGATAATATAAACCATTTTTTAAATCTAATTTTGCATTATATTTCTGAGTCATCATAATGATTGATAGATAAATATTAGGAATAATTTTAATTTAATAGCTATTCCCTATTGTAAAGCCCAGCTTGCTGACTCAAATCTCTATCCAAAAAAAAAAAACAAAAAAACTACTGAAACCCTGAAACCTAAGATGTGGGCACAGTAATTGGAAGCCATTATTTGAAACAGTGACAAGGGATAATTTGCTATGCTACAATAAAACATGTATTGATTTTTCATTTAAAGAAATTGAAATAACATGGCGGAAACATTCTACTTTGAACAATATCACAAAACGATGAGATATTTTATTGCATTTGTGTGTAAGATACTCTTGTCAGTTTTCACACACCATTAGGTTTAATCACTTTGAGGTATGTTATGTAACTTGGATAGATTGATTTGTAGGATCTGCACTTGCTAAGGACATGTGAATACTATAAGTACATATACATTATATCATGTGTATATGTGTATGTATATATGTATATTATGTATATGTATATATACGTAATGTAGAATTTCTTTAGCATCCCACAACCAGTTATAAAGTTTGTCTCAATTTCTTTTTAAAGCTACTTGACATTTACTCTTCTCCTCCTCCACAACATTTATTTCATGAAATAGAATGCCTTAGAGAGAAAATATGACTTAATATTAATATAGATATAAAACCCAAAAGAAACAAAATATGTGCATTTGTACTAAATTGAGAAATGCCTTTGCTAATAACCCATATTGCTAATATATAGTATATTTTAGTGAAATTTAGCATAATATTTCTTAAGGAAAATATATTTCTGGCTTTTTTATCTTAATGAAAAATATAATCAATGCCTTTTAATAAATGTATAAATATGAAATATTTTTAATGTTTAAGTTTTCATTTTCTAGAAAAGTAGGAAAATTATATATTGTCTGAAACAATGCAGAGTATCAGCTGTTGGCATCATCCATTCATATTATCCATATTAAGTATCTGACTAAGAACATGCATGTATATGGAGCTATATTTACAAATATAAAGACATGTATTCTCCTTACAGAAGAAGATCTCTTTTGATCATGAATCCAAATACCCATACTCATATGTGCACATTTTGTGCACATGTATTGTCACACATTTCATTTAATAACTCACTAGTATATATGGAAATTTTAAGTAAATTTATCCCTGGAGATGATACCAAACATCTGATATACTATACCTAGAAATCAAACACAGTACACAAACTGAAAAGAGAAGCTTCATCAGTTTTAAAAAATAAGCAAAAATAGGGTAGGCACAGTGGCTCACCCCTGTAATCCCAGGACTTTGGGAGGCCGAGGCGGGTGGATCACCTGAGGTCTGGAGTTCAAGACCAGCCTGACCCACATGGAGAAACCCTGTCTCTACTAAAAATACAAAATTAGCTGGGTGTGGTGGCGCATGCCTGTAATCCCAGCTACTTGGGAGGCTGAGGCAGGAGAATCACTTGAACCCAGGAGGCAGAGGTTGCGGTGAGCCAAGATTGAGCCATTGAATTCCAGCCTGAGCAACAGGAGAAAAACTCAGTCTTAAAAAAAAAAAAAAAATACCCTTACCTTTCAATAGGTGTCAGAGAAAAAGCATCAGATTACTTCTACATGAAATCCAGGAAATGTAAATATTAAAACACAAAACTGAAAAAAAAGCAAAAATAGTGATTAATTTGTAGACATTTTAAGAAAATATTTGTTTCAAAGTATTTCGTATGATTTGGAACAATTACATATGTGTTTCTTGGGTGCTGTCAATTGAATCTTACAGTCAGCAGCATCAATTTTACTGGCATATGTACTTACATCTTTTGCCAAATTGTTTATTTGTGAACCATAAAATGGAAGACAAAAATTTAATTTTGTCATTTCAGTCTTGTTTTATCTTTCCACAGTCTACTTTTTAATTTACTCCATTGTCATTATCAGCAGCAGTGTTTTTATTGCTATGTAGGCATTTTATATTTTGAAGTTTCTTTTTCAACAGCCTGGATTAGTTTCCTAGGGCTGCTATAACAAAGTACCACTAACTGGGTGGCTTAAAACAAGAGAAATTTATTTTCTCATGGTTCTGGAGACTAGAAGTACAAAATCAAGGTTTAGCAGAGCCATGCTCTCCATGATGGTTTATTCTTCATTTCATCCCATCTCTGTCCTTTTCAGTCCAAGTTGGCAATGTTTCTGCTAGTATAAAATTCTCAAAAACTTTGTTCATCTTCTGTGTTGACAGGATGAGCAATAGACAAGAGAGTTCTCTATAGATCCTTCCTCAGTAACTCCATCTCTAATCCTAACCACTGTTGAAATGGTGGATTGGATCCATAAGTCAGTTGCTTAATCTTTTTAGCAAATGGTTGTTGAGCCACATCCTTGGCTCTGTTTCCAAAGCATGCTATCTGATTGGCAGTTGAGAATTTTCCAAATCAAGTGCTGCTTCCATTTTCCTTAAGAGTTCATTCCTCAATTATTCTCTTTTCCTCTAATTAATTTTCTCAATTTTCATTTTCTTAATTATGTAATTTTCTCAATTACAAAAGTAATTGTGGTTTTTGTTAAAGAAATTGCCAAAAACTCAAGTACTTTTGCACCTAGCTAATATAAGCATCAAGAAGTAACCACACCACACACATCACACTTAGCTTGGAGATCTGAGCTAAGAATCCAAGTTCATCACTTACAAGTTCTACCTTCTACTTAGTAGTAGATCACAATTTGGCAAAGTTTTCTGCCACTTTATAGCAAGGATTGTCTTACTTTCAGTGTCCAAAAACATTTCCATTTGAGACCATTTGCATTTATGACTATATATACGTATGTCATAAAAAAACTTTCTCTGTAGCTTTGTTTGTGATATATGACCGTGTGTGTGTGTGTGTGTGTGTGTGTGTGTGTGTGTGTTCATAATAAAAGCTTTATCTGTAGATTTTCCTTTGCTTCTTTCTGAGCCCCCAGCAGAATCAACTTTAATGTCATTATTTCCTTCAATAGTATATTCAAAACAATGTAGGCTTTTTCTACCAAACACCTCAAAGATCTTTTAGCTTCTACCCATGGCAGAATTCTAAAGCCACTTCTACATTTTTAGATATTTTTTACAGCAGCACCTCACTTCACAGTAGCAAAATTAGTAATGGTTTTCTAGGGCTGCTATAACGAAGTACTGCAAACTGTGTGGCTAAAAATGACAGAAATTTATTATTTCATAGTTCTGGTGGCTAGAAGTCCAACATCAAGGTATAAGGAGGACCATGCTCTGTCTTATAGTTCTAGGAGAGGACCCTTCCTTGACTCTGGTAATTGCCAGCAATCTTAGACACACACTTCAATCTCTGTGTCTATGGTCCCATGATGTTCTCCCTATGTGACTGTCTCTGTGTCTCTGTTTTCTCTTCTTACAAGGACACAAGTCTTTGGATTAAGGCCAACTCTATTCCAGTATGACCTCATCTTAAGTAATTACATCTGCAGAGACCCTATTTCCAAATAAGGTCATATTCTGATGTTCTGGGTTGACATACATTTTAGGGTGGGGGGCAGTATCCAATCAAGTACACAGCCTATAGCTGTTTTTTCTTCAACTTGGATGAGATCAATTTTTCTGATTAAAGGAGTTGTGTACTTTATGTGACTCTGCTTATATTATTTTAAAAATATATGACATATTTTGAATGTATCTAAAATACATTAGATATTGACTACTGAGTTTGGATTATTATCAAGTAAATGTAAAGTGCTTTCTACGTAGTAAAATGGTTAATGGATATTGAAAAGCCTTATTGTTGGTACCATTAAAAATCTAAGAGGGTCATGTTATATGCCGAAAAGACAAATGAGTTTGGTAACAAAGTAAGAATATATGAAGGTCCTAGACTTTGAACTTTTTTAATATATATTTGGCAAGAACTAGTGCTTTTTCAGAATGTCAAGACAAACATAATAACAAGGTAATTTCTAGATTATTCTTTTTCTCTAAACAAACATTCAGTATATTCTGTATTCTCTTTACTCTGTTAAATATTACAATAGTCATCATTTAAACATGTGCGTGAGGCAGACTTATTTTCAGGTGTTTCCATCTGTTGTGAGGGTATACTTTAAAAATAGGACAGAAACACACACAAATTAAACACAAAGCCAGGGGAAAAAGAAAAGAATGAAAGAAATATCCCCAGGGCAACAGTGAGAAAAAAACCATTTGAGCTGCCTGTTATTAATTGTTCAACCTGTTTTACCTTGGAATCCTACATAATTATTTTCCAGGGGAGGGGCAAACAACAGATGTTGAATAAAGGTTGAATCTCAGAAAATGAGACTATTTTAAAAATAAAGTTACTCTCACTCACCAACAGGCATTTTTTGTTGGCAAGACTTTCAGGCAGCAATTGATTTCTCATATTCACTGTGCATTTCAATAACATTAATGCAGAACAAAATATTCTTTTTTTGTTTGTTTTAGTCTAAGAAGTAGATCAAATATACATGTACATAATATATCTAAGTTAGAGGCTCATAAAAAGCAAAACAAAAACAAAAGCAAGAATATACCACAGCATTTTCTTAATTTTGTATTACATACATGTTTCATGTTAGGTAACAAAAAAATAGAAGATGTTACAGAAATATATATATGTATAAAATATATATATATATTTCTCATTGCTAAAGTCAGTACATTCTTAAATTAGGTGACTGAGTAAAGGGCTAAATTACAAATAGTGTCTTGTTTCAAGTTCTAGACAGCATATATTGTATAACTAATATTAAGATGCAGTACACATTTTTATTAAAACCTTGGTAACTAGGGATATTACAGAATAGTTTGTGACTTTAATTTTTGGGGCCTGCTTGTTCACATCTTCTATCCACTATTGCAGAAAATTATTTTATTTAAGGTTAATGAATGCATCATCATCATGAGTGTATTTCTTCCATGGACCTAGGAATACATCTTGTTACTTTGCACTGTTTTCATCTCATCTAAACTTAAATACCCCCAGAAAAGTAATTTTCTTCCAATAAGACTAAGTCTTATGTAGCTGGGGAAATACCAATGACCATATCTTTTAGATATTGATCATTCTAAAGAATTTTAATATAAAAGTTAAAATCAATAGAGAAGGATTCATAATTCAGTTGGCCCTTTTTCCTACTTGGTTTTTTCTATTTGTTAACTAAAAATATTTTATTTTTCAAGCATTCCCGACTTTGCTTTCCTTTGCTATCCTCACCCTACACACCATCACAAGTAGACTTCAGTCTGTTGATCTGCTTCCTCCAGGTGAGCAATTTCTTCATCTGCTAGCTTTCTTCTCTGTGATCCAAATTTTACTTGTTAGATGATAGCACTCATAAAACTATACATTTGCAAGGCAGAACATGTGGACTTTATTTCTTTAAAGGAAAATAGCATAGTAAGTGAGTAATTTTCTTTATTGTTTCTGCATTAATGCTCTTAGTATTTCCGGAAAAGCTGTATAGTGTTAACGGTTGAAACAAGAATCTAGTCTTACACCAGATTTTTAATATTTGTTATTCTTAAGTGAGTTTAAGTGGGCCAAATCTTAATTATTTCATATTTTGAAAATTCTACCACTTATATTAATTTCACTTAGGAAATAGTGTAGAATAAACTGATGGAATGGAAAGTGGGCTGTACAGGAAAGAAAAACTTGATTATTTTCTTTTGGTGTAAGTTGTTGGTGTAGATGCAATCTGCTTCACTGTTGCCACCTGAATAACTGTGTTTCACCTGAGAAACTGAGTCCCCAAATTCCTCTTTCCTTTTGGACTCAATTACACATCATATTAGCTAAGTGTTACTTTGTGAAAATACGTTAAAGGCTTCTTTACACAATACTTTAAAAAACCTTTACATAGCAGCCCCATATAGTTTCCTAAAGGCAAGGCAGAACCAAAATTATATAAATTATAATGGCTAATGAAGCTAAATATTTAAATCCCTGGAACTCCATAAATTATGCAATACATTTCAATCTCTAAGTATGCTTTACATGTGATTCAGATAATCTTGGAAAACACATTAACATTTGAAACAACTGGAAAAATTAAGTAAAAAAACAGGAAAAAGTATTCCTATCTCAGGTGAAATTTTAGCTCAACATATTATACCATTCTACGTCTGGATATCATCCAAGTCTCTGAATCATTTGAATGCTTTTGAGAGATTTGATTGGTTTCTGCATAGTTTAATCACTACTTAAGAAAAACTTGCTACTGGAGAAAATGATTATATCAGGTTGTTGCTGTGCTTGAAAAACATACATGTATATTATAGTAATCTAAGAATCGCAATTTTTCTTGCTTTATTCATGCCAGAGAAAGAGACAAGGTTGCTTTATTTCTTGTATGGAAATGAATGGAAACTGGAGTAAAAATAGAACAGCTTTAAACAGACAAGGTTATAGTTGGGAAAGTTATACCTGTCCTTGATTTGGGGGTAAAAAGGTGAGAAGTTTGAAACACAAGTGTGTCAGTGTGCATGTGCATGCACACACACACACACATATGTAAGGTCTATATAAAGTCTTCCTTGTTACCCTTGAATAGCTGTGATTTCACATTGATTAAATTTTAATTAGTTGGGAAAAGTGTTATATTTTTTTCATTCAGCAAAAATTAAATTCAAGGGTATCATTTATACCAATAATCATTTTGGATTTTAGAATGTAAATTTTTATACATTATTTCATGTGTTCCTCAATATATTTCTGCCTTGATCTCACATCCATTTCCTGCTCAAATGTATGTGAATGCTCACTGGTGCATACATGCACAGGCACATGTACACCTGTGCAGAACCATGGCCATTTACCAACAAGAAACACAGAGCTAGTGTTGTGATTGAGCACCAGGAAAACTGGAAACTGTTGTTAGGTAAATTAAGCCTTATTTTATGTCCACTAAGTGGTTCTCAGAGATTGTTGTCTTTAGGCAAGGCCCCTTCTATTCATTTCCATCTGGTATATGAATGTAATTTTTTAATCATGTGTATGAAGAATGCATGCATAACTATATGTACATTTGCTTTTTAGCTGTATTCCTTGGGTGATAATTATGTGACAAATTTGAAGTTATCATTTTAAATTTACATTTTCTCAAAGTGTCAAGATAATCAGGATAGCAAAGCTTGCTAATATTTTCTATTGAATATATACTATAAAACTCTTCAATTTAGAATACAATTGTTGAGGCTACTGAATGTAATTTTGCATATATATTTTTGATTATTATAAAATTACTATAACATAATCATTTTGTCTCTATGTTATAAAATAATCAGAATAATAATATTTTTACTTTTGTTTCAATTATCTCCCAAATAGTTCATATAGATATAATCTTTGTGTTTTATAGGTAATAAATACATCAATGAGTTATGTATCTTAGGATGTATACTTTTTAATAAATTATTAATCTAACAATACATTATTTATATTTGGGATTTTATGCAAAATTATGTGCAGATATATTTATTTTTAGTAATAAAACAACTATACTCAATAAGAAAAAAGCCTAGATAGAAAGTTTCTTTTTACTAAATACTGCTAACCTAATAATTTTTCCATTTTATAATAATAGCAGGTAGGTTTCCTTTGTGATCATAAATACTTTTATCATTTAAAGAATGAGCTTTAAAATAAATATGTTACTGGAAATTTGTCAAATCAAATAGTTTAATTGTAGTTCACTTATGGGTAGACCTTGGATTTTAATACTGGATAACTTTAGCTCAAGTCAAAAACTCATCTGGACCTTAAAAATGTACACATTCACGGTTAGAGTGAAACTTACTTAAATTCAAGCTTTTTTCTCCTTTCAGCAGAGACGTTGTGATCCCAATTATGTGTCCAATAGAAGTGTCCACATTCTCTGATTGACTTATGAATTATATTTCTAAAGGAATTTTAGGGTCCAGTTAGAAGATTACTGCTATTTTCCTAAGCATTATAAAGAAATGTGCTGTGAAAGCAAATGTAAAAATCTGACTTGCCTGAATTTAAATTTATTTTTTTAATAATAGAGTTGCCTAAAAAATTTATTTTGGCTAGATTATGAAGGTCTTAGAACACCAAACTGAATAATTCATCATACATCCATTTTTGATAATGAATATGAAAATTGTTAAATGGCTCCTTGAAAATACCTTTGGTAGCAACAAAAAAATCACTTATTTCTAAGATTGAATGAAAAGATTATTAATAAGAAAAACTCAAATATAGCATGTTTGAATTAAGAAAGACTGTCTTAATTAGTTCTTCTGTTATATTAATATGAATTCCTTTTTAGATTGGATTCAGATTAAAAGTCTGAAAATAAAATAATTGCTTATATATTTCTATTTATTTTCTTGTTAAAATTACCCTTTAGGAATGCACTTCACTCTTACTGTCTGTTCTTTGCTCTGGGTATGGCTGATTATCAATGGAATCGCAGAAAATACTCTCCAAGATAAGAAAGTATTTAAAACATCACTGTTAGACACTTTTTTATCTCCATACTGCATGATGCATGGTAACATTTTCTTTAAAAACACATTTTTATCTTTACTGTGATTCAGAAATAGCCCTCTCCAGTAGCTTTTTTGCCCCTCAGTTTGATTACATAGCAGGATAATCTAAAGAGCCACATCTCCTCTCTTTTAATATGTAAATTTCCTGACCTCTTCTACCAATTTCTCCAATGCTTCAGTGTGTTTTAATGATTACAAAACATTAAAGCTGTTACTAGAAAAACGGCTTGTCATTGCCAATAAAACCTATTACAAGAAACATTTCTGTATATTTACTTTAGAACACGGATATTGAGTGCATTGATTTCACTTAAAGTTTTATTCTTGGGATGAACCAATTGTAGAGGATAAAACACATCAGCTTCCAATAAATTTATAGCACAGTTACAGGTAATAAGAACAGAATGGTTTTAGAGAGGTAATTCCAAGAACAGCCTTTATTTGAAATGGCAGTTATCATTGCTTTCCTACCCTTTATAGGTATTTTTGACTATTTAAAATAATAGTAGCCATAAGATTCACAGTTTCAGCAGCTTAGTGGTAGGGGTATTGTTTGAGTAAGATCAAGGCCGAATTGTTTAGGTCCAAATGCCTGTATTTTATTCTAAAGTTATCTTTGGAAACTATCATTTTAATTGTCCTCTTAGAAAGATTCCACTTCATAGGAGACATTTGTATGTATTTATTCAAGTACATATTTATTATTATTTTTCTGTGTGTGTGCATGCATGCACATGTACGCGTATGCATGAACACATTGAGGGTATTTAGCTTTAGTTTTTACATTTTTGTTATATAAGTACCTGTTGCAGAATCATTTATGGAGTAGTATAGTTTCATACATATTTCTCACTCATTTGAATCTTTAAAAAAACCTTTTGTATTACTTCTTTCTTCAAAAATATAGTATTTTTGAAAATACTTGTCTGAGCAAGACACGGATCTGTTCGTGTACACATGCCCACCTAATTTAAGTTAACAAAGGAAACTTTAGACCTATCCCAAGTAGAAATCTGTGAGTTTAATAAATAGCTTCTGGAAACTAGAATGTCATTAAAAATATTAAAATATTAAAAACATTCTTTAAAAATCTATCTTCTGGGACTCCCATATCCTATTGGCAGAGGTTGATTGCTAAATAATAAGCCAGAGAAGATGAACTGCATCTGAATTAACTGTTTTCTGAGAGTGCTAAAACTGACACCTGATTCTGTTTGCTTGTTTCTAGCAATGGAAAATAAGAGCTGCTAGAAACAAGATGAACAACAGGATTTAAACTGGTAAATAGATATACATCCCAATAGCAATCAGACAGCAGGCAGAGAGAAAACACTAATAAGACTCTCTTGCTTGCTTCTTACAATGAGTTTGGTTTAATAGGCATGTTTTCATTGACCTTCCTTACAGGATTACCACTTTGCTAGGAGGATGACTTGAATCTTAGATGTATTCATCCATGTCATCAAAAATGGTGTCATTATCAGAGATGGGGTTGGCTTACAGAGGCAATAAAAGCATAAGGAAAACATCCTCTCCAAAGATGAAGGATAGTAGAATACTTAAACAGTCTTGGGTCTGAAATTCACAGTATTATTTAAGTTGCTAGAATTTTAAATTTGTCCTTGTAAGCCAAACAGCTTTTGCTAACTACTGCATGCCAGAGCATAGGTTTCTCACTGCATATAAATCAGGTTCTTTCGGAAATTGCATTAACTCTTTCAAGACTCTAAAATTACAAAGTTTTATTAATTAATTCATATGTTGATGATAGCTGTTGGCTAAAGTGTAAGATACAGAGACAGCTCACTTAAAAGAGAAAAGTGTCTCATTCGACACGGCAATGCAGTAGAAGAAAAAAACAAAAGAGAAACGTAGCAGAGAAGAAAGAAACCTATAGGTGCTGAGGTGTAGTTTTCAGGATACTCACTGTTTTCCATAATTTAAAATTATAAAGAGGTGATTATTTAAATATAGGCTTTGATTTCAATAACAGTGTCACTGGTTTCCAAAATTTCCTAAAGGGAAATTATTCTGACCTCCAAGTTCGAGTAGAATATATGTCAGGCAGGATTTATCTCATAATTTAAAATGGTATTTTCAATAATAAATAGATAACTTTATATTTTCTATATAAACATTGTTTTTAACAGACATCTGATATTACTGTAAACAATGCATATCTCACAGCAATAGACAGCTATTATGTACAACTTCATTTGGTCCTGGGATCATTCTGAAAACTGACATTATGATCTCACAAATGAATGGTACTGAAATGAGTAATTTATAAAGTATGTAGTTGTTCCCATTATAGGTTACCCGTAGTGTTTGATAACTTTTAATTTAATGATCCTTTCCATCAATTAAAGCGTCTGTTCAAATTCAGAAGTGTACATTGAGTGTGTCATATATTCAAGGAATGGAATGCTGAAGAATATACTGTAGTATCTTGATTTCAAGGGACTTTAGGGTCTCCAGGTAAACAGATAAAAAATAATAAGGAATGCAGAGTAATGCTGTAATATATAATTCAATGGGAAAATTGCTACATTATCTTCATACAAAATATAAATGCTTATTTAGGAAAAAATTGGAAGTTTTTAAAATTTATTGTTCTTTATATGGTGTATCAAAAACCTTTTCAATGGTGTATCAAATATGAAAACTGTTCTGAGATTCATCCATCTTACTCTTTGTTGTTGTCTTTGCTTTGTTGATATATTTTTTACCTCTCTTTTGAATACCTAGCGAATCTCTTTTGTTCCAGACTCTCCATTTTCTGATTTTCTAAAATAATCCTTTAATATTTCAAATACTTTACCATATGAAATGTTATGTTTGGTTAATGATAACAGAAAATTAGAGGAAGAGGGAAGAAAGATAAAGCAGATGTAGGAAAAAGAAATATTTTTCTAATGAAGAATTTAAAAATGCAAGATTTATGCTGGTAACATAAAATACCAGTTTAAATGCACATTAAGACTTTCTTTAGAAGAAGCAGGATGATATGAAAGATGAAAGCTGAGTCTGGGGGCTGGAATGCCTATTCCAGTGAATCATTCAGGTCTTGTTGTGTCTGTTGGAGATACTCTGGCTTGAGCCAAAAACTCTAGATATCCCTTTTTAGAAAAAATGCTGATTTGGATTCTATTTACCCTATAGCTCATCCCAATTCTATAGTTTCATTAATGGTGTCTGATGACTTTCCAATCAACCACCGAAATAATTCAAGAATCTTTGAGACATATGATACACTGCTTAAATACTTATACTAGTGCTTCATTGCCTGCTGCATTAAATTTGGTCTTTTACTTAGAACTTTTCCATTCTTTTTTCAGATCCTAGCAAATTTTCTCTACATTGTTATGTCAAGTGTTGCCATTGCAGCTTAAGTCCTTTGACCTATAAAGCTGGTCTCTTACTGCCCTGTGAAGTGCACATTCCCATGTGAGGTGTGTTTCTTTTCTTAATCCTTTACCTGGAGCGCCCTCTCTCTGCTCTCCACTCTCTGTTGAAACCCTGATCAGCCTTTGAATCACAGATCAAGCACCACCTCTTGCATAAAGCCTTTCACAATATTACAACCTACGCTTTTCTCTGTATTTCTGCTGCTTGACGTTCATATGACATAGTTCAAAATGTAACTGATCATGAATAATTTCCCATATGCTGGTTTCACTCTACTTTTTAGTTTCCAATCAAAGTTTAAACTCATCGGTAAAGAGATATAGTCTTACAAATTTCAGAACTTTAGAAGTAGATAGACCTAGGTTTATTTACCACAGACCTGTATGCAACAAAACACTCATTCTACAGCATTCTACCCAAGATACCCCTCCTTGAAAACTTTCAATTCCTAGGCAAGGTGTGGGGAGGTGTGTAATGCATTTTTACCTTATAAATTATTGTGTGTAACTTCTTTAAAGTAATTGCTGAACTACACACATCTAATGTGCCCACAAAATGTGAGCTGTCTTTATGCTGGTGGGACGTTTGAATTGTATTGTTTTTCCTTGAAAGTCTCTGTAAGCATACTTTTCTCAAAGTGAATATAAACCTTGTTCTGGTGGTATAATATTGAGCTTCAGCCAGTTCTCTTCGGGGTACCTGTTAGGAAAAAGATGGTTCCATTTAGCTGTGCCTTTACTTCCAAGCATCTGCCGCTGCCCCAGGTGATGGCTGTGCCTACAGAAGGGAATTCAGGGAAGGGGCAGATTAAATTTTCAGTGTTGATCTCAGTGGCATGCCATGGGACACAAATGATATTTGTGCCATAAATTCCCAATGCATGGTTTACATTCTCATTGTTTTGTAGTCCTAGCACTTCCATATCAAATACTGTTTTGCATTTATTCCTTATCATAAATTTCATTTCAATTTGTCTTAAGTTCTGTTCACCTTAGAGCGTTATCTATGTGTGGTCAATATATACGCCAGAAAATTCCACTCCGGTAAACATTTTACTATGTCCAAAGGGTCACAGACACTTAAAACCATCCCTGAAGGTGTGCAGGTGCATTGAACAGTAAGTGCAAATGCTCCAAACAGCTCCAAATACCCAGCTGTGATTGGATTCACTTGCTTATGATATAGGACAGTGATTTCTGGTGTCTGAATGCAGCCGTGGCAATACATTCAAAAGCATTGTGCGATGCAGGTGCATGCTAGAGGATTGGTACTTCAAAGCTGCCGTGGTTTGACTATTTGATAGTATTATAACAACTTCCTTTTCAAAATGTGCTCTCTGCTATCAAAAGCAGATAGAATAGCACTTCACAAAGTAAAATCTGGAAGCCAGATTAGCAGTGTATACTCCTCAAAATGTATACATTTTTTCTCATAGTAGTTTTATTACTTGAGATATATTTTAAATTTATAATTCTTTATGGGGCTGATTTTTTAAAAAATAATTTTATTTCCTCAGGTCCTATGTCTAATTTTTCCTCATTATATCACTGCCAACATGTTAACAGACAACCTCATGAAATAAGCATATTGTAACAAGATATATTTTCCTCATTATATTAAAAAATAAAAGCAGCAAGACATTCCATATCTGTGTATCTCTATATTAGTTACTTGATTAAGAAACAACATGTATCCCTGTGCACAAGTGAGACACATGGGAAATACAATGCTATAGAAGAATAGCTTAGCTAAGCAAGGGATGGATTCTCCGATTAACATTTTTTCTTACACAACCCTGTTCTTCCCTGCATAAAGGATAAAATAAGCTTATTAAAAATGGTGTTAAAATAAAACTTGGAAGTAGGAAAAAAATTCCAGGAAATTTGTAATATTAGAATACCCATTTAAAAATCTGACACAGGAAAAAATAATTTTGAGACAACTTACTTATCCAGAACTGTCTCTAGAAATAATATTGAAAGCAAAATTTTTACTCCTTTTAGTCAGATAGTGAGAACAGAATATTCATTTTTAACAATATACAAGTAAATGGGACATAGAAGTCATAAGTGGAAATAATAATGTTTATGAATATAGATTGTTAAGGTACCATTTATATGGAATGACTCACTCTATTATTATAACAAGTGTAAAGTTTTTATAGGATCAGAAAAGAAAGTAAGTCAATAATAATCAACATAGCCAAAAAAAGAAAGAACTGTGTATGTTAGAAAAGTGTCAGTTCACAGGATGTTGTAAATTATGTCAACTCACTGAAAGAAAAATCCATTTTATTAGAGGTATGTTGGACCATTTTCTGATGAGATTTCTGTTTTAGCATTGATGTTTTCTCTATGTTAGAATATATTGGGATAAATTGCAATTTGTTGTGGTCATAGAAAAATGTGTGCACATGCATGTGTGTGTAATTGTGTGTATGTGCTGAAGAAAGAAAAAGGCCATAAAATCAAGCTGCTGTTATACCATTAAAGCCTCTTAACAGAAAACTATTACTGAGCATGAACTGCCAGCCAAAGGTCTTGGCTTGGCTTGGTTTGCAGACAGATAAAGAATTTGTGATGGGTACTTAGCTTAGATTCTGTAGAATTAATCTACAGAACACTTGTGCAGACCGTAAATAGAGATGAGTGCTTGCTCTCTGATTTGGAAGACAGCTAATTAGATATTATGAAAGCTTACATTGTTGAAAGAAGGTAAATTAGAAACAAAAAAAGAATAACGGGAACAAATAAAAACTGGACTTCCATTTATAGAGTTGTCTACTTGGAAAAACTCTAATATTAAGATGTTGTTAGAAATGATACCAACTACCACAGTAATAGGAGAACACAATTTCTATTTACATCTGTTTACAAAACAGAAATAAGACCATTTGGTTGACAATCATAAAGCACAGATAACTTTTTGAAATGTCCTTTTCCCCTGGCCACAACAATTTAGACTGTCTTTATTGATGCCATGATTTATAGATTTTGGTTTTTAAGTGTCTATGACACAGACATTTATCTCATCATTATAGAAAAGAAAATCAGAGGCAAATACTGGATGCAGATAGGAAACTCCTGTGCTGCAAACTATATGTACGTTTTCAGGTGTACAAATATGTAAGTTCCCAAAGCACCAAGTAAGTCTGAAACTCAGGGGAGGAAATCCTTTTATGCTCTCTAAAATTTCCCTAAGTGGTCACAAATTACTTTTGTAGTGCTCTGAAGACAGGGAAAATAAGTTTAAAATTCTGACTTGTGACAAATTTCTGCCTGAGAGCAAAACAGAATAGAATAAAGAGGTAGATTCTCTCCAAAGTAAGACTTTTTTGGCTGGTTGCTAGGCATATTTCCTGTGCTTGGACACTACAGAATCAGAATCCACAAGTGTTTTTCCCTGAGCTTTCCACAATAACTATGTTCAACTGAGGCACTTAGTCTTTGTTAATCTTTGTTGATTTTAATAACATTTTGGTTTCAACTTTCTATCTTATAAATGATAATTTTGGGCATCATTGAAATGGCTATGCACTCCTGTGATATAGTGACATTATACAATTAAAACACATTGTAAAATTAAATTATATAACATTTGTGGGAGACTATTAAAACCCAACAATTTAAAAGCAGATAATTTGATGTTTTTATCTAAGTATTTTTTCCTCACATAGATATAATTTAGAATAATTTCACAATGGCTTGATTCATCTGAAGGTATATTTTGTCACAAAATGATTGCTTGCCTGATATCCTTAAGATTAAGCTATTAAACTGCTTAGTGTAGGTTAAAAAAGAGAGAGAGAGCTTTCAGATATTATCAGCCAATATGAATATGCAGATTTCGGGTATCTTTATGTCCAAATCCATTTTAATTACATGAAATTCTAAAATCAGAGACAGTTAAAGTGTTGATCTAATCATAGGTTTTGCACCCAGGCTTGTGGCAAAGGGGAAGATTAAAATGTTGCTTATTGGTGCTTTTAGTCTGAAAGATTTATACATATGTGTACATTAATATATGTAAGCTTTGTTAATATATAAACAAATACATAAAATATTGTTATTTTATTTACAATAATAAAATATTGTCATTTTATTTACAATAATAAAATATTGTCTTGTTTATGTACCCCTGATATTATGAATATAGAACTTCCTGTGATTCACCTGTATTTCTCTTATGGTAATTGCTAGTAGTTAATGTTCAGAAATGCATAGGTTATGAATTTAAGATTTTCTATTTTATTAACGAATTTTTAGTCTGTGTCTTGGAAAAAGCTAAGTTTTATCACAAACATAAAAATAAAGGTCTGTATACAATATGAATATGTGTGCATGTGTCTGTGTGTGGTTTATGGTGCAGGTAAACTGCAAGTACTACAGTCTTTTGAGTTACTTCATCTGTTTTGCAAAAATGTCATATAAATTAAGAGGCACAATTGAACTAATTAAGGTTACTGCATTTAGATACTTCCCTTTGAGGCTTGCATAACAGTCAGATGCAGCAACAGGAGTATAGAAAGTGATTCTTAATACTAAACAAGTGTTTAAAGTTATTTGATTGTCACATAATATTTCAGGGAATCATGCTTTTAAAAGATTAGACATTGTAAACTAATAGTTTATAACTGTAAACACTGTAGTTTACAGTGTCTAATATAGGCAGAACTGCCCACAGTCCCACCTTGTGTACTTTAGAATTGTTTTCTTTCTGCAATATAAACATGCTTATCTGTGAGTATCTCTCATCTGCATACTATTTAAATTTTGCTATGTTTCTTGGCAAGGGATGCATTCTATGAAGGGGTGATCATGTTATATTGAGGAAAGTAGGAAAACAAAAGTAAGTAATATCTTGGCAATCCCAGATAGAACCTGAAGAAAAAAGTGAATATTTGTTCAACTATTTTTTATTTGATTTCTTCTGTTCAGGGTTTCTGGACTTGTTTTCTGGTGTATATATTGAATATATGCAAACGGTGGCTATCTAAATAATTTGCTTTTTTTTTCATTTCCATAGCTTATAATTTAACATATCTATTCCAGAATCCATTCCCCTTAAAGTACAGAGAGCAGTTTGATCATCTATCTTAGAACTGTAGGGCTTAAGTAAATACTCTTCAATGTTATTTTTTATTATACACACTTAACTTATTGAGGGCACTTAAAAATGTGCAATAGAAGGTACACGTGTCAGAAATACTGTGAATACACCCCTTTTTGTCTTAAACAAACCCTTTCTTTGTGGCAGCTTTCCCTCCTTCTCCCTCCACACTACACTCTCTCTTCATCTACCCCCAGCCCTTGCCTCACTCTCATTCTCGTTTCCCTCCTTCCCTTCACTTTGTTTTGCTTCTTTCCCTTTCTACTTTCTTCCTTTTTTCCATTTGTCTATCTTTTTTGCCCAACCAGTCATTCATTGTATATTATCTGTGTCTCTTCTTTCTGTATTTACCTATTCATCCATTTATGTTTTTTCAAAAATGATTTCCCTCTCTCACAAATTCTAACTTGACCCTTGACAGTTAGAGTTCATTTTGTGCTCATAGTTTCTACTGTTTGTACAAAAGTGTCCATTCAATTTTCTTCACTGACTGTGAACTGCTGCCATCAAAATTATAGTCTAATCACAAGGTGAACAGCTTGTAATGTATCATAATCAATACTCAAAATTTGCTCCCCACGATGTGACATAAAGGAGTTAAGTAAAATGCTGCAGATTTTCAGCAGTGACAAGCAAACAATCATTTTATGTTGGTGGTTTCAAATTCAAGGTCGATTTACACTTTCATACGTCTGCATTATTCTTTCTTTTTCTGTGTCTTAAATTCATACTGAATTCATTCAGTGTTAGCTATCCAAATAGCTGCAATGAAAGGCCAGTCAATATGAAACATGAAACTACATTAGCATATTTCAAAGACAGTGTATGAGTTATAAATGAATTTTTTAAAAAATTTCATGATGCTAGAAGATACAAAAGTATTACTGAGTGAAATAGATTGTAAAGTTTTCTACTTTTCCTTCTTTCTGAAAGATAAAATTTGTTGAAAGTTATCTATTTGTTGAAATGATTTTTTTAACATTTACTGACAGATATAAATAAAGGTAATATTTATGATTCCCATTTAGAGTAGGTAAAGGAAACAAATGACTGATACCTGATATTGAACCTTTCTTTTTGCTTTTCTATGTATTTATTTACTTATTTATTTTGAGACAGGGTTTAACTCTGTCACTCAGGCTGCAGTGAAATGGCATGATTACAGCTTACTGCAGCCTTGAACTCCTGGGCTCAAGCCATCTTCCTTCCTCAGCCTGCCGCGTAGCTGCATGCACCACCTCACCTGGCTAATTTAAATTTTTTATTTTTGTAGAGGGGTGTCTTGCTATGTTGCCCAGGCTAGTCTCAAACTCCTGGGCTCAAGCAATCCTCCTGCCTCAGACTCCCAAAGTGCTGGGATTATAGGCATAAGCCACTATACCTGGCCAATATTGAACTTCTGATACCCCCTTTTAAAAAATTTCAGTTCTAATTTAAATACATAAATAGAGGCTTCTGAAAAAAAATAATGCCTAGTTTCTGCTGTTCTTCATGTCTGTCTAACAGTCTTTCGATTTGTAGATAGTATTTGCGTCTGTGGATGCACTGTGTGACTGCTTTTCAGCATTCTTTCCTGCATAATAAATTTAACAGTGAATATTTAATTTACTCATAAGAAAACATTTCTTTTAAAAAATGACAAAATTAAAATAGAAGAAAGATACCTAATTTTTTTTGAGGTTTCACAGGTGTGAATAAATAACATAGTATCTTTGTTTTCTCAAGACACCATTTTGATTTCTTCCTAAAAATTTCAGCCTCTTAAGAAATTGTTTTATCTTAAAACCTTTTGAGATAAAACAGATTGTGGGCTTTTTAATGTAAATAATTATTTACATGCTTTAAGTATAAATTTAGGTTTCATATATAACTTTGAGAAGTGATATACAAATTTATCAATGCTATTACATTTGCTGCTATTTTAAATATATGTTTCATGTGGACATCCTTTTCTTGCACAGGACACTCTAAATGTGTAGAGATCATCTAGCACCAATTAAATGGCAAATCCCAAGGGCGCCTAAAAGTGTAGGGACTTCTATTCCCATTACATAAAGGTAAATTGTAAATATCCTCTCCTAAAAGTAAAAGTCTCTGATTTAGAAACAGTCATTAACCACAATGGGCACAATCATTTATATAAGAAAGGGACAACTGGGACGATGTAGCTCAAAGTTATGGTTTAAAATATTGGGGTCAATGGAAGTATGCAGCTCTTCTATAATTAAGGATTTTTTTTCATATTCCACATTCAGCATCTGTGAAATAGAGATCATTAAAAGAATGCTTTATTTAGAGTCTCTATTGGCAAAGGAAAAAAGTAAAAATTCCCACAGAAAGCATTATTATTTAAAATGGGAAATCATGATTTGTCATTCATTCTGACCTGTATCTGTTGAGTAAATGCATTTTCACCTACTTACACCCAAAACAAAAAGCTGAACAGAAAACTGATTACATGATCCATACGCCTATCTAATAAAATAGAGATGTGCACTTTTTGACAAGCTTATTCATAATACGTCCTGATAAAAAATTCCATTTGCCACTCTCAGTAGGAAAAGTAAGCATTTAAAGGAAACCTTTTATTTCATGACTGTCATCCAAATAACAATTACAAGCAAAATAGTGATAAAACGTTTTTTAAAGAGCAGCTTAGAACTTGTTATGGAAGTTTGCAATCCAGTTTTTGCCTTGTTATTTGATTTGAAAAAAATAATCCTGATAATCTTTTTTGAAGTTCACTGTTTCTAGGATGAGTTATACAGAACAAAGACTAACTGATATTCCCAGGAGTTTAGTTTATGGTGATGCTCTATTCTACTGAGAATGATTCTCCAATGGCCACATCTTACTTCTTCCCAGGCTGTGGGAATTCATTAATCTCTAGAGAATAGACTTAAATTAAACCATTGTCTCAACCAGCAGGTTTATGCAACCATCCTGAAATGTTTTAATTATTGTTTTCTTTTCCTTTTTAATTAAGAGACCAGAGGTCAAGCAAGCCCATTGAGAGCTGATCACAGCCTCTGTAGAAATTTAAAGAAAACTCTAATGATTGGATTTGCTGTTTTCTCTTTTGTTTTGCAGAACCAGAAGAGTGTGTTAATTGCACAGATGAATGCCGAGTGCTTGGTCATTCTGACAGGTGCTGGATGCCACAGTTCCCTGCAGCCAATCAGGCTGAAAATGCAGATTACCGCACAAATCTCTTTGTACCTACAGTTGAAGCTAATGTTGAGACTGAGACTTACGAAACTGTGAATCCCACTGGGAAAAAGACTTTTTGTACATTTGGAAAAGACAAGCGAGAGCACACTATTCTCATTGCCAACGTTAAACCTTATTTAAAAGCCAAACGTGCCCTGAGCCCTCTCCTCCAAGAGGTCCCCTCAGCATCAAGCAGCCCAACCAAGGCGTGCATCGAGCCTTGCACCTCAACAAAAGGCTCCCTGGATGGCTGTGAAGCAAAACCAGGAGCCCTGGCTGAAGCAAGCAGTCAGTACTTGCCCACTGACAGTCAATATCTGTCACCTAGTAAGCAACCAAGAGACCCTCCCTTCATGGCTTCCGATCAGATGGCAAGGGTCTTTGCAGATGTGCATTCCAGAGCCAGCCGGGATTCCAGTGAGATGGGTGCTGTTCTTGAGCAGCTTGACCACCCCAACAGGGATCTGGGCAGAGAGTCTGTGGATGCAGAGGAAGTTGTGAGAGAAATTGATAAGCTTTTGCAAGACTGCCGGGGAAACGACCCTGTGGCTGTGAGAAAGTGAAAAAAGAAAAAAAAAAAGGCATTGGCATTTTCTTGTCTCTTCTGTTGATTTAAAAATGATCCCTCCTGGTGATAACCCATTTTACAGGGATGAAGAAAGACCAATGCTGCTTTAAGGCTTTTAGTGAACATCTGAAGTGCCCACAAGTATGTTCTTTCCACTGCTGATTTCTTTTTCAGAGATAACAATGGTTTCGTTTTGACCAAACTTGTATTAGGACAGAATTAATGATGCTTAAAGAGAAAAGAAAAAAAGAGAGAAGAAAAAGGAGAGATGAAAAAGGAGGATGAGGAGAAGAATTACCTTTTGACAATCTGTTAGGAAGGTATGCAGTGTGAGAACTGAAGTATTTCTGATCACTCTCAGACTGTCCTCCGTGATTTATGCTGACTTAACTGTTTACCTATAAACCCCATACAAAGCAGGGTCATAATTTGTGATCTGTGGTGGATTTCTAGCAGTCATCACAGGCTTCTACTGAAAGTCCTGAAAAGACCTTGCAGTAGTCCAAGCTACACCAAACATTAACACATATTTGTGGTAAACATTTCTGTATAAAGTTACCTGACACACATATAAACACAAGGAACATTCCATATCATTAGTCGAAAACAAAAACAAAAAAAAAACCTTTGGTCATTTGTAAGACATCTCATGTCATATAAAAGTTAAATGTAAAAAGATACAGTCCATTTTGTCCTGCACACACGTAGACTAATTCACGTCATTAAAGAAGAAGAAAACTTAAAGATTTAAAATGCCTATTTAGCATTTTAGTGTCCAACAAAGATTTAAACAATGATGAATATGTTTTAAATTTGACATAGAAAAGTTCTAAAAAATAGTTACCATTGAGTGGTAAGATTCAGAGAAAATTAACTTGATTAATATGTTTTATTCATTTGTGGACACTAAAATAGCTCAGGAAAGTGAAAATGTCTTAGACATACGCAAGTCACATGACCATTTAAATGTGCAAATGTAAGAAGATTCAATGTGTTTACATCAAATGACATATTTTATTGATTTATTGCAGATTCAGTGCATATGAGCCAAATTGTTGAGTGTGTAAGAGCTATATTGTGTATTTTATTAAATTAATATATAGTTGTGTTGCAAAAATATTTGGGCTTATATTGTAAATGGCAAGTGTTGCCTTGGTAGCTGTCGAACTCTATGAGTTTTGTTTTTTCCTGCTTCCTTTTCCCCATGGAGTGTGGGAAGCAGTGCCTCAGAGCAAAGTCTCTTGTTTAATGTATAGTCTACCAAGTACTACAGTACATAATCTGTTCAAAATGTGTTTGAGTGAGCTGATGGAGCTAACTGAAAGGTCAAAAATTACATCCATCAGTCATGGTTATGTGCAAGTCCTTGTAGAAGCTTTTATTAAAGTCATGCTAAATCACAAGAATTGACATTTGTACCAATATCTGAAACTTCTTCATGTTTTTTCAATAACATACAGCTTCTGCCTGTGTAGATATTATGCCATCAGTTGGTTCTCAAAAGTATTTTAAGTGCTTCAGATGTGTGTTCCCATTATATTTTGAAAACATGAAAAATGCTTTAATGCATGTATGTACCAGCAGTGGTTACTTGCATTGTGTAGTGTTTTTCAAGAGGTCTGGGTCTTAACAAAATGTTTTCCTTTATCTCAGTGCTCTTCTGCCTCTTTTTGTTGGTGTCCTTTGAGAACAATACACCTTCTATTCCTTCATTTGGTTACACCTTTCCTTGTGACATTTAGCGAGTTTCAAACTTACTTCCATATGAGGCTAAGAAACCTCAAATTTCAGGAATTGGGAAAAATAAAATTAGCACTTGCAGAAGTAGCAGCAGATGGGAAAATGCCTTGATTGACATTTTCTTTCAGCATTTAAAATTTTTGGCATTTTACAGCTTCATGACAAACAGTTTTGTGCCCATACCTTAGAAAATGTGGTGCTGAGTTAAATAAAGGCTGTTTGAGCACTGGAGCAGAAAAATGCATTATTTGCAAACTGGTGGATAATTTTGTGCCTTCTCTTCTGGCCACCAAGCCAGTGTAGAAACAGCAAAAATGTCATAAAAATTCTTATATTTAAAACAAAAACAAAAGCAAAAACAAACATTGAATTAAATTAAGTTTTGTAATTTTAAACTTTAAAAACTTCTACTGAAAATATTTCCGCCAAATGCCATCAATATTTTAGACTGTACCTCGTTTGCAAAACTGCTTTGAGAGGGAAGAGTGGACAACTCCCATCAGCCTTATTCTCTTGAGAACTATATTTTGGTTCCTAGTAACAGCCTTTCCAAAGCTCTACTCTTGGTTTTTATTACTCATAAATGTTTAAATTAGAAAAGAAGGGACCTTGTACATGTGAAACCTAATTGACTCTCTATATTTTGGACAATTTATGTATCTGAAATGTGTTGTCTCTGTTATATGATGTTATTTTTGCCAGGAGACTACAGGTTGATTTAGCTTGATAGCTGAAATTTGATGGAAAACTGATTTCCATTTAGTCTTACCAAGTGTTGCTTCTCTCTTACTAGACAGATATCCACTTAGTAAAATCTAAAGCAGTATGTAAATGAAACCAGCAAAGAGAGTAGGGTTTATTTTATAAACATTCTTAATGCTAAGTAACCAGTTGTTCAATTTATTATATGTGTCTGAGGACATTAAAACACCATAAGGTTGTAATAATTGGTTGTGCCAATGTGTGAGGGATTTACCTTTAGGCTCTCTGTCACCAGTGATTTACTAGTGTTAGCTGTTTAACACATTATCTGTATTTAGTAGTGATTATTTATTTACAAGTTGGTGGTAATTCAGCAGTCAGGACTCTAAGCTTTTATAGTTGAATTGAGGAAATCTCGCTTTTATTCATTTAGCTGGCAACTGCCTTTATTGCAGACCTCTGGTGCTTGGCTTTCAAGGAAGCCTATGAGATGCCAAAATCACACCTTTAGAGAGCACCTTGCTCTAATAGGTGATGCATGAGCAAACAGTGAGATTTGAAGGGGTTTTAACATAATTTAGAATGTGAAAAAAATATCAATTCATATCTTTCAAGTACTAACCCCTCAAAAAAGCCCACACATACAAAATATGTGATGTGATACCACTTTGTCTTTTAGGTCTTTAAGTAACTGAAGTTAAGCACAGAAAAAAAAATCACTTCATGGAAATTTCAGTAAGAAACCCAAACTTCTAAAAATTGCTTGCAGATGAGCTAAAAAAAAAAAAAAAAAAAAAAAGCAACAAAATAACCTTTTCATCAGAGTTAAAAGTAGTGAGAATCTGTTAGTTATACGTATACCAAAGTAAACATTAAAGAGACATATCATGCAATTTCAAAGAATTCTTTCATGCTATTTCTTAACCTGACATTTCTAACTTTATTGCAGGCAATATACAAAGATTGGCTCACTACTCCATAGGTTAATTGAATTCCTGGTTGAGAAACTAACTTGTTTTGTTTTCCAAAATTAGCTGAAATCTTGTAAAACATGACTTCCCTTTAAAGGATCTAGATATTGTTCAATTTAAAATATGGCACCATAAAAAAGTCATGTAGTAATAGAGCATATGCTTTTTTAGAACCAGGTTAAAAGCTGTTTGTTATCTAATAGAGTAAAAGTTACTGAGGTCAACAGATAGACAGGTCTGGCATAATATATGCCCAGTCATAATAGTCTAATTATATTCTTTTGACAACAGACAGCATTCATCAGAGCACTAATTCGAATGAGAGTTTTGGCTATCAAGATGTGTTGATTCTAAATATTATTGAATGAGACCTGATTAAAGTCTGACTTTCCTGGCCCCAGTGTTTTGCAGGTTGGCTATTTCCATTATCAGCCCATCACTCCATAAAGTTCTTAGCTGCACCAAGTGATTGGTGAACAAGGACAACAACAAAAGCAGCATACATTGTATGGATTTATCTCAACGCTATTGTTTAATGGCTGTGTTTAATGTGATCTATCTGGAAAATGAGGACTCCGAATAAAAAGCTATTACTAATAGTGGTGTTGCCTTCCCTTGAATTCATTAACCCAGAAGGGATGTGTTACACACTTCCCTGTGCATATCACAGGGACCCTGATCATAATTATTTTGGAAAAGCAAACTGTGGCATCACAGCTCATTTTGCTAGTTATCTGCTTGCCATTAAAATAAGACTTTTTTAAACAAAAATTACTTGATAGTATCACTAGTTTCTCAATAGAAGTGGATTAACAATCTTTCACATAGCTTAGATAAATTGGCTAGTTAAATAATTACCAAAGGGTCATAGCCTAATAATATTTGTGGTTTTAAATATTTACAATTAATATAAAGAGAATTTGGCATAAGATCTCAGAGGATTTCAGAAAAGTACATTTATAAGCTCTGTCATAATCTTACATGACTAATGAAAGCAAATAGAATAGTCCTCTCTCATCCGCAGGGGAAACGTTCTGAGACCCCTAGTAAATGCCTGAAACTCCAGATAGTACAGAATCCAATATATACAATATGTATAAATGGTATTTTAAAGTAAACACATATTTATCTTGGCATTTAAAAATAATAAACCTCCTTTTCTCCTCATTTAACAAGCATCTATTGCATTCCTACTATGTGTTTGCCTTGGGCTATGATGCCTCAGGAGTAAACACTAAAAAGGAATGGTGTCAGAGTTACTATCTTGTTGGACAAGTAATTAGGTACATTCTAATACACATTACTCTTTATAAATTAGATTTGGTCGTTTGCATTTTTTCTTAGTTAATCCACACATCCCACATATCTGCCATTTCACTAACTGAGTGACATCTTCTAAATTTCAAACTAGTGTAATATTCTTTTTGTTTGGAATTTTTTAAAATTTTACTTTTCTTCTAGCTGCATAACATATATCATGAAGAGTGCATTGCTTTTCCATATCTAAGAAGATCTTTATAGGTTAGATTTATTGTTATAGATTAAATAACTTGCATATTTGTCCTTTTGTTCATTTATTTGCTTGCTTTTTCTTTTTTATTGAAGACCACTTATGCACTAGGTGCTATACAAGGATCCTAAGGTACAAAGAAGTGCTAAGCCAATTACATTTTGCCCTTAGAATATGTATAGTTTTTGCTTGGTGATATTTACTAACATAGAAATTGACCTTATTCTACCTTAACACTACTACTTAATACAAGTAATTTCATTACATAAAGAAAATAACTTTACTTTTAAGAACAGCAAAATCCATATGCTTACCATGCCATTCCTTCACTGCCCTCAAGTACACCAAGCTGATAACTGAGTTACCTGAACAATCTGACCAGGGTTGAGGGCGTACTGAGTCTTTCAAATGAAGTTCCCTGTCTGGCTATGCTGCAATTAGGAGGAAACTGTGGAAGGGACATATATCACAGGCTTACTCGATATCAATGAAATGTTAAAGTCCTCCAGATAATATTTACTTAAGTAGGTATACTCACTAGATACAATTATTTGGCAATAGCAATTAAATTAATTTGTAAAGACCAGTATAGCATCAATAAGGCACATACAAATAGATCAGCCAGCTAATGGACTATTTTAAAGCTCTTTATTACCTGCTTTTGGAGGTGGTGGATGCATATGGCTCACCAATGGCATGTATCATTTTCTGTTCATTTTAGACACTAATGATATTTTAAGAAATCTATTCTACATTAGGGATCAAATTCTCAGTATTCCTAAAAGAGAGTGCAGCTTCTTTTAACGTTCTTCATTTTAAATATTTCAGAAAGAGTTATCAAAAAATAACTTAGGTTTTGGTCAAACTATGGCAATAAGTATTTTACATGCAAGGAATAAGTAAGGGAGGGAAGATATTGGTGAGCTTTTACAAACTGTATATTACACAGATCAACTTACCGTTCATTAACTCTAAATAGATGCTCTACTTTTTCTCTTACAAAATGAAACATCTCACTTTGAGAGGAATGATTTCCTATTTGTTCCACACTCCATTTCTTATATACATTAAATTATTTAAAATAATCAAATAAACCACATTTTAATTATGATTCATATTTTAAAATATAGCTTTCTGAAGTTATGTAATTCAAATTACTTCATAACATTTTCCAAAGATTGTAAGGAAAAAGAACCAAATTTTGAACCTTTTTTAATTAACTTCAAATAGATTATCATTAGATTTTGTTTAAAAAATTGGCATTCAGGGCTGCTCATATGAAGACTATGCTTACTTTCCTAAGGATAATTCAGAACCTAAATTAATAATAATAAACTCTGCTTATAGAGCATATTTCAATTCACAGAACACTTTCACAAATTTTTAAGATATTATGGAAGTAAGGATTCTGAAGCTCAAAGAGGTCAATGGACTTATTCAAGGGCGACTAGGTAGGAAGCCTTATACCCAGACTTGAACTAAAAGTTCAATTGCTCCCCTTATCATAGACTTTGTGAATTCTGTAATCCTGCCATATTTAATATCTTACCCCTCTAGTATCTCCAATGTATCATTTGAAACAATTTTTAAAATTATGCCACTAATATGATTGTCTTTTAAAATTCACCATTACATCATATACTTTAGATCATCTCTATGTTAATGGTTCTTAATGGTTCAGAATTGTTTCTCCAAGATTGCCTTCAATTTTTCATTGCCATTTTTAAAGATATTTCACAACATTGGTGGTATGGGCTCTAAAAAATATTATGGCACATTAGAGATTTTAAGTGAGCTTGGTATATTTTCACCTGGAGGCAATTATGTAGACTGTATTGAGTTCCTTTATATCATAAAGTTTTGCATATATAAATTAACAGGATTATCAATCGGCTTCTTAGAAACGATTATGTAAGTTCTAGTAATATTAAAAAGATATTTAAACATTACATCCATACATATGGGTTAAAATACACATACAAAAACAGGAGAGCCTAATAATTTCAGAAGCCAGTATCATAAAACAAAGGGGAAGGAGAAGTTAAGTAACAGCAGTATGGCTAATAAATAAATAATGCATTTTAAAATGTCTGCCTTGCTTCATTTATATTAAATAAATGCAATTTTATTGCCTTCTTCAAAGATCAGATGAAAAGGTAATATTGCAATTGCTAGTAGTCACTTTCAGGGTGGTTAATCAAGTGAGGCTGGCCTGACTCTGAATTTAACTTACTAAAAAATTGTTTAATTTGTCTCCTTGTAACTTACAGAGCTCCATCTTATTCTGAAAAGATGCAGTAATACATTTCTAATGTTCTTTAAACACTACTTATTTTATATTTTAGAAATCTAAATTAAAATAGATGGGATATTCACTCGTTTCATTGATCTGCTAAATACCAGTATACTACCTCTTTAACAATATTACGTCATATTTTGGTAGTATTTTCCCTTACCACTGCAGTTTAAATGCTGTCTTAAATTTAATAATATGCTTTGAGATAAGATTTTTGAACTTTTATTTTATCCTTTCCCTTTAAGAATCAAATTTATGTCATATCTTTTTGTCCACAGTATTACTAAACATTCTATAATGATTGTCTACTATTTCCCATGTGATTATTATCTTATTTTCATCTTCATTTCATAATTTTCTCTCAATGACAACTAAATATTATGTTGTCTTTCTCATCTATTTATTTCTCCATTAAAATAACTCCCATATGTCCACATGTTGTAAATCAATGATGGAAGTAGGAGGCCGGGCGCGGTGGCTCACGCCTGTAATCCCAGCATTTTGGGAGGCCGAGGCGGGCGGATCACCTGATGTTGGGAGTTCAAGACCAGCCTGACCAACATGGAGAAAACCCGTCTCTACTAAAAATACAAAAAATTAGCTGGGCATGGTGGCGCATGCCTGTAATCTCAGCTACTTGGGAGGCTGAGGCAGGAGAATCGCTTGAACCCAGGAGGCGGAGGTTGCAGTGAGCTGAGATTGCGCCATTGCACTCTAGCCTGGGCAACAAGAGCAAAACTCGGTCTCAAAAAAAAAAAATAAAATAAAATAAAATAAAATGATGGAAGTAGGAATGACCTACTCAATAATTACATTGGGTGAAAAATGTCCAAACTACTTATGTAAACCTGAAGGAAAACTAACAGTAGTATTTAGGTATAACCTACATGGAGTGTTAAAATGGACAAAATGCATTATAAAGTATAACAGGAAATATATGAAATGATAAACAGGTTAGAATGACAAATCTCAGATAAAATCTTTATGCAAGAGTGCCTAGCTATTTCATTTAAAGGTTGAAAAAGTGATAGAAAGTGAATTATCTTACTATATTATCACCAATTCCTATGTATTAAGAAATCCTCATTTTAAGATTCACCATGTGAAGTGTTTGACTTTGATTTGAGGGTAGGAGAAGATAAACCTCTGAGATTATGTGCTTATGATTTCTTAACCTGCATTTCTTCCTAAAAGATTTCTACAATTCAAATGTTATATGTACTTCATTTCTTTCATTTTGCACAACTACGAAAATCTAGAGGAGGAAAGGAAATAAATGAATGGGTCAAATATGACTTCTCTGCTACCTTTCCTTCCAGAGATTGTACATCCCAATTCAATTCAACAGAAATTTATGGAGCATATATTGTATATTTTGACACCATGGGGCATACAAATATTAACTAGATATAGTCTTTGTCTCTCTAGAATTTATAATATACTGAGAAATGAAGATATTTACAAAATACAGATTGTAGTTGGTACTATGAGAAAAGTACAAGTCACAGTGAGCAAAATTTTTTTCAAAAAAGAAAAAGCAAGTACTTTCAAGGGAGGAAATGAGAGGTCAAAAAGGGAATCAGTAACAGCTTCTTGGACACAGCAGCATTTGAATTGAGCATTTAAGGTAGGACAGGATTTTGGCAGCAGAGACTTACAGGAAATGCATTCTGGAAGAAGAGAGAGGCGGCCTGTATAAAGACATTTAAATAAAGTCAGGATATTTTCTGATTAAAGTTAAACAGGGTTAGAAAGGTAAGTTCGAATAAGGTGGGGATTGTTCCAAATGTGTCGCTTAGGGGATGTCACTGTGATGTCTATCCTAAGGAAGATCCTTAGCCAAGAGCCTTAAGTACACCTGAATTAGGCTCACTAGCTTGGAGAGTTCTGCAGAAGACTTGCCAAGCTGAATGTGAATTCAGGAAAATAACAGTAGGACAGCTTGCTGTTGCCTGGTAATCCATTCTTTATAAGATGCTGCCTAATAGCACCTTGTTCTTGGGCCAGGTCCAACTATCTAGAGGCAATGCCAACTTTGCTGAATCTTGCAATTCTCAGCTTCAAGCCATTATCAGAGTATTTATGTGTATGTTTCCAACTTCCCAGCAATAATTCTTCGTTTGAAATCTGAAATCATCTTTGAAGCTCTGGCAGACAGAGACAGAAGAGAGAGGTGAAGATCAAGGGCAGAAATGATAGGAAGGATGTCCATGCCTTGAAAAGTGCCTTTTAAATATCCCAGATCCTCCAAGCACCTCCTGAAATCTGCTGTGTGAATTCTGTTAGGTAGAATAATTTTATTCCTAGGAATTGTTTATGTATGTCCACTGTCCCAGGAACTCCCAAAGTTGATAGAGCTGTCCTGTCTTATTCCTTCTATAATATTCTATATTTACTGGAGCTTGTACTAACTGGTATTTTGGCACAAAATAGAGAATAAGTAGTTCCCAACTAGGGACAATTTTCCCCCTACAGATATTTGGCAGTATCTAGAGACAATTTTGATTGTTAAGACATGGGGATAGAGAAGTTGTTGATGCTTGCATCCAGTGGGTAGAGCCAGGGGTGCTACTAAGCACCCTACAATGCACAGGGCAGCCACCCACAACAAAGATTTATCTAGTCAAAAATGTCAGTAATGCCCAGCTTGAGAATTCGTGCCATACAGAGAAAGGACATAGATAAGAAAAGAGGAGTGAACAACACTGGGCTTTGGATATTGAATATTAAATAGATTAACATGTTTTTGTTTTGTTTTGTTTTGTTTTCTAGAATTTAGAGAGAATTTCTGGAGATTCTTTCATTAGCATTCAGTACTTCTTCCCAACTTCCTGGGGATATATTATTCTCTGTAGATTGGCAGGGCCAGCATCTCCCTGCAGCTGAGAGGGTTAGCTCAGGCCCTAGTCAGTACGAAAGCTCACATGTTGGTAGAATCGCTATGGAATGTAAGGGAAGGGCATTGCTTGAGATAACTGTTTCTCTACTCCTTTTTTCTTTTCTTTTCTTTTTTTTTTTTTTTTTTTTGATACGGGATCTCACTTTGTTGCCTAAGCTGGTGTGCAGTGGCATGATCTCAGCTCACTGCAACCTCTGCCTCCAGGTTCAAGCAATTCTCGTACCTCAACCTGCCAAGTAGCTGAGATTGCAGGTGTGCACGACCATGCCCGGCCAATTTTTGTACTTTCAGTAGAGACGGGGTTTCACCATATTGGCCACGCTGGTCTCAAACTCCTGACCTCAAGCAATTCGCTCACCTCGACCTCCCAAACTGTTGGGATTACAGGCGTGAGCCATGGCACCTGGCCTTCTCCACGCCTCTTGAAAGAATTTAAAATGGATTCCTTACGGAAGGCAGGTAAAACAAAATTCCCAGCTATGAAAGGAGAGAAAATAATCTGCCTTTGGGACTCTCTCAAAGGTCTAGCCTTCTGTTGCGTTTTAGACAGATTGGCATGACCAACTTATTCTCCATCTGAAGTCACCTTAGTGTGTATGTGAAATCTGTCTCTACCATGACTTTGGGAGACTGTAGAGGCCAAATACTAAAAAGATAACAATGGTAGAGTGGTAGCAAATCAAGAAATGGCAATCTTCAAGCAGAAGTTAGCTAACCATATGTATCCCTGAATGCTGTAGAATGAGTAGAGATCTTTATTGATCTCTTAGGTATCTTCCAAGCATAAACACTGATTTTAATTCCTTCAAAGTAACACGTGGAACGCCAAAAAAAAAAAAAGTCAGATTGACTTTCTAAATGAGGTGAGGGGAAGGTGAGTGCAAACGTTTCTTAAAAGTTTTTTTTGTCTTGACACATATTCTGTTTTACCCATCTGTAAGGCAGGGTAGGCGGTTCCAATGCACATTTTATGAATTTGAACTTGAAATGACTCTAGTTTTAAAATAATAATGGTAATGTGTTAAAAGGGTGACAAGAACTCCAGTGGCAAAGTTGAAAGTCTGCACACTGACAGGCTAATTAATATAAATAGTAATTACCATAGCCAATCCACATTAGAGACTGGATTTTATTTGGCTAAGTATGCACTAAGTGTGTTAAAAATAAAGTTATTATACACTGCAGTGAATACTAGTATTACCGACAGACCAGGAACCCTGAAAATCAGATACTTTCACAAAGGGAGGCAGAAGAAAAGACTACAGCCTCAGCCTTGGGAATGATCCTTCCAGTGGAGACTCAGTAACCTCCCCAGCACATATACAAATGTGTGTATATCTTCCTATTTTAAAAAGCAATATAATTGTGATCTACCACCACTGTTCAAGCTAATTTACTTCCTAATGGTTTATTTGCATAGTGAAATTTGCATTTTATTTTATAGCAAATGTTATTATTACTCCACCTGCCCTCTCTTAGATGGAACACCAAAACTAAGAGCGAAAATAGAAACAATTTAAGAAGAGAACAAATATTGGAAACACTTCAGTTAGGCATCCTCGCTTGACAATACTGAATTTGGCAGCCAGGATAGGGCATGCCAAACCTTGATGCTTTCTACCTTTCGTGTATGAGTGTACCAGCTTTCCATTTCAATCATCTCTCTCTCTGTTTCTCTGTCTCTCCGCCTCTCTCTCTCTCTCTCTGAGTGTGTGTGTGTGTGCACGCGCACGTCCAAGTACTTGTGTCTACTGTTGCAGTTCAATAAAGGTAATTTCCACAAGTGACACTAAGCCATACTAAGTTCATTGCGAGGGTGTATTCATACTGAGAAATGTTAAAGACAAGCAAGAAGTTACATGCAGGTGTAGAATGACTTACCAACCTTTAACATCACTCCTGCCTGCCTGACTTTTACTGGCCTCAGGCAGACAGGAGTCCAAACTGCAGATCACAGCCTAATATAAAAAGCATTGCTGGCCGGGCCCAGTGGCTCACACTTGCAATCCCAGCACTTTGGGAGGCCCAGGTGGGCAGATCATGAGCTCAGGAGTTCGAGACCAGCCTGGCCAATATGGTGAAACCCCGTCTCTACTAAAAATACAAAAATTAGCCGGGCATGGTGGCGGGTGCTTGTAGTCCCAGCTATTTGGGAGGCTGAGGCAGAAGAATCGCTTGAACCCGGGAGGCGGAGGTTGCAGTGAGCCGAGATCACGCCATTGCACTCCAGCCTGGGTGACAGAGTGAGACTCCATCTCAAAAACAAAAAACAAAACAACAACAAAAACAAAAATTTCTAACTTCCTTATGTTATCAAGAACACAAAATCTGGGGATATATTTTCCCTTTTTGTTGAAGCACATGTATCATTATATATAAATAAACCTATGTATAAAAACCCATATATACATGTATATATATGGTTTTTTTCCTGCTTCAAAGTTCAAATTCTAGGGTGACAGCTGTCATTTTAAAGGTGACTCACTATAGTCATTTAGAGGGTCCTGTAAGAGGTAGATAGGACTTTGTTTCCTGTGGAGCACTGACAGGTAATGATTCCCGACAGCTTTTTAATCATTTCAACAAACTTATACACATGTGTCAATTACCCTATTTGGGAAAGTTAACACAGCAATCAGAGAACGACAGGGTGCTGGAATTAAAAGAAAAAAATATTCCATAAAATTTTTACATACAGAAAAGAAAATGCAGGTAAAAACATATTTGAAAGTTTATTTTTTTAATCCATAGGCAAAAACTCTGAATTTCCAATAATAAATTTCATATTTATGTTATTATTGATGATAATTCTTAGATGCTTCATAAATAAAAGTATTAGGGATAAAACTATAAAAATGTAACGAATTAAATAAAACATTGAAGGCACATAATAAAGCAAAGTCATTTTTCTCTTTGAAAACTTTAATCATTGTACAATTAAAGGCTCCCAAATGAATGGAATAGGAAGTATTTTCAGTTACAAAGTCACAGAAAGGAAGTAGAGGATGGTGAAGTCACGGACTCTGTGGCTTAACTACCTCAATTGGAATCATAACTCTCACCTACCACACTCAACTACGTGCCCTTGTATCAGTTATAGGCAAAATAAAATCTTTGGGCCAAATCCATCCCCTCGTCTCTTTGTGTAAATTGACTAGAAGCCAGCTATGCCCACTTAATTTACTTATTGTCTTTGGCGGTTTTCCAGCTAAAGAGTTCACTCATTAGGACAAAACTGTATGTCCCCAAAAGCTAAAAAGATAACTATCTGGCCCTTTACGGAGGAAATTTCTTGGCTCTTAAATTATGTAACTGCTATGTACTTAATTTCTTAATATGCAAAATGTGAACGATAGCAGTAACTCCTAAGGTAATTGTAAGGAATAAATGAAGTAATACATGAAAAACTTGGAACTATTTGGACACATAATAATCTTTCAAGAAATGTTATCCATTATTCCAAATGGGATATTCTCAGTAATATCAATCTATCCACACCTAATCGCAGTACATCACTTCAAAATCTTGTTGAAGGTCTTTGTCAGACAAATTGTTCTAAAACAAAACACAACAAAACAATAACTATAACAAAACAATTCAAATATTGACTGAGTTTGTTGTAGTTTCCCAGCCATTATGAGCCACTATATTCCTTCCACATTAATAGCCAATAAGTCACTTAAGCATTTACTATCATTATTTCGCCAGAACCCTGAAGGCCTTTACCTTGTTTGCCACTAGCTTGTAGGGGTATGTAGTCCATGGTCAAATGCTTCTCAGTAAAGTTAAACAAGTGGCAGCTGGCACCATACAGCTCTGTTATAATGAAAACATGAGGTGGCTGCCATTACACAGTCCTGCACTAATGAGAACAGTAGGAGGCTAGCATTACAATGGTCTAATGAAAACAGGAAATGGCTGGCATTAAATTGGTATAATAAAAACAGGAGGTGGCTAGCATTACCCTGGTAGAATAAATAAATTAAGAGATGTCAGGCCTACCCAATCTCATCTCCATTATATATGACCACGGTACTCACAATTTGGACCAATTCCACTCAAAGTCAACCCAGTGTTGGATGAAAGTATGATTTTTTTTTCACACTATGCTTCAAAAGTTTCTTCTGTTTCAATTTGTGTTTTCCTTTAGCAAATGCAAGCATGTTATAAAATAACGATATAATTCACACTGAATTCTTTCCCTCCCCCTTTACTCCAAAAAAAGCAACATTATTTCCGACTCAGAAGAAGATTGGCTGGAATAAAAGCCAACAATTCAAAAGGAGTTTCTAATTTTGTCCTTGCTTTTTCCTCACCATTCTCTTTTAAGTATCCAATGGTGACTAAATACTCAGAGTTGCATAAAACATCCTGAAAAGGAACACAGAAAGAAAAAAAAATGCTGTAGAGAAAAAAAATAAGCATAAAATCAATCATTTAACTCATTTAACTAATGGACTTTTTTTCTCTGAACAAAAGGTCAGGTTTTTCTCATACATGGGTTGATTTTTAAAAAATGTATTTGTGTAGCTAGAAGACTCTTGTTTATAGCTCTCAGACCATAGATTTGCAAGAATCCTGTGCTCTGTTGTAACTCACAGAGCCAGCTGTATCTGAATCATCCTGTTTTTTTTTGTTGTTGTTGTTTTGGGGGGTTGGGGAGCTAAAAACTGAGCAAGTTTGCGCAGTTCAAGGTCAGTACGTTAAGACAGCAGCACATCAATCCTCTGTCATTCAGTGGCTCCAATTTTCATTTTAAAATTACATATCAGCTGCTTTGTTTTTTAATTTAAAAATGCATACATATGTACATATTTGCCAGTGACTTCCAAAGAAGAACAATGCCAAAAGTATTAAATACTTCTACGGAAAAGGTCATGTTTCTGTAGGCTCAGATACTGCTGAAAGCTTTAGGATCCTGATGCCGAAAGCAGAAGCAAGCATTCTGATAAGATACTCAGGTGAGAAAACAGCAGTGTAATTCAAATAAGATCAAAATATTAATAATCAAATAAAACTTTTTAGTCCAGTTGTATACACTGATAACATTTTAATTTTCTCTGCTCTGTAATTTTACTGGCTTTCTCAAATACTTCTGAATATATCCAATTTCATGAATACATTTCTAATATACTAAAGAAGCAAGAAGGTGACAAGAAAAAATAATTTTCTTACATTGGCCCCGCTTGCCTTCTACATTTAGGTAAGGTTAATTCTTTTTTGCTGAATATGCCTTTATTAGAAATCATCAAAATTGATATAACAATTTAGAAAGATCATGGACAAAAAAAGGCAGTTAACATTCCTTATTGTTTTCAAAGAGATGGAACTTATAATATAAAAAAAGTGATTTTGTCCCATGTTTAAAGCCAGAATAAAATCAATGATGCCCTGAACACTAATACATATGTTGCTTAAAATCTGTTGCTGGGCTTGCATGGGACTCACAGGCATGGCTTAATCGAGACACAAAGTGATGCATGCCATGCATTCAAAATTAGCATCTGGCTTGGGGCCACGAAATTTGGCATCCCAAGAACTGATTCTGTGCTCTGCCAAGTTTCTGCAGGGACTAGACTCACTGAATTCTGAATCACAGCCTCTAATTTCCTCTTCAACAGAATCTCTTTGAATTGTGAGACCAGAGAAACCTGCAAGTGAACATAAAAATTGAATGTGAAATACAGAACTCTTCAAAGAATATTCTAGATAAAAGTTGGATACAGAACATGAAATATTTCCAGTTAATCAATTGTAATATGGACTGCTTACTAGCCAGCTTGCCCCATTCAATTTGTTTATTCCTTACGTAAAGAGGGGACACGATAGGCTGCCTGTGCTGCCAAACTCCAAAGAAATACTTGAAAGCTTATAAATTTTGCATATCATAAATTTACTTGACAGGTTTCATGACATTGTAAGCAATATTTTTTATTAACCACATTTGTGGAAGAAATGGTATTTTGCCCTATTTTCAAACTAACCAATTCTGTCATGGTTGGCATCTTTATTACATTATTAAATACATCAGTCAATACCACCTGATGTGATTGAGTCCTGTTATGTAACAAAGTTGTTAAAACTTAGATTTATTTTTCCCTAAGTCAAATCAACAGGTAGAAAAGAAAATTGTTTTTAATGGAATTTTTAAAAAAGTATCGCCATTGAAACTATTTCTGATTTAAAATAATAAATTGACCTTTCTTCAGGTTATGCTCAAAATCACTTATAATTGTGTTTCACTGAAAGTGCTGCATCAAGCATTTGATTATATATGATTTCAGCTTTTGCAATCCATGAAACCAAGCACCTGGAAATTACAAAGGGATCACAAATGAATGAGGTGGTAAAATGTAAGAAGGACTTGAAAAGGCTTGCTTAGAATTCAAAAGAGGGGAAGAGAAGAAAGGGTTAGAAAACAGAACATTTAATAGGGGAAACAGAAATCGTTCTTTATTTTAAATTATTTTTTAAAATCTCTACAGAAAAAGGTTAGTAAGTTTTCTTGAAGGTCAATAAAATTGTTTTAAACAAAAAAGATGCTAAGAGAGGGAAAATTCAGGAAAAAACATTCCAACCGTTTAGTTTCCTTCTCTACTGAAACTCATTAAAACAGCTTTAAATGCCAATATAAAATAAGAACACAGAATTAAGTTAAATTTTCATAGGCAGTGTCAGCATTATTTAAAATATTTAGTATCTTGTCTGGAAAAAGCAACTTAATTTCTGATTTACCCTCAAATCAGAAAACATAACAACAATTCAATTGTGTTTTTCAAAGAAAAACGAAATATTTAATCTTATCTACTAAGAACAAAATTTCCATGATAAAGTTATTGTGTTTTTAGCATATGTGAACTCAGAATTCCACAAGAACTCTTGGTAATATTTCACATTGGAGCAATTTATATGTGACTCACCTAATTAAAAATGAAAACTTAAAGACTTTATTTTATGTGTCAATTTTTTATGATAAAGCTCTCTCTCTCTAGATAGAAACATAGATATACATGCAGATCTATTTCCTACTGGTTCTAGTTCTCTGGAAAACCCTGACTAATATTATTACTAATACTACTACAAGGGTATACCATTATATTTTCAGTGCTTGGAGCTAGTTTGTTTAATGGTAGTTTTGGTGTTAGGACTGTCGAGGACAATGTTGGGAAATGCAACCTCGATTAATTTTTTTACCCAAAGCACATGTAAGTTGATTATCCCAAACATCTTTTCAAAAGAATTGACACAGAAAGTAACCACCCAGCTGTTTTAAAGAATAAGTAGAAGTTTGTGTAGTGAAAGGAGGGATGAAGAAATCCCTGTAAATAATTCTAGGAAATTGAAGCAGTACATGCAAAACCTGGATGCCTGAAAGATCATGACTTATTTAGAAAATTATATTAATAGGAAGCTTTCTACTAGAATGATCAATTGCTGTCAAGGACATTGAATGATTTCCTGGCAAGTATGTTATGGAGGAGGATTTCTCCACATCTCTTTGAAACACACAGCTTCCTTAAAAAATATATCTAAAAGTCTTATTAATAACATATTACTTATATTAGTTAATTATGTATGATAAATATAAAACAATGTGATTTAATACATTGATATAACTGAACAAAGCAAAAATATTTACAAATTATATATAAACAGGAATACAAAACCAACAAAACTCAAATTAGCCTGGAATCCAGCACTTTGGGGGGCCAAGGCAGTATCACTTAAGCCCAGGAGTTTGAGACCAGCCTGAGCAACATAGTGGCACCTTGTCTCTACAAAATAAAAATAAGAAAATTAGCTGAGGATTGTGGCATATACCTATAGTCCTCGCTACTCAGGAGGCTGAGGCGGGAGGATCACTTGAGCCCAGCTCACTTGAGATTTCAGTGAGCTATGATCTTGCTACTGCACTTGCCTGGGTGACAGAATGAGACTCTGCCTCTAAAAATAAATTTTAAAAAAAGAATACTTAAATTAACCACAATTAACTTAAGTTAATGAATAATTGTGTTTTGCTGAAACTGAATTGCCACTTGAAATGTTAATATGAATATAGCACAGTGCTCTGTTTAGGGACTGACTGCAGGTGGTTTTGAGTTTGGCACTGTGCATCTTACAATGACGTAAATCTCCTACCACTCATCTGTTTTTGACCCACTGTAAAACACTCATTAGTACACATACCCTGGTGTCTTTTGAATGAATGCATCATTTACATATTAATTATGTCTCTATTCTTTTTCTCTTTAGCCTCCAAACATGGTGTTAGGCTCAAACTTAATAACTAATTTTTTAAAAATAATTTTCACAATGAAAACCTATACTTTAAAAGTTCTGGGAGAAAGTTTTCTAACACCCAAGGATATATCTGCATATCCCAGAGAACATATGGACCCCAATTGAAAGAAATTATTACAGAAAAAATTTGTATTATGTTAATTTGTTTTCCTGAGGTATTTGAACCCAATTTTTTTCTGTTCTCCTTATCGTGGAAATAATGTACAGTTATACCACCCTGAACACGTCTTATCATGGAAATAATTATCTTGTTCCTTATCTTTTTCCTCAGAAATTTTTCGACAGAATAGAAGACTGAAATTGTGAGATGCAATAGATAGAATGTGCCATAGAAACATAATGAAATCATGATACAGCTTTAGTGATTGTATTTTATTTCATGAATAAAAGTGGAATTCATGCCATTATCCACAATTTGGTTGGAAAAAGCAAATCAGTGTCATCCAGGGAACTTCCATACCATGAGAATAAGTTTAGGTAGAGTGATAATCTTCTATAACTTTCCAAATGAAGTAAGGCCGGAGAGTTACGGCACTCCTTAACCAATCTTTAATTTGCCCCAGCTTGGCAAAGTTCCTGACAAGAAAGCAAGAAGTGGCATTGAAGTATCTCATTCTTACCTTGATAAGCCCTTAAAATGCAATTTACTGTTACTTTCAATTACTATATATCCCACAAGTGTTGATTATTTTTGGCTTACGGCAGCCTCATAGTCAAACAATGATGAATGAATATAATGATCTGTTCTGTTTTAACAGAAATCTAGTGTTAAAGCAAAATAAGATATTTAGACTAATCTCTATGACTCCCACTTGAAGTTTTAATAAACTGCCAAAACAATGTGTTAAAACTAGAGTGAAACAGTTATTCCAAGAAGACAGAATTTTTTCCAGGAAAATGAGTGATTTCCTTCCTACGAAAGTGATAATTTGGCATGTTTTCCAAATGTGTTATTTATATTAATTAACTCAGTTCTAGAAGGTCCTACTTCATATTACTAAACAACTTAGTAGGTAGCAATGAATTCAAATATCCTGAAGTATGGCAAGCATTCCCCAATTACACTTTAATTGAAAGTACCATATCTGAAGTTATGTCATATAGGTCATATGTATCTCATAACATATACGTGTGGGTCTATATTGGCTGTTTAAGATTTACATGGTGGCCAAAAGCAAAACAACAAAACAAAGAAAAAACCTTACTGAAAAACATTGGCAGGGAAGATGATACATATGGATGTGGGTGGCAGTGTTTGAACAACAGATCTTGTCGTCCCTAAGGGAACATTTCAGGAAAAAAAAAATATATATATATATAAAAGTGTATGTGTATATATATACTTATATATATATGTATATATAATATATATAAGTATAGATATTATATATGTATATATAATATATATACGTATAGATATTATATATGTATATATAATATATATAAGTATAGATATTATATATGTATATATAATATATATAAGTATAGATATTATATATGTATATATAATATATATAAGTATATATACACATACTTATATATAAGTATATATGTGTGTATATATGTACATATATACTTATATACATAATATATATTATATATAATTATATAATATATATACATAATATATATGTATATATTATATATACATATATTAATATATAGTATATATATTGTATATATACACTTATATATATATGTATATATATACATATATACACACACCAGACTAGTTCATTGTGTTACATTGAGTGAGAGTTTCTATCAAATATTTGTATGTTATCAAAATTACAACCTTTGCCATGGTTAGCTTGGTGCCCTTGGATCTTATTATCTTATTTGTGAGGTAGGATTTAAGATACTGCCTTACTCTCACATTGTCCTACACATTTTAAGACGTTGTTCCACTTGTATAAAATTAGTTTTAAAATATTGAATTAGTATTATTTATGTACATTGAATAACATGGATATCTATATTTATTTATTGCAGCAGCCCATCACGTGGCTTGGAAGCAATCAAGCAGAATATTTTAGATACATTATATAACAAGTCCTAAATGCTCATTCCTTTTTTTTTTTAACTCTCATTGAAAACTTGCTCTCCTTCAAATATAAGAGATATAATTAGAGATCATTTAGTAAGAACACCGACTTTGAAATCAGAAGGATGTAAGTGCAAATCTATCTCAAGCTTTTGCAAACTGAGACATTTATTGAAATTATCTGGGTCATGAGTTTTATATGTATGATTATGCCTACTTCATTAGGTTATTGTGAAGGTAAAAGTGAAACTATGGTCTGATGTACAAACAAAATAATGTCTGGATCATATTAATTTCTTTTTAAATGGTGGTGCTGATTATCAACAAATCCCTTTATTATTCAAGTTACTTCAACGCAGAAAACATTTATTGAGCTTTAAGGATATATGCTAGATACTATATAAAATAAAAATATAATTAATCTTAGGTGTATAATAAGTGAATATAGGTGTACTTAGGAAGGTGGGAAGAGATGCATATTTTGTTGCAGTTATTTTAACATACTTCAATCCCTTTGATTTCAAAAATACTTTAGATTATATCTTATCATCACTATCTCTTTTTTTATGGATGAAAATATTGAAGCCTAGACTAGTTAAGAAACTGGTTTAAGGTCACACAAGATTTTAACCAAAGTTCAGTTTTGAGATATGTATTTTCTCAACAATATCCAATCTGACAGCCAACCTGTGGGCACTTTTTTCAAGTATTCTACACCATTTACTTCTCATGGCTCCCACTAAACTAACCCAATCCAAGACACCATTGTTTCTAGCCTGGGTTGCTTTGTAATTTTCTAGCATAGCTTTCCGCTTCTAGCTTTTTTCCTAGCATAGCTTTCTGCTTCTAGCTTTTTTTTCCTTAAAATATCTATTGTCAACTCTGATGGTTAATTTTATTTGTCACCTTGACTGGGCTAATGGATGCCAAGATAGCTGGTAAAACATTATTTCTGTGTGTGACTGTGAGGATGTTTTCAGAGGAGATTAGCATTTGAATCAGCAGATTGAATAAAGATCCCTCTTTCCAAAGTGGGCAGACATCATCCAATCCATTGAAGGCCTGAATAAAACAAAAATGTAAAGAGAGGGCAAATTTACTCTTGATTTGAGCTGGGACATCCACCTTCTTCTGTCCTTGGACATTGGTGCTCCTGGTTCTACAGCCCTCAGTCTCAGAACAGGACTTACTCTATCAGCATCCTCTTGTTCTCAGGCCTTCAGACCTGAACTAAATGGCATCACCAGCTTTCATTGTTCTCCATCTTGCACTTGGCAAATCATGGTACTCCTTGACCTGCATATTCATGTAGTAAAGAGAAATCCTCCCAGTGGGCGGAAGCTCAGGTTGTCTACTTTTCTTGCAAGGAGAAATAGACAGACTTGCAATTATATATTAATTCATGAGATGTAGACAGTTGTCTAGCTGGATAGTAAAAGATTTGAAAGGAACATGATTGGGAAATTGGTGACAAATTTGGGGAAGAATGTGGCAAGATCTTTCTGAAAGGGCACAAAATGTTAAGATAACTGTGTTCCATGTGAATGCTCACCAAAAGGTGACCTCAGCAGGGGAAGATTTTAAATATCAAGTGAATAGAATAATCTGTTTTATGGACACCTTTCTACCTAGTCACTCCTGTCATTGCCCAGTTGGGCTCATAAACAAAGTGCTCATGATGGCACTGATGGAGGTTATGCAGGGGCTAAGCAATGTGGGTTTCCACTCACTAAGCTGACCTGGGTATAGCCACTGCTGAGTGCTCAATCTGCCAGGAGCAGAGACCAAAACTGAACCCCAGATATGGCACCATTCCCCAGGGTGATCAGCCAACAACCTGTTTGCAGGTTGATTACATTATAATGCTCCTACTGAGGGAAGAGCAACATTTTGTCTTTACTGGAGTAGACATTTACTCTGGATATGGATTTGCTTTCCCTGAACGTAATTTTTTCTGCGAATACTACTTTCCAAAAACTTACAGAGTGCCTCATTTACCATCATAGCATTCCATACATATGGTGCTCTGACCACAGAACTCACTTCACAGCAGAAGAAGTGTGGCAATTGGCCCGTATTCATGGAAATGACTTATTTCACCATCTTCTCCACCATTTTGAAGCAGCTGGTTTAATAGAATGGCTATTAAATGGCTATTTTGAAGTCCCAGTTACAGTACCAGCTAGGTGGCAATACCTTGCAGGGATTAGGCAAGACTCTTCCAAAAGGCTGTATATGTTCTGAATCAGTGTCTAATATGTGGTGCCATTTTTTTGATAGTCAGGATTCATAGATCCAGGTTAAAGGGGTGGAAATAGGAGTGGCATCACTCACTATTGCCCCCAGTGACCCACTAACAAAATTTTTTTTTCTTTTTCTACAACAGAAACAGAAAGGCCTAGAAGTCTTAGTTCTAAACAGAGAAATACTTCCACCAGGAGACACAACAATGATTCCACTGAACTGAAGACTGCCACCTGGCCACTTTGGGCTCCTCATGCCTCTGAGTCAACAGACAAAGAAAGGAGTTATTGCGCAAAGAAAGGAGTTACAGTGCAAAGAAAGGAGTTGCGGTGTTAGCTTGAGTGATTCATCTGGGGTACTAAAGGGAAATTGGACTACTACTGGAAATTGGACTACTAATTGGAAATTGGACCACAAAAGAGGTAAGGAAGACTATGGCTAAAATACAGAAGATCCTTTAGGGCCTCTATTAATATTACCGTGTTCTGTCATTAAGATCAATGGAAAACTACAACAACCCAAGCCTTGCAGAATGACAAGTGGCTCAGACCCTTTAGAAATGAATCATTGGGTTATATTGTCAGGGAAAGAACTATGAACAGCTGAGGTGTTTGTGAAGGCAGAGAATTCAGAATGAGTAGTAGTAGATGGTAGTCATACATACCAGCTATAACCACATGACCAGTTACAGAATTGAGGACTTTAATTGTCATGAACATTTCTTTCTTATTTTATTATGAGCACTTTCATATGTATATATACACATATTAGCAACTATCTTTGTTGTCTTTCTTCTTCCCTTTTCGTGGAACATAAGATATATTAACTTTAAATCAGTGTTTTCAGTACTCTTAATTTTATATCTTAATATTCAGGCTATAGGCTGTTAGAAGAGTAAATGTCACTTAAGGACTTTACTTTTCTGGGGAAGGAATTATTGCTTTTTAGTTGTATGCAAGATAGTATCATGTTTTGTGAAATTATGACTTCATTATTGTCTTCATTTGGAGATTAGATAGTTTAAGGAGATGTGGGTATCAAGTTAACAAGGGGTTGGCCTTTTAATTTTATGTGTCAACTTGACTGGGCTAGGAGATACCCAAACAGTAGGTAAAACATTATTTATGGGTGTGTCAGGATGGTGTTTTCAGAAGAGTTTAGCATTTTCATGAGTAGGTTGAGTAAAGAAGATTGCCCTTATCAATGTAAGCAGACATCCTCTAATCCACTGAGGGCCCAAATAGAAAAAAGAAAAGTGGAGGTAGAAAAAATTAACTCTCGCTTTGAACCAGGACATCCATCTTCTCCTGCTCTCCCACATCAGCCTTTGGTTCTCACGACTTTGGACCAGGACAAGGACTTAAACCATCTGTTTGCCTCTATCTCTGGCCTGGGGACTTGGACTGAATTACCCTACTGGCTTTCCTCATTTTTCAGCTTGCAGACAGCAGACTGTGGGACTTTTAGGCCTCCACAATCATGTGATCAAATGAGTTAATTTCCATAATAAATCAGTCTATCTATCATTTATCTATCTATCTATCTATCTATCTATCATCTATCTATCTATCTATGTATCTATCTATTATCTATCTATCTATCTATCTATCTATCTATCTATCTATCTATCTAGTGTTAGTGTTATTGGTTCTTTTTCTCAGGAGAACCCAGACCTATACATTGACCCAATTTCCAGAGTCATACTTTCTAATCATAACCTGCAAATAATTCCTCATGTTACTCAGAGAAAAAGCCAGTCTTTATACAGGCTTACATGATGGGTCTTATCTTTACTGCTATCGTTTTACATACTGCTATCCTATTCTCTCACTCTATTTTCAGGTCCACTGGACTCTTTTTTCTGGACATGAACTTGGCCAGGCCCTTCATTTATTTCAAGTCTTGACTTAATTCTCACATTGTTACTGAGGCCCATCCTGCCACTCTAAAACAGCCATCCTGATCACTCTAAATCCTGCTCATCCTGCTCTATTTCCTGACATTCCACATCCTGTGTACAATGGTCTACTTTCTTTCATAACACTTATCATTTTCTAAAATAGTAAATAATTTACTTATTATACTTAAATACTTAAATATTTATCACCTAATCTCACTACTAGAATCAAATCTTTTTAAATGCAGGGGATCTATGTTTTTGTTTTGTTTATTTGTTTTCTTCATTCTTGTTTCTCAAGCACCTAGAACAGTGTTCCTGGAACATAATGGGTCCTCAATAAATATCTGCTAAATAAACTTGAATGTCAAAACAACTTAATAGACATTCAATAACTAGGAAGTTTATGAACAAGACTTCAGCAAATTAACAGTGTAGGAGAAGAAGCTTATTATGGAGGTGACACAGAATCTATAGTGTTTGAGGTTATTTTTATTTTAGACAGTATAAAGTCATCAGTATGGATGAAATAAATAAAAATATATCATTAGAAAAAGTTGGCTGGCCACAGTAGCTCACACCTATAATTCCAGCACTTTGGGAGGCCAAGGCTGGTGGATTGCTTGGGCCCAGGAGTCTGAGACCGGCCTGGGCAACATGGCAAACCCTGTCTCTATGAAAAGTATAAAAAGTAGCCAAGTGTGGTGGCACATGCCTGTAGTTCCTGCTATTCGGGAGACTGAAGCAGGAGGATCACTTGCGCCTGGGGAAGTAGAGACTGCAGGGAGCTTTGATCATGCCATTGCACTCCAGCCTGGGCAGTAGAGTGAGGCTCTGTCTCACACAAAAAGGAAAGCAAATCACCAAGTGAATTCTGATTAGAAGTTTGTCATGGTTGTCTCCATGGTCACTAAAACTCAGTACTGGATAATAGGATGCATAATAGATAGGCAAGACTAACAAATATTCACTACTTGAGAATTGTGATACTATGAGGATTTACACCATTCTGAACTCTGACCCCTGGTAGGCTAAAAATTAAAAATAAACAACAAATATTGTTTTCTTAACCTTTTATAAGTAAAAAATAATCTTAAAAAGATTTATGCTATATTTTTTATAGATAGTCTCAGTGTTTGCTTGCCCAGTATTAAAACATTATTTAGGCAGAAATTCACAGGAGTTACTGTGCTCTAGTTTTCTTCTTTGCAGGCTCCCACTTTGGTGGTTGCCACTTCAACTTTTCAACATCTGTCCAATTGTGTATACTACTTTATCCATTTGTTCAGCCACTGTTTATATTGGGCCTACTCAATGCCAAATAGTGTTCACAATCCTGAGGATAAAATTGTGAACAACATGGAAAATCCCTCCCCTCATGGAGCTTACATTTCATGTTCAGATAATAGTCACATGAATAGTTATTTTGAGATGGTGATATATGCCATGAAGATAGTAAAATAGGTAATATAATGGAGATTTACTTGAAGGATGGAGTTACCTTATTACACTGTTGGTGAAGGAAATTTTCTCAGGGAATGTAATATTTGAGCTATAATTAGAAAAAAGAGAAAAAATAAACTGAAAGATTATCCAGGACAAGAACATTTCTTTCAAAGTGAGAACAAAATTGGCAATGTCACACACACATACTCTCTCTATCTCACACACACACATTTAGCAGGCTGGAGTTAGTATGCAAGGGGGCAACCAATAAAAAAAATTGGCTGAAGAAGCAAGAAGTAACAAGGGGCCAATTATGCAAAGTCATGTAAGATATAATAAATGACCAGGATTTTGTTTTGAAATGCAAAGCAAATCCACTAAAAGATTTTAAGTAAAACGGAGGTTTAATTTTATTACAATTATAAAAAAATTATTCTGGCTGTTAGGTGAATGATTTGAATGGCACTGAGAGTATAAAGAGTGACATTACTTAATAGGTTATTTTAGTAGTCATGGCTCAGATCAGGGAATGTTGGGGGACACTGAAAGATTTGGACAAGTTTGAAATCCATATGAACATAAAACTAATTGAGGGATTGAATGAAGGGGAGAGAAAAGCTAGAAGCAAAGAGGATAAAAAGTTTCAAAGATAATTTTCAGGTGTTTAATTGGAAACTGGGTAGATTCAAACATCTCATTGCTCTCTAAATTGTACAAAACTTCAAACTTCCCAATGTTATTTACACTTTTCTGAAGCCTTAAAAAAATCAAATTTAAATTAATACCTATACTTGTCCCCCAAGAAGGTTATTGATAATCTTCCTCATAAATAACAATAAAAAGATATTCCAAATAAAATACTAAAATCAGCACAATAAAAATTAATGCTAAAGTCATTTTTTATTCCAGAAATGCAAGGATGGTTCAATATCAGGAAATCCATTGAGGTAATTTACTATAATAATAGGTGCACAAGAAAAGCTGTATTATCTATTTAGACACTGAAAATGCCTTCAAAATGTAATGTATGTAATACCCATTCCTCCATTTTAGAATTTTCATAGAAATTGAATGAATGAATATTCCTTAATATCATTAAGTGTTGAACTATTTAACCTTTCCTATTAAAGCCAAGAACAAAATAGAATTTCAGTATTTCCATTCTTATTTAAAATTATATTGGAAGTATGATCAGATGCAATTAGGAAAATAATTGGCCATATAAAAATTAAAAGGAAAATACAAACTATTTGTGTTTAAAGCAGTCATAATACCTTACATTGAAAAGCTAAAAGAAACAAATAAATAAATCATTGAAACCAAAAACAAAATGAATATACAAAATAAAATAATTTAGTAAGTTTGCAAGATACAAAATAAACACACTAAATTCTATTTTTTTATATATATACAAGAATTAGGAAGTGTAATGGAAAACTCATCTATAATAGAAAAAAAGAAAATGAGAGAAAATGAAAAAGAAAGATAAACCCTTAGAAATAAACCCAACAAGAAATGTGAGCAAACTGTATAAGGAAAAAGTTAAAATACTTCTGAAAGATATAAAAGTATGCTTGAGCAAATAGAAAAGACATATTATGTTATTTGTTTTGATAAGTCTGCTTAATAAAAATGTAAGTTCTACCCAAGTTAATATCTAAATTTTGTTCAATACCAATGACTTTAACACTTAAGCAGTTGACTCTATAATTCATACAAGAAAAATATATTTCTTAGCTCTGTTTATTACAATAATATACAAGCAATGATACTCTGGATGCACCAAAACCTAGATGTTGCCTTCAAACAGCACTCCTAACTAAAGAAACAAGTCTTCTAGAAAAAATAATTATTTTTAGTCTAGGCCAAGGAAAACAAAAGATGAAGTAGTAACATTTTATTGTGCCCAAAAGACCCCCAAACAAATAAGATTGTGTCAAAAGGACGTAGACTCACTTGACTTGGCTCCCATCACCCAAATTTAGGACAATTTGAGCTTCTAAAAGGATAATATCTTTCTATAGTTAGTGTAACATGTTGAACAAACAAAATCCTTGAGAACATAGTGATACTCAAGAAAGTAAAGAATAAAGAGCAAGTAAAAAATAGTCACCATTGAAGGTAACTATTACACCAACTTTAAAAATTAGTAACCAAATTAAAATAACTAAGCACTTATCCTGCCTTTAAAAAATTACTAAGAGTAGTTTATCCCCAGAATATCAAGAAAGCATTTATATACAAAAGAATATTAGCAAACAAATTGAGAAGAAATTATAAATTGGAAAACAGTTTTAATCTGCATTGAAATGATTTATAAAAGCAAAGATCAATACTGTGTATTACCACAGTGAAAAATTTCATCCCACAGATTGTTATTTGCAAAGGATCAGCCTGGTATAGTAGCTCATGCTGTACTCCCAGCTACACGGGAGGCTAACATGGGAAGATTGCTTGAGGCCAGGAATTCAAGGCTGTAGTGAGCTATGATCTCGCCACCTCACTCTAGCCTGGGGGTCAGAGTGAGACCTCATCTCTAGCATCGCTGATGGTGAGAAAATGTTATAGCATGTGCCTCCTGAATACAATACAAAGGAACCAGAATTATGTGTGTATACACACACACACACACACACACACACACTTATATATCAAACTGTATATATATGTACATATATATATACAAACTGTATATATATGTACATATATATATACAAACTATATATATATGTACATACACACACACACAGACACACATACACACACACACACACACACACACAACACACACACACAGTCTCGCTCTGTCGCCCAGGCTGGGGTGCAGTGGTGCATCGTCATCACCAGACGATGATCTTGGCTCACTGCAACCTCTGCCTCCCAGGTTCAAGCGATTCTCCTGCCTCAGCCTCCCAAGGAGGTGGGATTAGAGAAGGCCGACACTATGCCTGGCTAATTTTTTGTACTTTTAGTAGAGTCGGAGTTTCACCATGTTGGCCAGGCTGGTCTCGAATTCCTGATGTCAGGTGATCCACCCACCTCGGCCTCCCAAATTTATGGGATTACAGGTGTGATCCACTGTGCCCAGCCATGATATGTTCTTAATAAAAGTTTTATTTGAATTCAAATCAAAATCTCAGAACTAATATTCATTTTATAGAAAATGCCAGAAATAGAGAAATTGTTTCAATGATGCCATAAGGAAACAACAGTTAAATCTAGCACGTAGAATATTTAAAGATAACTGGCCCATTCTCTTTAAATTTCAATATCCTTCTTTGAAAAAAAAAATGTAGTGAGGCTGTTCTGCCAAAGAGAGACAAAAGTTTTTTGTCAAAGAGAGAAAAATATTTTTCAAGAGACAAAATAACCAAATGCATTGCAATTCTTTTTTGGATTTGATGTGTGTTTAGGGTAAAATATTAAGATGTCTGCAACTTATTTTAAGTGGTCCAGGATAAATAAATCAATAGGTAGATATTAAGAAAATGTGATAAAATGTGAATAACTGAATCTAGGGATATGGGTATTTAATACACTATTATTTGAAATTTTCTCTGGTTCAAAAAATTGTAAATTAAAAGTGGGAGGAAAAAGAGTAGAGAGTAAGAAAGCTGGAGATGATGTGTGAATATTTTCTCCCATTCTGTAGACTGTCTCTTTACTCTGCTGATTGTTTTCTTTACTGTGCAGAAGCTTTTCAGTTTGACATACTGCCATTTGTCTATTTTTTCTTCTGCTGCCTGTGTTTTTGGGTCATGTCTATAAAATCATTGTTCAGACTAATGTCACGGAGGTTTTTCTCTATGTTTTCTTCTAGTAGTTTCTTAGTTTCAGGTCTTTAATCCAGTTTGAGTTGATTTTTGTATATGGTGAAAGGTAAGAGACTGATATCATTCTCCTGCATGTAGATATCCAGTTGTACCAACAATATTTATTACAGAGACTGTCCTTTGCCTTTTGTGTGTTCTTGGCACCTTTGTCAAAAATAAGTTGGCTGTAAATATGTGGATTTATTTCTGGGCTCTCTATTCTGTTCCATTGTTCTGTGTGTCTGTTTTTCTGACAGTATGGTACTGTACATGATAAATATGTACCATTTTAAATGTCAATTTTAAAAATAAACAAATATTTTTGAAAATAAAAAAAGATAAAGCTGAGAAATAAGTGTGGTCAAATAATATAAGCAAGCCATGACTTGGAGTTACTAACTTAGTACCTGCATTTTTATATATGAAAGCTCCTATAACATTTATTTCATGAAAATCAAAACTTCTTTTTTGTAGAACCCATCAACCTTGGGAAATCTTATACTACAAAGACAAAAAAGGCTGTAATTTTTGCTTTATAAATGCATTTCAGAGAAAAAGTGAGTTGAGCGAGAAAGTAATTTTGTAAATAAAAAGTTTATTATTTAACAAAATACCCATATTACTCACTTTCCCTAAAAATAAATCTTCGAAGGTATTTGGAGAAATATAAAGGAGGTTATGTTTATGCCACTAAAGCTGTGATTTAAAATTGAACATTAGGTGTTAATGCTTTCCAGAGTATTGAGAATAATCGGTATTTTTTTTTAAAAAAAAATTTCATAGCATTTAAAGTTTATAAAATGGTTTTTACATGCGTATTTGTTAGTATAGAAAGAGCAAGCACAATTTATATACTTAAAGCTAGTAATCTTATAATATGAAATGTTTGTCCTCAGAAACCATCCAGCTGTCTATACATCTCTGCCCTGGAATTCTATTTCCCTAGTAGTATTATGTAAAAGAGAAAATGGTAAGCAAAGGCCTACCATGTTCTAGGCACTATTATAAGTGTTTTATCACAATTTCCCTATTTATGCCTCACAATATTTCTATCTAATTATGTAGTATTGTTACTTTAATTATATAGATAAGGAAACTGAAATTCAGACGTTCAATAACTTGGTCAAGGATATACAAATAGCAAGGATGGAGCCACAATTCAAATCTACTCGATAAAACTATGGAAGTCATGCTCTTAACCACTCTATATTTACTACCTCTATGGAAGGAAAGGCAACATGAGATTTGTTTCATGATAACTATTTTAGAGTTACAGGCAAATAAAAATGGAAATAATATGGAAATGTTTGGAGTTGGAACAGATCTCCATCAGATTCCCTGCTTGAAGGGACAAAAGTGGAGAATAGGGATAAAGCTGGAGAATTATATAAAAGTACTGAAGGACAGCACAGTGGGGAACTGCTGAACTCAAAGTGGAAAGCTGCAAGCAATGTCCAGTACCATTTTGCAAATGATCTCGTGTCATGTACATTAAACAGTCTGTCATGCTCACTCCACATCGAAAGGTAACTTTGTCTGTCCTTGGAGACCTGAGGACCTTGAAAGCAGTCTTTAAGCTAATTGGAAGAGTCAGTAGTCATTTTGGTTAAAGCAGCATCAGGAGTAAAAAGGGTGCACAGTTCACAGGAAACTTCGACAAATATTTATTTTTCATAACCTGATTATTTTACACATGAAATTGAGATTTAGGGTTGTGTTACTTTAAGATTAGCCATAAAGAAATGTCAGAAATACTCTTCATTTTATCCTTCCTTGTTTCATTGAGATAAATATAATATGCATAAGATTCACCAAGGGTCAATTAACATTTGTCTTTTGCTATTATGGCTTTAAAATAGTACAAGTATGCATTATCTAAGACAACTGAATGTAGAAAGCCAATCTGAATAGTTCAGGCTTATCAGTCTGCCTTCCTTCAATAAAAGAATGTGTGTCTGCTGTTTATAATTTTGCAATGATCACTTCATCTCCACTTTGTGTGTGTAGACACAGCCAGCATTAACTTTTATGGAGTGTGAAATCAAGCAAACTGGAACTAATTTAAGTATTAGTCAACACTGTACACAAGTTGAATAAAACAAGATTAACAGGGCTCAGGTAATAATTGAGAGTCATCTGATTCCAGATAATCTCATCTCTGAGATAATTAATGTACTCTATAACATAAGCTATGAAGCCAATGTGTCTGTCTACCTGTTTATCTATCATCTGTCACGCTGCAGATATACATGTATATATGTGTAAATATATTATCTAAGAATCTTACTACATCATAAGCTTTTAACACTACAGAGAGGCAGTATAGCCTAATATTGAATATGGCTTTTGAACCAGACAGAATTTTGTTCGAATCTTACCTGTATGACTTTTGGCAATTCATTGTCTGCAAAATAACCACAGTAGTACCCATTTCAGAGCTAAATAATTACTATAAAGTACTTAATATAGCACCCAGACCAGATTGTGAGCTCAATAAATGGTGCCACATTAAAGAAGTAAAGCAATGACTCAGTAAAATAAAGCATATAATCCTGCATCTACAAAAATATCTTCAGTTATTCTACCTATCATATCTCATTTCCTCATTTCCTTGTCAGGCTCTAGTCAGGCTAATTCGGGGGTTCTGAACAGGGGTTGAATTTACCTCTCAGGGATATTTAGCGATGTAATTTTGGTTTGTCATGACTTCAGGAACGGGATTTCCTGCTGGCACCTAGTGGGTGGAGGCCAAAGATGCTGCTAAACCTCTTCTAATGCACAGGACAGTGGCATACAATGTATGATTATCCAGTCCAAAATGTCAGTTCTACAGAATTTGAGGAACCCTGTGCTAATCCTATCATATCTGGAATTTATAATGATCATACTGTAGTGTCAATCCACAACTAGCCTATTGTATGACAGGCTGAATACTGAAGATACAGTGTATAGTACAAGGCACAACCCTTACCTTCGTGTTGATTACAGCCTATTCTTTCTGCTATTCTTATTTCTGTCCCTCTCCTTCCTCAGATTATGTTTCTATACAAGTTATAGCTGTCCTTTCAGAACTTCCAGCAAGCCCTTTGTGGCCTCTCCAATTTTCACTAATCTTCTCTTTTCCAAAGGTCCACAGTACTGTTGCATGTATCATGTACTTCAGTATGTACTTGTATCCCATGCTGATGGTTCACTAGTTGTAACATGTACACTAATTTCATCTTCACAGCTAAAGTTTAATTGGGAATCATAACTATATTCCAAGATGCTTATTTCATGATTAATTTATAAAGCAAGTATAAATTCTCTATTTATGCACTTAGATGTGTAAAAACATAACTATAACTGAAGAAAATTAATATAATGAGCCATTTTATCTGATAATGAAAAACTTAATGTCATTAGTTCAGGATAAACTCAGTTGCTTGAGGGTTTCTTTTGCTGTTCCAGGATAAATTTGATTAATGGTGGCTTTATGTTTTCTCAACTTCTCCCTCACAAGCCATCCTAGGCTCTAGAATATTTATGTGGCCTGTGGGGCAGATGTCTGGACACCTCATGCTTTCCTTGCCTTAGCTGAAAGGTTATTTAGGTCTGCTTGTTCAGGCCACATTCATGTGCGAAAAGAAAGGGCTCTCCTGTTCCCCATCAAAGGGCAGATTACATGAGGCTGCCTTATACTTGCCTCTACTCCACTCTTTTGTGCTATGGTTGCCTCTCACCCATGAATGGGTGGGCACCTGATCTCTTCTCAGGGGCATTTACCAGCACCTGTCTACATTATTTTGCTTTCCACTTTAATTCTGTCACTATTTGAAATGATCTTCATACCATCTCTGTATGTCTTATGTGTGTGCAGTGGGAGGGAGTTTGAAACAGGTAGAGAAAAGGGGATTGACAGCAAATATTTGTTCTGCCTGATTATTTGCAAATCTTTTCCTACAGCTGAAATGCCACTTTTGAAATCAAAGTCTTTCTTCTATACCTGAAATGCCACTTTTAAAATCTAAAGTCCTAAAATGTATATATTTACTTTCTGGGTCTGCTTTGACAGCCTTCCTCTAAGCAATAGAGCCCAGAGTAATCAGAAATACAGGAAAAGTCGTTATCTTCAAATACTCCACAACAGCCCTTTGTAGCACCTGGAGCACTGTAGAACAGCTTTATTATAGCTACTCCCACCTCCATCCTTCTGCCTCGATTATTCACCCAATTATTTTCTATGTTTTACCTTTGAAGTTTTCTGTATGCATATAATTTTCAGTTTGTCTTCCTTTCTGTAGACATTCTCTTCTTTCAAAACTTGCCATAATGCACGCTCTTTTATGCAGAAAATTACACATAAATTATTCCATATCTAATGAAAGCAATGGATAATTTTGCATCTAAAGCAAAAGACTTAGTTTCTTTGTTTTCTCAAATTATATATTTCTAAAATCAGAGCTCTTAATCTAACTGTACAGTAGCAGTTAGCACACTGTGGGAATACAATAATCAATTGCATTTATGGTTATATATGCAATATATACAAGCATTTATATTTCTAATATAATCTGTTCTGTGGAACAAGAAAACACTTGAATTAATTTAATACACAAATTTAATACAGCTTGGGCGATATTGTAGTTTCCGTGTAAAATCCAGTACAAAAATAAAGCTGAATATGTAAGAAGATGCATGATAACAACAGTTTTGTTATTTGAATATGTACTTTATGGGCATTCCATATTCTGCACTCTCACTACACCCATATAATGGTGTCATAAATATTTCAGTACTAATCTGAATCTGTTCATCTCTTTGTACAAGCAATTTCATTTTCCTTTGCTTCCTAGGATAGCACCAATTGCCCATCTTTGCACCTCCAAACAAAAGCAATCCAATCTCCCACAATTTTTCACCTGATGCTAGTAATAAGCAGCCAGAAAAATGGATTTTTCCTGTTAATGTCATCATTTGCATAGCTATTAGTATTCCAGTATATCATTGTATCAGAGAATGGAAGAAAAAGTAACAATGTATTTTATTCAATCAAAAAAAATCAGTGTCAAAATCCTGATGTCCGAATCTAACCTTTTAATTATAGTTTCATTCCATGTGGGTTTGTACTGTGAGGTAAAAAGGATAATCCCTTAATAAAAACAAGGAGAGCTTACACTATTCAGGAGAAATCCACAACAAAATTATGGTTGAATACCCGAATAGAAATTATGTGTGTGTTTCTCCAGGGAAGCTTTGGTCCTGCACATTCCTGAAATCAAATATTTCTATGGGTGTTGACTGAGGATGTGATTGTTTTACTGTTAGATTACGTCAATGCTGCCACTGCAATCTGGTATCACTTTACCAGCAAGGCAATTTCACACAATTAATTTCTTTCATTAAAGGAAGCAATGAAGGATAGGCAACTGGAGCCCTCACAACTTATAACTAATATTCTTTAGTAACTAGTGTGCACATCTGTAAACACAAATATCCCACTTTGCATACACTTAAACACACAAGTACATTCGATTGTAAAATGACAATTGGATTTTCATAGATCCATTTTGAACTTGCTGCCAAACAAAACAAAACAAAACAAAACAAAACAGTATTGTTAAAAGCAGAGACCACAGACTGACTCCCAGTTCCCAGATCTGAAATACCTCTACGGGTACTTCTGTTCACTTTGGGTATTAAAGATTGCAGTTTTAATGCAAAAATACACACACAAAAGGAGTAGAATACCAGAAGGTAACACAGTCTGAAGACAAAATCTCATGACTAATTCCAAAAGCTTGGAAAACATTGATTTCATAATTATTTTCCATTTTTTAAAGTTAAAAGGCCATGTAGAGTGCTGTAAAGTATAACATAAGCTCTCTTTTTCCTTATGTGGACGTACTTTGCTTTCTGGACATCCTTTCACTGTCAATACTTACATCTGTTGTTTAAAAAGCTATTCGTGGTGCAATTGCTTTTTAAATGCAAACCCATATGTGTGATATCTAGAGGAACTGGTAAATTTCACCAAATGGGCATTCCTAAATTGCATGCCATCTGTAGCTAGTGAAGAGAGGACTGAACCTGCTCAGCTGTGATTTTGCACCAATGTTTCCATCATTTTGATTGGCTCTAGGGAAATCATCCACTTTTGGCATGAACTTTCTAACCCCAATAGGTTATTACAGTCTGCTTCAGTTGCATTGGCTCAACAAATATTATATATTGTTGGCAAATGTTAGAAACCATTTGGCTTTTTAAATTGGTTTCTATACCACATTCTACCATGATGGCTTAAATCCTTTTTTAAGTTTTCTAACTAGTGCAGAGATGGTAAAAGTAATTCTATTGACTAGAGTTGTTTAAGTTGTTGAAATAAAAATAAATAATACCCCAGATTGCACATTCTAACAGTTGAATTACTTTTGTAATATCACATTATACAAGTGAGGCTAAAAGATCATGTTCTAAAATAATATAAGGCACAGGGTAAATCTTAGGTATACCATTTTACCATGCTCTAATGCAGAATTAAAAAAAAAAAGAGTACTCATTTTTTTTCAGTTTACAAATGCAATTTCCCATACTTAATTTATTTTCTAGCCAAAGGCTGTTCTAGCTCATATAGAAACTGTGGTTAAACTTCCAAATCATCAATGTATAGTAAAACACTCAATACACATTCAAGTTATTCTTTTGACTACTCTTTTAAACCTACAAAATAATTTAAAGTTGAAATAAGGATGCTTTCAAATAGGATTGAACCCAATAATCTAACTTCTCTCTTGCTTTTAGTCAAGCCTAATATTTTTGTAAAAATGTTGAAATATGAGCAAAGGCAAAACATTAACAAGACAAATATTGTAACTATGTATCACAACCATAAGCAGGATGTGACAATAATTTCCCACTACTTTCGTAGTCATTTCCAATGAATTCTTTTTGGCTCATCTTAAATCAGAACAGATGACTGGTGGATGTATGTAGGGGAGAAAGAAATCTTGCTGTAGAAGATGCAGGCGGTGAGAAGTTTAACATGGAACAGAGTGAGAAATGTCAACACCAGGAAAGTGGAAATAAACTAATTGGGACTTATGCTTATAATCCACATAGCAGGGTATCAGTGAAGAGGGAGTAGAGAAGAACAGAAATAAAAATGTGTGTATAAAAACTCAAGAAATAGAAACTGGTATAAAGTGCTGTGACAAATGCAGACAGGAGATTCAACACTAATTAACAGCTCACCATTTCTTTTTAAGTGTTTTGGAAGTTCTAAATTCCTCCTTTTGATACTTTTAATTTTTCAAGGATACCCATCCAGGGTCAGTTCAGAGAACTGGCTCACCAAAACTGCAATAGAATTGTAGAACGTGAGGAAAAAACAGACTTAAATTTTAAAAACCTGCTCTCTCCCTGCCAAAAAACTTGGCACTAAGTGAAGTGGCAGAAAAGTTTAGCAAAATAAACTCAAATCTTTACTTCTTTACTCTCATCTTTACCTACCTAGAATGACATTACTATATGATATGATATTTATTCCAGTCACTTCTTGTATGACTGAATTCATGGTATCAGTTGGATAGAAGTATTTTAATAAAATTTTGGCTGAAAACTGGTAGAAAGAGCAGGTAGTGCCAGAGAGCAGTTGTGTGCCAGATAGTAAAGGTTTTATGCATAAATTATTTTCCTTAGGTCTAACTAATGAGTCAATGGTAGGGTCAATATCAGTCAGGAAATCCTGGATTTGTAATATAATCGAAACCTTCGGAATGTGTATTGAGAATTTAAGATCTTTTGGCAATGACTAGAAAAACTAGTAATTTTGATTTCACTCTTGTATTACTAATTTAACTAATAGAAAATGCAGAACTTAATATGTTCATACATTGAAAAGGAAACCTCGTGCAAGAAAAAGAAGATAGATGTTTTCAATCATTGTTTTCAAAGGCTCTTGAATTATCTCTTACAAACCCTAAGGAGACATTTGTCAGCCATTTTTTCTTATACACACACCCACATATAAGGAGAATATTATAGTATCCTTTCTGATTTAAATACTGCTGAGGCAACACAGAAGCTAGACATCCATGGCTAAATGGAAAATAGAATAGGGAAATATATAGAGTGTGGCTGCAATTGAGTAGAGGAAAGAATCTCAATGCAGAAATACAGGAAAGAGAGAGAAGCAGGACTTAGGCCCTTTATTATATGTGTACTTGGCTTCTCAGGACCATAGCCAAAGGGGAAAATAAAAAAAAAAAGAAAAGAGGAGAGTGATGCTCTTTTGAAATACAATATTCACATTCTTTAACACAAGAACATTGAGAAGTATTTAGTATGGGTTTTTTTTATAATCTCTGCTAAATTACAAACAATTGTCCTAAATGTCCTCATATGTATAAATAATCAGTAAATGATAAAATTGCTAGCTATATTAGAGGAAATGAAGTTGCTAATTTGGTTACTTTCTTGCTAAAAGCATTCATGGACACAGCTATAATCTCTTAGAAATGTGTTTGGCAATCTTTGGGAATGTTCATGGAAGATTCATATTTAAGACTGTGTCATTGAAATAAAGTGATATAAGGCATGGGTCCCCAACCCTCTGGGCCACAGACAGGTATTTGTCCATGGCCTGTTAGGAATGGGGCCACACAGCAGGATTTGATTGCTGGTTGAGCTTCATCTCTATTTACAGCCACTCCTCATTGCTCACATTACCACCTGAGGTTTGACTCCTGTGAGATCAGTGGTTGCATTAGATTTCTCACTGTAGAGCGAATCCTATTGTGAACTGCACATATGGGGGATCTCAGTTGGATGCTCCTTATGAGAATCTGATGCCTGATGATCTGTCACTGTTTCCCATCACCCCTAGATGGGACCATCTAGTTGCAGGCAATCAAACTCAGGGCTCCCATTGATTCTACATTATGGTAAGTTGCATAAATATTTCATTATACATTACAATATAATAATAGTGGAAATAAAGTGCACAATAAATGTAATGTGCTTGAATCATCCTGAAACCATCCCCCGACCCCACCAACTCCCTGGTCCATGGAAAAATTGTCTTCCGCAAAACGAGCTCCTGGTGCCAAAAATCTTGGGGACCGCTGATCTAAGGGAAAGAACATTACATTCTTCTTCTACTTATTTTGCGTACCTAGCTTCCATTATCTTTCTGGTTTGACTCTATGGTCATTTTCATTGTGAGAAAGCAGTAATTGCAAGATAAAAAGGAGTAGTGTGCATGCTGCCCTAGACATAAAAAATGCAAATACCAGTTTCTACAGGCAGCGTGTGTGTGCGCACATGAATACATGTATGTGTTTGTGTGTGAGAGTGAATATATTTGTGATATACAGGCTTAAAATACACTTTGCTGGACTACTAGTTTTCTTAAGCAGAATTGTTAGAAATTGTCTATAACAAATAAAATATAAGTCATTTTCTAACCTCAGTAGGAAGACCACATTTCAGTTCTAGACACAAAGCATTAAAAATAATATCAAACATTGGAAAGCACTAAGAGAAAGTGTTAGAATCTAAAGAAATTTAGGAAATGTAGGAGATTATTTTTCAGACAAATGTCTGAAGAAAGTGGGTTTAGAAAGATGAGGAAAGACTAAATGGCATTAAACTCTTAAATATTTGAACACTTTGGACCAAAAACATTGTTTTATGTTGCCCCATAGGATAAAAGTAAAAACAAAAGAAGACCATATATAAACACCTGTTTTAGTTAATTATATGGTAGACATTTCTGATATTTAGAACTGTCCAAAGATAGGATGAAAGTTGAAAGTAAACAGAGACATTCCACAAAGAAATGTTTTCATTCAGTTTATTTAAATATGGAAGGAACATATGTAGTAAAATTAAATATAAGACCTCTTCTAAGCCTTAGAGATTATAATACCATCATGAAACTGTGGAAACCAGCACCTTTTTGGGGATATCTTTCCTTGATATTTTAAGTCCTATACAAATATATTTTATCATAGAACAATTAACAAATTAGTAAATGTGACAGGGCTATGTAATAAAGCTGTCTAGTCTGTTTACTATATTTCATGTATTATAAGTCTTCATACGGATATATTTACAAAGTAGTACTTGAATTATAAAACTGAAAAAACAATCTTATAAAAGTCACAGTAAGAATTTCATGAAAAATGAAGATTTTTAGGATTTTACTAAATATAGTATAGTTTCTTTCTCTTGTAAAATGGGATGAGTTCAATATTAAATTTTCTGTAAGCAATGTAATTTTCATCTAGGTCATTCTTACATGTGTGAAGAAGAAACTTGGGACTGATTTTCTAAGAAACACCCATCTCCCCATGAGTTACCATTATGATATACATTATGATTTTCACAGAGCTTTGTCTCATTACTTTTACTTATTATACTCATAGAAATATTTATCTTTGATATCCAGGATTCAGGATTCTTATCTTCAGCTGCAGGCTCTAGTGATTGACATTTCAAGGCGATTGAATAACACTAGCACTTAAAATGTATGGAATTTTACTTCAAAATTAAAAATGGAAAATTTACAAATACTTATGTATAGATCTATATCTATAGATAGATATGTGTGTGTGTATATATATATATATATACGTGTGTATATATATATATATACGTGTGTATATATATATATATATACGTGTGTATATATATATATATACGTGTGTATATATATATATATATACGTGTGTGTATATATATATATATACGTGTGTGTATATATATATATATACGTGTGTGTATATATATATATACGTGTGTGTATATATATATAAACAAACAGTAGTCCTTTGCAGTAGGCTCACACTGGCTTGTGCCAGCTGGTAAGAGCTGATTTTGTACATTTCTTCCCAAGCGAATGCCCAGCGACATGGTATTGGTAGTCTGAAATCAGTTAATCTGGGAGAATTTATACCATGGAAATTGACAAGTGCTGCAAATCAGGATTTTTTTTCCCCCTGGAGAGACAGTTTTTACATATTTACTGAATATAGTACTGATAAAACCTAATCATATAATAGGAAATATACATATACATTGAAGTTTAAATCCCAAGCAGTAATATTGTCATATTTTGTAATAATTGTCTACTTGTTATGAACAACATATTATCCATTTGTAAATTGAGGTGCTACGTGACTTACCTAAATTGTTTAAAGAAAAGTGTTTAATAATTCTTTGGATTATTCATTAAATTATATCTATTATGCTTATAAATTAGATTCAGTGCTATCAGAGAGAATAAATTAGAAACAAGTGATATAACCCAGATAAAGTTGAGTAGAAAATGAAGGACAAAGCTAAGTCAGTTCTGGTAATACTCAGGAGAGAAATAGTATTTCCCAGTGAAGAGAATAAATATTTGAAGAGAAAAAAATGCCATATATTTAATTAAAAGAATGATCATCATATATTTTAAATAAATCTAACATCTCAGCTACATGTAGCGGAGAATCAAAGCTGTGTTCACCAAAGCAAATCCAAAGTGCCTATTCAGGTTTTGAGAATTTATGGAATACCCCATCCAGATGTCCTTTTGCATTTCTCCAACTTAAAGAAAAGGAGTCCTTGGAGAAAGAAGCTAGGTGGAAAAGCCAGCAGAATAGTAAAAATACCCTCAACAAAAAGAAGGAGTGATTCTAAATACAGCAAGGTGTGTCTAGCACTCAAATTTGTCTTTGAGTCCATGGTTGGATCCTAGGACATCAACAAAGTCTGAAAAAGTAGTTGTTACTAGAATTCTAAAACGGTAGAGAGGAAGGCACTATAGCTTTAATGATCTTCTAACTTAGAGTAGCATTAAATCTGAAACCAGGAGAATATGTTCGTGCAAATCACAGAAAGCATCCAGTGAAGAGGTAAAAAGTAAATGTACCTTCTTATGAGCATAATTGAAACCTCTGTTGAATCCCAGAAATCACATACAGGATTTAACAAGAAAGTTAGTGTCCTGCAGTAATAAGTGAAGAAGAGCCACGAAACAAAGATTATAATGTCACAGCAACACATATTACCAGCTCAGTGAAAATTATCTAAAAATATTTATTGGCATTTTTCATCATAGCTATATAAATAGTAATTATTATTTTATTTGACTAAATTGCAGAGTCAAAGAACTAGGCAACTAAATAAAAAAGGTAAAAAAAAAAACAAAATATCAAATTTACTGAATTTTTCACTATTAACAGCTAGAAGAGCACCTATAAATGCCATGGATTATAGCAAATTAGGGAAAGCCTAACTGTTCCTTTTTCAATCAGGTTTAGGCAAGGAGACACAGGCCATAAAGAATGACAAGCACTGTATTTATGGCTGAAACTTCAAATCAACCAATAGATTGTGTGTGTGTGTGTGTGTGTGTGTGTGTGTGTGTGTGTGTGTTTCACCAGAATATTGGTTTTATAATTCTTTATATGGTCAATTTTACATGTTTGAGTAAATATCACCAACTCTAGTAGCTTTTAAAAATACTTACCCCATATAACTATGTAAAATATAAGTGCATAAATTTGTTACGTAAATACATAGAATATAAACATATTATATTTGGAATAACCTACTAGGAGACTATTATTTGGTGCTATTATGGATAAGGTATTTTATCTTACATTTTTGAGTACATTTTCTTTGGAAGGAGGAAAAAGTCAAAGATGAAAAACTCATATTTCTGTCTCTCTGGTTGTCCCTTGAGACAGAGGCAAAAGGACGGAATAGAAACAGAACGTTTATATTTTACAAAGGAGGAATTTAAAAGCTTTATTTTGTTATCTGGAAAATTGAAAACACACCAGGGTATAAGTGAAAACAAAGATAATCAAGAACAATCATATTATGGAGGATTTCATGATATGCCATCCTTTGAATCTTTTTCTCTTACTTTTGTTTTATGTGCTCGTGTGTGTGTTTGTGTGCATGAGTGTGTGTTGTTTATTTTCTTTTTCATCATTGGGAACATCAGGTAGAATTAGGTCTGTACAACATACTGTGTACAAACACAAAGAAACATATATAATGTGTTTTCTTCCTGTTTGTCACATGCTGAATAAGGGCTCTTCCTTGGAGACATTCTCTATTCTCTAGTTTTCTCAGTCTAGTGTCAGAAAAAATAATTCTTAAACACACTGCTGAATTTGAAATCTGTGGCTCTGTTGAATCTTGCTTTGTTCTTCTAAGTGCTAAGGATCTACACAGAACTTTGGAAGGAATATATGGTTTGAAGCATACCATGGTCTCACACTCATTAAGTTATTACACTTATGGTTAAAAAATACTTCAAATTTTATGTTTCTTTTGCCTCTTTTTAGTTCTACAATATAGAATCACCTTCAATAGGAAGTGCACCATATTTTATTCACACTGAAACTAAAATAAGAAAGAAATTAATTTTTAAAAAATATTTAAAGACTTGAGATGTTCTCAAGCACTTTATTTTTGCTAATAACAAAATAATATATTAAAATATTTTAAGACAATATTCTTATACACAATATAGTTAAAATTTAAATATCAAATAATCTGCCAAGTCACTTGCTCATTACAGCAAGCAAAAATTTGAATGACTTAAACACTTGACTATACATTTAAACCTTTGTGAGATTTTAAAATTAGTGTCTGTCCAAGGAAAATGATTGGCACCTTGCAAATAATGTTGGTTATTTACTTACAGCGTCTGTAATAAACTCCCCAGATTTATCAGATATGTACAGACTTTTTTTCCTAAAAGAGGGAGACTTGACCAGAATCTCCTATTAGATTCTCAAGTTTTTCAAGATCATGTGGATTCCAGATTATGTGTGATTCAGTATTAGCATTTTCTAGATTTGTTCCTTCTTTCTTTCTCTTCTTGTTGTTTGTATATAATTATGAATCCTAATTGAACAAAAATAGAGAAATGTGACTCATAGCCTGACACGTTTGACATTTGAGCACACAGAGGCATTATTCCAATTAGTAGGTCATAATTCAGCAGAGATGTGGGAGGCAATAAACACATTTTCCTTTAGTATGATTATTTGTTTCTTAAGAGAAGTCAAATGTAATAAGAAACCATTTAATTTTCATCCTATACTTTTCCTAGAAAGTCCATTCGAGTCCTAAAACAGTCAACATTATTTTTCCCAATTCTAAAAGTATACATTTGCCTTTTGAAAAATTTGCAAAGTATAAAATTATTAATAATAATTAAGGAATTATTCCATTTATAAACAATCCAACAGATTAAATGTTGTTATGTTTCATTGCTTTATTCTCTTGATTTCTATAGTCACTTTTTTGGTAAACTTCTTTATATGTTCAGTGCCCTCCTGAATAAGGCACGTTTTGATCCAGGAGAAGTATATCTCATTCTTATTCCACTTAATTTTGTTTAGGTTAACCTTACTTTTTAATTTTTATTTTGACTAAATTCATTAAAGCATTGTCTTAAGGTAAAGCCACTCCTGCTTTAAATTGAACCAAAGGGATTTTTTTGCCCTGAGGGCTGAAACACAGGGAGGAATCAGCTACCATCTCATACCACACTCTCCAGAAGTTAGCTATTTTTTATTAGGTTTTCTGTTGTTATAAAGATAAGATTCCCAAAGAATTGCAAGATATACAAGGTCTTTCATATTCTAGTCTAATATTGACGTTTGCAGATCTCATGTTCCACAGTTTCCAATCAAGTACATTTCAATCCAGTCTTATTATGCTAAGAGAAAATGATTTTTTTCAATAGTGTACACCATTATTTTCCATCTTTTTATTCAATGAATTCAAGAGGGATGCTGTCTGATCAGGTCTATCATGCTATCCCAGTCCACAGCAGAGTTGTGTTATACAATTTATCTGTCACGGAGACTTCAACTCATAAATAACTATGAAATGAATGAAAGTAACATAATGCTTCTGAAGTGTTTCCTATCTCCCAAAGTGAGATGGATTTCAGATGTTATTCCTCTATGTTACTTCTTTCAAATTTCTATTACATAATTTGTTATGTTTTATTACAATTACTGATATTCTTTTTCTGTCTCCAATAATATTTTGAGTTCTTCGGCTCAAGGACCACAACAGATGACAAAGTCAGAGTTAGTGAGGTAAGTAACAGTAGGGGTAGAGAATATTAGATGCAATCTAGAGATACTTCGTTAATAGAATTGGCATGACTAGGTGAGCAATTTGATGTATAGAAAATAAACTAGAAGAATACCATTTTTTGTTTACCTTTAGTGACTATCAATGATAGGGGAAATTTTGGAAGATAACAATGTTTGCAGTGATAATAATATTCATTCGATTTGTAGAAATAATCGGTTTGAAGTGCCTATCAGGTATTGGATATTTGAGTTTGAAATTCAGTACAGAAATATAGACTGGAATTTAATATTAATCTAATGTACAGTTGATAGTTGAAGCCATAAAATTAAAAAGGTCACTTAGGGGGCAAGTACTATGAGATTAGGGCTATAAATGAACCCTGAAGATTATCACCATTTAAATGATAGGAAAAAGATGACCTAAAGAAGGAAGTTTTATTAAAGAAAGCATTATTATGCACACATATTTTTTAAAAAATTGAAATCAGGAAATCTTTTATGGGAGTTGATTCCATCTCTGCAGAAGATTAATCTAAATTCACTAGAATTTCAAGCCTACTTTATAGTTAAGAGAGGAAGGCAGAGTATTTGTGATCCACGTTAACGACTACCAGAATTCCCTCTTTTTATAAGCAAATATTCAGTTCACTTTCCTTTTCAAGCAGAAATCCTTCTCAACTTTGTCCGGGAAAGACAATCAAGAAGTCCCAGCTAGCCACAGCATCCAGCTCAATGTTCAGGATCTCTATTAATATTATTTTGTCAGGAATGATGAATGATAGTCATTACATTAATCTCTTGTATAGAATTATATACATATTATATATAGAATTATATACTATACGCATATAATATGCATATTATATATAGAACTATGAACAAAGAAACAAGTAATCTGTCTCACACACCCAACTTATAATTAGTAAATAGGGCCAGGGTAATATCAGTGGTCACTCACACAGAGAAGAGATAAATGGAAGACAGACAACGGCAATACCAATTCCAATATCCTATAAGGCAACACTGGAGAGGGCCCCCTTCCTTGGGGAAAATAAATGGTTTTTGACCAGGCCCGATTCTGCTTCCTGGAAGGGGTGGCATTCAATTTGTTGCTAAGAGGGTCTTCCTTTCCTCTTATCCTCTTGACCACAACTGAATTGATAACTTAACCTGTATCCTGCTAGATAACTGAATTGCTTTTTGCCCATGGATTGTTGAGGACCTAATAATCATTTTATTCCCAAAAAGTCAGAATCTTTTAGTTTGGGCTAGCCTTTCTTATGGCAGAACGAATTTCTAAAAGACTCATTTGACTGTTTATCTATTTAATTTAAGTCATTTCCATGTGCCAATACCTATGTTCTTTTCTTTTATGAATATGCTCTTTTAATTAATATAAAATGTATTATGTATTTCTGGGGTGTGTGTATTTGTTACATGCATAGAATGTGTAACAATCAAGTCAGCGTATTTGGGATATCAATCACCTTGAGTATTTATTATTTCTATGTGTTAATAACATTTCAAGTCCTTTTTTCTAGCAACTTTGAAATACACTATACAATGTTAACTATAGTCACCCTATTCTGCTATTAAATATTGAGACTTATTTCTTCCAACTATATGTTTGTACACACTTATCAATCTCTCTTTATCCTTGCCTACCACCCATACATGCTTCCCAGCCTCTAATATTTCTCATTCTATTCTCTGTCTCCATGAGACCATTTTTTTTTTATTTTTATTTTTTTTTAGTTTCCACATATGAGTGAGAACAGGGGACATCTGTCTTTCTCTGCCTGGCTTATTTCACTCTGCATAATAATCTCCAGTTCCTGGCTGTGGCCAACATGGTGAAACCTCGTCTCTACAAAGAATACAAAAATTAGCTGGGCATGGTGGGCGGGTGCCTGTAATCCCAGTTACTCGGGAGGCTGAGGCAAGAGAATAGCTTGAACCCAGGAGGCAGAGGTTGTGGTTAGCCGAGATCGCACCACTACACTCCAGCCTGGGTGACAGAGTGAGACTCCATCTCAAAAAAATAAATAAATAAAAATAATAATTCCAGTTCCATTCATGTTGCTGCAAATAACATGATTTTATTCTTATTTTAGGGCCAAATAGTATCTCATTGTGCATATATACCACATTTTCTTTATCTATTCATCCATCGATGGACACTTGGTTAATTCCATATCTTTGCTATTGTGAATAACACTGCAATAAACATATGAATACATATATCCCTTTGATCTGCAGATTTCATTTTCTTTGGATAAATGCCCAATAATGGTGGCCAGGTGTGGTGGCTCACCCCTGTAATCCCAGCACTTTGAGAGGCCAGGGCATGCAGATCACTTGAGGTCAGGGGTTCGTGACCAGCCTGGCCGACATGATGAAACCCCGTCTCTATTAAAAATACAACAGTTAGGCCGGGCACGGTGGCTCACGCCTGTAATCCCAACACTTTGGGAGGCCGAGGTGGGCGGATCACGAGGTCAGGAGATCGAGACCATCTTGGCTAATGCGGTGAAACCCCGTCTCTACTAAAAATACAAAAAATTAGCCGGGCGTGGTAAGGGGCGCCTATAGTCTCATCTACTCGGGAGGCTGAGGCAGGAGAACGGCGTGAACCCAGGAGGCAGAGCTTGCAGTGAGCCGAGATTGCGCCACTGCACTCCAGCCTGGGCGACAGAGCAAGACTCCGTCTCAAAAAAAAAAAAAAAATACAAAAATTAGTTGGGTGTAGTGGTGTGTACCTTTAATCTCAGCTACTTGGGTGGCTGAGGCAGGAGAATCACCTGAACCTGGGGGGCAGAGGTCGCAGTGAGCCAAGATTGTACCACTGCACTCCAGCCCAGGTGACAGAGCAAGACTGTAAAAAAAAAAAAAAAAAAAAAAAAAAAAAAAAAAAAAAAAAAAAAAAAAAAAAAGCCCAATAATGGGCTTGCTGGATATTATGGTAGTTTTATTTTTGGTAATTGTTTTATTTAAGGTAGTTGTTGTTGTTGCTGTTGCTTTGAGAAATTGCCATGCTGTTTTCTACAGTGGTTTACTAATTTATATTCCCATCAGCAGTATAAAAGAGTTCCATTTTCTCTGCATCCCTGCCAGCATCTGTTATTTTTCGTCCTTTTAATAATCTTCATTCTAACTAAAGTAAGATGACATCTAATTGTGGTTTTGATTTGCATTTTCCTGGTGCTCAGTGATGTTGAACATTTTTTCATATACCTTTTGACCATTTGTATGTCTTCCTTTCAGAAATATCTTATTATGTCCTTAGCTCATGTTTTAATGGGATTATCTGGTCGTTTTTATTGTTGAGTTCTTAGAGTTTCTTCTGTATTTTGGACATTAATCCATTGTTGTGTGAGTAGTTTGCAAATATTTTCTCCCATTCAACAGGTTTTTTCCTCATTCTATTGATTGTTTTCTTTGCTGTGTAGAAGGTTTTCAGTTTAATATAGTGATATGGTTTGGCTGTGTCCCCACATGGGGCCAGGTGGAGATAACTGGATCATGAGAGCAGATTCCCCCATACTGTTCTCATGGTAGTGAATAAGTCTCACAAGATCTGATGATTTTATAAATGAGAATTCCCTGGCACAAGCTCTCTTGCCTACCACCGTGTAAGATGTTACTTTGCCCCTCCTTTGCCTTCCACCACGATTGTGAGACCTTCCCAGCCATGTGGAACTGTGAATCAATTAAACATCTTTCCTTTATAAATTACCCATTCTTGGGCATGTTTTTATCAGCAGCATGAAAACAGACTAATATATATGGTCTCATTTATCTGTTTTATTTTTTATAGTTGTCGATGCTTCCAAGGCCCTAACCATGAAATCTTTGCCTAGACCAATGTCTTGAAGTGTTTTCCCTATTCGTTCTTCTAGTAGTTTTACAATTTAGGTCTTATATTCAAGTCTTTAATGATCTTGTGTAGATTTATGTATATGGGGATATATAAGGGTACAGCTGCATTCTTCAGCACATAAATATCCAGTTTTTCCAGCACAATTTATTGAAGAGATTGTCCTTTCCCCAATGTGTACTCTTGACACCTTTATTGAATATAAGTTGAATGTAAATATGTGGATTTATTTCTGAACTCTCTATTCTGTTTTATTGGTGTATGTGTCTGTTTTTACCATGTTGTTTCAGTTACAATAGACTTGTAATATATTTTGAATTCTGGTAGTGTGATGCTTCCAGCTTTACTCTTTTTGTTCATGATTGCTGTGACTATTTGGGCTCTTTTTTGGGTCCCATACAAATTTTAGAATTGTTTATTCTAATTCTATGAGAAATGATGTTGTTATTTTGATGGGGACTGCATTGAATCTGTAGACAACTTTGAGTAGCATGATCATTTTTACAATATTCCTTCTTTTGATACATGATCATGATATATCTTTCCATTTTTTGCATGTCCTCTTCCATTTCTTTCATTAGTGTTTTGTAATTTTCCTAGTAGAGATCGTTCACCTCTTTGGTTAAATTTATTCCTAGGTATTTTATTTTATTTTTATAGCTGTTGTAAATGTGATTGCCTTCTTGATTTCTTTCTCAGTTAGTGCATTACTGGTGTATAGAAATGCTACTGATTTTTGTATGTTGATTTTGTATCCTGAAGCTTTACTGAATTCATTTTTTAAATCTAAGAGTTTTTTGGTGGAGTCGTTAGGTTTTTCTAGATGTAAGATTATATCATCAGCAAAGGACCAATTAGACATTCTCTTTTTCAATTTGGATTCATTTTCTTTCTCTTAACTGATTTCTCTGGCTAGGACTTCCAACTACTATGTTGAATATGAGTGGTAAAAGCAGGCATGCTTATCTTGTTTCGGATTTTACAGGAAAGGCTTTTAGCTTTTCCCCATTTGATATGTTAATGTAGGTTTGTCATATATGACCTTTAATATCTTGAGGTAAGCCACGTCTATTGCTAGTTTATTGAGAGTTTTTTTTATTGTTGTTGTTTGTTTGTTTGTTTTTGATGGGGTCTCACTCTGTCACCCAGGCTGGAGGGCAGTGATATGATCATAGCTCACTGCAGCCTCTATCTCCCTAGGCTCAGGTAATCCTCCTGCCTCAGCCTCCTGAGGAGCTGGGACTACAAGCATGTGCCACCATGCCCGGCTAATTTTTGTATATTTTGTGGAGTTGGGGTTTTGCCATGTTTCCTAGGCTGGTCTTGAACTCCTGGACTCAAGCAATCCACCACTGTCAGCTTTGCAAAGTGGTGGGATTACAGACATAAGCCATTGTGCCTGGCCTTGTTGAGAGTTTTTATCATGAAGGGAGGTTGAATTTTATAAAATCTTTTTTCTTCACCTATTGGAATTATCACATGGCTTTTGTCCTTCATTCTGTTGATGCACTGTATCACATTTATTGACTTCCATATGTTGAATCATCCTTGTACCTCTGGTGTAAATCCCACTTGGTCATGGTTTACTATCTTTTTGATGTGCTGTTGGATTCAGTGTGCTAGTATTTTGTTGAGAATTTTTGCATCAATTTTTATTAGGATTATTGGCCTGTAGTTTTTTCATGTCATATCCTTATCTAGTTTTTGTATCAGGGTAGTGCCAGCCTTGTGGAGTTAGGGAAAGTTTTCTCTTCTTTCGTTTTTTAGGATAGTTTGAGGAGGATTGGTATTAGTTCTTCTTTATATGTTTGCTATAATTTAGCAGTGAATTTAGAAGTCAGACCTGGGCTTTTCTTTTTCAGAAGACATTTTTAATACTGATTCAGTCTCACTACTCATTACTGGGCTGTTCAGGTTTTCCATTTTTTCCTGATTCAATCTCGGCAGGTTGTCTGTTTCCAGAAATTTATCCATTTCCACTATGTTTTCCAGTGTTAGCATGTAGTTGTTCATAATACTCTCTAATGATCTTTTGCTTTTCTGTGGCATCACGTGTAATCTCTCCTTTTTCATGTTGATTTTGTGTATGTGGATCTTCTCTCTTTTTTTTTTCTTGATTAATATAGCCAGATAGAGGTTTGTCAATTTTGTTTTTCTTTTCAAGGAACCAAAGTTTTGTTTAATTGACTTTTTCTTTTTTGTATCTACTTTGTTTAGTTCTGCTTGGATCTTTATTATTAATTTTCTTGTGCTAATTTTGAATGGGGTTTGTTCTTGCTTTTCTAGTTCCTTGAGGTGTATTGTTAGGTTGCTTACTAGAAATCTTTCCGATTTTTTAAAATGTAGGTGTTTATTGCTATAAACTTCCTGCTTAGCACTGCTTTTCTGTATTGTACAGGATTGGGTATGCTGCGTTTCCATTTTTTATTTGTTTCAAGAAATTCTTAAATTTTCATAGTAATTTTTTCATTGACCCAGCGACTATTTAGGAACATGATTTTTTTTACATTTTTGTGTATTTGTTTTCCAAAGTTCCTCTTGGTATTGATTTCTATTTTTATTCAACTGGGGTCTGAGAAGATACTTGGGATGACTTCAATTTCAAAAAATATACTGAGGCTTGTTTTGTGTCCTAAAATATAATGTATCCTCAAAAATGTTCCATGTGCTGATGAGAAGAATGTATATTCTGCAGTAGTTGGATGAAATGTTCTGTAAATGTCTGTTAGACTAAAGTCCAGTTTAAATTCAATTTTTTTGTTGATTTTATGTTTAGATATTCTGTCTAATGCTGAGAATTAGAGTCTTCCACTATAATTGTATAGTTGAATTCTCCCACTATAATTGTATAGGAATTTCTCTCTCTCTTTAAATATAGTAATATTTGCTTTATGAATCTGGGTATTTTAGTGTTGGGTGCATATATATTTAGAATTGTAATATCTTTTGTTAAATCGATGCCTTTATCATTATACAGTAACTGTCATTGTCTTGTTTTGTTTTTTACTGTTTTTTAACTTAAAATTTTTTAAATCTGATATAGACATAGCTACTCCTACGTTACTTTTGTTTTCCATTTGCATAGAATAACTTTCATTCTTTTACTTTGAGTCAGTATGTGTCTTTTCCAGAAAAGTGTGCTTCTTGTTGGCAGCATGTGGTTGGATTGCATTTCTTTATTCAGCCATTCTATATCTATATCTAGAGAATTTAGTCCATTTACATTCAAGGTTATCATTAATATGTGAGGGTTTGTTAACGCCATATTGTTAATTGTTTCTGGTAGTTTTGTAAATTCTTTTTTTTTCTTTAATTGTTTGTCATTGTGGCTTGGTGTTTCACTATTTCACTATAGTGGCACTGTTTGAATCCTTTTTCTTGCTCATTTGTGTATTTGGCTTACCAGTGGGTTTAATACCATTGTGTGTTTTCATGATCATAAGTGTCACCCTTTTGCTTCCAAGTTTAGAACTCTTGAGCATTTCTCACAGGGCTATATAGGGGTGATTAATTCTCTCAGTGTTTGCTTATCTTGGAAAAACTTTATTCTCCTTTATTTATGAAGGATAAGTTTAGGTTTGCTGGATACATTATCCTCGGGTAGCAGTTTTCTTCTCTCATGACCATGAATTTGACAGCCCGTTCTCTCCTAGTCTTTAATGATTTCGTTGAGAAATCCACTGTTAGTCTGATGGGGGTTCTTTTATAGGGGACTAGATGTTTTTCTCTTGCTGTTTGTATATCCTCTCTTTTGCTTTGACTTCAGACACTTTGACTCTAATGTACTGCACGAAAAGATCTTTTTGCATTATATCTGTTTGATGATCTTTGGAACTCCTGTATCAGGATATCTAGATCTTGTGATAAACTTGGGAATTTTTCATGTAATATTTCACTACATATGTTTTCTGACCAAGGACATTGATAATTCACATATTCAGTCACTTTACGTTGTCCAAAATGTCACAAGGTCTTTGCCCATTTTAAAAATTATTTTTTCTTTCATTTTTACTGGATTATTTCAAAAGACCTGTCTTCAAGTTCTCAGATCCTTTCTTCTACATGATCTAGTCAATTGTCAAATCTTTTACATGTATTTGTATTTCCTCCAATTAATCAGTTTCAGAATTTCTGTTTGGTTCTTTTTAAAAAAAACTCTCTCTCTTTGATAAACTTCTTATATTTAGTTGTTTTCTTATATCTGTATTGTTTTTCAGAGTCCTTTTATCTCATAGACTTTCTTTAAAATCAGTATTTTAAATTCTGTTTCAGAAATTTCGTGAATTTTTTGTATTAGGATCTGTTGCTGGAGAATTATTGTGTTCCATTAGAGGTGTCATATTTCCACACATTTTCATGTTTGTTGTGTCCTTATGTTGACATCTGCACAAACACTAGCAATGGTGATGCACTGGGCTGTGAGATCCTCAAGCCTGTGGATGTCATGCTGGAGTATCAGAGAGATGGACCAGGCCCCCTGGTAGTGTGTTCGGACACTGGTTGTAATAGTCAAGGTGGTACCCCACCCACCAGCAGAAGCTTAGGTGTGGGCAGCTGTAGCTGCACTGTGAGCTTGCCATCAGGGAGGAAAGGGTCACCTCAGTGGATCCAAGGTAGGCAGGTAGCTGTGGATCATGTGGTATCCTCGTGTCTTGATCCAATGGCAGCCTGCAGTGAGATTTGTTATTGAGGTATGTGAAAGTGCCTGGGCTGTTCCTCCCTTCTTGGCTCAGCAGCAGCAGCAGCAGCAGCAGTGACATTGGCCCCAGGACAGGACAGAGTTCTTTGGGGTATTGGCTCTCAGAATGGTGTCACGCTGTAGCTTCTCAGGGCTTAGAAGCCTAAGAGACTCAGCATGAGTTCTGTCTCCAGAGAAATGCCTCTGTGCAGTCTCTAGGCAGCTCTCTATTTTAGTCTCAAAGCCTGCATGGGTTAAGAAGCTTTCCTGTAGCTAAGACTGTAAATGTCCACAGTGGAAATCTACAGCCCTGTGTATCTCTCACCTACCCTTTTCCAACAGCTGGGAGCAACAATTCCTCTGTTGTTCTTTCTTAGATGATCTATTCAAAGTGTGAATATCTACTTGCTATTTTGGTTCCTCTCTGTGGAGGAGGCACATACTAGCTGCATATAGTTAGCCATCTTGAATCTGCATTCCACTTTATGGGCCAGAAGTGGCTGCCCATACTGCAGTTCACTGCTGGTTCTTATTCACACCCAGCTTCACCTACCTGTGCTCTCTCCAGCCTGACTTTGATGTACTTCTTAAATTTGCTGTATTACCTTTCATTCTCTCCTCCACCATCCCCCACATTCTCACTGTCATATTGTTGAAATAATTGTGGGTACTTTTGTCCTGTTAAACTTTGGTAGGAGAGGCATAGCCTTTGTCTTTTTCCCTAGAGTCATTCTGTCCAGATGAAAAGATTTACTATGTACCACCTTAGCTATGCAGATAATTTTAGTAATGAGTGAAAGGGTAAACATTGTTTCAGTCCCTGCCTTTAAACAAAATTTAAAACAAATTAATTGTATGATTTACTATTTGACATTCAGATGTAGTTCCATTTCCAAACTTTCAAGTTTCTGAATTTTCTACTTGGAAATATACAGGTCTTCTTGAAATAATCTCTTTCTTTTAAGATCATGGCAAATCCACCTGATGACATCTAGCACACACCACTAAGATTCCGTATTTAAATCTCTCCTTCTAGATCAACATTATTTGCCTTCCATATTATGATGGGAAACTATGTTAATAATGCTTTCATCATTCCATTCACTGGATCACTTTTTTTTGTAGATTTAATATCAGTTTCCTTTTTACCCTAAGCAAGGTCCCAAGCAATGACTCATATCTTAAATTTGCAATACCCCATATCTGTGTAGCAATATCTATGTCAATCACATCATATCTAATTGTGCTATGGTTAAAAGAATAGAACGGCAATGACTCAACTTATGGGTAACAAATCCTTTGTGTAAGTCAAGTGGTTTTCTGCATTTTGCTCTAAAAAACATTGAAGAAGGAACACAATAAATTATCAGCTGATACATCATCTAGAATGATGTTTAATAACAGGTCACTACATACTTCATGGAATAATTTCAAAAGTAGTTCATAGAAGTGATAATTTGTAGAGTCAAATTATCCTTCTTAATAGAAACATAATTTCAGAGAGAAAAATAGTCAATCTACATCCATAGTGCAACTGTGACTAAGGTGCTGCCCATAGCAGCGTAATTGATTAGGCAGTGCAACTCCCTGACTGCAGTGTAAATTATTACTAATTGTGGATGCCATAAAGCATTATCAAAAAGTAACATTATTTTTGCTTGAAAGAATATTCACAAATTGAACTTCGATGAAACTGGAAACTTGCTTCATTGAGAAGCAGAAATTATCTTCACAGCCATTATATTGTCTGTAATTCTAAAATGGGTTAATAACACTAGAATTTAACACTGAGGGAAACTTTTTACCTACATATCCTGTCTCATTTCTACTTCATTTACATTTATGCACTGAGCTTGAACAAAGATTAATGATACCTGAAGATCAATATTGTCTTTACATGTGGTATTGTAAATCTAGCTCCTTGATGAGCTACCCTAGAAGGGAAATAAGGTATCTTGGTAAAAGTCACCTGAAATTAATGTCATGTATGATTATATTAATTACTATTTGTTTGTGATATATGCTAGGTAATTACAAATATTCAAATGTCATTTACGAGACACTTTTACAAATGACCTAATAAAGCCTCTTTACCTTTTTGTAATTGTTTAACTTTTCATTGCTGCTTCTCGTAAGTAATTTTCTTTACACTCACAACAGTCTCACAAGATGTAAGGACAATTAGTTATATTACCCACCTGAGTGGTAACAAAGCTGAAGCACAATGAATTCCATAGATAATCCAGGACCATACAGTTGCCAGAATGAAAATATCCTCATTTTATCACTTTGTTCTTCATGACACATTAAGCTTTTCTTTAAATATATGATTAGTCATAAGCTTAAATTTGGTTGTAAAGATGAAATATATGCTAAACATTTACACACTTAGGTCACATAAAAGTCATAGAAATGTTTAAATTTATTTCCCTTTACTTCAAATTGGGATTTCCTTGAAGGCAAAATTTTTCGGGGAAACTCCCTTCTACAATTTAAATAAAATAATCAAGAGGGACCTAATATATTATTAGATGATTAATATAATCTTTAACGTTAAGGTTTTTCAATTTAGTAGCCTCCATGATAATCCACAATGATCCTGATCTCCTAATATTCATGCTCTATTTTCTCTCACACTTGATAGGGATGACTTGTATAACTAATGAATCATTGAAGATGATGCAGTGTGACTTTCTAGTTCAGTCTTAGAAAACACTGCAGATTTTGTGTGATTCTTGGATCATTTGCTCTGAAATAAGCCAACTGTCATATCGCGAGGACACTCAAGTACCACTATGCAGAGAGCCATGTGACAGAGAACTGAAGCCTGCTGTCTGTAGCCAGAAGTGAGGCCTCTCTTTGAAAGACATTGAGTGAACCATGTTGGAAGAAAATCCTCTTGAGCAAAATCATGCCTTCAAATAACTTCAGCCCTAAACCACATCTTGAATGCAGCCTCATGAGAGACCCTGAGTCTGATTCAACAAGCTAAGCTGCTCCCAAATTCCTGACCCGCAGAAACTATAAGATAACAAATGATTGTTATTTTGAGCTTTTGTGTTTCAGAGTAATTTTTATGTAGAAATAAATACAGTTACTCTAATATTCCTCAGTACACCCAAATTTCACTATGTAGTCACTATTCCACCTACTACCATAACAGAAGGATGTTATTTAAGTTTTATAAAGGGGCACCAGTAGACATGGCTATAGAAGGGAGTTGAATGGAAAGTCTCAGAGGAGCTGGTCTTGAGAACAAAGGAAGAAGAAATATAGAATAAGGAAAGCAAAATTTTTAGCAAAGCCAACAGACTATATGTAACCACCAAAGTATTAAAATGTATGGTCCTTATGGGAAATTTGAGGAAGTTCATTGCAGTTAGCTAATCTTGTGTTGCTTGTGTGGGTGAAATTGTGAATGAACCTGAAGATGAAAGCAGGTAAATAATAATAAAGGGCCATATTTGTGTGACAGGCAAACTGAGGAGTTAAAATTTTTATCTGAAGGATCTGTGCTATCATTGAGGCTTCTAAGCAGAAGTATGAGTAAAATTTTTAAATTAAAACCAATTAGAAGATGTTTGCAATAATCCCAGCAATAAGCAATAAAGAAAACTAAGAATTTGTGTTATAGAAGCAGAAGGTGATGACAATCTTAATAGGCAGGAAGTAATAACAATGAAAAGTAAAGCTAATATTTATTTCACACTTACTATGTGTCAGACATTCTTATTAAATGCCTTACAGGTATTATCTCATTTAACAGTTATGAAAAACTATGAGACAAGTACTACTATTATCTTTATTGCACACATTAACAAACTGTGGCACAGAAAGAGATGGTAACATTTGAAGTAAATGGCAGAGCTTAGACTCAATTTATCATTGTGTTATTCCAAGCTTAAATACTTTTATTGTAAAGCATTCACATTTTTGGTTCCATATGAAATTTAAAGTAGTTTTTTTCTAATTCTGTGAATGGTATCTTGATGAGAATAGCATTGAATCTATAAATTACTTTGGGCAGTATAGCCATTTTCACAATATTGATTCTTCCTGTCCATGAGCATGGGATGCTTTTCCATTTGTTTGTGTCCACTCTGATTTCCTTGAGCAGTGCTTTCTAGTTCTCCTTGAAGAGGTCCTTCACTTCCCTTGTTAGCTGCATTCCTAGGTATTTTATTCTATTTGTAGCAATTGTGAATGGGAGTTCATTCATAATTTGGCTCTCTGCTTGTCTATTGTTGGTGGATAGGAATTCTTGTCATTTTTGCACATTGATTTTGTATCCTGAAACTTTGCTGTTGTTGCTTATCAGCCTAAGAAACTCTGGGGCTGGGACGATGGGGTTTTCTAGATATAGGATCATGTCATCTGCAAACACAGATTGTTTGACTTCCTGTTTTTCTATTTGAATACTCTTTATTTCTTTCTCTTGCCTGATTGCCCTGGCCAGAACATCCAATACTATGTTGAATAGGAGTGGTGAGAGAGGGCATCCTTTTCTTGTGCAGAATGATCCCTTTTCAATGGGAATGATTCCAGTTTTTGCCTATTCAGTATAATATTGGCTGTGGGTTTGTCATGAATGGCTCTTATTATTTTTAGGTATGTTCCTTCAATACATAGTTCACTGAATTTTTAACATGAAGGGATGTCGAATTTTATTGAAGGTCTTTTCTGTGTCTATTAGGATAATCATGTGGTTCCTTTCTTTAGTTCTGTTTATGTGATGAATTACATTTATGGATTTGCATATGTTGAACCAAGCTTGCATCCCAGGGATGAAGCCGACTTGATCATAGAGCATAAGCTTTTTGATGTGCTGCTGGATTCAGTTTGCCAGTATTTTACTGAGGATTTTTGCATCAATGTTCATCAGAGATATTGGTCTGAAGTTTTCTTTTTTTGTTGTTGTAACTCTGCCAAGTTTTGGAATCAGAATGATGTTGGCCTCCATAAAAGGAGTCCCTCCTTTTCCATTGTTTAGAATAGTTTCAGAAGAAATGGTACCAGCTCCTCTTTGTACCTCTGGTCGGATCCAACTACAAATCGGTCTGGTCCTGGGCTTTTTTTTGTTTGAGACAGAATCTCGCTCTGTTGCCCAAGCTGTAGCGTAATGGCATGATCTTGGCTCACCACAACGTCTGCCTCCTGGGTTCAAGCGATCCTCCTGCCTCAGCCTCCCCAGTAGCTGGGATTACAGGCATGAGCCACCATGCCTGGCTAATTTTGTATTTTTAGTAAAGATGGGGTTTGTCCATGTTGATCAGGCTGGTCTCGAACTCCTAACCTCAGGTGATCTGCCTGCCTCGGACTCCTAAAGTGCTGGGATTACAGGCGTGAACCACTGTGCCCAGCCTGGTCCTGGGCTTCTTTTGTTGGTAAGCTATTTATTACTGCCTCATTTTCAGAGCTTGTTATTGATCTATTCAGGGATTCAACTTCTTCCTGGTTTAGTCTTGGGAGGGTGTATGTGTCCAGGAATTTCTCCATTTATTCTAGATTTTCTAGTTTATTTGCATAGAGGTGTTCATAGTATTCTCTGATGGTTGTATGTATTTCTGTGAGGTCATTGATGATAGCCCCTTTACCATTTTTTATTTTGTCTACTTGACTCTTCTCCCTTTTCTTCTTCGTTAGTCTAAAGTGCTCTATTAATTATTTTTTTTCAAAAAACATCTCCTGGATTTGTTAATATTTTAAAGGGTTTTTCTTGTCTCTATCTCCTTCAATTCCACTCTGATCTTGGTAATTTCTTTTCTTCTGCTAGATTTGGGGTTTGTTTGCTCTTGTTTCTCGGGTTTTTTTTTAGTAGTAACGTCAGGATCGTCAATTTGAGATCTTTCTTGCTTTTGGGTATGGGCATTCAGTGTTATAAATTTCCCTCTTAACACTGCTTTAGCTGTGTCACAGAGATTCCGGTATGTTGCCTCTTTGTTCTCACTGGTTTCAAAGAACTTCTTGATTTCTGCCTTAATTTCATTATTTACCCAGGAGTCAAAACAGGAACAGGTTGCTCAATTTCCATGTGGTTGTGTGGTTTTGAGTGAATTTCTTAGTCTTGAGTTTTAATTTGTGCTATGGTCTCAGAGACTGTTATTATTTCAGTCATTTTGCATTTGCTGAGGAGTGTTTTACTTCCAATTATGTGATCAATTTTAGAGTGAATGTCATGTAGTGCCAAGAAAAATGTATATTCTGTTGTTTTGGGGTGGAGAGTTCTGTAACTATGTATCAGGAGACACTTGATCCAGGGCCGAATTCAAGTCCTGAATATCTTTGCTAATTTTTTGTGTCAATGATATGTCTAATATTTACAGTGGAGTGTTAACTCTCCCACAATTATTTTGTGGGAGTCGATAAGTCTTTTGTATGTCTCTTAGAACTTGTTTTATGAATCTCAGTGGTCTTGGATTGGATGCATATATATTTAGGATAGTTAGCTCTTTTCATTGAATTGATCCCTTTACCACTATGTAATGCCCTTCTTTGTGTTTTTTTTTATCTTTGTTGGTTTAAAGTCTTTTTTGTCAGAAACTAGGATTGCAACCCCTACTTTCATCTGCTTTGCATATGCATGATAGATTTTCCCCCATCTCTTTATTTTGAGACTATGTGTGTCTTTGCACAAGATGTGTCTCTTGAATAAAGTATAATTGATGGGTCTTGACTCTTTATCCAGCTTGCCACCCTGTGTCTTTTAATTGGAGCCTTTGGCCCATTTACATTTAAGGTTAATATTATTATGTGTGAATTTGATCTTGTCATCATGATGCTAGCTGTTTGTTTTGCAGACATCTTGATGTAGTTGCTTCATAGTATAATTTGGTCTTTGTATTTCAGTGTGTTTTTGCAGTGGCTGGTAATGGTTTTTCCTTTCCATATTTAGTTCTTCCTTCAGGAGCTCTTGTAAAGCAAACCTGGTGGTCATAAGTTCCCTCAGCATTTGTTTTTCTGAAAAGGATTTTATTTCTACTTTGCTTACGAAGCTTAGTTTGGCCAGATAGCCATTTCTGGGTTGGAAATTATTTTCTTTAAGAATGTTGAATATTTGCCCCAATCTCTTCTGGCTTTTAGGGTTTCTGCTGAGTGGACCACTGTTACTGTGATGGGCTTCGCTTTGTGGGAGACCTGGCCTTTATCTCTGGCTGCCTTTAACATTATTTCCTTCATTTTGACCTTGTAGAATCTGATTATTATGTGTTTTGGATTTGAGTTTTAATTTGATTGTGCTGTGGTCTGACAGACTGTTATGATTCTCATGGAGTCTTTCTGGAGTTCTCTGAAATTCCTGAATTTGCCTCTCTTGCTAGGTTATGGAAGTTCTCCTGGATGATATCACGAAGTGCGTTTTCCAACTTGGTTCCATTCTCCCTGCCTCTTTCAGGTACCACAATCAGTCGTAGATCTGGCTTTTTTTACATAATCCTATATTTCTTGGAGGTTTTATTTGTGCCTTTTCATTCTTTTTCCTCTAATATTGTCTGCCCGTCTTATTTCAGCAAGTTAGTCTTCAATCTCTGAAATTCTTTCTTCCACTTGGTCTATTCAGCTATTGATACTTGTGGTTGCATTTTGAAGTTCTCATGTGGTGTTTTTCAGCTCCATCAGGTCATTTATGTATTTTTTTCTAAACTGTTTATTCTGTAATTACAGCTCCTGTAATGTTTTATCATGGTTCTTAGCTTCTTTACATTGGGTGAGAACATGCTCCTTTAGCTCAGCAGTTTCTTATTACTAACTTCTGAAGCCTACTTCTGTCAGCTCATTCTTCTCAGCCTCAGCCCAGTTCTGTGCCCTTGCTAGTGAGGTGTTGCAATCATCTGGAGGAGAAGAGGCACTCTGGCGTTTTGAGTTTTCAGCATTGTTTTTTAATTGTTTCTCATTTTCCTGAGTTTATCTAGCTTCAATCTTTGAGGCTGCTGACCTTTGGATGGGGTTTTTGTGGGGGCTTTTTTGTTGATGCTATTGTTGTTGCTTTCTGATTGTTTTTCTTTTAACCGTCTGGCCCCGCTTCCATAAGGCTTTTGTGGTTTGCCGAGGGTGGTCTACTCCAGACCCTATTGACCTGGATCCCTCCCGCCCCTGGAGGTGTCACCAGTGGAGGCTGCAGAATAGCAAAGATGACTGCCTGCTCCTTCCTCTGGGAGGTCTGTCCCAGAGGAGCATCAACCTGATGCCATTGGGAATGCTCCTGTATAATGTGTCTGGTGACCACTGCTGAGGTGCCACCCAGTCAGGAGGCAAGGGATCAGGGACCCACATAATGAAGCAGTCTGGCTGCCCCTTGGTGGAGGTGATGCATTGTACTGGGGGGAATCCCATTCTTCCATTCTGCCGGGATTCCTCAGAGCCAGCAGTGGAACAGACTAAGTCCACTGATCCGCAGAGGCTGTGGCTGCCCCTCCCCCAGGGGCTCCGTCCCAGGGATTTCAGAGTTCTGTAAACCTCTGGCTGGAGTTCCTGAAGTTCCTGCAGGTAAGCCCTGTCTGGTGAGGAGGGATGGGTCTGTGACCGGCCTAAAGAAGCAGTCTGGCCACAATCTGCCACAGCCACTGTGCTGCGCTGTGGGGAATTCCTCCTGGGTCCAAACTGCCCAGTCTCCCCAGCACCGGCAAGGGAAAATGGCAGACTGGAGCGGCAGTGATGGCTGCTGCCCCTCTCCCCAAGAGCTCCATTGCCTTAGGCAGCGGGCAGCTGAAGTTATGGCGGCTGCCCCTCCCCCTGAGAGCTCAATCCTCTTAAGCAGTAGGCAGCTGAAGTGATGGTGCTCCCTCTCCCCCTGGGAATTCAGTCCTCTTAAGCAGCGGGCAGCTGAAGGGATGGCGTCTGCCCCTCCCCCCAGGAACTAGGTAGTCTTAAGCAGTCTGCAGCCAAACAGCTGCGTAAAATCTGCACAGCTCCGTGCTTGGGACCAAAGGCCCTTGTGGCGTGGGCTCACGAGAGGAACTCCTGATCCTCGGGTTGCACAGATCTGTGGAAAAAGCGAGTGGTTTCCTGGACAGGTTAGCACAGTCACTCACTGCCTCCCTTGGCTAGGTGTGCGAGCTTCCCTTGCCGTGTGCGGCTACCAGGTGGGCCATTACTCCACCCTGCTTTTCCTCAGTGAGAGAACCTGGATGCCTTAGTTGCTGGTGCAGGATTCACTTGCCGTTTTCGTTCTTCTAGGTGGGAGCCTCTGACCACAGCTGTTTCTAGTCAGCCATCTTGGCCCCTCCCTCCCGAAAATTTTAAATTGTGCAACATTTTTAGTAGCTTGATGAAATCTCTTGTCTTTGGACCTCTTCCCACCTGGCTATAATCAACCCTTTGTCAAAAATATCCCTGCTGTATATACTAGCTACCAGTTAGGTACTTACTTACCATCTCGGATATCAGATGGACAGATCACAAGAAGAAGAGTGAGTATAGCAATAAGAGAAAGAGAGAGACTACATTCACTTAACGTCTTTTATTATGGTATATTTTAATAATTGTTTTATTATTAGGTATTGTTGTTAACCTATTATTGTGCCTAATTTATAAATTAAACATTGTCATTGGTATGTATGCATAGAAAACTCAGTATATTTTGGGTTTGGTACTCTCCATAGTTTCAGACATGCCCTGGGAGTCTTGGAATATATCCTTCTCAGGTAAGAGGAAACTACTGTATCTCATTTGCATGTGTAAATACACACATATATTTACATACATGATATATATGCAAATATGTATACAGACTTATTTTGATAAGTATTTTTATCATTTTTTTTTAAGACAGGGTCTTTTTCTGTCACCCAGGCTGGAGTGCAGTGGTGCAATCATGTCTTGCTGCAACCTCTGCCTTCCAGGCTCAAGTGAGCCTCCTACCTCAGCTTCCTGAGTAGCTGGGACCACAGGTGCACACTACCACACCTGGCTAATTTTTTGACGTCTTTTTAGAGATGACGTGTCACTACATTACCCAGGCTGGTCTCAGACTTCTGAGTTCAAATGATCCTCCCATCTCGGCCTCTCAAAATGCTGGGATTACAGGCATGAACCACCGCACCTGGCCTAGTATCTTTATTTATATATATTATATATGGAGAGACAGATGATACACATGTAAATATTATATATGGAGAAACAGATGATACACATATGTCACATATATTATAATATATAATATTACATATGTATTATATGTGTACAGATGATACCCACACTATATATAATATATATATTATATATATATATATTTTTTTTTCCCCTACTTGCTCTATCCACAGAGTGGTCCTGGGAGCGGCATCACTCCAATAACACAGCATCTAGATCATGGTTTCTGAATGACCTTCAACACTAGAAAGAATTGGGATTTCCAGGTCCAAGGCAAGAAAAGGGTAAGATGGATCTGAAAAACATTGTGCTGCAAATTGAGAAAGTATTCAATAAATGAAGATGCATAACATACACAGAAGCCAGCTTTAAGTGACTTTGATCAGATCTGAGCTAATGTGAAGACTAAAATAAGGATAACATATTATAACCTAATACATGAGTCCATAGTACATTAGTTTGCTAGGGCTGCCATAAAAAGTACTGAAGGTTAGCTGGGCCTGGTGGCTCAAGCCTGTAATCCCAACACTTTGGGAGGCCGAGGCGGGCAGATCACGAGGTCAGCAGGAGATCGAGACCATCCTGGCTAACACCGTGAAACCCCGTCTCTACTAAAGAATACCAAAAAAAGTAGCCAGGCCTTTTGGCGGTCGCCTGTAGTCCCAGCTACTCCGGAGGCTGAGGCAGGAGAATGGTGTGAACACGGGAGGCGGAGCTTGCAGTGTGCCGAGATTGTGCCACTGCACTCCAGCCTGGGTGACAGAGCAAAGACTCCATCTCAAAAAAAAAAAAAGAAAAAAAAGTACTGCAGGCTAGGTGGCTTAAAAAAAATAAACTAATTTTTTTTTTCACAGTTCTGCATGCTAGAAGTCTGAGATCAAGGTGTTGATTCAAGGCTGTGAGGGAAAGATCTGTTTGAGGCCTGTGTGGCTTGTGGATGGCTGTCTTCTTCCTGTGACTTCACATATATTCCCTCTGTAAATGTCTGTGTCCAGATTTCCTGTTCATAGGAATACTGGTCATATTTTATTAGGATCCACCATAATGACCTCATTTTAACTTATCACTGTAAATATCATGTCTCCAAATACAGTCACATTCTTAGGTGCTGAGGGTCAGAACAGGAGGTGGGACACAATTCATCCCATGACACTTAGTGATATGAATTATTATATAAATAAATTAATAGTGTGGAATAGTATGCCCTGTAATTCCATAAAATGCCAATGAATAATAATCACTTTTTAGTGGAGTAACCAGAATATACCTTCAAATCAAGTGATTTGAATTAACGTTTACTTAGCTTGCCTCTTGATATAATACATACAGAAAACCATAGCACTGCTTCTGTAATATTCCTACTATAGTTGCGCATCTTGAATATGATCGTGTGGAAAGAGCATAGCAACTCAAACCTAGGCATATTTTAAAGACCACTTTCCAGTGTTCTTAAAAAACATCAATATTTATAAAAAACAGGAGACTGAAAAACTCTTCTTGATTGAAGAGACCAGACAGTTGTGATAACTACGTACAATTAGCAATCCTGTATTGCATCTTAGATCTCTGAAGGCCATTGTTAATCAGCAAAATTTAGATGGGATCTTTAAATTAGTTGGCAGAATTAAATCACTGTTGACTGCTTTATGTTGATGGTTGTATTGTGGTTATTCGGGAGAGTGCTCTGCTTAGCAAAAATACTAAAGTACTAAGTGTGGATGAAGCATTGTGACTAATGAATAATAAGACAAATATGGTAAAATCCTGGATTGTCTGGATGATGGAGGATTGCAAACATGGAAGTTCTTTTTACTATCCTCTAAATGTTTTGATGAGGCTGAAGTTATTTTAAAGCAATCCCCTCCCCCCAAAAAATACACAAATAGCATCGAGATATTTTTGTATAAAATTTCTTTCTAAACTTCGAAGAAGAGGATCCACTTCCCTCTACCAAAACTGAAGGTTAGCAGATCCTTCTGTTCATTACCAACACTCCTTTTAGATGTTGTATCTGTTACAACATCTTGGATGCGTATGTTACATAGAATATGCGGTGTTGCTTTAAATGTTTATATTTTAATTTCATTTTGCTATACATCCAATTTAGTATTCTATCTTTTTAAAACTTAATACCTACTTTGAGTTCTATGTATATTGTATGTTCATTCCGTTCACCAATTTTAACTTATAGTACATTCCACTAGAAGAACTTATATTTTAAATTTTTTTTCTTCTAGTGACGAGCATGTAGGTTTCTTCCAATTTCTAAATGACACAAAAAAACCTACAATAAACTGCCTTTGGTGTATCTGCTCAGTAATCTGTGTGAGAATTTCTTCTGGACATAACTAGGTTTGGGTCCTTGAATTATAAGCTGTCTGTATACATTATGTCTCTAAATAACTACCAAATTTATTTCCAAAATAGCTGTAACAGAGCCCTTGTTGGTTTTTAATGTTGTTAATATCTTCTTTGTCAATATTGTCTATGATGTACTACATTAAACTTATATCCTTAAATTTGCTATATTTATACCAATTAACTTTAAACTCAATAAATGTGGATTTTAAGTAATTTTTCTTCATTTCAAAGTTACAAAAACATTATTCTATATTTTCTCCATTATAAATTATTACTATTCACATTCAGATCTTAAATTATTCAGAATGCCCTTCTGTATGTAATGTTATTTAGAGATTCAACTTTTTTTTTACATATAGAGAGCCAGTTTTTTATTGCTAGCCCCTGAAAATCAACATTTAAAAAAATTACCGTGTGATTTGTCAACAAAAGCCAAAAATTGATGTTTTTTAGCAAGCATGACTAATTAAAACACTAAGAAAAATAAGAATTTATGGAAACAAATTTAGAATAAACTATGGCTCAAATCCTACAGACAATGGCATAAGGCATGAAAATCAAATAATAAGTATAAATATTTTAAAAAGTTTTAACTCAGTTAATATGGTTGCATACATAGAATATCCAATAACAATTAAAAATTTGTTGAAACAAATAAAAACATTTAGTGAAATGACTGGATTTAAAATAAATATACAAAACAACTAACTTTTATGTGCCTTAAAAAACAGCCATGGAATCAGAACAATACTCGTGTCTAAATTGAGAAGAAATTTTAAATATGCATATGTTAATTACCTAAATTACCTAGAGTTAGTCATTCAAGAATATGTATATACTTCAAAACAATACATTGTTCACAGTAAATACATACAATTTTATGTCAATTAAAGTAACAATAATAATGATACAAGACCTATATCAAGAATATTATTCTTTTTAAAGCACTATGTTGGAATTCATTGTTGTTTTAAAACTACCTTCATTTTAAAAAACTTTCAGGATTTTTGACAATTCATATTTTATTCTAATCTTTTTTTTTTTGTTTTTGTTTTTTTGAGAGGGAGTCTGGCTCTCTCACCCAGGCTGGAGTGCAATGGCGTGATCTCGGCTCACTGTAACCTCTGCCTCCCGGGTTCAAGTGATTCTCTTGCCTCAGCCTCCCAAGTAGCTGGGATTACAGGCATGCACTGCTACACCCAGCTAATTTTTGTATTTGTAGTAGAGACTGGGTTTCGCCACGTTGGCCAGGCTGGTCTCGAACTCCTGACCTCAAGTGATCCACTGCCTCAGCCTCCCAAAGTGCTGGGATTACAGGCATAAGCCACTGCACTCGACCTATTCTAAGCATTTCAATCTTCCATACTTCATTTCACTGTAGTTTGAGTATTGCAGCAGTACAATAAATTTAACAATACCTATATGGTGGGTTTTGTTGGTCTCTAAATTTACCCATTTACCAATGTTTAGATATAAGGGTCTATTGTAAGTTTGTGGTGAGGTGTAACTATAGGCCCATTCTGCTTCTCCTTTTTTCCCCTCCTGTCTCATTTTACCACATTGGCTAGCCCATTCAGAGAGCTACTATAGACAATGATTGGAGGTTCATTTGTAAATGCTTTAACATTCCTTTTACTAGTCTGAGACAGGCAGGCCAAAACAAGCTGCAATATACATGGCAGTTTTTAAAAATCTTTCTGCTATTTTCTGTTTTTAATGGAGTAGTAACTTTTGTAAAAGTAATAATAAACACCCTTTTACTTAATTTCTGCAACAATTTACTTCTGGAAATTGCCAGAATAACTACTGTCACAGGTTATTTGTTCAAATGTCATCAGATCTTGTTTATAATTTATATAGAGTGATAAGTTAAAGAAGATTTTGGATATAGATATCAATGCTATCTATATTGTATAGCATGTTTTATACAGTTATAATATATAAAACATATTTGAAATATGTCCAAATTAATGTCATTTATTATTTTAATGTTTGTAGCATATTTTAACTAGAACTTTCAAAAACTACGTGCAAAGTGCTGACCTAGAAAGAGGCCTCTTAAAAATCATTTACTATGGATTTCTTACAGAATGAAACACTCCTCTCTTCTGTATTTGCCATCAATTTCTTGTGAGATCCAATTCAAAAATCTGATCCTGATCCTTTAAGACTTAAATGAGGTAGATAAGAAGTTGTGCCCTCTAATGTACTGTGCTTTTTACAAAGTGGGACCTTTAAAAGCATATACACACAGTAGTAGACATTTGCTACATGATGAAACTAAATGAATAATTATTCTATTACTATTAAAATCAAATTCCATAACTTTCATATTGTGCATATTGTGACTTCCTTTACTAATATTCAAGTGTTCTGTTTTGCCATGAGAAATTGCATAAACTTTTCTTACATCTTCATTACTTATATAAAGTATTTCCAGCAGAGCACCTTTCGGATTACAAAGTGCCGTCAACATACATTGTTCAAGTTTATAAATTGTAAATTGTTATTTCCTAAAATTACCCTAAATCTTCAGGGAGATTTCAAATCTTTTAGACCAAAGCACAGACTCCACTCCTTTAAAATCCATCAGACACTTCATATGTATACATATTTTCTTATCCTATAGAGAATATGTGAAAAGTGGCAATCACAAACTTCATTAACAAGCCTAAAATCATGTGCCCTGGATTACATAAAAGTGAGAGTTCATACATTAGTTATGTTGACCAGCACTAGCTATATAATTGGTGAGGCCAAATGAGAAATGAAGACTTAAAGGCCCTTGTTTAAAAATTGTTAAAAATTTTTTGATAGTGACAGTAAAGCATTAAATCAAGCATGGTGCCCTTCTGACTGTGGTTCTGTAAGTGACTGCAGTTTGCCTGCCCGTGAAGTAATCCTGATTTTGACTGTGTATGCAATTGGTTAACAGAAATAAAAAAAAAAAAAAGTGAAAACTATTATTTGTCTGGCACGGGTTGGGTTCTCGTATCTTGGATCTTTTTCTATAAAATAGAAACCGTGAGAACTACTGTTGTCTTATTCTATGGATGAAGACACATAGGCAAAGATTTTGCAATTTCACCCATATCTTCTGGAATATAAAATGCTTCTACCCTTAATTTTTATTCAGAGATGAATTCTAAATTAGTCAATGCAATTATAAGAGGTGGGGACTTTAAGGAGTTTAATCTAATCATGTACTTTGAAAGATGTAACAAGTGCAACTAAAAGGAAGATTTTCTAGTCAACCTCTACTCCTGGTACCAAGCTTATGTTTATGAAATTCTTATGTGATTCTTATTCATGATTTTGGATATTTCCACAAGGTGGAACATTTTTCTTTTAAACTCTTTTGCAGTGTCTTTAAGTAGCGTAGGGTTAGAAGTAAAATAAGTAAATAATTTTAGTTTTTCTTTTATCTCTAATTACAGGGCTTGGATGAGGGCCCAGTTTTCATTTCCTCACATCTAATAAAGCTTCTGGATGATAGTGACAAAATAAAAGTGATCTAAATGGCCGGGCGCAGTGGCTCATGCCTGTAATGCCAGCACTTTGGGAGGCCGAGGGGGGTGGATCACGAGGTCAGGAGATGGAGACCATCCTGGCTAACACAGTGAAACCCCGTCTGTACTAAAAATACAAAAAATTAGCCGGGTGTGGTGGCAGGCGCCTATAGTCCCAGCTACTCGGGAGGCTGAGGCAGGAGAATGGCGTGAACCCGGGAGGTGGAGTTTGCAGTGAGCCGAGATGGCGCCACTGCACTCCAGCCTGGGCGGCAGAGCTAGACTCAGTCTCAAAAAAAAAAAAAAAAAAAAGAAAAAGAAAAAAAGAAAAGTGATCTAAACAAGAAAGATGCTACCACAATGTGGAAAAAACTTTGCTTTATACAAGTAGTTGTCCAAATGGAGTCATTAGAGCTGTGCTGGAAACCTCAGTGTCCACACTTACATTGCTGTTCAGCTTCGTATAAGTAATTAAGTCACATTCATATCTACCACTCACATTTTTCCATAATATGTTATGGAAAAAAATCATTTTTGTCGTGATATACTTTGCTGGAAATTTCAGGGTTAAGAATTTATAATAATTTTAAAAAATTTAAATACCAAATACGTAAAAAATTGTAAAATTTGTTTTTAAGTTAATATTTAAATGAACATGTTTATGCACATGTATTCTTCCTTCAGGATTATTTCTTTGAGCAAAATCTCAAAGGACTAATTACTGACTCAAAGGTTATAGACTTTACTAAAATCAACTTTAAATTTTTTCCTAATTATAAAGAAATTTAAAAAGTTATTTTAGACAATTAGAAAATACACATGATATAAATAGAAAGATCATCCCACATTACAGTAAACATAATTAGTCACTATTAAAATTTTAGCATAGATGTGTGTACTCTTATTACTCTGTGTGTGAGTGCATATATTTGAAACATCTACTGTATTAGTACTTTACATATGGTTGTATATTGTGTCTTTTTCATTTAACATTTTAGCATTAGCTTTTTCTTGGGACACTAAAAATATTACAAAATAATAATTTTTAATATCTCTGCAATATCCTTTTGAAAAGATTGTACAGAATTTCTCTCCTTTAGCCATTTTACCATCATTAATACTTAAATTCAAACTTGTGCTTATATGAAAGTAATGCTGTGATAAATATAATTGGTGAATATTTAAGTTACATTTTAAACAGATTAAATTACCAGATCAAAATCTCCTGTTTTTTTAAACATTGCCAGGTTGCTCTCCATAAAGGCTGTACTAATTTACACTCCCAATTAGAGTGCATGAGAGTGCCTATTTTACTGTCAGCTTAAAGACTTAAGTGAGTTTTAAAACATCAATTTTATTTGGCATAAATGATTTCTTATTGTTTTTACTTGTCTTCATCATGAATCAATTTGTTCAGATGAATATTGGCTATTGTCTTGCCAAGTATCTATTGGGACTTTGTAGTTTTTAAAAAGTGACTGGTAAGAATTTATTACAATTTAAATGTGTTAATGCTTTTCAAATATGCTCAAGTTATTTTTCCATCCTTTGTTTTCATCCATAATACCCAATTATTTATATGATTATTTGTTTATTTATTGTAAAATCTTTGACTAAAAAAAACTGAAAAGAAGTTTGGAAAAAATAGAAAAAATTCAGAGGGATTGGTGCTTTGGTGTCATTTTGTAGACAGATTGATTCAGAAAGGACCATTGACTGGAGGGAATTACCTGAATGAAATGAGCATCTTCCCTAAGTTGAAGTGACTACCTTGTAGCTTCTGCCTGTTTCCTTTCTTTCTTTTTTCAGTAGTAACACCCAATTACTGTCACTAATTAAAACTGTTTTCTACCTATTTGTTTTTGCTGTAGTTTTAAATAGGAATTATGGATTTTGTAATTTATCAAATGCATTTTTGGCATTTCTGGAGAAGACCATATGCTTTGTTTCACGTTTGACTTACTGGCATGATGAATCACAGGACTATATTTTCTAGAATAAAATTAACACTTGACATAAATTCTTTGTGGTTATAATTTTTACCTTTTGGCTGGATTTGCGTGTAGTTTATTGAGAATATTGGTGAAATTAGTGAAGTTAGTCTGTTTTGTTTTGCACTGTTTTTGCATACAGTAGCTTTATAAAATATACTGGAAACTTTGTAGCTTTTCCTTTGAGTTTAGAGAAAGTAAAACTTAGCAGATTAATGGAAATTTAACAAAGATCTTATGTAATACTTCATGGAACTAGAATTTTCTATTTTATAGCATATTTATATCTTTCATAACTAATAATCTCTTGGTTTTACAGTATTTCATCTGTAAATTTTAAAATTTATTCTCAACAGAAAATAGTCTATTTTATTGTGGTTTAAAAATATTTTATTGTGGTTTAAAAATGTTAGTATAAATTTTCTAGAGTCACATCTAAAAGTTTTTAGTATTTTTTGCTCATTGTTCATTTTTGTGTGCTTTCTCTATTTCCTTATCTAACTATAATTTTAATCATTTTTATATAAAATATTTTGCTCTGGGGCATTTTACATTTTATAATTTATTTTAATTTTATACTTTTTAATTTTATAATTAAAATATATAATATAAAATATATATTATATAGAATTTATATATAATATATTATATATTATATAATATATAATATATAATATATAAATTCTATATATAATATATTATTATAATATATATAATATATAATATATAAATTCTATATAATATATAATATATAAATTCTATATAATATATATTATATATAATTTATATATAAAGATATAAATAAAATTAAAATATATCAATAAAATATTGTTACATATTATATTATTATATTATATATTATATAAAATATATACTTTATAAATATAGAAAATAACAAATATAAAATAAAATATAAAATTGTAATTAAAATTTAATTTTATAATTTTATAAATTTAATTTATATAATATTTTAATTTTATAATTTATCTCTATATTTATCATCATAGTTTTTTCCTCCTTTTCTTAAACTTGCTATATTTTTTCTTCATAGTTAAATGACAAATTAATATACACAATTATTTTATTTACAAATTAAAACAACTACAAGGTAATTACTTTCTGTTGAATATACCTTTAGCCATAACTTAACACGTCGTGAAATGCAAAGCAATAGATAATTGTTTTCTGCATATTTTTAATAAAAATATTTATTTCTTTGGTCAACTTTATTTTAAAACTAGCATTTTATTTTTTCATTTTAGTTTTAAAAAGAGAAAGTACTTTACAATTACAGTCATCATTAATTTGATTTTATTTAGTTTTTATTTACTCTTTTCTGTTTTATTAGTTAGAGTAATGCTGGCTGCTATAATCAGCAAGTATCCAAATTTCATTATATATCTCAATAAAATTTTAACCTCTCACCTAATAGTACATTGTGGGTTAATGATTGAACTTTCTCCACTTTGTGATTCAGGGACAGGCTTATTCCTTTTTCTTTCTTCAGTGACTAAGACCTCAGAATTATTGTCTTCCATCTTTTATTTCTGATATGCCATTAATATATATCTCATTTTTGTACCAGTTTTATTTCAAACTATTTTATGTTCCTAAATTTGTAATCCTTTTTTATAAAGTATCATATTTAAAACTTTTATTATAAAAATAATGCCACCACCAAATCCTGTAACAGAAATATATACATGCAAACCTGGGCTTCATTTACCATGTATAAAATTTTATCCCTTACTAAATTTAAGCTCCTTATTTTAATCTCAAATGTCCTGCTGTTTCAGAAGCATTACTCTAGAAGGACCTCAAGGATCTACTCCACTCTTATCCTCAACCTTGAAGAGAAAAAAAGTTACTATGGATTAATTTAAGACCAACAAGACTATTGAGCTATATGCAATATTTTGGGTTGGAGTTTTCTGTGTGGAGAAAAAAGGGGCTAAAATTTCTTATATCCTATGCCATGGATTCGATGGATTTCTCTCTTTTGCATAATCTCTTTGATATCTCTGATTGGATTCTCAACACTTTTTGAAATCTACTCTTTGATTTTTCTCTTGGATACTCTTTCTTTCAAAACCTTACTTGGTTTGTGCTACAAGACGCTGTTAAAGCTGTCTGTAATTTTGGAGGGAATCTCATTTTCAGGCCAAGGAATAAGTAGAACAGGTTCCAGAATTAAGACAGTTCATCTAGACAGCTCACATCTGGACATGACTATTCATGAGGCCAGGCTTGTTAAAGAAATTTAAAATTCATACTAATATGTAATGTTTGTCTAACCTTATCATCTATATTAACCTCTTACAAGGCTGATCTCCCCCATCCTGTTTACTTATTTTGTGTTACTTGTTCTCAAAATAATATTAGTGAAATTTTATCTGTCTACCTCACTCTCCATCAGGTGAAACTTAAAGCCACTTCTCCAGTATTTAACATTAAGGACTATGTGTACGGTCAATATTCAGTTCAAGAAACTTAGCAGTGGGAAAAAGTATCCTGATATCACAAGATACATTTATTCTAGTATTATTATGGCAGTGATGCTGTGAAGTCTATTTTATTTAAAAAAAACATTTTTCTTTTTAGTGTAGGCTTTTCTATATAAGCAGACTTTTTTCCTAGTGTCACTTCCTTCTGTGTAACAGAAGCAATAACTCAGAGAAAGGATCCACCACCTGATGACTGTCCCTTCATGTGGTTGATATAGATTTTGAGAAGCCTACAAAAGCTCTTTACAAATGCTGTTTTTCTTACTGGGAAACGGATTCCAGGTGGAGAGCCTATTTGTCCGATGACTGTCCCAATTTCAGTCACTTATGTCACTACATTGGGAAAGGGGGCTGATAGAAATCTGCTTCACTTTTCCTTAGAAAACTCCTTATAGATTTCCATTTAAGAATTATAAAATAATATATGTTAAAGATGTAAGTAATTTTTAGTTCACATTTAAAAAAATTACTAATCTTATTTTTAGGCACTTGTTCAGCACAGCACAGTCATCCTTTGGTATTTTTTTCTTATTCCTCTGAGACTTATGTCTATTTCTGATTCTGTTCCCTAAGCCCTCTGTGAGAATAGAAAGGCAATGAACTCATTTGATTTTTGTTTTAGCGGTGCCTGTCTTTTCAGTCAGTAAATTGCTCTGGCCATCTGTGAGAAACTCTACTCTCTCTGTCGCTGACCTTTTGTTCCTTTCATGTTTGAAAAACGTCTTATTATTTATCTTAACATCTTCTGCAGCCTTCCTTACATTTGTCACCTTTCCTTTTCTTATCATATTTTTCTTTTACATTGCAAGCTCTGAAATCATTTTTAGATTCATAGATTTTGCATGCAATTTTCTTTCCCTGATACTCCTTTTTTTCGCATTTCGTATAGGTAGTGCAAAAATTGTCTTACTGTCTTCATGTTCCTATGCAATGCATTTACTATAGTCATTCAATACAATAAATGTAAAATGCTTAGTTACTTTTAGTTGTTTCTTATTTCTATCTTAAATTTTAAAATGAAGTGGTAAAAACAGTATTCACTTAATCATTCATTAATCACATTTATACAAAATACCTATGGTGCTTTGATGCTTGTAATCTGTCTTAAGTAAGTTCAACTTAAGGAAAAGTATATACTTTTCCTGGTTCTTAATACAGCGTGTTTGATTTTTTTTTCCTTCCGTTTATTCTTCTGGGGTGTATATAATGCTCACAAATATGTCAACACGTAGGCCCACACAGGGCAAAGGTCACTATGTGAAACTCTACTCCTTTTAGTATACATCGTTGTCCAAAATTATGAATGACGTATTTTCTTAAAACATCCAAATATTTTATCAATAGTATCTGTTTATCCAAGGAATGTTTATTCAATGAGAAAGACCCTGTAATAACTATCCACATGACCATGCATTTTTGTAGTACATGAAAGCTGCCTTGATTGAGGCAGGACTTGGGAGAACCAGGTTCTCTATTACCTTCAGCCATGCAGAAAAGCTTCAGTCACCCTGAGATATATGAACTCTGAAATGTATAATGTTTAAAAATGTTTACGTGGTATAATGATTTTAGAAAATTAAGACCAAGTTAGCAAACCGTGAGTTTTAAGTCAAGTAAAATTGTCTTTAATTTCCCTTAAAATAAACAAACAAACAAACAAAAAACCTTGATATTTACTGGGTGCTTACTGTGTGCCAGGTGCTGTTATAAGAATTTACATGAATTAATTTGTATAATCTTTAATAATAAAACTTATAAGGGAGGTACATTACTGGCTCCATTTTATGTATGAAGAAACTAAGAAAAAGAGAGTACAGGTAACTTCTGCAAGCTCACATAAGGAATAAATGGTAGTGATGAATTTGAACCTGGAATGTCCTGCTCTAGAGTTCAAGCTCTTACTCACTATGCCATATCTGGATTCCTCTATCTATTTAATCTTTCTATCACCGATTATCTATCAATTAATTACCGATATAAATAATCTAAATGCACACATTGTATAACCCGAGGATTGAAAATTAGTATAAAAATACATGGCAATAATAAATAACACTGCCATATTGCAGCCTGGTTACAGAGTTTTTCGACATTTCATTTTAATACTTTTTAACAGTTGCTCTGGGAATTAAAATATGCATTCTTAACTTATCACAGTCTATCAGGTTTAATATTGCACCATTACCTATTTCAGTCTTTATATATCACATCACAAATGTGGAAACCTTCTAGATATGTTATAACCACCTTATAATGATACTATTTTTTGTTCTAAACAGATATTTATCATTTAAGAAAATTATGAATGAAACAAAATAGTCTTCAATATTTATCCACATTTCTATTTTTTTGTTTTGTCTCTTCCTTTGATAGACTTGAGATGTGATCTGTTGTCATTTGTCTTAGACTAAGGACATTAGTATCTTTTGTAGTGCAGGTTTCTGACAATAAAATACCTCTGTTCGTTCTCTAAAAATGTCTATTACACAATCTTTTTGATGTGTGTTTACATAACACATAGATTTCTGAGTACTCTTTTTTTTAGTGTTTAAATACCATAGATATGTATTTTTATCTTTTGGCTTCTATTGTTTCTGGTAAGTTTGTCATAATTAATATAATTATCCTTTATATATATAGTTATTTCTTCTGAAATATATTCTTCTTATATATTCTTCTTATATATATTGTTCTTTCTTTGCTTTTGATTTTCAGTATTTTTGCTATGATATGCCTTAATGCAGTTTGCTTTGTATTTATTCTGATTTAGTTTCAGGAAGAGACAAGTGATTGTTTTCTCACCAAATTTTTGGAAAATTGTAAACCATTGTTTCATCTTATGTTTTTTTCTACCATGTTATTTCTCTCTCTTTTGGTGCTTCCCAAATCAAGCATATGTTAGACTTTTTGTCCCTTAGGCCATTTTAGTTTTTTAGATTTTCTTGTCTCTATTCTTCAGATTAGATAATTTAAATGGATTTGTCTTCAATATTACTGAATTTTTCTTCTGTAATCTCCAATCTGCTATTAAGCCTATCTAATGAGTATTTCATTTCGGATGGTATAATTTTAAGTTTGATAACTTCTATTTTCTTCTTTTTAATAGTTTTCAATTTTTATTTTTTAGATTTCCTGTATGTTTAATCATTGACTTTAAAAAAAACTAATTGAACAAATTAATAATAGATATTGTTTGCTAATTCCAACTACTAAGTTATCTAAAGACTTTTTCTATTGACCACTTTTTTTTTCACTTTTTGTTTCTTGATATTTGATAACATACTCCTGATATTTTAATTTCTAGTAAGTTTTTATTGTATTCTCTATGGGTTATGAATTTTATTATTGTTATTTTTAAAGAGTCTTAATATTGTTTTATTAAGATATTTTCATTCAACACCTTAAATTGGATTAATGATTTATTTTTAACCACAAAACAAGCATGTTACTTTAATACCTGAAACTGTATCATTTAAATATTTGCTATCAGCATTTAAATAATTAGTATTTGCTATAATGTTTTTAGGGTTACCAAAAATACATGAAAATCTGAGTCTGAATATCTAAAAATTGCTTTAAAAATCACATTTTTTTAGTTTATATGCTTTTTTAATAATGAGAACTTTCATGAAAAAGAATACTAATAACAATGAAAATAGTAACCAAGAATAATAATAACCTAAGAAAATCTAAAAAGTCAGAATCATATACTTTGGATATTATTTGCTTAGTTAATTAATTAATTTTTTTTTTTGCCCAAAGCAATCATATTTACCTGTTTACTTTAAGATATCTACTTCTCTATGTTTGTAAAACAGTTAAACACATTTTGGTTGACCCTATGTTCCATAGAATGTGGTATTTTTCACAAAGCTTCTTCTTAAAACATGAGTTACGTTTTTTTCTAATCAAAGTGCCTTATGATGAAATGAAGTCTTACAATGTTTTTTGAAAAAAATGCAAAATATTTAATGAGTAAAGCAGTAATGCAATCTTAACATCAATCTTTTCTATTCATTATTTTTAAGTTATTATATATTGTTTCCCTTATGATATTGCTTATGAAGAATTCAGGGTATTTGCTTTCTAGTTGCACATGAGTAAACTTCCAGACCTAACTCAAGTGGTTTAGCTTGCTCCTGTTAAGCAGAAACACGGCAGACCCAGCTAATTGGGCAATTAAAATTAAGGAAGATGCAGCACAAAGAGAGTCTCCCCATTCAACTCCACTCAGCACAAAATATTGTTAATTCAACATTAAAATGATCTTATACTTCATATAAATACTAGGCTTTGTATTGATCCTTGGTGATCTAAGGCTAATTTTACTTTCTATATTACTAAAAAATTTTTAGGTTACATGAAGCTAATATTTAGTATTTAGAATACTAAATATTAAGTTTTGGTTGCTTTTCTACAACCAAAATGTCTGACTTTCTCTAAAATTTTGGCCAGCTATTGTAAAAATGTACAGAAAATGTCAAAATCAAAAATGGATACTAGCTAATGGTAGAAATGAATCTATTTTCACAAGGATAGTATAAAAATTTGACTTAATTCTTCAGTATTGTAATGCTGATGCCTCTGTTATTTGAATTGAGCTTCCTTAGTTGAGCATAAACTGAACTGTTTCTACATGATTTGTATTATTCTATATATTTAACATAATATTAACATAAAATATAAACATATATGTACAAAATAGCTATATATTATTTGTATGTATAATTTTCTTATTTTGTCGCTTTAAGAGACACTTTTTTATTTTTCTTAGTTAACCTTAGGGAATGCCCCTAACATTTTCTTTTCCATTTTTATGCTATACTTATTGTATTTTTTCCGCATATCTCCATTGTCCTTCCAGCTGGAGCATTCACCTTTGCTTCCTCGGGTCTGTTATCTGAAGTTAGAGATTTGTTCATTTTAGCAAGTAGTTGAAGTAATTCTGCATATCTTGGCAATGTGTACATGATGTCTTCATAAGAAATTACTTTGACATTCTATAGACAGTGCCTTTGGTTTCCTGGGGTCATTTAATTTGCAGTGATCGTAGTCTAGATCACAGTTGGCATTGTGTGTTTCTGCATTTTATAACAATTGGATTCTTCTATACTGTGTTTAAAAGATCTTAGCACAGTGGAGAAGGATGTTGCTTTGCTTAGGGCTTCAAAGGCAATGGAAAAGATAAATGAAGGACAGAGAAGAAAGAAGACTTATAATTTGCTTGGAAACTTGATTTTGCTATTTTTGTGCTTTTCTAAATATAAATATAAAGATGAAGTTTTAATTGTTGAAAGGCTAGCAATTATAATCAGTATGTGAGTTCATATAATTTTTCTTTGTGCACTACCCCATAATCCATATTTGTCTCGGTACATGTATTACACTTTCAGGCTTTCTTTAGCCTATGCAGCCATTTTCATGGTATTGTTGATCCAATCAGTTGGACGGGTTGGGAGGGGCCCTACAGTGATTGATACATTTTCTTATCCATTAGCAAAAAAAACACAGGATAGCATTATAACAGGGAATAATACGTAGGAACCAATATTTTCTATGTAACCATGGAGAGAATACAAAATATACTAAACAATTGATTAGTAGAAAAGTTTGTACGTATTATGAGTTTTGAATAAGTCTAGAAATGAATGCAATTCAATATGAGTTTTCAGGGTCTCAAGGTATACATATAAGTCTAAAAATGCACGTGTCAATCTTAACCAAAAAAGTAGCAAATCCATCTTTAAAATATTTTGTAAATATGTAACTGAATGTTGATACTAAAATTTCCATTTAAGTGTTACATTTTGCAATGATTATCAGAGAAGTTTGGAACCAAATTCTGTTTGTCCTAGTGTTTTGAAAAGGTGATAGAGATTGACAACAAATGACCAAGCTAATAGTCTGTAATGTGGAAGCTTCTTGGTTAACTTCATTAACATCGCTTAACAGAATGGGTTCATTCTTTTTAAGGAGTTTTCTAGCTTCAAGGTAAAATAGAGTGAAAGTATCTAAAGGTGGAATTAGAGAAAAGCAAACTGTTTTGGTCAACACTCCTCTACACATGTTAACTCTCCTTCAGATGCAGGTATCAGAGGACTGTCTTAAAGCAAGGCAATATGCAATTTCTTATACTTAACTGAACATTTTTAATGACAAGAAAAGATCAATAGAAACTAAAATAAAAACTTTGCTATGCACAGTGTGGCCAGTGGATCAACATCAGCATTATATACTGGAGGGCAGCTTCAAAATGCAGAATCTTAAGCCTCACCACTGGCCCACTAAATCAGAATTTACATTTTAACAAGACATTTAGGTGTTTTGTATGCATAGTAAAGTTTAATAATGTATTTTCTAAAATGCCCTTAGTTTGCCATAAGTTAAGTACTTTTAATTAGAATCCAACAATACTGGTTTCTAGAGGTGCCAAGAAGAATAAGGAACATATCAGCAAGATGCCTAACTAGAGTTGTCTGGCATTCATTCCCCTTGTCCCCTCTAAAAAAAGGAGACCAAAGCAATGAATATACAATAGTATTTTAACTGAAGTGACTGAGGAAGAACCCTGGGGAGTACCAACTTAGTGAAAAAATCCCTGTGAAGCACACAAGCTAAGGATAGCACTATAAAGAAGGGAAAGAGGCATCCTACCTCTGCCACACTGTTTCCCCACCGTAAGATGGGCTGAGTCAGGGGGAGCTTCCTACAGGAAATAGGTAGGCTGGAGATGCTTACGTGTTCCTCTATTACTGGCACAAATGGCAGCAATCTTTGCTGCCAGTCCTCAGTCCTCAGTCCCCAAATCCAGTTTGAGAGTAGCCATAAGTTCATGCACCTGCACTGCCTCAGAGTAGGAGCCCACATTGAGCCTCTCTCACCTCTGCGACCCAAGCCACTGTGGCACAGCACCATCTTCAAACCTGACCCATGGCTACTGTGTATTCTTCCCTGGGGGCCAGTGGTAACTTTCTCCATCCCTGAGGCCCCACCATCATTTTACCTTTTTCAAACAGGTAAACATGACCCTGTTCAAACACAAACAGTTCAAACATGACCCTGGCTGCCCAGAGACTTGGCCAGAGAGAACAGATGAGATACTGGGATCTGAAATCACGTATGCACTGTACCCCTGCCCTCTCCTTCAGGGAACAGGCAGACCTGCACAGCAGAGAGGCCACCAAATGGCCAGCCAGTTAGCTGAGCCCACATGTACCTGTTCCTGGCACAACAGCAGGTCTGGTGGTGGCCCTTCCGCCCTAGGGAGATTGCCATAGAACTCCCCAATCCTGCCATGCCCTGTAGGCTCACACCTGGCTCAATGGCCAGTCCAGTGATGGCTTCCACCTCCCTGGAGAAGCCACCAGAAAACCTGTCAGCACTTTGTGCTTGACCATGTCTGGCTCAATAATCAACTCAGTGTCCCTCTGCCCAGGAAAACTGCACCACAGCTGTTAAAAATGCCCACAGCCGTGGCCACTGAGAATTGCAGAGGTTGCTGAGGTGGATTAAGGTAAAGAAACTGCGTGGAGACCAAACTATGAGTCCACTTGGAATCAAAGCCAATATACTATATTCAACTGACACCTCAGGAACCACCTAGAGGGAAATCTCTACGTATGGAAGCTACTTAAAAAAATTGTAAAAAGTGACTATTCTACTAGATGTTCAGCTATCAAAGTAGGGAATCAAGAAATATGAAAAAGCAAGGAAAGATGACATCCCCAAAGAAAGAATGAAATAAGTTTCCAATACCAGACCTTCCCCCAAAAAGAACATATCAGAAATGCATGACAAGAAATTCAAAATACTTAACCTTAAGGAAACTCAGTGAGGTACAAAAGAACACAAACAAACAATTAAATGAAATCAGAAAAATAATTAATAATCTGAATGAGAAATCCAACAAAGAAATAGATATAAATAAGAACCAATAGAAATCTTGGAACTGAAGAGTTCAATAAATAAAAAAATACAGTTGAGAGCTTCAAAAATAGACTAAATCAAGCAGAAGAATCAGTTTATGAACTTGAAGACAGGTCTTTTGAAATAACTGAATCAGAGAAAAAATATATAAAAATAAAACAAGAATAATTAGAGCCTATGGGATTTAGAGGACACCATTAAGCAAACAAATATTTACATGATAAGTTTTCACAGACACAAGAGATGGAAAAAGATACAGAAAACCTATTTAATTAAAAATAATAGAAAACTTCTGAAGTATTGAGAGAGAGATGAAATCCAGATGCAGAAAGCTAAAATGTTTCAAATTAAATTCAACCCCTAAAAAGGTCATCTTCAAGGAATATTATAATCAAATGGTCAAAAATCAAAGGCAAAGAGAAATTTAAAAGCCTCAGGGGAAAAGTTAAGTCACATATAAGGTATTCCCATTAGAGTATCAACAGATTTATCAGCAGAAATCATGCAGGCCAGGAGAGAATAGGATAATATATTCAAGGTGCTGAAAGAAGAAAAGCCTACCAGCAAAGAATGCTTCATCTAGCAAAGCTATCATTCTGAAATAAAGGAGAAATAAAGATCTTTCCTGACAAGCAAAAACTAAGGAAATTCATCACCACCATTCTAGCCTTATAAAAAATTATTAAGGAAATGCTAAAACTGAAAATGGAAGAACAATCATTATTGTCATGAAAACACACAAACCTATACAACTAACCAGTAGAGGTAAGTTCAGAATTCAAACTCAGTGTTCCTCAGTAATATGACGGTGCTATGTAAGTCCTTCAGTCCTCTGCTGTAAAGATTTAAAGGCCAAATGGTCAAAACCAACAGCAGCTACAGTTGGTGGCTAAGGAATACACAATAAATAAAGAAGTAAAATAAGGAAACAAAATTATAAATTTTACCCCAGAGGAAAACTGTCTAGAGTAATTTTATGCAACCAGAATTAAGTTTCTATCACCTTAAAATAGTCTATTATAATGACAAGGCTGTTTATATTTCCCCATGTTAACCACAAAGAAAAAAATCATAGCAGATGCACGAATGAGAAAGAGAAAGGAGACAAAGCTTAGCGCCATAGAAAACTACCAAACTACAGAGCTAAAAAAAAGAGGATTAACACTTAACAAAATGGTAGGAGTAAGCTCTTACCTATTGATTATAAACTTGAATGTGAATTCTTTGATTAAAAGTGGAGTGGATGAATAGATTTTTTTTTTTAAAAAAAGACCCAACTATATGCTGCCTATATGAGACACACTTCACTGATAAAGAGCAAAAGATTGAAAGGACGGAAAAAGAGTATTCCATACAAATGGAAACAAAAACTGAGTAGGAGTACTTAAACCAGATAAAATTGACTTTAAGTGAAAAACTCTAAAAATAGACAAAGAAGGTCGTTATATAATAATAAAAAAATGATTTAACCAGAAGATATGATTATAAATATACATGAACTCAACACTACAGCACCTAGATATACAAAGCAAATATTATTAGATTTAAAGAGAGAGACAGACTACAATGCAATAATAGTAGGGAACTTTAATACTCCACTTTCAATAATAAGCAGGTCATCTAGATAAAAAATCAACAAAGAAAGGTTGAACTTAAACTGTACCATAGGCCAAATGAACCTAAAAGATATTTAAAGAATGTATTATCCAATTCCTGTAGACTTAAATATTCTTTTAAACTTCACGCGGAACATTCCCCAGGAGATCATATCTTAGGGCACAAAATAACACTTAACAAATTTAAGAGGATAGACATCATATTAAGTAATTTTTTTTTCTGGCCACAGTGGTATAAACTAAATCAACAACAAGAAAAACTTCAGAAATTTTACAAACACATGGAAATTAAACAACATCCTCCTAAACAAACAGTGGGTCAATGGAAATTTAAAAATTAAATTGGAAATTAAAAATTAAAATGGAAATTAAAAAATTTCTTGAGTCAAATGAGAATAGAAACACATGATAACAAAACCTATGGGACACAGCAAAATCAGTTCTAAGAGGGAGGTTTATAACAATACACAACTACATCAAAACATAAGAAAAATTTCCAACTAACAACCTAACAATGCACCTCAAGAAAGTAGGTAAACAAACTAAACTAAACTAAACACAAAATTGGTAAAATAAGACAATAATAAAGTTCAGAGTAGAAATAAACACAACAGATTAAAAGTTCAAAAATATCAGTGAAACAAAAATTTTTTTGAAAAGATTAACAGAATTGATGAACATTTAGCTAGACTAAGTAAGACTCAAGTAAAATCAGAAATTATAAAGGAGATATTACAACTGATACGGCACAAGTACAAAAATTTTTATGCTACTAAATTTGATAACACAGAAGATATTCCTGAACACATGCAACCTACCAACATTAAATTATGGAGAAACAGAAAATCTGAATGGACCAATAACTAGTAAAAAATTGAATCAGTAATATAAAGTTTTCCATTGAAAAAAAGTTTAGGGCCCGATGGCTTAATTGCTGAATTCCACCAAACAGTTAAGAGAAAACTAATTCCAATCTTCCTCAAACTATTGCAGAAATTTTAAAGTGGAGAATATTTTACAGGATCAATATAACCCTGATTCCAAAACTGAACAAGGAGATGACAGAAAAAGAAAATTTCAGGCCAATATCACCAATGAAAACAAATATAAAAATACTGCACATGATTTGAGCAAATTGAATCCAACAGCACATTAAAAAGATTATTCAATATATCAAGTGGGATTCATCCCAGGGATTCAAGGATGATTAAACATATGCAAACCAATTAATGCAATATACCACATCAACAGAGAGAAGACAAAATCCATCCAATTATTTCAATACAAGCACAAAAAGCATTTGACAAAATTCAACATGCCTTTAGGATAAAAGCTGTCAACAAATTAGGTAGAGAAGATATGTGCCTCAACACAGTAAAGACTATATATGACAACCCACAGCTGGCATCATACTGAACAGGAAAAGTTGACAACACTTCTTCTAAGATCAGGAACAAGACAAAGATGCCCACTGTCACCACTTCTATTTCACATAGTACTGGAGCAATTACGCAAGATTAAAAAAAAAATGAAGGCACTAAAATTGGAAAGGAGAAAGTCAAATTTTGCAGACAACATGTTTACAGACAACATGATAGTATATATAGAAAACCCTGAAGACTCCCTTAGAAAGCTATTAGAACTAGTAAACAAATTCAGTAAAGTTTCACCCTACAAAAATGAACATACAAAAATCAGTAATGTGTCTATATGCTAATAGTGCACTACCTAAAAAAGAAATCAAGAAAATAATTCCATTTACAATAGCTACAAAAAATACCTCACTTAGCATTAAACTTAAACAAGGAGAAGAAAGATCCCTATAATGAAAACTACAAAACACTGATAAAATAAATTGAAGAGAACAAAACTAAATAGAAATATATCTCTTGCTCATGGATTGGAGAAATTAATATTGTTAAAATGACCATAATACCCAAGCTAATTTACAGGTTGAATACAACTCCCTATTAAAATACTAATGATCTATTCAGAAGCAAAAAAAAAAGTCCTAACATTCATATGGAACCATGAAATACCCTGAAGAGTCAAAGCAATACTGAGAAAAAGGAACACAGCTGAAGACATCACACTACCTGACTTCAAAATGTACTGCAAAGTTACAGCAACTAAAACAACATGGCACTGGCATAAAAACAGACATAGAGACCAGTGGAACAGAATAGAGAACTAAGAAAAGAATTCACATACTTATAGCAAACTGATTTTGGTCAAAGGTGCCAAGAATACACATTGGGGAAATGATAAGTCTCCTTAATAAATTATGCTGGGAAAATTAGATATCTACTTGCAGAAGGATAAAAAATTAGAACCCTACCTCTCAGCATATATGAAAATCAACTCAAAAGGGATTAAATAGTCAAATCTAAAACCTGAAACTATGAAACTACTAGTAGAGAACATAGGGGAAACACCTCATGGCATTGGGCTGGGAATGGGGTTTAAAAATAAGACCTCAAAACACAGAAAACAAAAGCAAATTTAACAAATGGTATTACATTGAATTAAAAAGCTTTTGCACAGCAAAGGAAACTATTAACAGAGTGAAGAAACAACCTACAGAATGAGAGAAAATATTTGAAAACTGCATATCTAACAAGGGATTAATATACAGACTATAGAAAGAATTAATTAGAGAAAGAACAAATAACCCAATTTAAAAATGAGCAAAATATTTTAATAAACATTTATCAGTAGAATTCATACAAATATTTAAGAAGAATATGAAAAATGCTCAGCATCACTAATAATCAGGGAGACGAAAATCAAAACCATAATGAGATACCACCTCACTCTAGTTAGAATGACCATTATCAAAAAGACAAAAGTAAACATATGTTGGAGGCCTACTACAATGGCTCATGCCTGTAATCCCACCACTTTGGGAAGCTGAGGCAGGAGAATCACTTGAGCCCAGGAGTTTGAGGCTGCAATGAGCTATGAAGGCTCCACTACACTCCAGTCTGGGCAACAGTGTGAGACCTTGTCTCAAACAACAAAAACAAAAACAAATATAACTAGTGAGGATGTGGAGATAAGGGAACACTTACACACTGTTGTAAACTAGTACAGCCATTATGAAAAATTTCATGGAGGGTCCCCCCAAAATTAAAAACACCATAAAATTCAGCAGTTTCACTACTGGGCATACATCCAAAGGAAATGAAATCAGTAAGTTGAAGAGATATCTACACTCCCATGTTTATGGCAGCACTATATATAATAGCCAAGATATGGAATGTAAGTGTCCAACAATAGATGAATGAAGAAAATGTGGTATATATACAGAATGAAATACTATTCAGCCATAAAAAAGAATAAAATCCTGTTATTTGTGGTAACATGGATGGACCTGGGGGATATTATAAGTGAAATAAGCCATGCATAGAAAGACAAACGCCACATAATTTCACTCATATGTGGAATAAAAAAAAAAAAAAGAAAAACTCTTGATATCCTAGAAGTAAATAGTAGAACAGTGGTTATCAGAGACTGGGGAGGTGAAAGGGAAAAGGAGGATGGGGAGACATTAGCCAATGGATATAACATTACCAGTAGATAGGAGGAATAATTTCTGGTGTTCTATTACACAGCAAGGTGACTATAGTCAACAGTAAAGTATCGTATACTACAAAATAGCTGGGAGAGGAATGATAAACACATAAGGTGATAGCTACATTAATTACACTGATTGGATCATTATACAACACGTATATGTATTGAGACATCAAATTGTACCCTATAAATATGTATTATTGCAATGTATTAATTACAAATACATTTACATTTATTTTTAAATTTTTATTAAAAAATTTTAATTTGACAATTTAAATTGTCAACTAAAAAAAAAAGAAAATCGTAAGAGCCGAAGTACTCAAATATTGTACATGGTGCTGAAATATGCCTGCAGAACATGAGTAAATATAGGGATGTTTCACAATTCAAAGCTCTAACTCCTATGATATGAACATGAAATTCTTAGTGAAATATAACGGAACATATTTCAACTAGAGTAATTCGTTCATTAGGAACCCAGTAATATCTGGTTTTTGCCCATGTTATGCAGCATTTTTTATTATCTTGTTCTATAATGTTTTAAAATATTAAAGCTAGTACAAAATTCTTTATGTAAAAGATGTATCTTAACATTAAATAAATGTTGTATGAGTCCATTATCTTTTTAAATTTATCTAAAGCACTTTTAAAATTTTTATATCAACCATTTTTTTCAAGTGGTTGAACTCATTATTCTGTTGTAAATAAATGTTTCCATGCTTAAGGCAGTCTTTGTGTGCATGCTTTTTTAAAAAAAATATATCCTTGTAAATATAAGTTTGCTTCAGATTTTCTTTCAAGTATTACTAAATTTCTAATTTTTTTTTGCTCACTTATTCTAACTGGCAGAAGTCCTTTAGAAATTTCCTTTGGGCTTTCACACTGTTCATTTCTCTTTTGAAGTGCAAGTGTGTATTTATGCCTTGCTGAGGTGCTAAGCCACATTACCTTTACAAGTCAAATTCAGATTTTTCCAGATCTTAGTGATGCCTTAAGAAGAGTACCAGTTAATGATAATAATAAAATGTTACTTACTTGATGTTGGCGGGAGGACTGTGAAATTCACATGGTAAAATGATTTACAGTTCTTAGAAACAAAATATATTACAAAAACTAAATGTGATAAAGAAATTTTTACACTTTTAAATTGCTGCCATTTTCTTGAGGAAACAGGAGAACATGTTTTTTCATTTGGTTTTGAAATTGTTTTGAGTTGTACTAATATATGCTGTAGTATATCATAATGAATATGAACATTTTCTGGCAAAGTCTTATCTTTGAGCCACTGCAAGATGATTCTGCAGGACATTGAAAAAAATTGATAACAGAAAGAGTTCATTCTAATCTAAAAGTGCTTTGTGGAGCTAGAAAGTAGCTGAGACTACTGGGATAATCTGAGTCAATTATGTTGAATTCACATAGGGTGCTTATGCAGTTCTCAGCTCCTCCCTTCAACAGCTGTTCTTAATCAGTCCTGATGCCCTCTACAATGCTGACTCTGTCTTACTCAAGCAAGACTCCTTAATAATTGCTCACTCATCTGGATCAATCTCTCGCATCGCTTGCCTTTTCACTTTTTGCTTCCTCTCAGTTATTTCTGACTTCTTTACATTAAATATTAATGATTTCTTGTTTTATTTTGCTAAAACTTTACATAAAATGTGAAATTCAGAATGGTATTTTACATAACAGAGTGGAGGTCCAGAGAAGTCTAAGAGCTTTATTTTTATTCACTAGCTATGGCTAATTGCTAGACATAAAAAAAAATCAAGAAATAGACATCTATATTCCCATTTTATAATTTTTTTGGAACTATAACTGTCATCTGTGATATTATATCTTTGCCCATCTCTCTTGTAGGTCAGTTAGGATTCAGAGTGATGTATTTACTAAATGGAAATGAAATAATTTATTTGTATCTATCACATTTTGACCTCTTCTAGCATCTATTTTTAGGAAATCGTTTTAAAACAGAACTGACCCTGCAGCTGAGACCACATTCCTAAGTTTGCATAATATATTAACAAAACTAAACTAAACAATGTTTAATGATTTTGTGGAAGGAGATTCCTTCACAAGCATGGAATACAAAATTGCTACACTGTGAAGCCTCTATAATGTATACCTTTGGTATTGCCAACTATTTATGTTTTAAATATAAGACGTAAATAATATGGTGTCTCCATGGGAGCAGTGAAATGTATCAATATAAACCAATAGTTAGTAGCTGAATCCTCAGTGTATCCTAATAGCTGGCTCCACTTAAAGCTGGCCCCAGTTAAAGTAGCCACTGTTTGCCATACATGAAGCTAAGTGTTAAGTGTTTTAAAAACATTGTTTAATTAACATCTTAATATGTTTTCAGTATAAAACCTGCCGAGTAAGTCTGAGTCTCAGTTTATGGATAGAAGTGTTCAACATTACATTCATGGGTTGAATTTTTCCAAAATTAATTAATCTGGTCTTTCACTCAGAATTAAACAAGCATTTCTTCATCAGTTCAGTTTCTTTCTGTCCTACCCTAACAGATGTTTTTGAATTACATAGTTAAAGTGTCCACACATAGCATGTTAACCAGAATCTTTATCTATTACTATGTCTCCTAGCTTCCTTAGTAGTGGTCCAAACTCCTTCACACAGATATTGCCACGTTTTTCACTATTTTTTCTTTTTCCCACGTGCGAATCCCTATATTTTAGTGAAAAAATTTAAGGAGTTGCCGTGGAAGCAAAATATACAGTTAATGATTTTATGCTAATGTATTAATGTTTCATGTAAATTGATGTGTTACTCTTCCCAAGAGTAATAGCATTTAGAAAGGGAAGAAAAATCTTTTTTATTCTAAGCCACTTTCGATAAAGAAATTTCCAATGATGAAAAAGTGCTTCCGAGTGGAAGCAATTTTCTTCCATTCTCATCCAAGTGTCTGTGAGGAATGATGTGCTGGAGCTGGTTTGCACCTATGGTTAAGAACTGATTGTCAGTGGTAAGGGACATTACCCCTATATATCTTGCATTGTACCGCATGGTAACAACAACTACAAAACCCCCAAAACAAAAAAGGCAAAAACAAGATATACATAAAAAATATATTTTAGAAAGATGGCAAGTGAAATTCTCATTAAGAAGGTGACATTTGATTTAAGACTTAAAGGAAGAGAGTGAGCCTTGTGGATATCTGAGCCGGAGTATTTCCAGTAAGGAATGACAAGTGCTAAGATCCCGTGGCATGGGTGTGCCTTGTGTGTTTGAGGAACAGGGAGACTTGCATGGCTAAAGCCAAGCTATCCAGGGTTAAGGAGATGGAAGTAAGAGCAGAGAAATAGGAAATGAACAGTTCATGGAGGGCCATGTGGTTATCATAAGGACTGTGGCTATTACTCTACATGAGATGAGAAGGCTTTCAAGCATTTTGAACAAAGTCATAACATAAATATAGGTTTTAAATTGGATCCATCTGGCTGCTATGATGAGTGGGGAAAGAGTAAATGTAGGGAAAACTATCACAAAGCTATTAAAGTATCCAGGTGGCATAGATTATAGTGGTTGCAGCTCAGATGGTGAAAACCAAGTGATATTCTTTGAGAAGGTAGAGCAAAAAAGATTTTGTTTGTTGGCTGCATAAATGTCTTCTTTTGAGAAGTGTCTGTTCATATCCTTTGCCCACTTTTTGATAGGGTTATTTGTTTTTTTCTTGTAAATTTGTTTGAGTCTTTTGTAGATTCTGGATATTAGCCCTTTGTCAGATGAGTAGATTGCAAAAATTTTCTCCCATTCTGTAGGTTGCCTGTTCACTCTGATGGTAGTTTATTTTGCTGTGCAGAAGCTCTTGAGTTTAATTAGATCCCATTTGTCAATTTTGGCTTTTGTTGCCATTGCTTTTGGTGTTTTAGACACGAAGTCCTTGCCCATGCCTATGTCCTGAATGGTATTGCCTAGGTTTTCTTCTAGGGTTTTTATGGTTTTACGTCTAACATTTAAGTTTTTAATCCATCTTGAATTAATTTTTGTATAAGGTGTAAAGTTTCAGCTTTCTACATATGGCTGAAACATGAAAAAATGCTCATCATCACTGGCCATCAGAGAAATGCAAATCAAAACCACAATGAGATAACATCTCACAACAGTTAGAATGGCAATCACTAAAAAGTCAGGAAACAACAGGTGCTGGACAGGATGTGGAGAAATAGGAACACTAAATAATTTTACACTGTTGGTGGGACTGTAAACTAGTTCAACCATTTTGGAAGACAGTGTGGCAATTCCTTAAGGATCTAGAACTAGAAATACCATTTGACCCAGCCATCCCATTACTGGGTATATACCCAAAGGATTATAAATCATGTTGCTATAAAGACACATGCACATGTATGTTTATTGCAGCACTATTCACAATAGCAAAGACTTGGAACCAACCCAAATGTCCATCAATGGTAGACTGGATTAAGAAAATGTGGCACATATACACCATGGAATACTATGCAGTCATAAAAAAGGATGGTTCATGTCCTTTGTAGGGACATGGATGAAGCTGGAAACCATCATTCTCAGCAAACTATCACAAGGACAAAAAACCAAACACCACATGTTCTCACTCATAGGTGGGAATTGAACAATGAGAACACTTGGACACAGGAAGGGGAACATCACACACTGGGGCCTGTCATGGGGTGGGGAGGCGGGGAGGGATAGCATTAGGAGATATACCTAATGTAAATGACTAGTTAATGGGTGCAACACACCAACATGGCACATGTATACATAGGTAACAAATCTGCACGTTGTGCACATGTGCCCTAGAACTTAAAGTATAATAATTTAAAAAAAAAAAGGTTTTGTTTAAGGGAGAAAGGAGCCTAGGGTGAATCTAAGGTATTTATCCGAGCAACTAGATATGTGGACCTTTGCAGGAAGTAAAGGTTTGGAAGGGAATCACAGATCATTTGGATCCATTCTACTTGAGATGCCTGTTAGACTTCTAAATGTTGAGTAGGCAGTTGGATATACAGAAATCTGAAGTTCAATAAAGAGGTACAGGGTAGAGGTATATATTGGGGTTCAGCAAATAAATGATGTTTAATTCATAATGTGGGATGGGATCACTTGGGGGTAAATTTCAATAGAAAAAAAGTCTATTTAATATGATAGACTTTATGTACACCATTGTTGTAAAATCACTACCTACACATTATTCTCCCTTCTTCCCACCTCTGCAATACATTGCATATAAACAAAACGCTTAACCCATTGTGTATTCTTTATAAAAACCTGGCGAACTCTTACTAATGATTTATGATTCAGTTTAGATATCACATTCTTCATCATATATCTAGAGAATGGATGAGTTGTCACTTTAATGGGGAATATATTATCACACATTAACTCCCCTTTATTTAACTTAAATTTCTACATTGTTGTTGTTTTTTATCACCTTTCTCACTTATTAGATCATAAACTTCATTAAGTAGGGATCACATATTTTCAATGCCCAGTAATATGCTTAAAAAATTGAAGACATAAAGTATATATTGATGAATAGAATAATAGAATAAAATAAAATAAATAATAATAGAAGGACAGGGGAAGAAGAAACAGAGTTTACAGAGTAAGTGGCGGAAAGAGATGTGAAAGAAGAAGACCAATATATATTTTATCTAGCGTGTAAGCCTGCTTCTAAAAATCTGCTTGCAATTTTGACAAACATGGAATACATACTATATAACTTAGCAGAACATGATTCGATTTCCTCTTCTGTGAAATGAGAGTGTTGATCTAAGTCCCTTCCAGCTTTAAAATGCAAAGGTTTTGTGACTCTTGGATTCCCAAGTGAAATATGGTCTGTGATTTGTGTACATTTCTTTTTCCCCATGTTTGGTCATGCCTAGTACTCTAAAACCTCAGACTGGTCCTGGATGCCCTCAAGATGCCTGTTTAGTCTCACTTCCTCTCCTGTCATGGGATGGTAGACTTCAATACTCTTACTATTTCACGTTTTATTACCACTCGTAAAAAAATCATCTGTGCTGTCTTTGCAATATTTTTATTTGCTCTAGATTGCCTTACTTTCCTTCTCAATATATAAAGAAAAAAGATCTTCTGTTTTCCTCTGGTTTTTAAAATTTGTCTGTTTTTAATATTTGACATTAGGAAAGGAAATTATCACTAAATGCCATCATTTAAAAATTGCTAGAAAAGATATTGTGTGAAAATGTGTGATTTTGCAATGATTATAATTAATTCACTATTGGTTCTTCAGAGCAGTTTGTTATTGATTCATACTGCTTTATAGTTTTCCATATATCATTAAAGGTTCATTAATGAAGACCTATCTTTATCCTCTTGCCATCTTTTTTGTTTTATTCAAAGGTCTCTGCTGAAATATAAGCCAATAACACATGCATGATACTGATTTCACTAGAAGCTGATCACATTTAATTCTGCCTTCAATAGTGGCTTGTTTTCTGAAATGAGGCACTTTTTATAGCTACTCTAAAAGCTCACACATTTTATTCGTTTTTCTAGATAATATAAATCTCATGGAAAGAAGTATGAATTTTAGAATTTGAGTGTTTATGGTACAGTGAAATAAAGCCCTGAGTCCAAAACTCATTAAACTAAACCATATTAGGTCAACCTTAAATCCTTTTCTTACTTAGTGCTTAAGAAAATGTACAGCATGGTGACTATAATTAATGATGATATATTGCATTCTTGAAAAATGCTAAGACAGTGGATGTTAAATGTTCTCACCACAGAATGATAGCTATGTGAGATAATTCATGTTTTAATTAGCTCAATTTAAGCATTCCACAAAGTATATATACTTCAAAACCTCATGTTGTACACAACAGATACAATTTTATCTGTCAATGTAAAATAAATAAATTTGAAAAAAACCCACATAGCCTCATTAGACTTCCTTTTTTGTCAAATACAAAAACCAGAGTTGGTTTTTCATTAGAGAGGACATTAGATTTGAAAGCCAGAATAATGGAAAATTTGAGTGATACCAAATGAGTCATATTATGTTTGTAAGCTTACTTCCTCCTTGGTAGTTTTAAATAATTAGGGAAATGATCTTTTAGTACACTGCTTCAGCAGCAATATAATTATTTTGTCTAACACAGGACCTAATTTTCTACCATTAGTTGTACATGTTAATTAAGAGTCATTTCAACCAATCAAAAGACAGATATTTAATGAGTTTCTATTATGTGAACAAGTCTGTGTTTAGTTCTATAGAACAGTAGATTTTGAACTTTTTAAATTAAGATTTACAGCTGAGAAATCTGTCATATATTGTGAACCAGCATTCATGCACACTTTCAACAGAAACAAGTTTCAAGGAACAAAACTTCCGTTTATATTTGTGAGGCACTCTGAGGCAGTCTTTGCTTTCTACTATTCTATTTTATTTTATTTATTTTATGTTATTTCGTTAAATAATGTTGATTGAGACCCATGATCAGCAGATTGAAAAACACTATTATGATGTACATATAAGCTGTATCTTCAAGGTGATATCTAGGTCAGAAGAGAAGAATAACATGAAACAATGTACAGTTTAATAAGAGACAGTGAAATTGTCTTTGAAGAAATGAGACTGGAGCCAGACTCTGAAGAACAAGAAGAATGTGGAAAAGCAAAGGTACAAACAGGAAAGGCCAAGAATAAACCATAGACTTGACCATAAGAATAAACATGGACTTGTTCTCACGATAGTGAGGAGACACTATTGATTGAAGTGCAAATATGGTCTTGGGACAAAGGAATTATAAAGGCAGAGAAAAAGTCTCTAACTAGATGAATAATAACTCAGAACAAGAGAGAAAAGTTTACACCTAACATAGGAGAAAAAAGAGAACAATTCAAATATTTTGATCATTAGAAATGTGTTGATGAAATGATATTTAAGAAAAATTATAATATGATGAAAGTATACAGAATGAATTATGAATAAATGACTCCAGAGAGAGAGAGATCTGCTGTGACAGTCATTCTGATGTCATTTAAATAGAATCTAGACAAGGTGTTAGCCATAAGGATATACATTAAATCAATTTACGGGAATGGTTTATGAATTTTCTGCTTACAGAAGTGATATGTATTATGCATTTGTTATCAAATTGTCTCCTTTAAATTTTTCCATCTTAAAATGTTGCAAAATACAGTGAAATTTTATAGATGTTATTCATTAATTAAGCAAATATTCATTAAGCACCTATTCTGGTCAGAGTGCCTGCTTTGTAAAACTTACTTTCTAGTGGGAGAAGAAAGATAGTATTTATGAAGAACAAACAGAATAATTTTAGATAATAAATAATGCTGGTTTATGAGATAGAATATTAGAGGTCTAAGAATGGGTTATTTTAGCTGCAAGCGGCAACGCAGAAATAACTAAGAGAAATAGAGCCCATACCAGGACTTTCAATTCCACATATGACCCTTTCTTATCTCATGAAAAAAATCAGAAACAACATATGTGGACAAAGGACCTGGATCATGAAAACATAAATGCTCTGGAGACAGAAAAATATGAAGATTGTACCCAAGACCAGTTCCTTGATCTGTAGAAGTCAGAAGAGCTATCTGACTCCCATAGGTCATGCAATTGATGCAGGATTTTTCTCAGTCATTTTGCCAGCTGGGGACCTCTGCAGCTGGTTACCTCCCCACCCAGGCCCAGGGCCTGCCACAGGAGGCAACCTGTCCACTTGGACCATCAAGCCACTCCTGGCTTGAGCACTAGCCTGGATCCCACACTCACTGCAGGAGCTGTGCTCAGCCCATGCCTGGGCCAGCATGCCTCAGCCTGACTGTGTCACAGCTTGTACCCCCATTCGACAGTTCCCAAGTTCTTGTTCTGCATCCAAGAAGAATTAGGTCATACTGTCTCTCAAAAGGTGAGGAGGATGGATAATTTTATTGAGCAACAGGACAGCTCTCAGCAGAAAGGGGACACAAGGGTGGTCCCTACCTGAAGTCATGTGGTCTCCCTCCCCATGTGACGGGGTCTGGGATTTTTATGGGCTCAGCATGGGGGAGTGTGTGCTTACTGGTTTGTGAGTATGCAAAAAAGACTAAAATAAAGGCACCACTCAAAGGTGGGCACAACAATGTAAAAAAAACAATTAGGGAAGAATAGGTATATGTGAAACAGGTGAAGGGTGGAGATCAGAGGAAAGCACACCACATGGGAAGAGAGGTTCTCAATCTGGTCCATGGATTTGACTTGTTGCTTGGCTTTCATGCTTTAAACTGTCTTTGGCTTGAAGGTGGGGTTTCACTGGGGAGCCACCCCTGTCTGCCTAGGATTTATCTGCCTCTTGCTGCTATCACAATTGGTTTGATTCTAAGTCAATTATATTTAAATCTCTAAGTGTCAAGGTGCCATATGGTTACCCTAGGATTGCTGAGTTTTAGTAAAAGTTATAACAGAGTAAAGCAGAATAAGCATCTCTAGGGATTATTGTTTCAACCAGAAATGATTGGACAGCCACCCCCAGATCTACTTGATCAAGCAATTTAGGACCTGCTGAAGAATCTGCATTAATAACAAATACCCCAGGTAAAGCCAAAAACTATAAAAATTCAAGAATCACTGAGAATTTATTTTATTGTACAGTTGAGTTGGGCTGAAGCTGGTGAGATTAAGTAATGCTCGTGTTCATCCTGTCAGGGATTAAGCTAAAACTAGGATCTGATTTTTCTTGATGTTTTCAAAAGAGCATAGCTTTTATATTTAGACACATCTGACTGGTGTTTGGCTATGTTTTTCACTAGTTATATGACCCATGTCAAACGGATTAAGCTCTCTGAGCCACTGATTTCTTTTCTGAAAATGGGGATAATTATACCTACCTTAAAGGTGTCATTTTATTTGAAGGATCCAGGATAACTTTTGTTAACCAATGGTGCCTGGCATAAAGAACCTGAATAAACTGTAGCTATTGTCATGGTGCCTTCTGTATTGAGACTAACAGAGTAAATGTTCAAGCATGTGGGCTCTAGAGCTAAACAGTGTGTGCTCAGATCTCAGTGCTGCCATTTACTAGCACAGAGACTTTGGAGGAAGCATTGTAAACTCATTGTGCCACAGTCCCTTCATTGGTCAAATGGTGAATGGAATGTAACACCTTAATGAATTGTTAAGAATAAATAAGTTAATACAAAAAAAAACTATTTAAAACAGGGCATGGCATATTTAGGTACTCAATATTCTCTTGTTGTATGTCCTCACTTACAAAGAAAAAGAGAAATAGCCTTGGGGAGGTCATTGTTCATAGGAAGGCTGCTGTGTAGTCAGACAATTTCAGTTACAGAAGAATGAGTGTGGTATGTGGATCATTTAAAAGAGGTCAGTGTAACCTTAAGAGTCAGGAATGCTTGGATACCTATTTCTCCTGTATATAGAGTTGTCTCCTCGGATATTTCAAATTCAGGTAAGGCCAAAAATTGGGTAGACTGAATGTTCCCCCTGGGTGTCTTTGTTCTGTTTATTTTCTCAACTGTCTTTCTCCTTACTACTTTTCTTGTTTCTTTACTCTAGGTAACTTTGTGTTTTCTTTGGATTTTTAGAAATCCAGTGAAACAAAAATGTGATTGTTACATTTGAATACATTTTCTAGCTTCATGGGTGTTTAGTCTTGTATGGAAACCTCAAAATACATTATTATTCCCAAAGAGGAAAAATAATTTTCAAACGTTTCAATTAAAGTTCTTGTCCATTAAAATATTCAGGTCACATCAACTAAGCTCCTCATGTAAAATAATAAATAACACTAAATAACATAACTAGCTACTTTTGTTTTAAAACATACCTTAATTATGATTAACATTAGGTTAAAAGAGTGAATCATATTTACATATGTACATAAAGGCAGTCAATAAGTCCTGATGACTGTACTTTCAGAGGCAGTTTCAGACCTGCTGTTTGTATTTCTGACCCCCAACTCTACTGCCACTGAGAGTGGCAGGAGGCCGAAAAATTCCTAGGCAGACAGTGACAGGTCCCTGGTGAAACCTGACCTTCAAGCCAAAGATAGCTTAAAGCCTGAAAACTGAGCTGCCAGAGTCCACAACCAGAGTTAGAACTTCCCCAGTGCCTTTTAGTCAATTGAACGGTGCTTTTTCCAGGCCCACCCATGGACCAATCAGCTTGCACTCCCCCATTCTGGGCCCATAAAAACCCCAGACTCAGCCATCTATTTGGCTATTTGCTTTCAGGCACCCTCTCACACAGAGGGCTACCTACGTCTGGTCCCCTCTCATTGTCTGGTCCCCTCTCATTGCCGAGTGCTTTTCTGTCACTCAATGAAATTCTTCTATGCCTTGTCCACTCTTCAGTGTCCACATACCTCCTTCCTCTCTTGGATGCAGGACAAGAATGCAGGACCTGCCTAATGGCAGGTGTGAAAGGAATTGTAACACTGTAGCCCTCCCATCTTCTGCGTGCAGTGGGTGGCTGCCCCACATGATGAGAAGAGGTAATGGCATGCCTGGGACAACCTAGGAGCCATGGTCTGGAGCAGGGCAGTGGGACTGAACAAGCCATGACACGCCCCTGTTTGCTGAAGTGTGCAGACAGGGAAAACAAATGAGCTGTAACTTGCCCCTCTTGTTCACCACACTGCAGGCAGTGGGAACAAATGTGATCTGCAACATGAATGAGCTGAAACATAGCCCCCCAGCCATGCTGCAGGTGGCAGGAAAGAGAGAGAGAGCTGCAGCAGTCCTCAGGGAATCAGGCCTTGGAACTCTCTGGGCAAAAGCCATAATACCACTTGGGGCTTCATGGTTGTTGACCTCTCAAAGTTTTTGGGTGCTGCTATATCCCCCTCAACTAGATGCTGGCATCCAAGGTGGAACACAGTCACAGTTTGCCAGACCCGCTGAGTACAGAGCCGCAACAGGCATGGAATCTGGGCTGGTAGCACGAGCTGAGTGCAGCCTGCCAGGCTGAGTGAGTAGAGCAAGTCCAGCGGTGAGCCTGGAGCTGAGTGAGGCCCAGGTAGGGGAACTGCAGGCTGTGGAGATTTCTGGCTGGTGAAGCAGCACCAAAAGAATCTTGTGTCACCACCACATTATTATAAGAACTTCTTCTATAAAGGACTTTTGCAATAGCCTTTTACCTAGCATCCTAAAGCATTTCCCATTCTCAAACACAGCAAACTTGTAAAATCACAAAGCTCTCCACATTACTCCTATAATGCAAGCAATTCAGTGGCTTTCTATTGCTCTTAGGAAAGCCAAAAACCTTTTAAAAGGCCTTCCTGGTCTGGCTTGTGCCTCCCTCTTGCTTCTTATATAACTCCTTTCTCTTGGCTCCCTGTAGTGTATCAACCCCTCCTCAGAATTATTCAAACCCTCCTCAGAATTTCCTCCTGGCTTTAACCATTGGAAAACTTCTTTGCTGTTTATCTGTGAAGAACATACACAGACCTCTTACTCATCATCCATGTTTTAGGTATTAAATCTCATTTCTTCAAAAAGTCACTCTTAGCTGGGCCTGTAATCCCAGCACTTTGGGAGGCTGAGGCAGGAGAATCACTGGAGGTCAGGAGTTTGAGACCAACCTGGCCAAATGATGAAATACTGTCTCTGTAAAAATACAAAAAATAGCTGAATGTGGTGGTACAAGCCTGTAATCCCAGATACTCAGGAGTGTGAGGCAGGAGAATCACTTGAACGAATTTGCAGTGAGCCAAGATTGTGCCACTGCGCTACAGCCTGGGTGACAGAGCTAGACTCTGTCTCAAAAGAAAAAGTTACCCTTCATTTCATGGAATAGTTTAGTCTTAACTGTTTTATACTATTCTAGCACCTGTTGGTATGTTTTTTGTGGTCCACATTGTGCTTAAGCCCTTAAGCCCACAGTGCCAGGGACCATGCAGGGATTGTTCAATATTACATTCCCAGTTGGAAAACTGCCAAGCACAGATAAGGAACTCAGCAATTATTTGTTAAGTGAACAAATGCATGTATTAATAGCATCCATAATTGAAATAAAAAATTGAAAACATTATGTCTAATGATAGTCACTACTGGCAATGACTAAATTAGACTTTAACTCTAACATATATTTAGAGTTGGCCACACGAATGTGTGCGTGACAACAATGGAATGATTCCCTATTAGTTTCTTCTTATTTTCTGTCCATGGTTGCTTTCTGTCTTATGGTGACACATAGGTCTTGGTGGTACATATATACAAATTGATTTAATTTGAATTAATGAAGATTTAAGGAATGATCTGAAATATTGCTCAATAGTGCTAAGTGAAATAAAGTGAATACAGAGATCCTCTTTTAGGTTTTGCTCTGCAAAAACATCTTTTCCTTTTGACCGTATGACTCCTGCATCCTCTGAACTACCAACCAAATGGTCTCAATAAGTTCAACTTAGACATGAATATGAGCTCAGTGTTAGCCATCAAAACCTTTTCCATAGATAAATGGTTGATCATAGGTAAGCACATTATCAAAGGAGGACCAAAGTTCAGTTGGAGTGATTTCTACCAACATTTAGAGTTACGATCTTCCTCCTTTTGAGATTGTGACTACTCTTTCTTAAGCTTTAGGTGGTCATACTTTCTGTTAAGCAGAGACAGTCTACCTAAAAATAAAGCAAATATTAAGAATAGCAGAGATGACAGAGAAACTAGGTCACCTAGATTTGGCTGTCTTTTTGGAATTAAAATGTATGTAATGAAATAAATAACTTTTTTTTCTACTCAATCTAATTTATTTGCATTCTAGACACAGTGACAGTTTATAAACTTTTTTTAAATATAATCCTTTAATGAGATGTGAGTGTATATAGTGATATAGTATCATCAATAATCAGATTTTTAGAGATGGCTCCGTTAAACATAAAGATGAATAAATAAATACAGAAAAATATAAAGACAGAATAATATGAGATTTAGAAATCATGCTATATCAACACATAGTTTCCAACTTAAGGAAGAAAAGGCTAAGAGGAAACATAATTCCAGTTTTTTTATTTGTCTTTATAGAGATGGGATCTCGCTACATTGCCTAGACTGGTCTCAAACTCCTGGCCTCAAGCAATCCTCCCACCTTGGCCTCACAAAGTGCTAGGCATAATTTTAGTTTTTAAATATTTATAAGGCTCTCTTTCTTGCCCAAGGAGGGGAAACACATCTTCCTTTTTTTTTTTTTTTTTTTCTTTAGAGAAAAACGTATATAGGAGATCGGGATACATTACTGAATGCCAAATTCTTAGATTACTATCAAGAACCACTTTTAACTTAGAAATGTAAAGTAGGGGAGAAGTCATTATTGTAAGTAGCTTCCAGATACTTAATTTTTGAGCAAAATTTAGCTAATGCTTATCAGGAATGTTGCGGAAAAGATAATAAATGTGGCAGAAGGAAGTCTATGGTTTCTCACTCTATGAACCATTGCTTACAATTGTCAGTGAAGCAGTAGCCCAGTAGAATATATTTTTAAAAAATCTTCAGAAATGTATGACACTACTTTTTCCTTTTCTTTTTACTTTCATTCCCTCTTCAAAATATTCTAATTTTTCTTCTATTATTCTTTGTTTTAATATTACATTCTATAGAGTCTGAAATTATAAAGACATTTTTCTTCTTTTTGCTTAGCATGATAGTTAATATGATGAGAGGTTATCTGTAAATAAATTTCAAAGTGCCTAAATTATTTAGATATGTGCACCTTAAGCTAATTTTACTGATTCATAATCACTAAGCTAATGGAAAACACCTATAAGTGATATGGTAGACTTTGAAGGTAATGAACTTCAAATGACAATTAGATAAGAGCACATCAATTCATTTTGAATAGGAAAAAAATTCTCACAAAGATAACTAAAGTTGAATACTTTCCCAAAAAATACAAGAGGGAGCCCAAGATGGCAAAGGTAGATGCATCAGAAAGTCATCTCTTTCCCTCTAGAAAAACTACTGTTATTTATCTTTGTATCAACAGCGTACTCAAAATTAGAAGTAGATAGCCTCAAATATTTGTTGTTTTATTGTTAGTGAGGAACGAGTGTTGTTCAATAACATCTGACTTATCCAAAACATCCTAATTAAAAAAAAATCATTGAATTTCATGCTGGAAAGAAACTTGGATAGAAAATGTTGTCTAAATTTTGAGTTTTATAAATAATGTGAAAAATGAGAGAGACAAAAATAGTAATATGGTCGAGGGATTCGTCACAGCTCTGCCCTCTCCCCCATGAGAAAAGATAGATAAATTTAAAAATCTAACAAAAATAAATTACACTTCATCTAATGAATAAAATTTTGAGACAGATTATGACTTTCCTGCTATGAGGCCTCTCTTTTTGAATTGACCCTGTAAGGATGTGAGAATTGGAGATCAGGGAAAGGATCCTGTATATAGTAACTGACACACTTTGTGGCACATTCTTTCTGATGTTGTCCATCTGATAAATATGAGATGAGAACCCAGGATAAGACAGTTAATTAAATTATTTAACTTTCTTATCACAGTGTCTGGGATGTAGTACAATTTAATAAAATTTAGTTCTCTTTGTATATTCCAAGTGTCCTGACTACACCTTTGGTGCTCTTACTTGGAAATTCATTTACTGAATGGGAAAGTACAAGGCATGACATGTATTATTATAATGAAGCTGATGAAACTATAGAAAATCAAAAAGTAGGTTTTATTTATACAGTAGTATTATATTTTAATATTAAACTAAACTTATAGCAGTGGTAAATGAATGTTTTCTGAAATGGGCCAAATGTTAAATATTTTAGGTTCTTCTAGCCATATGTTTTTTCTGAAAAATAGTTAACTTGGCAATAGTAGCATGAAAGCAGTCATAGACAGTACATAAATGCATGACTGCACGGTAATAATACTTTATTTATGAAAAAAAGGTGATGGGCTAAATTTGATGCAAGGTCCATAGTTTGCTGCTCAGATATTCATACCCTACTCTTCAATATTACCCCCCCAACATTTTTTTTAGGAATTCTTTTTGTCCTTGGGATGGAGATCGTTAATTTTTTGGCTTTATGCTGTATCGAAGTTATGAAAATCTATAGCAGAATGGTTTTGAAATCCATGGCCCTCAATTGCAGCAGACAGAAATGTGTTATTAGAGAGAATATTTTACAATTCTAAGTTGACTTTAAATATTATTAAGAACACTCAAACTAGAGAGATTATTCCATAAGACATATAATAAGGAAGAGCGTGTGGTGACAGAAAAGGCATTTTTTCCCTAACCAAAAGTATATGAGAGCTTATTCAGGCAGAAAAAGAAGAGAGAAAAATCAGAAGAGATGTGACAAATGTAATTAGCATTTAGATGCTGGTTGGTTTCTAAAAAGGTCTATCATCTCAGTCTCCTCTTTTGTGGTGATCTGCAGATAAATGCAACCAGTTTCCTGTGTGCCCGCTTTCCCCTTAATTGTGGGGAAATGGCTAAGAGGTATAGCAAGTCAGTTGAGGACTCATGCATCAGGAGGTGAAGAAGCAATGTGTGTAACTTAACCATGGAGAACCTAGGGGGATCAAGAACACCCATCAGCAAATGACACTCCAATAAAAATGGAGAAATTTCACCTAGGAATATTATCTCCCAAACCAAGAATGCCATAATGATACTTACATTGCCTCCATGATGCAACCCAATTGCCAATTAGAAAAAAGAGGGAGAGAAGAGAAAATAGCAAAATCCAGAATTAAGTACTTACTAAAAGAAATTGTTTTGAACTAGAAGTAACTGAGCTATTTGAATTGTCAAGCTTAGTATTTTAGTTGCTGAGTGTAAGTCAAATCTTTTGAGCTATGCTAAATTGAGAAATATAAAAAAATAAAGAATTTTAATCATTTTAAACCTCTATGTGATTGTCTAAATATGACTTATGAAATTTGCAAGATGCCAATGCTATATAACATGGAACTTGCCCAAACTTCACCTTTCTATAAAGCCAACAAAAGAACATCAGAATACTATGAGAAAATAGCAGTAATAATCCAGAGAGAACATACGTTTATGACATTTGAGACTGTATCTTTTGGGATTGTGACCCAAACCTGAAATATCTATTTGTATGTGATGACTTACTGGTAGTGAATATCAAAAAGTGAAACTCTTTTTTCCCCCAAAAATCCATTAATCTACATTAGACCAAATGTCGTCTTAGAATGCAGTTATCTTGAGAATTTACTATTTGCATTCATTTTCCCAAGCATTTTGAAACTTCGAATTCCAATAGGCAGCCTACTAACAACAGAAGAATTTCACTGTCAGTCATGATTTTTAACTCCTGCCCTATAAACAGGCCTTCATTTATATGGAACTGTGAGTCTATAAAGTTTCACAGGAACAGTGACTATGTTGGCACATTCTTCATACTGATTCAATGTCTGAGGACAGAGAAGTGAACAAGAGTGGCCTAATGCCAGTTTGTGTGGATCTTACATTCTAGTGGAAGACAAAAGAGAACATTTGCAATTAGAGAAAGAAGAAACTATACGATAGTAGTAAGTGCTAGGCAGATAATTGAGACAGATGATGTCATCGTGTGTATCTGAGTGACTACCAGAGATAGCCTCATGGAGAAATGGCATTTAAGTCAATGACTTGAAAGAACCAGCAATGTGAAAATTAAGAGAAAAAATTCTCAAGGCAGAGGTAACACTTAGTGTGAAGATCATAAATTCAAAAAAGAAGCTCCATAATTGAATAAATAGAAAGTCAGTGTTGCTTAAAAGTCGTAGCTCAAAGGAGAGTGCTATTGGATAAGGTTGGAAAAATGGCAGAGTTCCGCTCTATAGGACTTTGTAAGCAGGATAGGGAAACAGGGTTTATTTAAAATACAGAGTGAAGTCAATGATAGACTTTAAATAGGAAGTAATTGTATGTGTTTAAACATTTGGACAAGATGACTTTGGCTAACATGATTTTAAGGATGTGGTAGTGGCAAGTGTTGAAGCAGAAAAACTTTCAGAATATCAGGTAACAAATGTAGTAGGCAATAGAAGTAAAGAGAGAGAGAAATAGATGGATTCACTCTACATTTAAAAATATTTACTGATGAGTTAGATGTGGCAGAGTAAAAAAGAATACTCAATGATACTCTCTAGATTTTTGATTTAAGCAAGTAAAAGTGTGGATGAATGATGTGGTTCTTTCAAATGAGGAAAACCAGGGGAAGAAGTAGGTAAGGAGGTAGAAATTAAACATTCTGCTCCATATTAATTTTGAGTTGAAACATAATTCCATATTTATTAAATGAATAAATGAATGATGTCCTTTTATTCAAAAGTCTTGGTTCCTAATAACTTTTAGCTTAATTTTTTGTAGTTTGAAAAAACCCTAAATCTCACCTCAAACATTAGAGAGATGTTTCTTTATGAAGTCACAAAAGTTAAAAGAAAATCATATCAGGGAAAATAATATAATAGGGGAAGAAAAGATTGTAAGAGTTCATTTAAATAAAATCTTTATTCTTTTTCCTAGATGATAAAATAAATGTCAATAAAGATAAATGATTTCTCCACCTAAGTACAATCAATGACTAAAAGAGCCAGAGTACATGAGGTTTCTTAACTATTAATCTACTGCTGTCGTTTTTTTTTCTTTTCCTTCTGGATGCTGTCCCATTTCTCCCAGGTCTTTCCCTACTCTATGGAAGATAAAAACCACTGAGAATAGAGTAGGCAAATAAATCATCACCACATCCTCATTATTCACATAATGAAATTCTTCTGTGGCAAAAACTGACAAGGAGAAAGTTTCAATTAAGCATTTAGGGTCCAGCAATCTTTGTAATAAACGTTGACTTTTATATACTTCCATAAATACCTATGAAAATCTTGATTTTCCATGTAAAATCCAGTTGTCCATGTAACTAAAGCATTGACATGCTGTGAAAACAAAATACAAGCCCCTCACGTTTGTGTCCTAATGCACACTCACACTGTATTTAAATCTCCCACATTTTCTTATTCTCTCAGTTTATTGTTAAATTCATTCTTTCTATTTTTTGCTGCATTAGAAATTTCCAAACTCTACATTTTACCTCTAAATTGCCCATTTTTTTGTCTAACACTGATAGTCTTATTTTCAACATTATATTGAATATTAGGACCTTTTTATATTTTGTGTGCACATTTTACACTAGAGCCTTCTCATACACTCTAATGAAAGATGGACTGCAAAATTATAATTGATTGGTTAGTAGGTTGGTGAACCTCCAGCATAAATCTCTATCTTTCTCTCTCTCCGTCTCTCTCTCTCTCTCTCTCTCTCTCTCTCTCTCTCTCTCTCTCTATATATATATATATATATATATATATATATATATATATACACACCACATATATTTCCCTCCCTCTTTCTTTTTGTCTGCTGTAATACCTGGTTGCTGCTATGGTTTGGATATGGTGTATTTGTCCCCACTTAACCTCATGCTGAAGTTTGATCCTCTGTGTGTTGATGTTGGGAAGCGGGGCATAGTGGAAGTGTTTGGGTCATGAAGGTGGATCTCTCATGAAGGGCTTGGAGTCATCCTAGCAGCAGTGAGTGATTTTTTGCTCTTGCAAAACTGAATTAGTGCCGGCGGAGTGAATTAACTTCTGAGAGGATAGGTTGTTATAAAGTCTGGATGCCCCTTGGGTTTGCTCCCTCTTCACATGTGCATGCTTCCCCTTGTGATACAGGAGAGGGGCAGGGAAGTGCTTGGTAAAGAAAGGCAGGTCCCTGGCTAGGGCTCCACCCCCACAGACCTAGGTGGTGACAGGCACTCCTGCTTTCATGCTCAATATTGCATTTTCCAAGACCACCTGGTCTGCCACACCCCTATCCTGGGCCTATAAAAACCAGAGACCCTACCGGGCAGACACACAGGTGGCCAGACATCAAGAGGAGCACATCAGTGGAAGAAGACACAAGCAGCTGGATAGCAAGAGGACGTCGAGGGAGCACACCAGCGGAAGCACACACTGACAGATGCCAGCACAACGACATGCCATCCACCGGTGGGGATGAAGCAGAGTTTGGCTGGGGCAGTTGGAGGAGGGCTGCGGCAGCCAGGTGGCCCAACTCCAGGGGAAACCATCTCCCTTCTGTCTCCTCATCAGCGCAGAGCTACTTCCACTCAATAAAACCTTGCACTCATTCTCCAGGCCCACCTGTGATCTGATTCTTCCCATACACAAGGCAAGAACCCAGGATACAGAAAGCCCTCTGTCCTTGCAACAGGTTGGAGGGTCTAATTAAGTTGGTTAATACAAGCCACCTATAGATGGCAATCTAAAAGAGCATCCTGTAACACACACGCACTGGGGCTTCAGGAGCTGTAGACATTCACCCCTAGACACTGCCATGGTGTCAAAGACCCACAACCTGTTTATCTGTATGCTCCCCTAGAAGTTTGAGCAGTGGGGCACAGAAGAAACGAGCCACACCCCCATCGCAAGTGTGTGAGGGGGACAAGGGAAATTTTTCTCTTTCACTTGGACCTTCTCTTCCAGGTTTTTTGTTTTTTGTTTTGAGATAGAGTCTCTCTCTTTTGCCCAGCCTGGAGTGCAATGGCACAATCTGCTCACTGCAACCTCTGCCTGCCTAGTTCAAGTGATTCTTGTGCCTCAGCCTCCTGAGCAGCTGGGATTAGAGGCATGTGCCATTACGCCAGCTAATTTTTGTATTTTTAGTAGAAATAGCATTTCACTATGTTGGCCAGGCTGATCTTGAACTCCTGGTTTCAAGTGATCCACCTGCCTTGGTCTCCCAAAGTGCTGGGATTATAGTCATGAGCCACCATGCCTGGCCCTCTCTGCCATGTTTTGATGCAGCACAAAGCCCTCACTAGAAGCCAGGAAGGTGCTGGGGCCATGCTCTTGTGAGCTAATAAACCTTTTTTTGCAGAACTGCGAGCTAAATAAACCTCTTTTCTTTAAAAATTACCCAGCCTCAGGTGTTCCTTTAGAGTAACACTAAACAGACTAAGGCAACTTCATTTTGTTTTGCCTTTATACAATGTAATAACTAATTTTACTCATAACAGTAGTACTCAGTATATTGGATAGTATGAAAATCATTAACATTATATTTTTCCTGATTTTTTTTGTATAGTTGTAAATAACAATACTGGATAATATCTAAGTAATATAAAATTATTACCAAACCACCAAGGCTACATTTTTTTCTTCCGTTTTCATGATTGTTGGTAAAATGCACGTTTTACTACCAAATAGTCTTGCACTTCCACCTCCATAAGTCCCAGCTCTCTCACGTGTATCTCAAAAACAGTACATTTAGTAATAACACAAGTATATAAGGTACTGAAAACAAAAAGTGTGGCTTTAAGTCCAGGATGTGTCCATCTTAGTTATTTGTGATTTTTTAAAAAGAATTTGTTCATTTCTTCTAAATTATCATATTATTGGCTATAGTCCTTTATTCCTTTAAAATCTGTAGTATTTGTCATGATATCTCTTCTTTCATTTTTCATATATAAATAATTCATGTTAGTGATATATATGTCTATATAAATTTAGAAACTTTCTACCCCAGTTTTAACCCACAGTGCTGTGATTATGTTGCAGAACAAAGATGGACCTACCACCATGTGGTTCAGATATTAACACTGATGATGTCACATGTGCACTAAAAGGGCATGGAAAGATTTATTTCTCATGTAATAATGCTTTTGTGGGATAGCAGTGCAGGTTGGGAAGTTGGGCTAAAGATGGCTTGAGAAAGCAGAGAAAGAAAAGCAAACACCAGCTGTTTGTTTTTAGTGTGGTTTGAGGTGGGGCAGAGGAGAGGGCTCTTATACAAAGGTCAGGGCTTGCATGGTTTAAATTTCCTGGGGGCAGTACAGAAGGGAGCACCTTGGCTTTTCTGTCTCACTCAGATATGGGACAGAGATGGAAAGAGGAGTGGTGAGGTGTGAAAGCTGTCAACAATCAGGTGTAAGGAATAGAGTCAGATCCTTTATTTTGCACAATTAGATCATTGTTACTATAGAATAAAACGGGTAAAAATATTTGATGCAAATCTCATCTAGCCTCTTGAAACTTCTGATTTTAAAAGAAAATTGTAAGGAAATGAAGGTTAAAATAAATAGATTTTTGTTTTGTTTTTGTTTTTATTTTGGTAGACAGTTATTTGGAACTCTTATGTTCCTGTTTTGCTCTTTGAGCATTCTAATAGTGACATTCATACATTCATTCTGATAAGGCTAGAAAATAATTGAGCTCTGGGGGAGGTGAAATCTATCAAATGATACCAAAAATTAGGCTGTATTATTCCTCTTTCATCCTCAAAAGATTAACTTTTTCCTCTCTAAATGTGTGGAAAGACTACATGTTGCTGATTCATTTTATTTCTTCAGGTTTTTTGTTTTTGTTTTATGTTCATGTTCATCTAGTTGAGGATGTTGGATTTTGTGGTAGTCCCTGAAAGTTAATTGTTTCCTTAATTTTGCACTTAAAAATATTTTTTCTTCTGAAAATAACTGTTAGACTTTTGACAAATCATAAAATAAGAAAGTATGGAATAATTTTAGAAAATAAATCAGCATATCCAGGCTCAGCCAAAATGTAAAAATAATAAATTAAAAATTCAATCAACAAATATTTAATAAATATTCACTAATTGCTTATCTATATTTCAGAAGCCATGAAGAAAACAAAAGAGTTTCAGAGTATGTTAGATTCATAAAAAGTATATATTAAAAACACTTTAAAAATAAAATCTGTTAATATAGGTTGTTGACACTAAATATAATACAAAATATAATAAGTAATATCAAAATGCAATGCATGACTACTACACCTCTGGATTTCATTTTGGTTGTACTTGCATGGAAAGAGAAGTACTAGCTGGTTAGATGTGAAAGAATTGTGGTAAGTTTCAGGGACAGACCAGAACAGAAATGAGAAAGATTTGTTTATTTTAGAGAAAAGGAAGATGCATTCTCAGAAAAGTCAAAATTAACAAATACAAAGTGGAAAAACAATATGTACGCTATGGATTTGTTAACCATACTTCATGGTTTATTTGAGATAGTACTTGCTTACTCATATTGTTCTTCCCAAAATTGTTAATAACACACTCTTTTACTTAAAATGTGGTTAAATTTGGAAAAGTAATTATATGGTCATCTTCTCTATGGAGGCATCAAGGAGACAGATCATTTTCAGTAAAAGTTAAAGAGATAATTAGAATTGGCAACGAATTTGTCAAGAAGCTGATCTAACGGGTATATATTTTCATCCCGATTTTATCCATGAAGAAGTAGAAGCCAATAAACATTAAGTTATTTTAAGTATTGCTCAGTAAGGAAGAGGCAAAGCTGTCATGCAAACCAGGATCAAGTTCACAATCTCCTAAAGAAACAAAGGCAGTACAATGATATGGAGGCTATGATAAAACAATTTAAAATATGAAACATTGCTGAGATGGAATAGGATGAGGTCTTTAAATGTGATTGGATTTGTTGACTACCTTTAAGAAGAAAGAATCAATGACATGATTCTTTGTCATGGGGAAACGTATATAACTCTGTGTTAATAAATGAATGAGTAATAAAGACTTACAGGCAGCACATATAGAATTTCCTTGTAAAAAATTGTAGTTATGAAAACTAGAAATTTTGTTCAGAAGTATATCAGATTTAAGAGAAAGTCTCTTGCTTGTTAGTGAAGGGATTGCTTGAATAATTGACCACATAGAGAAAGCAGGAAATTGAAAGAGAGTGTGCAAAATGGAAAAACAAATAAATGTACACCAAATCTTTGAATCCACCTATCACCCAGAAGGCCTCTGTTTTGAGTTGCCCTGCTTTTCCAAATCGAACCAACGCATGTCTTTCATGTATTGATTGATGTCTATGTCTCCCTAAAATGTATAAAACCAAGCTGTAGCCCGATCATCTTAGGCACATTTTCTCAGTATCCCCTGGGCTGTGTCATGGGCCATTGATCACTCATATTTGACTCAGAATAAATCTCTCCAAATGTTTTACAGAGTTCAACTCTTTTCATTGACACAAGCAAGCAAACAAAACGACAAAAAACAGTAGAGGGAGGAAATAATTTGTAAAACAAAGTCCCAGAATGTTTTCAAGGATTGTGGTAAAGCATACAGGTGGAAGAAAATACAAGCATGATAGCTGTGGGAGGCCAGTGTCCCAAGTGAATTTTGTTAGAACACGAATAAAAATGCATGGCCATGAAGTTCTGTTTGGGTTTACTATAATTTGCCCATTCTCTAAATAAAGTGGAAAGGGTACCTTTTCTTTAAATTGAGAAAACTGCTAAGTCTGCCCAAGGTCAAAGTCATTAGTCTAGTTGGAGCACTAGGTGAAAGAGAACTCAGCCCAGTGCTGGTATCCAGGAATCTTGGGCACCTGGAAAAGAATTAATTGGTGACCCAGCACTAATTGGAGAGCAGCACAGCCAAGATCATTAAACAGCTGATTTTTTTTTTAGAATGTATCTATTCCTTCCAATTAACATTACAAAATCTTTAGTCTTAAGATTGGTTTCCTGTTGTTCAGAAATGAGTAGAGCAAAATCTTTAGTACAATATATTGGAGAAAGAAAGATTACAGTTTACTGATTTAAGCAGATATTTTAATTTAACGTAGATGCAACTTAAATACATGCATTGAAAACTATTAGTCCAAAGAGCTAATTAAGTGCCCAGGCTACTAACTTATTTCCAGAGCAAATATATGTGAAATGCAAACTTTACACTATAACATCATTTGAAAGATTAATATTCTTCATGTTCATAATGACTCAGTTATTTTTAACAAAAGTAGAGGCTGTTTACTATTATTGTATATCAAATATAAGCCATAAGGGAAATTTTATTTGAAACTGCTATATTTTATTATATACTAAATTGACACATGTTCATAGGCATGTGTGTTTACTGTGTGTGAATCTGTGGGTGAATATTCACATATCTGCTCAAAATGGATATATATGGGAGATTGATAACTTCTCAGATATTATTAATTTAAAAGAGCATTTCTTTTTATCTCAATGGTTTCATGATCTTCGGTTTAGTATCTAATACTGCCTGAAACTACAAATTATCATCAAATAACAAAATAATAACTTAGTATAATAATTTAATAACAGCATTTAATTCAATGAGGTAAAGTAACTTAGAGGATATGGCAAGAAGTTAGCAAAATCTTCATTTAATTGAAATAAAATTTATAGAATACTTAACTGTATTCCAGCCTGTGTGTTAGGCAGTAATTTGAACAAACAAACAAACACAAAAGGGGTTTTTTCATCACAAAACTTCCAGTCTAGGATCGGAAACAGACATCTAAACAGCCGTACTATGATAAAATGTGATAACTATCCTACATTATCCTAATCACTTGTATTAAGTGATATAGAAATATAAAAGATAGATAGAAAGATTCAGTATAGGGAGCAGAGCCAAAGGGTTTTGGCAAGGCCTTCAAAGAAGAGTTGGCATTTAAACTGGTCCTTGAAAAAAATAATTAGATCTCTGTCAGGCTGTGGGTGGGACATGTGGAAAAGAAGGCAAGGCATTTGCACAACATATAATGTGGTAATTTTGGGGTCAGCAAAATAGCTCCAATTCTTCTTAAAGTCCTAATTCTGGCTGTGTGACCTTGGCATGTTTCCAACTTTAGATACACAACTAGTACTCCAGACACACTATCTTAGGAAGAGAATTTAAGTTTAGCAGGAAGAGGACATGTGTCTTGACTGTGGTTCTTCCTTAATTTTATAAATTTTCCTATTGGGAAGTATAAGACTTCCTTCACAGCTGGAAGGACTGAAGCAAAAAGAAGACAAATGTCTTTCCTAATAAACACCACAAAACCCAGAAGCTAGGCAGGGTACATAGGCAATTGCTCCTAACTCCCAATTCAGTACTCCGCCCACTAGACCAGTCATATCTCATAAATGGAGTTTGCCCTTTGCTAGAGAATATATGAGAGGTTGAGCTAATTTCTTATGCGCATTTATGTATGTATAGTCAGATCTCTGTGAAGATTTAGAGACAAAGGATTATCTTTAAAAAAAAGTAAAACACATATAATTAGTGTTTATTCAATGTGTATTTCTGAATTTCTTAAAATTCATTTAGTAAATGTAGTCTAACTTAAAATAGGCAGGATGAGGAGGTAAAATATTTATTAACGATTGATTATGTGACAGAGTAATGTGTGAGATACTTTGCACATGTTCTCATGTAATAAAACTCAATGAGACAGAGCCAGTGATTTTATTCTTTTTCTTTTGTGAGAAATCTGAAGATTAAAGAGATAAAGCAATTTGTACAAAGCTGTTAAGTAATACTACATTTTTTGACTCTAAAGTCCATGTCCTTTTCACCCAAACCACAATACTGTCATCACAATTGTCTAAGCCTAATAACATAGTTCAAGTACTCCTATATGCTTAAAATCAAAAGTACGTCCCACTTATTTCCTTCCATTTCGGTGAAGCTGATGGTTTAGAAGCAAGTTATGAAAACACTTAAATGATGATGATGATGATAATGATGAAGACGATAATGATAAATAAAAATTATTGAATGCTAATAGTGTGCTAGATGCTCCTCTAAGCTTTTTATATGCATTAATCAATTGGATCCTAACAACAACCCAATGGACTAGATACTTTTATTGTTCCCATTTTAGAGGTGGATACAATACAAAAAAAATTCCAGTAACTTGCCCATGATCACTTGGCTAATTATTTGCAACTCAGGTATCTGATCCCACTATCTACATAGTTATTTTCTGATAGCATAGCCAGAGGAAGAAGAAATAAATAATATTGTATTGATTGCATCATATATGCCTGAAACTTAGCTAGATGTATTTTTCTATGTATCTTACTTCATAGCCAGAAAAGCATGGTACTCAGGCAAAATACTGCAGTGATTAAGAAGGCAAAATCTGAAGTTCACAGGAAACAGTCAGTATGTATGCATATTATTATTATTATCCTACTTCATGCATTAAAGACAATATCCTAAAATTCAGAATTAGCTTGCACAAAGCTATGTGCTATAGTCATGATTGGAAAAGAGTCCATGCTGTATACCCATTGTTTTAAAAAATATATTTGTGTGTGTGTATTTGAGGTTTATGACATAATGTTATGAGATACATATAGATAGTAAAATAGTTACTATAGTGAAGGAAATTAATGTATCCATCATCTCACATAGTCCCTTTTTTTGTGACAAAACTGCTAAAATCCATTAATTTAACAAAAATCCCTAATGCAACACAATTTTATTACCTATAGTTCTCACACTGTACATTGGATCTCAAGATTTGTTCATCCTGCATGTCTTCTACTTTGTGTCCTTTAATCTGTATACATCTCTCCAATTTCTCCCTCTTCTTGGCCCTGGTTACTACCGTTTTATCCCCTATCTTTGTATCTTTTTTCAAAAATTTAGATTTTGCATATCAGTGAGATCATCTAATATTTTTCTTTCTGTATCTGACTTATTTATCTTAGTGTAATGTTCTCCAGGTCCATCTACATTGTAGCAATTGGCAGAATATCCTTTTTAAGGCTGAATAATATTCCTTTATATACACACACAATACAACACATTTTCTTTATCCGTTTGTCCATTGACAGACACTTAGGTTGTTTCCATATCTTGGCTGTTGTAAATAATCCTGCAACGAACATAGGAGCACAAATGTCTTCAAGAGACGAGGATTTCATCTCCTTTGTGTATATGCCCAGATTATTTTCAATTTATTTAGGAATCTCCATACTGCTTTCAACAATGACTACACCAATCTACATTCCCACCAGCAGTGTACTAGGGCTCCCTATGCTCCACACCCTTGCTAACATTTGTTATCTTTTGTCCTTTTTTAATAGCCTTCCTAACAGATGTGAGGTGATATCTCATAGTTATTTACCCATAATTTCTAAGGCTAGAGTTATAGAGCCCAAAATAAAATGAAAATTTGACTTTCTTTTTTTCATTAAATGTAGAAAGAGTATTGAAATTTTAATGTTAAAATAGAAATAAAAAGGACATGAGGGAGGACTATATATTCCTTTTTAGAGATGTGAAAATAATTTTCATCATATTAGAAATAAATTCTTGATTTCATAGATTAAATTGTGATATATATTCTGGCACAGTGCATGCATCTATAGGAGCTCAAAATATATATCAGATGGATAAATAATCAATGAAGTAATGAATCAATTAATGAGTAACTGAATGGATGGATGATGGTAGAATCTTGTAAGTTTAAAGGAATGGGGTCTAATTTACTTCACAGCCTATCTTGTTATTGTAAAGATGAGAAAACGAGCAGGGAAGTTCTTTCCTTATGCTTTCTAACATTCCTTTGGTAAAGTTTCTTTCCATTCCCAGATCCTGAGAGTCCATTTTCCAAGAAATAACTAATTTCCAGAAAAGATATCTGAGATTGGGGTTCCAATACTCAAGATCTACGCTGTCCAATAAGTCTTGTAGATAACCTAATGGGCCCCAACCCTTCTTTACTGTGTATTCCCTGTGTATCCCTTGGTACCATGCAAATAGCCATGTGCCACATGTGGCTATCTAAATTTATTAAATTTGTGTAAAAATAAAAATTTACTTCCTTTTTCACAATAGCAACATTTCTAGTCCTCATTAACCACATGTAGCTATGGCTATTGTATCAGACAATACATACATAGAACATTTCGTTATTGTGGAGAATTATATTGGGTCAGCATTGTGCTGCAGCAAGGCACTGCAGGTTCTTAAATAATAAGCGTAGGCCAAGAGACTTGGATCTGAGAAACAGTTTCTACAGTTGTGCCAAGTGGATACTCTTACTATAGGGTCAATTGGAAAGGCATCAATAAGACAATGAAACCAGGTTAAAATTTAAATATAAAAAGGTAGAACCTGGAAGGTCCCTGAGATGGAATAACTTCACCAAAAGGTTATGTGATAGTGTGCTCATTAGTTCACTCTAGGATAGAGATACAGAACTCTCCATTCTATTTGTGGAGCGAAAATGATTAGTGTTTTGGGGAATTACAGAGGCTCTACACTCACAACTTGTGAAATCCAGGAAATCTTTTTGTGGAGTTAATGACTGGGCATTATTATGAAGGATAAGCAGGAGATACTAAAATGAAAACTGGGAGGAGAAAAGAGATAAAGAAAATGGCATTCCATACAGAGAGGGTAAAAGTACAAAATCTTGAAATTTTCTCAGAACAAGTTCATCCTTTTCAATATGACTAAATAAGGGTTGAACATCCCCAGTCGAAAAATTCAAAATCCAAAATGCTCCAAAATCCAAAAGTTCTGGGGTGCTAATGTGACTCCACAAACAAAAATTTCACACGTAAGTATTTAACACAACTTTTTAATGCACAAAATTATTAAAAATATTGTACAAAATTACCTTCAATTGTATATAACATGTATATGAAATTTAAATGAATTTTGTGTTTAGGTTTGGATCCCACCCTTAAACTATCTCATTATGCACATGCAAATATTTCAAAATCGGAAAAATCTAAAATCTGAAACACTTCTCGTCCCAAGCATTTCAGAAAAGGGACAGTCTACCTGTAGGGTATTGGTGGAGGATTGTTAAGAGTTAGGCTCAAAGAGAGAAGCAGTATTCAGACAAGGGCTTAAGAAAGAAATCAAAGAGGCAACGCAATTGCAAAGCCCTACATAAACAACTTCATATAGACATTAATATCAGTGATAGATTATTCAATGTACTCTGGAAGAGGAATAGGAGAGTTAGTAGAATTTGATGAGAACTCTAAAAAGTAACTTTGACTTTGGACAATGGAAAATAAATATCCACATAACTGATGTAAACTAAAAAAAAATTAATGCACACAATAACATTTGTAGCAAAAAATAATAAGGAAAACAAAGATCAGAGTTAACAAACATATATTCCATTCTATGTATTGTTTCCCCTGCCCAACAAATACATAAACGCAGATTTATTGAAATTACACAATCATAAGCCTTGTAGTTACTTTAGAGTCATCAGACCATTACATATTATTGTATAATTGAGCCAAATGTCTAATTAATTCAGCAAAATTATATTATCATATAATATAGTAAGATAAACGAGGGAAAATAATACTGCTATATATGTGCTTAGAATTTTTTAAAATAATAACTTTAATCTTCAATTTGCCTTTACTGTTTTTATTTAGCTGCTTGACTTTTCCGTCATCCTACCCTTCTTTTCTGTGGGTCCCTTGGTATTATAGCAATCAAAATTACCACGTGGGGCACATCAGATGACCTACAAGAATTATATAAAAGAATGTAGATTATATTTGAGGCTTACTTTTTTCATATTGCATCATGTTGCTTATTTATGATTGAAGAAATAATAATAGATTCCCAATTCTTTTTAAAAATAACTTCCATTTTCCTTTTAATTTTTAACAGCTTAAATTAAAATCTTAAGGAAATGGGTAGCCAAATATAATTTTACTAACCTAAATGAATAAAGCATTTCCCTATTACTAACATGGGAATTCCTCATCTATTTTGTTAATCTAAGTATGTTTCCCCTCTCTTGATAATGTAAGAACATTGTAAATATGTACCATGTTCTCATCCTTGTTATAGCTAAAAAAATATTAATTTGTTTCTAAGAGCTATACTCATATGTCAGTGGATAGATTTAGTACTACATTATAATCGACATTCTTTTACATAATTCCTGTAGGTCATCTGATGAGCCCCACGTGGTAATTTTAGTATCAGATGTCTGAAAAACTTCTAGAAGTTTTCTTTACAATAGGCTAAAAATATGCACATTGTGTTTTATTTTGGCAGGTGTATCAGGCTGACTGTAATAAATAGGCATATTGAAAAATATTCACATACTTTTAGCAATTGAAGAGTAAAATATATGGTATTCATTTCAAGATAAAGTATAATCAACATGTGTCATTGAGGTAATTTTCTCAAAATGATCTCTTACTAAGTATCTTAAAGATAAAAAAACAAAATATTAAACCTGTGTTTCTAATTATTGTGTCCAATCTTGGCAGATCTCAGGGAGGATGGTTGGCAATGTTTTATTGCCATATTTGATATCACAAACAATATTCTTTTTCAAGAAATGAGTCATTTTTAATCTTTTTTTAGGAAGGAATCATCTTTCAATTCTTATTTATTTCTTTATCAGGAAATATCTTTAATGGGCCTGTGTGTGCAGTCAATTTCTTGTGTAACATTGAAAATGTAGCAATCCAAATGAATCACTTTCATATGTTGCAGGTGCTCTCTATTAGGAGGAAAGATGCACTTTGATGTTCTTTTAATTAAAGTTTCTATTAAATTAGTTAGCATTCTGCAAAGAAATAATTCAGTTTCCTCTGGTTATCAACCCGACAATTCAAGAAAGTTCCAATGGCCAGTTAGCTCTGTGCTTCTGCTATTTTTAATTTAGCAAGCACAAAATGAACTAGAGAATGCTGGCTTATCTTTTAAATCAAACTTGTCTGCAACACTAAATTACCCTTTATACGGTAGTCTAGAGAACTTGTAAACACTTTCGGTCTCACCACTGGAAATTTCAGAATCCAGCTAGAGTAAGTTTCTATTTGGTATCCATTTACATTTTGTAAGTAGTTAATCACCTCTTTGAAATAAGAATAAAAAAAGTTGTGTTACCTTATTAAGCTGTATCTGAGTCCATTAATAATTGTAGAAAATCATAATGAATTAATATTCTAAAATCTAGGACTTGCTTCTGACTTTGTTCTTTACTGGTTACAAGATCTTGAGTAAATAGCTTCTTTCTTTGGGTTTCACTTTGCTCATTCAGAAATTCAATAAAATTGCAATTTTGGAGTATCTGAGATCCAGGTACTGAGCAGGCATTGATCATCATATGATGATGAACAAGATACAGCCTGTGCCCTGTAGTAGTTCAGCCTGATAAAATGATGTCCACTGTCTCACTCTGCAATTATGTGGGTTTACAGAAGCATCATTTCTAATAAAAGCAGGCACACAGACACATAAAGAAAGAAACATTGTTTTTTGTTTTGTTTTGTTTTGTTTTTGAGACGGAGCCTCACTCTGTCACCCAGGTTGGAGTGCAGTGGCTTGATCTCTGCTCACTGCAACCTCCGCCTCCCGGGTTCAAGTGATTCTCCTTCCTCAGCCTCCCGAGTAGCTGGGATTACAGGTGCATGCCACCATGCTTGGCTAATTTTTGTATTTTTAGTAGAGATGGGGTTTCACCATATTGCTCAGGCTGGTCCAGAACTCCTGACCTCTGGTGATCCACCCACCTCGGCCTCCCAAAGTGCTGGGATTACAGGTGTGAGCCACCGCGCCTGGCCTGTTTTTTGTTGTTGTTGTTGTTGTTGTTTGTTTGTTTTTCTTGCACAAAGTGATAGATTCCATTGGTCAGACAGAAATCTGTCCTTTGCCCAACCCGTAGATGTAAAGACATACCTGAGACTGGGAAGAAAAAGGTTTAATTGGATTCACAGTTCTGCGTGTTTGAGAACGACTCAGAATCATGGTGGGAGGCAAAACACACTTCTTGCATCCCGGCAGAAAGAGAAAATGAGGAAGAAGCAAAAGCGGAAACCCCTAATAAGCCCATCAGATCTCATGAGACTTACTCACTATCATGAGAACAGCACTGGAAAGACCAGATCCCATGATTCAATTACTTCCCCCTTGGTCCCTCCTACAACATGTGGGAATTCTGGGAGATACAATTCAAGTTGAGATTCCAATGGGGACACAGCCAAGCCATATAATTCTGCCCCTACCACTTCAAATCTCATGTTCTCACATTTCAAAGCCAATCATGCCTTCCCAGCAGTCCCCCAAAGTCTTAACTCATTACAACATTAACCCAAAAGTCCACAATCCAAAGTCTCATTTGAGACAAGGCAAGTCCCTTTCACCTATGAGCCTGTAAAATCAAAAGTAAGCTAGTTACTTCCTGGATACAATGGGGGTACAGGTATTGGGTAAACACAGCCATTCCAAATGGGAGAAATTGGCCAAAACAAAGGGGTTACAGGGCTCACACAAGTCCAAAATCCAGCGGGGCAGTCAAATTTTAAAGTTCCAAAATGATCTCCTTTGACTCCCGGTCTCACATCCACGTCATGCTGATGCAAGAGATGGGTTCCCATGGTCTCAGGCAGCTCTGACCTGTGGCTTTGCAGGGTACAGCCTCCCTACATGCTGCTTTCACAGGCTGGCATTGAGTGTTTGCAACTTTTCCAGGCACACGGTGCAAGCTGTCAGTGGATCTACCATTCTGGGGTTTGGAGGACTGTGGCCCTCTTCTCACAGCTCTGCTAGGCAGTGCCCCAGTAGGGACTCTGTGGGGGGGCTCTGACCCCACATTTTCCTTCTGCATTGCCTTAGCAGAGGCTGTCCATGAGGGCTCTGCCCCTGCAGCACACTTTTGCCTAAGCATCCGGGCGTTTCCATACATATTCTGAAATCTAGGTGGAGGTTCCCAATCCCCATTTCTTGATTTCTGTGCACCCGCAAGCTCAACACCACATGGAATCTGCCAAGACTTGGGCAGCTTCTGAAGCCTCAGAGACTTGGGCAGCTTCTGAAGCTGCCGAGACTTGGGCAGTTTCTGAAGCCACCTCTGAAGCCACAGCCGGAGCTCTACATTAGTCCCTTTCAACCACGGTTGGAGCAGCTGGGACACACGGCACCAAGTCCATAGGCTGCACACAGCACTGGGACCCTGGTCCCAGCCCATGAAACTACTTTTACCTTCTGGGCCTCCAGGCCTGTGATGAGAGGGGCTGCCGAGAAGATCTCTGAAATGCCCTGAGACATTTTCCCCATGGCTGGGGATTAACATTAAGCTCCTTTCTACTTATGCAAATTTCTGCCACCGTCTTGAATTTCTCCTCTAAAAATGGATTTTTCTTTTCTGCTGCATCGTCAGACTGCAAATTTTCTGAACTTTTATGCTCTGTTTTCCTTTTAAAACAGAATGCTTTTAATAGCACCCAAATCACCTTTTGAATGCTTTGCTGCTTAGAAATTTCTTCTGCCAGATAACCTAAATCATCTCTCTCAAGTTCAAAGTTCCACAAATCTCTATGGCAGGGGCAAAATGCCACTAGTCTCTTTGCTAAAAAATAACAAGAGTCATCTTTGCTCTAGTTCCCAACAAGTTCCTCATCTCCATCTGAGACCACCTCAGCCTGGACTTTATTGTTCATATCACTATCAGCATTTTTGTCAAAGCCATTCAACAAGTCTCTAGGAGGTACCAAGCTTTCCAACATTTTTCCTTCTTCTTCTGCTTCTTCTGAGCCCTCCAAACTGTTCCAACCTCTGCCTGTTACCTAGTTCCAAAATTGGTTCCACATTTTTGAGTATCTTTTCATAACACCCCACTCCTGGTACCAATTTACTGTATTAGTCCTTTTTTCATGCTGCCAAAAAAGACATAACTGAGACTGGGAAGAAAAAGAGGTTTAACTGGACTTGCAGTTCCACGTGGCTGCAAGTCACGTGGGAGGCCTTGCCCACGTGAGCCTCAGAATCATGATGGGAGGTGAAAGGTACTTCTTACATCATGGCAGCAAGAGAAAATGAGGAAGAAGCAAAAACAGGAACTCCTGATAAACCCATCAGATCTCATGAGACTTATTCACTATCACGAGAATAGCACAGGAAGGACCAACCACCATGATTCAATTACTTCCCCCTCAACATGTGGGGATTCTGGGAGATACAATCAAGTCAAGATTTAAAAGGGGACACAGCCAAACCATATCAAGATGTATAATAAAAAAAAAAAATGAAAGACTGAAATTTGTAAATCTCTTGCATTTCCCTCTTATGAGTTTTGAAATAATTTTGCATATTCAAATTATTTGAGGGGCATAAATGGTCAATTACATTTGGAGAAAATAATTGCCTTGGGAAGTGAATATGTTTTTGACTGTTTCACCTTGCTTCTAAGGTGTGATGCATTCTAGATACAATTTTTTTTAGTAATTTTAATTATGAAGATGGATGCTACACTTGCTTTGATAAAATTACTCTGAAATCTACAGTAACAAAAATGCATAACTGAAGAGATTACTTATCCCACAAAGGAATTAAAAAAACTTTAAAAATGCATTTCCTGGCATTATTTGAAAATACAGAAGAAATTCTAAGATATTCTGGACCACATCTGCCCCATTATGCCAAACGCTTCATGGAGAGTCCATTAGAATAATCATTTAACACCTGTATCACTGTCTTCTCATAGTGCAACCTGTAATCAAAGTGTGAAGCAATCACCACAGAAGTTATAATTTAGATTATGACTTAATAGCACTGGTTCTAAAGGACTAGATTTGAGTATTTGGAATTTCACTAACCACTGATTGCAGTAAGTGGGCACAATTGAATCAATATCAAAAAGGCTATCCCTTCCCTTCTGAGGCAGTGGTGATGTCTGAGCTTGACTGAACTGGTTTTTATGTGTGAAATGCTTTGCAAACTGGTGGTATCTGCTGTAATAAGAACATACTCTTGTGTAGCTTATGTTCTAGACTTTTTCTGATAATCCTTCCTTTATTAGCTGTTTTTGTCAATGATCAGTTGTACACCCTCAATCAATCTTACCTACATTTTAAAAAACCATTTTAAGCATAGTGGCCAATATTTTCCAGCTTTTACAAAGTAAATCACACATAAATTTGTGTTAAATCTAGTAAAGCTATTATGATAAAATTTTCAGTTGAAATAATTACTGGGGAATTCAAATGAAAGTTTCTCTTGGCTTCACACAAGTTTATATTTTGTAATTTAAAAAATGGAGAATACTAGGAAACCAAGGCCATCAAATTTATTCTTCCAGCCTTTCAACAGTCTTGGCTTACCTAAGCAACTAAGGGAAGGGAAATAAGGAATAAAGAGTCACAAAGAAAACACACATGATTACTGTAATACAATGTTTTGAGACACGTCAAAATATATGCAAACATATTTTTAGGTAATTGAAGGAAGAAAAGCTATTACATTTGCTAATTTTTTTCAAAAAAAATGTTTATTTTTTCTTTATTGAAGAGGCCATCTTCCTGAATTTGTTATATTTATCAGTAAAATTGTGCTCTACTCTATGTCATTTCTGAAAGAACCCTAGGGGAGCTTACCCAATCACTACCAATTGGTAGTTAACTTGTGGGGATTACAAACATAACTATCAAAATCCAATAAGCCTGTTAGAAGGAATTTTTATTAGAATTCCTACATTGCCACTTGTATGATATTTGGTCTTGTATGATATTTGGTTTATTTCATGTTCAGTTATCTTATGTGTAAAGCAGGAAAAATAACATTGTGCGATTTTTATAAGGATTAAGGAACATGTGTGCAATGTTTAGTGTTGTGGATATAACAGGGTAAGTGCCAAATAAAAGGTAGCTAATACCTAATATTGTAATTTTTTGGGGGTATATGTATGTATCAAATTGGAGAACTCTGGGCTTGCTTAGGCTGTTACTTTTTCAATTTATTAATTATTCTCCTTTTTGGCAAACTTTTGAGCATTTAGGCTACTAGTACTGCTGACATACTCAAATTATTGCTACTGTGCTGCAGAAATTTTACCCAGGATGAGGAAGTCTGTCCCAAATCTGGCCAAAAATCCATAAAATGTTTTTTTCCTTTAGTTATATGTCCTAGAAAATTAAAAGTGCTACCTGCACACCTCAGAGATAGTGTGGCTTCATTTCTAGTCCAACACAATAAAATAATTCACACAATTTTTTTTGTTTCCCCATAAATAAAAAAGTTATGTTTACACTCTACTATTGTCTATTAAGTGTGCAATAGCATTATCTAAAAACAATGTACATACCTTAATTAAAAATACTTTATTGCTAAAATATGCTAGTGATCTTCTGAACCTTCACTCAGTCCTAGTCTTTTTGCTGGTGGAGGGTCTTGCCTTTAAATTGAGGCTGCTGACTGATAAGGGTGGTGAGTGGTGTATATTGGGTTGGCTGTGGCAATTTCATAAACTAAGGCAACAGTGAAGTTTGCTGTATCAATTGACTCTTCCTTTCACAAAAGATATCTCTGTAGGATGCAATGCTCTTTGATAGCATTTCACCCACAGTAAAGCTTCTTTCAAATTAAGACTCAATTCTTTCAAATCCTGCTGCTGCTTTATGAGCTAAATTTATATAATATTCTCCATTCTTTGTTGCCATTTCAACAATGTTCCCAGCATCTTCACCAAGAGTAGACTACATCTCAAAAAAACACTGTCTTTGCCTATCCATAAGAAGTAAGTTCTCCTCCATTAAAGTTGTATCATGAGATTGCAGTAATTCAGTCACAACTTCAAGCTCCATCCACTTCTAGCTCTATTAATAGTTCTCTTGCTATTTCTACCACATCTACAGTTACTTACTTCAATAAAGTCTTGAACCTCTCAAAGTCATCCACAAGAGCTAGAGTAAACTTCTTCCAAATCTCTGTTAATATGGATATTTTGACCTCTTCTCATGAATTATAGATATTCTTAATGATCAAAAATAGTGAATCCTTTTGAAAAGGTTTTCAACTTACCTTGCCCAGATTTATCAGAGGAATCACTATCCATGTCAGCTATAGCCTTACAAAATGTAGTTCTTAAATAATAAGACTTGAAATTACTCCTTGATCCATGGGCTGCAGAATGGATGTTATGTTAGCAGGATGTATCTTTGTACATCTCCATCAGAGGTCTTCAGTGATATGGTGAATCTTCAATGAGCATTAACGTTTTCAAATAATATTTTTTTCTGAGAAGTAGGTCCCAACAGCAGGCTTGTAACACTCAGTAAACCATGCTATAAACAGATAGCTGTCATCCTGGTTTTGTTGTTCCATTTATAGATTACAGGAAGAGTAGATTTATTATAATTCTTAAGGGTCCTAGAATTTTTGGAATGGTAAGTCAGCATTAGCTTTAATTGAAAGTCACCAGGTGCATTAGGGACAACAAGAGAGTCAACCTGTCCCTTGAAGCTTTGAAATATTATCTCTAGCTATCAAGGTCCTAGATGGTATCTTCTTCCAATACAATGCTGTTTTATCTACATTGAAAAATTTGTTGTTTAGTGTAGCCACCTTCATCAGTTATCTTAAGTAGATCTTCTGGACACTATTCTGCAACTTCTATATTAGCACTAGCTGCCTCACCTTGCACTTTAATGTTATGGTACAAGTTCTTTCCCTAAACCTTATGGACCAACTTCTGCTAGCTTCACATTTTTCTCTCGCAGCTTCCACACCTCTCTCAGTCTTCATAAAATTAAAGAGTTAAGGCCTCACTTTGAATTACGCTTTGATTTAAGGGAATATTGTGGCCAGTTTGATCTATCCAGACAATTAGAGCTTTCTATATCAGCAATAAGGCTGTTTCACTTTCTCATCGTTCTTATATTCACTGGACTAGTACTTTTAATTTCCTTTAAGAACTTTGCATTCACAACTTGGCTAACTGATTGGTGCAAGAGTCCTAGCTTTCAGCCTATCTCAGCTTGAGTCATGACTTCCTCAGCAAGCTTAATCTAGTTTTTGATTTAAAATGAAAGATGTGCAATTCTTCCTTGCACTTGACCACTTAGAGGCCATCATAGGCATATTAATTGGCCTTATTTTAATATTCCTGTGACTCATGGAATAGGGAGGCCCAAAGAGAGAGAGAGAAAGATGGGAAGCAGCCAGTCGGTGGAACAGTCAGAACACACATAACATTTATTGATTAATTTTGCTGTCTTATAGAGGTGAGGTTCATGGAGCACCCAAACAATTACAGTAGCAACATCCAAGCTCACCCATCATAGGTTACCATAATAAATATTAATGAAAAAGTTTAAAGTATTATGAGAATTACCAAAATGGGACACAGAGACTACAAAGTGAGCATATGCTGTTGGAAAAATGGTGCAGACAGGCTTGCTCTACACAGAGTTGCCAGAAATCTTCAATTCATAAAAAATTCAGTATCTTTGAAGTGGAATAAAGGGAAGTACAATAAAATGAGGTATGCCTGTAAACTGCTGCAATATACATATTCAGCAATTTTTGCCCAGTTTCATTCTTCTTTTTTACACTCATAGAGATAGAAAAAGTTGAAAAAAGTTCAGAGTTCTCACTTTGACTTCACTTAGAAAAAACAGTGCTTCTTCATATTCACCATAAAATATCAGTAAGTAAGCCGGCAGAACTTACTAAAAATATCTTAGGAGCAGAACATTGCTTACTACAAAGATAGTTATTTAATTAATCCCCAATAGATATTTCTGTTTTGTCTAAAGTCTCTATAGCCACCATCCAGTGGCTCTTATTCCAAGTGGTCAGCTTCTTTTTTATGCAAAGTCACTTCTGTATAAAATATAATGCAAATCCAACCTTGGACCACCTTCTATTGTCAGAGGACTTCTCAAAGCTTCTTTGCAACAACATTCATCTTCCACTTCTAGAGAATTCAAGCACCAAATAACTACTAAGAAAATAAACTTTTCTTCACATCTTATACTTCCTTAGATATAGTAATAAATATAGGTAATTCACATATGTACAAGAGGCAGGGTCTATTTTTGACTTTGGAATAAACAGGTAATTATAATGCCACAGTTTTCTAAAACACAAATGCATGACCTACTGTGTTACTATAGCACCGATGAAGCTATGTGTTACATGATGAAGCAAGAAAATGCTTTTGAACAGATGCTTATGAGTAGGATATCTGTGAGTAATAGAGGGCAAAGTTCAATCAAAATTAAGTAATCATAGTTAAAATCGAGAATGCCATTGATGGTTGTGGAATGCAATTAAATCACAATAAGTGATTGAGTCATTATAAAGCAATTTATGCTGTTGAGGAAGGTGTGGGTCAAATTAGAAAAAGATTAAAGGCAGGAGTAATAGTTAAGAAGATTTTAAAATCATATGGGAAATGGATGGTGGTTGTTTTATCTAAGACCTTGGCAATGAGGATAAGAGCATCACTCCTCAAGGGTGGCACATCTAAAATATCTAGAAGGTTATTTTAATCTACCTTTCCAGGAATTTGGATAGTACTCTCTGTCCACTCCGACAATCCACCCTACAAAGAGTACATAATTCTGATGACGATCACTTTTATTAGTAACTTTAAGTACTAGTGTAGAAAGGGATAGCAAAATTTGAGTGGGACTTAACAGAAATGAAATCTAGGGCAAACTGTAATTATAAATAAAATGTGTGAGTCAGGCATGGTAGCTCCCGCCTGGAATCTCACCACTTTGGGAGGCCAAGGTGGGTGGATCACCTGAGGTCAGCAGTTCAAGACCAGCCTGACCAACATGGTGAAACCCTGTCTCTACTAAAAAAATACAAAAAATTGTCAGGCACGGTGGCAGGTGCCTGTAATCCCAGCTACTCAGGAGGCTGAGGCAGGAGAAGTGCTTGAACCCGGAGGCAGAGGTTTCAGTGAGCTGAGATTGTGCCATTGCACTTCAGCCGGGGCAGCAAGAGCGAAACTCCATCTCAATAAATAAATAAATAAATAAATAAATAAATAAATAAATAAATAAAATGTGTGATAGGCATTTTCTAATATTGTTATCTTGCCTCAGTTTCTTCACTTGTCCCATAAGAATGAAATTTTAAAAATATTAAATATTATTTTTATTTCCTAGGGAAATTATCCACAATTGGCATCAACATTGGTGAAACAAATTTATACCTATAGAATAAAAAAAGCCATGAAGGGGTGAAGGGAAAGTTGTATGTATGCAGCAGCAAAGAGGAGAGGGCATAAGTCTTCAATATAAAGAAAAAGCTAAGAAAGTAAATAATAGACAGTGGATTTGCTCCCAAGATAAGAGTTGGTAACCCAATATTGGGTGCCTCAAACTGATTTCTTTGAATACTTTGTTTGAACATTGGGCAATTTTTATTACTGAGTCCCTGGGCTATTATCTACTTTTCCTTTAAGGATGTCTAAAAGGCAACTCTTTCCTGATTAACATGGAAGATACTTTCTGAATCCATGAATATAGTGGATCATAAATATTGAACTAAAAACAAAGAATACTTACTAAATAACTTTTTAGAGATATCGTTTACCCAGTAAGTTAAGTATGCCCCATAGAAAGTTTGTAAGTGACATACGATTTCCTTTAAAGCTTCGGATTCCTTTTTGTACAAGTGTACAGACAAGAAATATGAACTTCATTTATTAAGAACCTTTCGATTTTATTCCTCCTACTGTGATTTACGGTGAACCAGTACCATAGCTCAGCTGGGTGGATATATCAAAACAAGAAAAATAAAACTTAAGCACAGATTTAAAACTATAATACCACTGGGATACAAAATAAGAATGAACATCTAAATCTTTAAAACTGAACAAACAAAAGCTCTAGAATGAAAAGGCAATCAGAGAGAATCACTGTCACCTCCAATTAAAAGTGGAATTAAAATTGTCCCACAATTTTTGCTTCCAAATGCTTATGATCAATGTGATTTTCTCCTGGGTACATGCCATTTTGGCCCTTATAAAGGTTTATCTACTATTCCTGGCAGTATAGTTTCTATGAATTTGTTCTTAGTTAAGTAATGTTTAAAGCTATATTTTTATACTGAATAAGAAAAATCACATACATTTCTCTCACAGAATATTATCATTTCTCTTGACCTTCTTGATCTAATAAGGCAGTAAGTGACATTGTTTCAAAACTAGCACTATTTTACTGAGTATAAAAAAGTAATATTTCAGTAAGCTTATATTCAAAAGTAATAAAGTTAGCATAAATTGATTTGTAAAAATGCTTAGAGTTATAGTGTTGGGAAGATTAGAATATATTTTTGCTTGTTTTACTTACAGATAATCATTGAAGAAAACCAATATGGCACTTCTATATCTAGAGCTCTGGAGGGAGTGAAGGATAGATGGGTTTTTCCTACACATCGCCTGTGCCACTTGAAGCACCAGACATGAGGGTCTTGAGCATAGTATGTTTAATATTTTAAAGATGACAACTGTGTTTTACAAGTTAAAATGGCAATAATTATTTTTTCCTAGAATGCTGTGAATTCTTGGCACATAATAGGTGCCTAGTTAATTGTTCCTTCAATTATTCTTTCTTTTTCCAATCCCCTTTACTTACACACAGACACACATGCATACACTCATACACACTCATTCAATTAATACTCATTGAGGAAGTTCTTACATTCAAAGTATCAAACTCTTGCACCAAAGAAGAGTTCTCCACTAAGCTATTGTACTACAGATGTTCTTTAAGTATCGGAGGTACATGGAAGTTCCTGGGAAAACACGTGCTGTTTTGAAGAGGCTCCTAAAATTCTACATTTTTTCAAAACGTTTACAAACAAAAAACTAGTAGTTAGTAAAGGACATGAAATTTAACTTACTTAGGAGATTCATTAATTTGTTCGTTTTCTATTTAAAAATTTTTATAACTGTTTTTATATGTTGGACAACTTTTAGTTGCCTTTGGGATTTGACTGGCTCTGTGTATTATGAGAATTAAACTCAAGATTTCTTCAAGTGATTTGAACATTTGACAATCCAGTTGGGGAACCAGGTATTAATTAATAATTAATTTGTCGCATTCTTCAGCATATATTTTCTCCCTTCCACTGGCTTGACTTTGACAAAATATGAAGTATGAATGTTTGTGACATGAAAAAAATAGGTCATGAAATGATCCCATAGATTATTTCCCAAAATGATGTTTGATATCAATAGGACCTAAATAAACTTTCAAGAGTTATTATTTAAGGATAAGATAAAATAAGTCTTGAAGATAATATGAGAAAAACTTTATTTTTATAATGGATGAAAAAATTCTAGTCTAAATATTATAAAGATATGACTATTTATTATTATTAAGAGCAAACAATAAATCACTTTTTATAAAAGTCCCAGGTTCAATAATCAATAATATTACATGCCTATCTAGTAGGTTAGTTCTATATCTGCAAATAAAAGTGAAGAAAAGATCAAGTAGGTGAAATAATTGGAGAAAAAGTCATATACTCAAAACCTCGATGTCAGATCTTCTGAAACTTTGCCTTACATTACATGTAATACCATGTGACTATAGAGAAAATAAAGCCACAAAACTGGATTTGTTTCAGTTAATTTATTATAGGTATTTTTAGATGTAATGGTAAGAGATATTAGAGTCTTACTGAATTAAAATAAAGCTTCCTTTTGTTAAACCATTGATAAATCATTAATCAGGGTTTAAGAAGTGAAAGAAAGCTGGTTTGCTTGTCCAGTTCTAAATAGTGAAGAAGACAAATGCAAGAGAGTTTATTTAAAATTTAAAACTTTATCAATACCCTTCTTTGATTAGAAGTAATACATATAAAACCTGAAACTCATGGTCATAGTGGATCACACTTGTGATAGTTATTCCCTAGCCAGGACTTTAGCCATGTTATTTGCATTTAGCCTTTGCTAACAGCTCTGCTTATATTCTTGTCAGAGTTATTATACTGCCTTCTGCAAAGAAAGGCAATATCTATATTCCCAACCCTCTAAACATAATAAAGGAGCAAACACTTCTGCACAAAGCCTCTCTGAGCTATTTAATTTACTTTTTGACAAAAAGAGAATGACACTGAGTACTGTACAAAGAACAAAAGCAATTTTTATACCATGAAATGCAAATGTTAATTTAACATTACTAAAAATAACATTACTATAAATTCAAGAAAATTATCCTATATATTTTTATAGACCTAGTGTGGTCTAAACACTTGACATCTTAATAAGAGTACTTTGAATTTCTTAAGAAAAACATTAACTTTTTTTTATTTTAAATGGAAAATAGTCAAAGAGAAAATCAATCAAAATTAAACCAGGAGTAAAGGTTACTCTTCAATCTCCCTGATAACTTTTTTATCATTATATATTCCCATTTATTCTTCTAATTTTAGGAAAGACATGAACATCTTTATTAAAAGGAGATTTTTAAAAATAATACTACAAACTAAAAGGTAAAAAATAGTTATAGGAAGTTCCTGAAATCACTGCATTGCCAGGTGGTTTGGAATGATCACTCCAATATTACATGTACTATATTAGTTGCTAAACTGAAAATTGTTAATGGTGACAATAATATATTTTAATAACATATTTAAAATACATACCAGCAGAAAGCAAAGCTATATATTATAATGACAAAATCAGTATTTATATTTATGAAGGTCTGCATTGTTTTGTTTTGTTTCTCTAATTGCATTTTCTGAGGGCAATATTTTAACGAGAACCCCATAAAATGTCAAGTGATGCTCTACATCCCAGAAGACTTAGAATTTCATGACTAAGTAAATGCAGTAGTGGAGGAACACTCTGATCAGCCTTACATTTTATGTCAGGCTATCTCTCAGATCATTCTGCTCAGATCTCAGAGTCTTGCAATGTAATGAACAGATACTTAGATCAGCCCTGCTTATACGTTGTGGTTAAGCCTGACATTGATCAGAGTGGCTAAAAAATAAATTTGGGCTTGTTTTATTACTAAACAACAAAGTTCAACTCTGTGAGTTTCTGCAAGTCATTAGTTTCCTTCAGAATGTACCACACAATGATTTCTGCAAAGGAATATAGTATCAACTAAAAGGTAAATCCAGCTTTATAACACTGGTTAGGAGTCCAATTATTTATTTGCATGCTATTTTTAGCAAATGTGTCAATAGAAATTTTAGTAATCCTTTTTTTTCCATTTTTTCTGAAGTGTGGGAATGTTTGGGAAAATCTACACTTTCGAAGAGATATGTTGCAAAAACAATTCTGTGTAGCGTTCTTTGATTGGTCTTAGCTATGTTATCATTTCCTTATTGGGCTTCAAAATAATACAGAAAAAAAGAAATGTATCTCTAGCTTTTGTTTTAGTTCACAGAATTTTATTTTTTCATAATGATAGGCACTTTAGAAAAACTAAGGAGGTAATTGCTTTGGCATGTTTCTCAGCAACCCTCCCTTTCTAATGTGTCTTTTCTGGTGGTGACAGAGAAAGATTCCTGCCTCACATTTGGTGATTTTAATTCTTTCAAATAGGTTAGTGAGGGACAGATACTTTGGCATCAGATAGCTTTGCTGTCCCAATTCTGCAACTAGCAGTTAGTGAACTGTGTTATCTCCTAGTCAGATTTGCAAAGCGTTAGGAAACTGCATCAGTTACACATGCCATCTTGTGCAAATTACTTAAACTGTAAGAGTTTCTATTTTCTCAGAGTTAAAACAGCAGTAATAATAACAGCACATCTATAAGAGTAGTCCTATATTAAGCAAAATAATTTACTTAATGGGTTTAGCCCAGTGCCTGGCATAAAGAAAGGGATTGACAATTTTGTTTTAAAATCTGTTTTTATTTATTTTGTTTTGTTTTACTTTCATTCTGGTTTTCTATTTTGTTGTTTGGTTTTGCTTTGTTTTTTGTGTATAACCCAATGGTGCTTAACCAGGGACAGCTTTTCCCTCCAGGGAATATTTGACAATGTCTGGGCACATTTCTAGTTGTCATAACTGGGAGAGGGGAGCTACAAGTATGTAGTGAGTGTTAAACATCCTAAAATGCACTGGAAAGCCCTCTAAAGTAAGAATTACCTGGACCAAAATGTCATTGTGCTTACATTCAAAATGTCAGTGTGCCAAGGTTGAGAAACTCTGCAAGAATCTGTCGTTTTTGTTTTCTTTTTTACCATTTACCTACTTACATCCCATTTTTATTCCTCTACTGCCACCTGCTTTTTCTTCTTATTTATAATATTTTTTGTCTCTCTCCCCTCACAGTCATGTTTAAGGAAACATCAAATCTAGAATTTTATTTTACTTTCTATGTCTTCAAAATATTTTTATAAAAAATGACCCATACCTGTTTAACCCAAGTGTTTAGAAAGGCAGTCCAACATGGACCCTGAGCATCCATAGACCTCCTTGTTCAGTGTGCCAGATGACAAGGGTTATCATCTCCAGATGCCAGGCAGCTTCAGTAGCTAGTCATGTAAGTAACTGCTTAGGTAAAAGTGACCAGAGCATGTCAACATGGCAAGGGCTTGCTTCCCAGGCTTGTATGCTGGTTGCCATAAAATGTGTCAGACACAGGGTCCCAGATTCCTTGACTGTGGTTCAGTGCAGTAGATGCATAACCTCCATCTGGGCTCATGATGTCACCCTGTGGGATTGGAGGGCAAGAGGAAGTGGCATTGCCATTCCAATACTTGCAGTGTTTGCTTAACTGTAAGTAATAAACTGTCCTTATCTCATTGTCTACTTTGTCACCTAGAGAGTTGTGGCAGGTTTACTCCTTGTCATTCTCTGTGAGGTTGGGATTTTTCCCTGACAAGTGTACAGCTGGATAACCCATACAATTGGGCACTTAATTTATAAGGTTCTTCTGTTTTTGTTTTTATTCCAACATGATAGTAATTGATCCTAATAGGTTTATTTCCTCATTATCAGTATCATCGTCATCTTCCTCAATCACTAATCATTATCACTAGAAAGAACACAATTTAGCTTAGATCCTTCTGACTCCAAACCCCATGCATGCCCTTACCACTAAGTGTGGTTACCACGTTTTTATCTTAATCCCTTTAAGCCATGTACAGAACATTTTCTAACTGTAGATTTTGCTGCTACTTCTGCCTTATATTGTGATTCTTTAGCTATGTATTTGGATTTTTAGTCTGAAACACTGTGAATTCCTTAAAGTGTTTGTCTTACTAATTTTGAGTTTGGTACACTGTAAATCAGAAAATACCCCAAATATAAAAGGCTCTCTGTATTTAGTAAAAATGAGATAGCAATATATATATTATTCTTTTGCCTTATGACTGTGGCAACCCTAAATACAGTTTTGATATTATGAGGTTTTGGGGGAGCATTATATAAGATTATTCTATGGATGCTATCTGGAATGTATTTCAGTCTTACATGCCCCCAGGAAGGCTCATCATTATCCAGTCTGAGATCCCAACTTCTGTCCCTGTGTCAACAGGATTGCAAGGCTAGTTCATCTGTTGGCAAATCTCAGAACACAGAATATGCCCACCCACCTCCTGAAGACTGGTCTTGACAATCAAATCATAAGGTGAAAACCACGCTAACATAATTAGGTATGTTAACTATTTTCTTAGGGCTATTTCACTAGATGTAGCCATTGTTTAACTCATTTGTCTCCCATTTTCTTCTCTATTTTTCTACTTCCCTCACTTTGACTACAGTATAGAAAGTATTGTCTTTATGTAAATAAGTTTTACAGCTCATTTGAGCATTCAACTGCAGTAACAGTGATGTTGTATTACAAACAGAGATAAAAGAAAAGCTTCCCTATTGACTGATAGTGGTATCACTAACTTCCTGCTTGATATTGAAATTCTTCATTTTATATTGTAATTCTTCATTTTCTTTTATTAATATAACAAAGAAAAATGAAGCATGACTCTAGATCTCATTTTGGTGTCGGTGTCATTCTCTAGCGTAGTTCAGACAAAAATGCTTTTCTAGAATAAATGTTTTCTACTGTCCAGAAGAGGAACTTTTTTATTGGGACCATGTGAATTGTTTTTCAGCTTTTCAGAAAAAAATTTGTGGGCAGTTATATTAAATTACCCTCCTATCACAACTGCACACTCAGTAGCATTTCCTTTGCCATAACAGGTTGTCCAATTTAAATAATTGACATTTTTTTCAAGCTTATAGCTAATTCTGAAGCAGCAAGCATAACAAAGTTTAAAATAATGTTCCCCTGAAAATAAATATTTTCCAGCTTTTATGAGCACTGTATATAACTTGATAAATGGAATAATATTTACATTACATATTCTTCAAGGACTCTTTATAGAGCCACACACGGCGTAGGACTGGTTATCTCATATCCTTTTTCCTTATATTAGGTTTTTTTAAAAAAGACTTTTCAAACATAGTTTTACATAATGTGTTTGCCATAAAAAAGCAATACATAGAATAGTACAATATTAACTTAAGTATAAAGACAAGCAAATAGAACAGGGAAGTAAATTTATAAATACTACTTCTCTGGTTTTTGAACATTGGTGCTATTATTAATCCCTCTTAAATGTTCGGCAAATGCATTATATGGGATTATTTCAGAGTTTTGAAAGCTCTATTGAACTACAATTATCAGGAGTAAGGAGGACTAATGTTATCAAGCTTGTTCTTTTTTGGCATTGAATTATGTGCATTAGTTAGACTTCTAGTTAACTTTCTCAAGCATCAGGAAACTTTAGATATATAACTCCACATTACAGCAATCTAATGCCTAATACATTGGAAAAAACATGGCTTATCACAAAAATCTTTAAATCGTACTTCCCTTACTGTCTCTGGCTTCTGGTTTCCAACTTCTATGTCTCTGCTGTTTTGTCTCACTTGGATTTTGAAGCCATAAAATCGACTGTATGTGCTCTGCCATGTCTAGTACATTGAGGGATAAATGGGCTCTAATCAGCTGGATTCTTTCAGTGTGCTAATGACTTCCTGGGAATAAGTTAGCACATGGGGTACTGCACTCACTCTTTCTGATCACTGGAGTACCATTTAGCAAATTGCTGCTGCAGTAGGCTCAATGATACCCCAGTGTTCTGAGGAAGTTAATTGCAGATTGTAAGGTACCTCATATCCTCCTATGACCTAACTGAAAGCAGGAATGTGGGCAATTCAGTTTGCCTTCCAGCATTAGCTTCATGATGTATTAAGTGTTCTGAACTTCTTAGAACTTCTATGCAAAAGGTAGGGTTTCTCAGCTTCACTTGCCCCTTTATCCTTGGGAACATCCTACCCCTCCAGGGACAGAGAAGATACAACTGTTCCCCTACTTGTCTCAACCTTTGGGGAATCTGCCTTTCCAGCTGATGGCAAAGAATCCTTCCTTCCTGACAGAAGGAAGCTGTGTCAGGTTTGGGAAAGCTATCACTGCGTATCACAGTTTTGAGGCTCAAGTCGGGGGGCTGTGCAATGTCTTGATTTTTCCAGGTTTCTTGGGAATGTTTTCAGTAAACAAACTCAGGGAACTTTCAAACTATTAAGGTTGGAGGAAATCGATATACTCTGTACCTTTTCCTAACATATTTCATTAATTAGAAAATATAATTAAAAACTCTTCAATTACCTGCATTAAAAAATGAGTTAGGGAAGGGGCGAAGACGATATGAGAAGAAGGCAGATCAGAATTACTGCCATCTTTCCTGATTGGCATCCTGGCCTCTGAACGATATTAATTAACATTTTCTATTTTAGCATAAATGCATTCTTTTCTTCATTAGACAACATTCTGACTCTAGTACCAAACTGAATGATATGACTTTGAAATATTGGTGTCCCTGGGTTCAAATAACAAAAATACAGCAAATATTCAGACTTTGAAAATAACTCAATAAGAGAAAGAGGATCTGTCTGGGAATAGAGTGTTTGACTATAAACTTAAAACTGTAGAAACTGGCAAGCAAAAGACTCTCCCCTGAACCTTGATGAAAAGTATTGTCTTGCATTCTATTTGTGGGAAAGACTCCTGCTTTATAACATGTCCTAAGTAAAATAATTAAACAGGAATCCCTAATAAATTTAAAAGAAAAAGTAATATGCATTATTTTGCAGGAAATTGGGTTGTATATGGTTATATATTCTGTGCTGCTGAGACATGTGAATGCTTAGCTAGAAAGGTAATTTACAAAAAAAATTGTCTACCTATCAAAATGGAGGGAGTTCTGAAGTTGTTTAAATCAAAACAGCATAAAAAATAAGTTCATCCACCACATCTAACCATATTCAGGATTATATTTAATACACATACACACACACACACACATATATATATGTGTGTGTATCTATCTATCTATCTATCTATCTATCTATCTATCTATCTATCTATCATCTATTATATACAGGTTGAGTACCCCTTATCCAAATTCTTAGGATGAGAAGTGTTTTGGATTTTGGATGATTTTCAAATTTCAGAATATTTGCATATACATAATGAGATATGCTGCGGATGAGACACAAGTCTAAAAACAAAATTCATTTATGTTTCATATGAACCTTATACATGTAGCCTGAATATAATTGTATACCATATTTTTAATAATTTTGTGCATGAAACAAAATTTGTTTTAAATAAGTATGTAATTTTTCACTTGTGGCATCCTGTTAGCACCCAAAAAGTTTTAGATTTTGGACCATTTCAGATTTCGTATTTTCAGATTAGGGGTGCCAACCTGTATGTGTGTGTATATAGCTAGCTAGCTAGCTAGATAGATAGATATTCCTATGTGTGTCTGTATGTGAATATATGTACATATAATTATGAGTGCATAAAAATTAAGTAATAATTGCACCATAGTATAATAATATATACTTCTCAAATAAATTCTTTAACATAGCTACAGATGGTGATAGGGTGCCTTTTAAGAATTTTCAGAGTTTTATTCTTAACTCTTTTTCTTCTTTAAATGTGCACTCCTTTAAGAAAAATAAGCTTTTTATTTTCTGATTAAAAGGAAATATATTGGGTTGCATTTTGAAAAGAGCAAGATCTGTCATTGAGTTTTCTTGTGACTGTCAAGAGCCTACGTTTTCTTCTCTAAGATCAGTGTTTATAAATCACTTGCTTTCTAAGCAAGCACTTAACAGACATCATATCTCAAAACATCACAATATTCCTGTAAGGGTAAAAAGGAGCAAATTGCATTCTTCTCACTGATCAGAATCTGAGGTGTTTGGTTGAATTCCTGAAACATGGCAATGCCTGGCTCAAATCACACAGTGAACTTAGAGCAAAAATTATAACCAAGGGCACAGCACTCTCACTACTGTGGTTGCAGCTGTTTTCTCAGTGAAATTGAATGTCCTTTTCCTCTTCTAAGGGTGCACAGGAGAAGGAACATTTATGATAAAATAGGTGCATATTTCTTCTATTGATACCCTTGCAGGTAAATGCGAATTTCATGTGCATGCTTGAATCTCCCAGTTAGATTGAAGCCACTCACAGCCTAAACAAATTAAAAACATTAACCATATTTCTGCTCTAATTTTATTTTTCAAAAGCTCTCTTTCTACCTGAGTCAACTGTCAGCAACAAAGATGACAAACTATTTTTCTTTTGTTTGGTCACCCTCAATATATACCCATAATCATGTACAGAATTTTTTTCCGGAACATTATGACATTTCCATGTGATTTGTTTTCTGGGTAAAAGGACTATTTTATTATGAAAAGTGTTACTTCCAGGCTTTGCAATATTAATGCATAATGTCATATATGGTTGTTTGGACATTGTAGTGAAGGCTTCTTACAGCTGCCCTGAGTGTTTATTGTCAGCTGTGAATTAATCTGCTGTTATAATGTGACATGTTCAGTAAAATGATGCAGATCATTTGCTTGTTTAGGGTCTCTGCTAAAACAATATAAGATAAATAAAAATAATTCTTCCCATTCCAAGATGTTCCTAAACCTTGCGAGTATCCAAATAAATAAAGTATTGACTGAAATCCCACTTAACTACATACTATCATGATATTTAACATTTGTCAAAGCTTATTGTAAAACCAGTTTTTTCACAGGATGGTGGATTAGAGGCTTTTAGTGTGCCTCAGCCACCTGGAAATTGCAAAATAGTGCATGAAGATGAACCCTGAGTTTTCATTCAAGAAGGAAAATGGGAAGCCACCAGAATTGTGAAGGATACCCCAGACCCCAGGGAGTAGAGCAATAGCACCCAGCCCCCATGACAATGTCTGGCTGATAAAAGTGAGTGGAAGCCCAGTACATGAGAGAGGCAGGGAGCCTCCCTCTGTGCTCACCTTTTCACTGGGGACCCAAGCAACTCAGGGGAGAGCACTTTGTTTCTCCGAAACCATGGAGCTAACTTGAAGAGAGGCTTGTAGATACTGTGAGGGAAAAACAAGGGGAAAAGCTGAAGAGTTTTTCCCTGACCTGGGACTGAGCAGGACATCCTGTTAAATTTGAGTGCATGCAATGTCAGTCATTCTTGGTGATCCAACAATGTGGCTACTCAGGCATTTTAGTCACCAGCCAGAGATTGAACCACCTGCTCTGGAGTGGGGTAGGGGCCTCTACAGCCAGAATTGTGGAAAGTGCCTCAGCAGTAGGTGGGGAGGGAGGAGAGCTGCTACAGCTACAGTTTCTCCTGGGTGCCAAGACTAGGAGCAAGGGGCCAGCTTGCTGACCCAGAACCAGCTGGTGTGGTGTGTGCCATTGTTGCGTGTCCCAGCCTGCTCCTCTGAGATTGTGGTGCATCAGAACCCTTTCTGCTCTATCCCCAGGCAGACATCCAAACATTTGGAGCACTTGCTTGACTAGATCACCATCCAGAGCTGCTCTAACCTTCCTGGGCATAGATCATAGTACAGTGGGGTTCTCTCTGCTCTATACTCAGGCATATCTCCAGGCATTCAGAGCACCTACTCAACTGGATCAGCAGCCTGACCTGCTCCATCCTTCCTGTGCAGAGATCCTGGTACAGGGAGGTCCTCTCTGCTTTGCACCCAGGAAGATCCCAGGCGTTTGCCTGGAACAGAAGCCCAAGTCACCCCACCCTTCCTATGTAGAGATTCTGCTGTGGGGCGGGTGGTGGGGGGGCTCTCTGCTACACACCCAGGCAGATTTCCAGGCATTCAGAGAACCTGCTTGCTGGGTTCAGCAGCCTGAGTCACCCTACCCTCCTGTGCAGAGATCTTGGGGCAGAGGCCCCTCTCTGATCCCTAGGTAGATCTCCAGGTCTCTTGAGCAACTACTCTTCTGGATTAGGAGTTCAGGCCAACCCCATATTCCCATGCAGATAATTTAGGGCCAATGGGGGTTTTCAAGCTCCATGCCTAGGCACACCTTTGGGCACCTGGTGGCCACCCACTGGATTCTCCCTTAGTGCTGGTGCTCGTTTGCCACCTGATGAACTCTAGGTGGAGAGGATCTGCCCAGTCTGGCCCCACTCATTATAGCCTTGCCCCCACTCCCTCACCCAGGGCTGAGCAAGGAGCTCAGACCACTGTGCACTCCACAGATCAGCCCCTTGTCTGCAGCAACCAAAAGCTTCTCCTTGTAAACAAGGATCTAGAATATACCATTGCAGTGCAGCTGGCTCTTATCTGTAAGCACTAGCTACTGGCTTGTAAGTCTAACTGCTCAGCCCAATATAAACCTGCCAAAAGACATGCATAGGGCTATAGTGTTGCAGAAATCAGGAGACTGGAGAGACAAGCGTTGGGGAACAGGAGGATTTTATTTAGGTGGCCACTGGTTCAGCAGATTAATATCCAAAGGCTGGGCATTGAACAAAGACAGGGGTTGACTTTTGTACATACAGCTAAAGAGGGTTGGCCATCTAGTGACTCGAAACCCGCAGGGCAGGTAAGCGAGCTTACAGAAGCAGAACAAAGGCAGTTAATCATACTGTGACAGGTTTTGCAACAGGCTTTGCAACATGAGCTTATCTCACTTAAACATGTCTTGTGACTTTGCCATGCTACAGAAAGAAAAACAGGAACTTATAAAAACTTTTACAAACTTGCAGAAACAGTTACAAAAGTAGTTATGAGAGCAGAGCAAAGAATGATAGTATGGGGAGAGATTTCCAAAGGGGGAAACTGATAAGGAGAACTTGCTTTTCCCATCCTTGTACCTGGAGTCTATTCCTTTGGGTCCCCTGCCTGGCCTTGCAGATAATGTTATCATAGCTCTAGCAGGACTTTGGAGTGAGTCAGCCTGGTCAAGGCTGTTTTCCCTTTGCTTGTTTTTCTTTTTATATTTCCTGCTTCAATAGAGGCAAAACAAAAATACCCTACCCAGCATTCTCTACAGCCACAACATCTGGTGGGTAGGAGGAAGAGCAAGGAAAAGAAAAAATAATAATATAGAAAATGAAAGAAAATTAAAAACTCCTAACTGCATAAAAATAATTATAAAATTAGAAGTGCAAGTATCTCAAGATAAGACAGAACCAGCATAAGAATTCTGACACCATGAGAAATCTGAATGTATTGTCACCACAAAATTTCACTAGTTCTCCAGCAATGGTGTTTAAACAAAATGGAAACTCAGAAATTACAGATAAAGAATTCAAAGCATGGACTGCAGGTAAGCACAATGAGATTCAAGACAAGGTTGAAAATCAAAACAAAGAAACTTCCAAAGCAATCCAGGAAATAAAGAAGACATAAACATCTCAAAAAGAAAACAATTGGAGCTTCTGGAATTTGAAAGCTCACTTAAGGAATTTCTTTCTCTTTTTGAGACAGGGTCTGGCTCTGTCACTCAGGCTGGAATTTCGTGGCATGATTTGGCTCACTGCAACCTTTGCCTTCTGCATTCAAGCCAACCTTCCACCTCAGCCTCCCAAGTAGCTGGGACTACAGGTGTGTGTCACCATGCCCAGCTAATTTTTTTCGTATTTTTTGTGGAGATGGGGTTTTGTCATGTTTCCCAGGTTGGTCTCCAACTTGTGAGCCCAATCTGTCTGCCTGCCTTGGCCTCCCAAATACTGGGATTACAGATGTTAACCACTGTGCCCAGCCTAGGAATTTAAAAATACAATTGAAAGCTTTATCAATATAACTGACCAAGCAGAAGAAAAAATTTCAGAGCTTGAAGACCAGTCTCTTGAACTAACTCAGTCAGATAAAAATAAAGAAAAAAAGAATTTAAAAAAATGAATAAATCTTCAAGATATATGGCCTTATGTAAAGTGACCAAACCTAGAATTTCTAACAGGCATTCCTGTTAGAAAAGGAGAAAATGTAAACAATCTGGAAAACATATTTGAGGAAATAATGAATAAAATTTTCCCGATCTTGCTAAAGAGGTAGACATCCAGAAACAAGAAATCCAGAGAACATCTGTGAGTTGCTATTCAAAATGAGCATCACCAAGACATATCGTCACCCAACTGTCTAAGGTCAACACTGAACAAAAAATCTTAAAGGCAGCTAGAGAGAAAAGTCTGATCATGGTCAAAGAGATCTCAATCAGTCTAACAGTGAACTTCTAGCAGAAATCTTGCAAGCCAGGAAAGATTGAGGTACTATTTTGAGGATTCTTAATTAAAAAAAAAAGAAATTCTATACAAGAATTTCATGTCCCACCAACTGAGCTCCATAAGCAAATGAGAAATAAAATATTTTCCAGAGAAGGAAGTGCTAAGGGAATTTGTTACCACTAGACCTGTATTATAAGAGATGCTTAAGGAAGTTCTAAACATGGAAATGAAAGACCAATACCAGCTACCATGAAACACACTTAAATACATAGTTCACATATCCTATAAAGCAGTGGTACCCAACCTTTTTGGCATCAGGGACTAGTTTTGTGGAAGACAGTTTTTTCATGGACTGAGGTGGGTGGATGGTTTTGGGATGATTCAAGTATATTACATTTATTGTGAACTTTACTTCTATTATTATTACACTATAATATACAGAAATAATTATAGAACTCATTATAATGCACAATCAATGGGAGCCCTGAGCATGTTTTCCTGCAAGTAGATGGTCCCGTCTGGGGACAATGGGAGACAGTGACAGATCATCAGGCATTAGATTTTCATTAGGAGCACACAACCTAGATCCCTCACATGTACATTTCACAATAGGGTTTGTGCGCCAATGAGAATCTGATGCCGCTGCTGATCTCACAGGAGTTGGAGCTCAGGCAGTTATGCAAGCAATGGAGAGTGGCTGTAAATACAGATGAAGCTCACCTGCTGCTCATCTACTGTTGTGCAGCTCAGTTCCTAACAGGCCACAGACCAGTATTAGTCCATGGCCTGGGGGTTGGGGACCCCTGCTATAAAGCAACCACATAATAGAAACTACAAAGAATCCAGCTAATAACTTCAAAATGGGATCAAAAATCTCACATATCAATATTAATCTTGAATATAAATAACCTAAATGTCCCACTTAAGTGGTATAGAGTGACAAGTTAGATAAATAAACAAGACCCTTCTATCTACTGTCTTCAAAAGACCACTCTCACATGCAACAGCACTCATAGGCTCAAAGTAATGGGTTGGAGAAAGATTCATCATGCAAATGGAGAACAAAGAAGAGCAGGGGTTGCTACTTTTATATCAGATAAAACAGACTTTAAACCAACAACAGTAAAAAAGGACAAAGAAGGGAATTACATGATGATAAAGGGTTCAATTCAACAAAGAGACTTGACTATTTTAAATATATATGCTCCCAATATTGGAACACCCAGATTCATAAAACAAGTACTTCTAGACCTACAAAAAATCATAGACAACAACACAGTAATAGCAAGGGACTTCAACACCCCACTGTCAGCATTGGACAGATCATTGAGGCAGAAGACTAACAAAAAAATGGTGAACTTAAACTCAACACTTGACCAATTGGACTTAACAGACAGCTATACAATACACTGCCCATCAACCACAGAATATACAATCTTCTCATCTGCACATGAAAGATGATACTCTTTTATTGAATGCATGCTTGGCCATAAAGCAAGTCTTAATACATTAAAAAATTGAAATAATACCAATCACACTCTTGAAATACAGTGGAATAAGAATGTAAATCAATACCAAGAAGATGTCTCAAAACCACATAATTATATGGAAACCCACAACCTCCCAAGATTGAATCAGGAAGAAATTGAAGCCATGAACAGATAAATTTCAAGTTCTGAAATTGAATCAATAATAATAATAATAATAACCTGCTAACCAGAAAATAAGATAAAAATCACTGGACCAAATAGATTCACAGCCAAATTCTACCAGATGTACAAAAAGAACTGGTACCAATTCTACTGAAACTATTTCAAAAAAATTGAGGAACAGGACTCATTCCTAACTCATCCTATGAAGCCAGCATCACGCTGATACCAAAACCTGGAAAAAACACAATAAAAAAAAAAGAAAATTACAGGCCAATATCCCTGATTACCATAGACATTAAAATCCTCAACAAAATACTACAAACTGAATCCAATAGCACATCAAAAAATTAATTCACTATAATCAACTGGGCTTCATCCCTGGGATACAAGCTTATTTCAACATACACAAATCAATTAATGTGATTCACCTGAATTAAAAACAAAAGCCATGTGATCATCTCAATAGACACAGAAAAGGTTTTTGATAAAATCCATATCCCTTCACAATAAATGCCTTCAAGAAACTAGGTATTGAAGGAATATACCTTAAAATAATAAGAGCAATCTATGACAAACCCACAGCCAACATTATACTGAATAGGCAAAAACTAGTAGCACTTTCCTTGAGAACTGGAACAAGACAAAGATGCCCACTTTCACCACTCCTATTCAACGTAGTATTGGAACTGGTGGCCAAAGAAATCAGCCAAGAGAAAGAACTAAAATGCATCCAAATAGGAAAAGAAGAACTCAAACTATCTCTCTTCATTGAGGACATGATTCTATATCTAGAAAATCCTAAAGAGTCCATCAAAAGACTACTGGAACTGTTAAATGACTTCAGTAATGTTTCAGGATAGAAAAATTAGTAGCATTTCTATACACCAGTAACATTCAAGCTGAGAGCCAAATCAAAAACACAATCCCATTTACAATAGCCATACACAAAAATAAAATACCTAGGAATACATCTAACCAAGTAGATGAAAGTTCTCTACAAGGAGAACTTCAGAACACTGCTAAAAGAAATAATATATTACACAAACAAATGGAAAAACATTCCATACTCACGGATTTAAATAATCAGTATTATTACTATGGATATCCTGTCCAAAGCAATCTACAAATTCAATGATATTTCTATCAAACTACCAACATCATTCTTCACAGAACAACTATTCTAAAACTCATATGGAACAAAAAAAGAGCCCATAGCAATCATAAGCAAAGAGAACAAAGCCAGAGGCATCACATTACCTGACTTCAAATTCTATTATAAGGCTACAGTAATCCAAGCAGCATGGCACTGGTACAAAACCAGACAGATAGACCAATGGAGCAGAATACAGAACCCGGAAATACAACTGCACACATACAGCCGTCTGATCTTTGACAAAGTTGACAAAAAATAAGCAATAGGGAAAGGATTCCCTAATCAATTAATGGATAGCTGGCTAGCCATATGCATAAGAAAGAGACCCCACCCTGACCTTTCACCATATACAAAAATTAACTCAATATGGATTAAAGATTTAAATATAAGACCTCAAACCATAAGCATCCTACAAGAAAACCTATGAAACAGCATTCTGGACCTCCGCCTTGGGAAATAATTTATGACTAAATCCTCAAAAGCAATTGCGACAAAAGCAAAAATTGACCAGTGGGCGCTATTAAACTAAAGAGTAAACAGATGACTTACAGAATGGGAAAAAATATTCCCAAGTTATGCATCTGACAAAGGTCTAATATCCAAAGGAACTTAAACAATTGAACAAGCAATAAACAAATAACCCCATGGAAAATGTGCAGAAGTCCTGTTCACAACAGCAAAGACTTGGAACCAACCCAAATGTCCATCAATGATAGACTGGATAAAGAAAATGCAGCACATATACGCCATGGATTACTATGCAGCCATAAAAAGGGATGAGCTCATGTCCTTTGCAGAAACACTGATGAAGCTGGAAACCATCATTCTCAGCAAACTAACAGAAGAACAGAAAACTAACCAGTGCATGCTCTCACTCATAAGTGGGAGCTGAACAATGAGAACACATGGACACAGGGAGGGGAACAGCACACACCAGGGTCTGTTGCGGGGTGGGAGGGCGGGGGGGAGGGACAGCTTTAGGAGAAATATCTAATGTAGATGACAGGTTGATGGGTGCAGCAAACCACCATGGCACGTGTATACCTATGTAACAAACCTGCACATTCTGCACATGTACTCCAGAACTTAAAGTATAATAAAAAATAAATAAATAAAAATGTGTAGAAGTCATGAACATTCACTTCTCAATAGAAGACATGCAAATGGCCCAAAAACATGAACAAATGCTCCACAACACTAATCATCAGAGAAATACAAATCAAAACCACAATGAGATACCATTTCACACTAGTCAGAAGGGCTATCATTAAAAAGTCAGAAAACAACAAATGCTGGTGAGGCTGCAGAGGAAAGGAAATGCTTCTATGCTGTTGGTAGGAATAAAAATTAGTTCAGCCACTGTAGAAAGAAGTTTGGAGATTTTTCAAAGAACTTAGAACTACCACTTGACCGGGTATATATTGAAAGAAAACAAATTGTTTTTATCAAAAAGACTCATGAACCTGCACGTTCATTGCAGCACTATTCGCAATGACAAAGAGACAGAACCAACCTAGGTGCCTATTGATAGTAGAGTAGAAACTAAAATAAAAGTTGAAAAATAAAAAAAGCTTATTGTAAATGACCCCTCCCACATTAGAAAGAATACAACTTTTTTGACGTTTATAAAAACCTGGTTTCTAGAGGAAACACTCATCCAGAATTTTTTTTCGAGATCAATTTAAAGGTTTTTGTACATTTTCCAGAGTTCTAATATGTTAATGAGAACCTATGTGACCGTACAAGCTTGTTTCTATTTATCACTGTAACAAACTCAACATCTATGTGGGATTTAGTTCGTACTTTAAACAAGAACACAGATTGTCAAATATTAAAATTATTTAAGGCATTGTGTTTATAATTTGACTCTGAGGGGTTACCTTAGAATCATACGTGTAGATTGGATGTGGGGGCAAACAGGCTGAGCTTCACCTCTCCCACCTCTTAGGAGGAGAGGCTCAGCTCTTCTTTAAGATTTCATTTGAAAAAATGGGTTTGTGAAAACAGGGAAAAAAATTGTAAATTCATCTCCATTTATCCCTGGTCTGGGCTGCTTACTTTCATTAAAACAGTTTGAATAAACTGGGCCCACACGAGAGATCTCTGTATTGGTACTATGAGACAATGAGGTATGATTAACCTCTTACTCCAAACATTGTTAGGAGAAGTAAATGAGAAAACGTTGAAAGTCTTTGGGAAAAGGTTATTCACGATTCCTTAAGTATTTGTCATGTACAGTGGATGGCTTACTAATAAACTCAGATTGTATGGCAATCATTTGTAAAAATTCTTAATGGAGAAATTCAAATGTATATAATTCAAAAGTAAGATTAATCAAGTTGTTATATTCATTTTCTTGGAGCATTTGACCATGTAGGTCCTTCAGCAAGTTACCTGCCTTTTCTAAGCCCCCATTGCTCATGAAAAAATAATCATACTATTAGCTTCAGGGGTGGTTTCGAGTATGAAATGAAATGACACCTGTGAAGCATGTAGCACAGTGCCTGGCACAGCAGGCAAGCTTACGTGCTCAATAAATGCCTATTGTTATTGTTGCTATTGTTATCATTCGCATTCATTTTGTAAGCCTGTCAGTAAATTCATCCCTGATTATTTATTGCCTGTGGGAAATGAGAAAATGCTTTAAACAGAGAAATAAAAATATGACTTTGAAAGGACTCGATCCTACTGGCTCTCTCTCAATTTTTTAATCTTCTACTAAGATCATAACAAACCCATCTGAGTCGTTATGATCTCATGAGAAGTATATGAGATGCTTCCATTGAAATTTTACTGAAATCTTATTGCAACCATTATGTTTCTTCCATTGAAATCATAATCATACGTTCTGAAGCCATCATGGTGTATTGTGTCAATGCATACTAAGGGAGTCCTCATGCACAGACCATTGACATGATAGACTATAACGGCTCTTTCAGAGCTGCTATGGTCCACTGTGTCAATGCATACTGAGGGAGCCTTTAATGCGCTGATCCGAGCCTGCAGAGTACTTCTCCACTCTGTGGAGGGGAGATATTCTTATGAATATTATGAATAAAAGCTAGTCGTTTGATTTTCATTCATTTTTAATAAGTCTCACAGTGATACAGTGATTAGTGTGCATCATGATATGGTAAGGTTCAGGTTTTAAGTAAGAATATGTAACAGTTGTCATCATCCCATGATGCAAGACAATTTACTTCAAAAAGCAGCTGTCTGTATCAAAGACGAGAGCACCTTGTGGGGTTCATTGGTACATGCTTCAGTGTAACTTCCCAACATCATCATATGAGAATCATTGCTGACCACTAATGAAAGCTGCAGAAAGCACTTTGTCATTACTTCTAAACAATATATCTGGGCATGTGATTTATTAATGAGAATTAAGGATTACAAAAGTGAAGTAGTTTCCTAAATTCATTTCTAACTGGAAAAGAGAAATTCAGATACATTTCCAGGCCACATTAAAAGTGGTAACTTTAAATAAAAAATATATTCATTCTACAGTCTTAATTATCGATCTATGACTATTTGAATCCCTTTCTTCACTGTAAAAGAAACCAAGTGTTGGATTGTACAAATGATCGTGCATATTGTACTGATTGTTAAATGTGCTTGCTTAAAGAAAAGCCACAGCCTGCCCCATTAAGTGTTATGTAACTAACCAAAATTATTGAACAATTAGAAAATCCAATTTGTCAGATAACTTTAAGACTTAATGTCCAGTGAACGTTAGATAATTAAAAAAATAATTTGCAGTGTTTTAACCCTTGCTTCTCTAAACCAGGATGGACTTTTTCAAAGTTTTTCTTTACATTCCATTGCTCTTTTCCACCAACGTATATTTCTTTCTCTTTTTTTTTCCTTTCCCTTACTTTTCAGATATATGGAGTATTTTTTTTCATCTGCTCTCATCCTCTGCTGAATAAGGAACAATTCCTTTTAAAGTATTAACTGATAACCACATTTATTTAAGTAAGACTTACTTGTTATTAATGTTTCAAAATTACAATACTTTTATATAGCAATAAAGACTTGAAACCCAACTCCTTAAACATTTCAAATAAATTAAAGACAAATTTCAGGTTTTAGAAAAAAAAAAACAAAAACTGTTACAACCTGTGTCACAGAATTACTTTTATTTTTGTTTGAAAGGTTGACCATGACTATATTCACCAGTGCTCCAGGAGCATGTGAAAACAGACTGAAGATAGATTAATAATAAAAACAACAAAAATAGCTGACACACCTATGCCATTTATTGTCCAGCTGCCCAATCAGATCCATTCTGCCCCTTCGCTGCTTTGCTCTGTGTCCTGATTGGTAAAGGACTAAGAGCTTTATCACTTTGACTTCATTGGCCTTTCGTATCCAATTGATTGCTGCCCACAGGAGGCATATGCAAGAAGTCAGAGGGAATGGAAGATAGTCAGCTATTTCTTTCTCTTCTCCTTATCTGCTTTAGCTCAGCAGTCTGGCAGTGCCTGCACTCTCCCACAACTATGGTGTCAACAGCTTCAGCTGTCAGGCTGTGAGAAAATATCAGGCCTGTGTGAAGCTTTGTGGCTTAGTTGGTTAAAGTGCCTGTGTAAAAAATGTCAGGCTTGTAGGTGAACATGGCTTCCTGCTGTTGCTGGTGCCTGAACTTCTCATCGTGTATTGTTGTTTCCTTTGCATTGGGACACATACCTGTAAATGGTCCCATTGCTACATTTTATTTTTTCAGTTAAGTCTTTTGAGTACAATTATCTTTCCTATTGAGACTATTATTTATTACTGTAAATGACACCGGGAATGGTCCCCAGAAACAAACTATCAAGATGGGTTTCTGGGAATGGGCTCCTCATATATCTAATGAACACAAGTGACCTCCTTGCTGATAGGTGAGCAGAAGTGTTTTTGTCTGTGTTATTATAAAGGAATGCCTGAGGCCAGGTAATTTATAAAGAAAAGAGCTTATTTGGCTCACAGTTATTCAGGATATAAAAGGAACATCGTGCCAATGTCTGCTTCGGATGAGGGCCTCAGGAAGCTTCTACTTATGATAGAAGGTGAAGGGAGCTGATGTGTGCAGAGATTGTATGATAAGATGAAGACAGAAAGGAGGGGGTGCCAGGCTCCTTTTAACAACTATGTCTTGAGGGAACTATTGCAGGAACTAATAGTGCGACAACTCACTCATTTCCATAAGGATGGCACCAAGACACTCATGAGGGATCCACCCCCATGACCAAAACACCTCTCACCAGGCCCCATCTCCAACACTGGGATCAAATTACAGCATGAAATTTGGTGGGACCAAACAAGTGCAACCAAACCATATCCAAACTGTAGCAAGTAAATGCTGAAGCTCCTGGTAAACAGTGACAGCACATTACCCAAATGTTACATGAAAGTTATGAAATGAAGTATGTGCTGGTGGGGAGCTAGACTGTGGTTATGTTCCCTATTACAAAGATGATGAGTACAATGATTGTGGTACGGGAAAACATATTTTGAGTGTGGTAAAATCACAATAAGAAAAAGATAAGGTCCGTGCCTTGAAATTTCAATTCATGGCATGAATTAAAAAGCATAGAATTCCTATGGTAGTTGGTTCGGTTTTTACTTTGGGTTTCTCCGAAAGAACACTCAGACAAGAATGTGGGTTTAAGTAAACTCATTTGTAGTTTACTCTTTTGTCAGAGGTAGATTTCTTGTTTTGTATATAATCCCAGAAAGTGCAGTGAGAGAACGAAGAAGTAAAACAACTAATAAAATAAAGCATATAAAACATATGTTAATGAGCAGGTTACTTTGTGGACAATTAGGGTTCAATCTATTTGGGATTCTGTGGGAAACTTTACAGAATATTAACCAATCAATCTACATAGAATTATTTACCAGAGGGAAGAAAAACATGAAATATTTGATTTACAAATTCCCATCACATATTGGTTTAACACTCTGGGGGTTTTAAGTTCTTCTCACTTCCAGCTTGCCCCTCCTGGAAGTCTACCGTAGGGCAGAGAGCAATCAGTGCTTGCGTTAAGAAGCATTGACAGGCAAAATAATTTCCACTGGAGTCAGAGATAATCTCTGGGATGTGCTGAGAGCAACTGGGGCAGTGCCCTGATAGCATCTGCTGTAGTTAAATTATATATAATATTCATGTAGCCATAAGGCAGATAGAGGTAAAGATTAGGACTAAGTCCCAGTTTAATGGTTTGTAGAGTTGCAACTCCAATCAAATGCACAACTCACTAAGTCTTTTGTGCTAATGTGAAGGCACTGTCTGGGAATAAAAGAAATCCTAAACCATGAATTGGGGACTTCAGGCAGATACATGGGAAGTCTAAACCTCATCACATTCCAAAAATTTCCTTGCTGGTGAAGGAAGCTGTCTCCACCATCCCTACTATTTGAGATAAGTAGCCTTCCTTTGAAAAAAAAAATTATTTCAATGACGGCAATCTTCACAAGTCCCACAACCACCACACCTAATAACTTACAAGCCCATAATGACAGGCAAAGCTCAGCACTTCTTAGAGAGAACTGCAAAGTCTTTTCTGAGAAGAGATAGCTTATAGAGCAAAGAAAGAGCAAGATTTTGCCAGAGTGAATGGCAGTAGTCAAGAGATCATATGCAGTAATGAACTCTATGGAAGAGGATTAAATATGACATTCATTTGGTAAATGATTTCTGTATGATTATATTCATGGGGGACTAGACCTGTATGGTGTTAGATTGACAGCCATAGAATGGCCCTAATAACATGTGTTTTTGGACCATTGAAGCCTATACTCTAAAGCATCCTATAGTTAATAAAATTGAGACTCAAGAATATCCTTGGAAGGCTATGAAAGATTAAGTGCATATTGAAGCAGGGAAGGCATACTGGGTATGCCATTTTGATTTTATTAAGAACAATACTGTCAGCCATTGCTTATGCATACCTACTGATAAAGACTAGGACTTTTCACGAGGTCGCTAAGAAGTGCATCGTTCAAAGAAGCACCAACATCTTTTTAATAATTCTACTTTGACTCCACTCTATAAGTTGGAGATGATGGTAGGATATGTTGCCATAGTAATGTGTTTCTTGATTTCAGTAATTAACTCAGAGAGAGAGAGAGATCTTAGTTAGCAGCACCTAATCATCAGAGACAAGGTAGGAACAATTGCCACAGTAAGTTGTATGGATCAAGTGGCAATCAGAGTGTTTTGACATCCAGGGATCTTTGGTGATGGTTACTTGATAACAACACTCTTAGGAGTGAAATATTTGGGCAACATACTAAGGTATTATATGAAAATAATCTTAGTCTGTAGACCTGCAGAGTAGAGCTGCAATAATGGGCATTCAAAGACTACTACCGAATTTTTAAAATGTAGCTAGTTCACAGACCCAAATTCCCTTGATTAAAGAGGAGGCTAAATTCTGTTTAGGAAGGTCCATCAAATGCAGCAACCAATGTACATTGTAATTATTCAACAAATAATCCCAGAAGAATTTGTGGTACTTTTTCTAAGATGACTGTACACTGAGCAAAAGGAAATTCCTAGATTTTGTAAGCGTATCAGATACTGAGTAGATACTAATCTCTGGGGAACAAAAAAACACTAGTAGAAACTAATTCCTGAGAAACAAAAAAAACACTACAGTGATTGACTAGTCAGAAAGAAAGCTATGGTGATCATGTGATAAATAGGCCCTTGTCATATGTCTATTTCATTGTGAAACCTAAGGACTCCTGGACTCATTCCAAATCACCACCAAAATGGTAAATTGAAAGAAAACATATAATTGGAAGAATGGCAGATATTAGTGCCATCATCATAGACTTGAAACATATACCATTGGCAATTCTTATTTAATTTACTTTTTGATTGATGAAAAAATGAAATAGGTCTTTGAAAATACCTGTGAATTATCATAAACATGATCAAACTATGATGACAATCACAGCTGCTGTTTTCAGGTGGGAAGTTGATAATGCGTACTACTGGTCCCCTACACACATTCTCTACCTGGCCTGCGCGTCAAAGTTTCTGTAAATGTTAGATTCTAAAAGTTCACAAGTGCTTCCACTCCAGAGAACTGTCCTCTGCTGAACGTATATGTCACTTTTTAATCCCATAAGTGGATGCCTACCTTTTTATCCTAAGGGATATCATGAGGTTACAAAAGCTTTGCTCCCTTCTTCAACAATGGAAGCAGTTCTGTGTTATAAATCATGATCCAGAGCTCCCAGAGGGATTAGTCTGAAGAACTCAAGCTGAGATAAATTATTGCATGATTCACTTCCCCACTTTATCCTGTTTGCCTTACTTCTTTTCTCCAAAGAGCACTGGCTTAATTAATTACATGTTCTTAAACCCCTGTCTTAGGCTCTGCTTTGAGAAGACTTTCTTTAAAACAATTTGTTTAGTGGCAAATAAATACAGATCGCTGCCTGTTATATGGCAAAGGATTTTCTTAATTGCAATCAATAAAGACAGTTGAAAGCAGTTCACCTTCACTTTCTAAGAAAAGTGCACTTTTACTATCTTACCTCATAATAAAAGTCAGGGGGACCTTCAAAAGCCAGGTAAAATGTCACTTTGAATCTGACTGAAAATCTTATTTTATGGAAGAAAAAGTATAGCAATTGGTCATATTCACAAAAATCACTGGTCTTGGGATATACTCTATCACATAAAAGTATCTGGCTTGATATAATAATGGTGCAATGGCTACTAAATGCCTGGTTATGTTGTTAAGGAGGGGAAAACACTTTGTAAAGGACAGGTGCTCTCCTACAAGATTCAGAATAACCTGTAAATTAAAACCAACATGTAGAGCTGTATTTTTCATAGCCAGAGATCAGAGGTCTGGGAAGCAAGGGATGGAGGTGAATACTTCTCTATATATTTAGGACACTTAAAGAGTTTACATTTTTTCTCTCTATGATCATACACATGCCAGGTTTGAAGGTCTTAAGAAATAATGCTTCCACCAAGAAGCATATCCATCGTTCCAGTAAATTGGAAGCAAATATTATCTTTGGTCATTTTGGGTTTCATATGCCATTATGCTGTAAACAGAGAAGGAAGTTGTTGATTTGAAAAGGTGAAAAATTTTAGTTGTTGAAAGGAAATTGAGTTTGGGTGGCTGCTATAAAATGGGCCAAAATAGACTATCTTTTGAAACTAGGAGACTCACTCCAGCACATTTTAGCCATCCATGTCTAATAATTCATGTCCATATCCTGAAATGGTTGACATTATTCCTCATTCTTTCCATTAACTTCTCGTGTTCTTTATATTGCTAAACTGTGTCCTAAATCTATACCATAACACAAGTTATTGATGTTCATTTCTTTCTCTGTAGACTTCCTTCCTTTCTTCTGTTTTTCTCTCTCTCTCTCTCTTTCTCTCTCTCTTTTTTTTTTTTTTTTTTGAGACTGAGTCTTGCTTTGTCACCCAGGCTGGAGTGCAGTGGTGTGATCTCTGCTCACTGCAACCTCCACCTCCCTGGTTCAAGCAATTCTCCTGAGTAGCGAGTAGCTGGGATTACAGGCGCTTGCCACCACACCCGGCTAAATTTTTGTATTTTTAGTAGAGAAGGGGGAAGTTTTCACCATATTGGCCAGACTGGTCTCAAACTCCTGACCTCAGGCAATCTGCCTGCCTCAGCCTCCCAAAGTACTGGCTGGGATTACAGACATGAGCCACCAGGCCCAGCCTTTCTCTCTTCTTTTGTCCTTATTCTCTTTCATTTTCACTTTATATTTTGCATTAGTTTATCTTTCAAGATATGTTCAGTTACAGAGAGCCACATTTATTAAATTAAATGACCAGCATGGATTTACCTGGTGGATTAGGCCTGGATGTAGTCTGATTAGTTGATTTTGGATATTCATATACAGAATTATACACATGAGATTGTATGATAAAGTTATCAGTCAGTAGGAAAAATGACATTAAAAACAAACAGCACTGTTGCTAAGAACTAAGATCAATGAAATGTGCCATATATCAGACATATACCTGTAATTCATCAACTTTCTGTTGAATTTCTCAAGTGTAAAACCATACAACTGAGTTAATCCCATATTTCTAATATCTTTTCATGACTTTTGATTTCTATTTATCTACTGGTCTAATCATATAGTAAAGATTAGATTTCATATTACAAGCTATCCTATTAAACTTATTTGAAGAATGTTAACATGTTCATATAAGTTTGGGCGACACTACACAACATATGAGAAGATTTCAGAAAGCTCATGAAAAATGAAATTGAAAGATTTAAAAAATGTTATTTCTCAACATAAGTGCCATCAAGTCCAAGACGCTTTTGTAAGCAAGTGAAGATACCTGTCATTTAGTCCATTCCTGGATAACTACAGGTCTTGGGAATTTAACCATGTTAATGCAGTCTTTTTTACATTATTGACAAGAGTAATGAGTGCCCTTTAAATATTTTTTTGTTTGATCAGGATCAAATAAAAAAGATCGGGAAGCAAAAAGAAGTAAGAAGGAGCCAAATAAAGACCAAAGGGGATGCCTAATAATTTCCCATCAAAACTGTTGCAAAATTGCCCTTGTTTGATGAGAGGAATGGTAGAAAATGACTCTCTTGCGAAGCTTTACTGGGCATTTTTCCACTAACGCTTTAGCTAATTTTCTCAAAACACTCTCATGTCAAGCAGATGTTATTGTTCTTTGGCTCTCCAGAAAGTCAACAAGCAAAATGCCTTGAGTACACCAAAAAACCTGTTGCTATAACCTTTGCTCTTGACTGGTCCACTTTTGCTTTAACTGGACCACTTCCGCCTCTTGGTAGCCATTGTTTCGTTGTGCTTTGTCTTTATGATCATACTGGTAACGCTGTGTTTCATCTCCTGTTATAATTCTTCAGAGAAATGCTTCAGGATCTTGATTCCTCTTGTTTAAAATTTCCATTGTAAGGTCTGCTCTTATCTACAGCTCATCCAGACACAATGGTTTTGGTACCCACTGAGTGGGTTATTCGTTCATCATTAATTTTTCAGTCTGAATTATGTAAGCTGAGCCAATCAAGATGTCTATGGTGTTGGCTATTATTCTGCTGCTAATTGTTGGTCCTCTTCAGGAAATTAATAAGATTAATGTCTTGTTTGAAAATTGATGTGGATAGATTTCATCTTCAACATTGTCTCACTCCTTAAAATGAGTGACCCCTTTGTAAACTGCTGCTTTTGGCAGGGAACATTGTTCTCCTAAACTTTTTGTAAAGCATCAGTGATGGCATCATTCTTCCACCCAAACTTCATCACAAATTTGATATCTGTTTTTGTTTCAATTTTGGCAGAATTCATGTTACTCTGATGGGGCTCTTTGCAAACTGATGTCTTATCCTTCTTAGTACCTCAGACTAGATCCTATATAAATGTGTAATAGCAAGTTAGTGCAAGTTTATTTTGGTGCAAAAAAAAAAATGAAATCCATGTATAGTTTCTTCATAATATGCATTTTCCATGAACTTTTTAAAGACACCCCATATTGTTATTCAGAGATCTGTTACTTAAGCAAGTTAATATTTGCTGAAAACATTTTTAATTTCTGAAGTCTCCTAAATCCAGGAACATTTGTTTACACAGAGAAAAAAATATAAGCAGTACATTTAAATTGGAAGAACCATATTTTTCTATGCTAAATACTTGATGACACATAACACTGCAGTGCTATTGAAACACAATATTAACTTGAAAATTTTTGAGGACAAGTCTCCATCTGCATAATTATTTTAATATATATATTATTCAGCATAACATATTTATTCTTGAAGTAAACCCACATGGGACATAAAACTAACCTCCTGATAATGATAAAAAGTCATACAAGAAAATTGTTTCTTTTCTTAAGATTAAAAAAAAAAAGATGTAATTCAAGAGGTTAGTTCTTTGGTATGAACAAAACCTCTTTTTTAAAATCATCTAAGCCAGGCATGGTGGTGCACACCTGTAATCCCAGCACTTTGGGAGGCCAAGGTGGGAGGATTGCTTAAGTCAGTTTTTGAGTTTAAGTTTGAGACCAACCTGGGCCACACAGAGAGACCCCATCTCTACAAAAAATAAAATATTAGTTGGGTGTGGTGGCACATGCCTGTGGTCCCAACCACTTGAGAGACAAAAGCTGGAGGATTGCTTGAGCCTGCAGGTTAAGGCTGCAGTGAACCATGGTTGTGCCACCGTGCTCCAACTTGGGGGATAAAGCAAAACCCTGTTTCAATAAAATAACAAATAAGTAAATAAATTCCTCTTGAAAATGACTATCTATGTAGGGTTAGTGAAAGACTGAAACTATTTCATAGAAAATAAATAAGTTGCAGTAATGTGACTTTTGAAAATGGTCTGCTCAAGCTGATTCTTAGTTGAAGCTAGGACACCACCCAAGCAACCTTTGAAGCTGACTCTCTGTTAAATAACCGACTCTCTATTATCTAACTCTCTCACAGACACTTCTGATATGTCACACATAAACTAATTAATGATTGAGATGCATATTCAGTTTTTATTGTAAGTAAATATTTTAATAAGTAAAATCTTGAAATAATAGCATGAAAATTTTAGAATTAATGCATACTTTTTTTTTATAAAACTAAATGATGATTAATTCAAGGTGATCCCAAAATCAGCACCTAAATATAGAGTTGGGGAAGGGTTGAATGACAAAAATGTGAAAAACTTTCAACCCCAAAACATCTTTTATTCTCTTTCCTGCACCACTGTACTCTACTCATTGTTTTTTGTTTTTTCTCCTGTCTCTAGTCTCACTTTTATCTAATTTCTCCTTATCTTTCCCTGCTTTTTTCTCTTATCTCTTCCCCGATCTTTCTTATACTATTTTCTCCACTTTTCTATATAACTCCTTTCTCCTCTTCTGTTTCATGTCCTGCAAATTCTGTATTTTTATTACACTTTGGAAAAAAAAAGAAATGATAAACTTAATGATGATTCTTATAATTAAGAAATAATTTTCGTAGATAAGGAAGGGTATGTTGCTAGCTATCACCCTAAGAGATGAAGAAGAGAAGAATGTTTCTAATGAACTTCCCATTTAGAAACATCATTATTTGGGGAAAGACGAGCACTCAGATTTATGCCAGTATTTAGGTCATATTCCACTGAACCCCCTCTATTACAGACATAGAGCTAAAATACTAAAATACCTAAGAAAAAAAGCCTAAAAATGAAAGGAAATTGTAGAGATACTGGCTGAGAGAGGTATACAGTGTATACATGGGATATCTAAGTATTCTACCCTGTTTATACTGATTTTAATGTTGCCTTTACAGCCTGATTTATGCATGATGTAGGCAAATATTTTTTTCCCAAAGTACCAATGAGTACTAACAGCTCACCTACCACAGGTTGATGATAACCCAATTTTTTTATACTCTAGGTATAGGTTTGCTTCTCCTATATTATGTGATTTTTTTAAAAAGAAAAATATCAATATCAAAAAGTCATGCAATGAATATGAATATTGTGGAGAAAATATATAGCCTTCATAACCACTACATTACTAATATTGTGTTACTACTATTAGTATCACTACTGTTACTACTAAAAAGAGTTAAAGATTATTATGAGATTAAAATCTAGCAAACCAAGAGCAAAAATGCTTTAGAAGCCATTGTGCTAAGTGTGTATGTATATATTCAATGTTTCAACTCGATTCCACTGAGCATACTTTGGAAGAGTGGAGGGATTCGCATCAAGTACAAACTAGAGAAATGGCAGTGAGAGCCAAGGACCAGTAATGGAGGTAGGGTTCGTTGTGACAAATAAAACATTTTTTGAAAAATGTGATGTCATTATCATACCCAACAAAGTTAATTCTTCATCTTTAATATTATCTAATATAGGATATATAGAAGAATTTCCCTGATTTCCCATAAATGCCTTTTTGAAAGGGGATTTATTTGTAAATAAATAAGTTTCAAATAAGTTCCACACATTCTGTTTGGCCATAGTACTTAAGTCTAATAATTCAAATATATATCTCTTAGGGCTGATAATTCAAATAGAACTCCAACTTTAGTTTAACACCTTTGGTTTAAAATTTCTTAAATAATTGCTACATGGTATGTACATTAGAAGCAATATATTATTATCTATAATCTGGGCATTAATAAATTTATTTAAAAATTATTTTGGTTTACATGACTGGGAATCAAACCCCAGCCGCGGCGGTGAGAGTGCCGACTCCTAACCATTAGACCACCAGGGAACTTCGTAAACGTTAGACCTAAAACCATAAAAACCCTAGAAGAAAACCTAGGCAATACCATTCAGGACATAGGTATGGGCAAGGACTTCATGTATAAAACACCAAAAGCAATGGCAACAAAAGCCAAAATTGACAAATGGGATCTAATTAAACTCAAGAGCTTCTGCACAGCAAAAGAAACTACTATCAGAGTGAACAGGCAACCTACAGAATGGGAGAAAATTTTTGCAACCTACTTATCTGACAAAGGGCTAATATCCAGAATCTACAATGAACTCAAACAAATGTACAAAAAAAAAAACAAACAACCCCATCAAAAAGTGGGCAAAGGGTATGAACAGACACTTCTCAAAATAAGACATTTATGCAGCCAAAAACACATGAAAAAATGCTCACCATCACTGGCCATCAGAGAAATGCAAATCAAAACCACAATCAGATACCATCTCATACCAGCTAGAATGGCGATCATTAAAAAGTCAGGAAACAACAGGTGCTGGAGAGGATGTGGAGAAATAGGAACACTTTTACACTGTTGGTGGGACTGTAAACTAGTTCAACCATTGTGGAAGTTGGTGTGGCGATTCCTCAGGGATCTAGAACTAGAAATACCATTTGACCCAGCCATCCCATTACTGGGTATATACCCAAAGGACTATAAATCATGCTGCTATAAAGGCACATGCACACGTATGTTTATAGCGGCACTATTCATAATGGCAAAGACTTGGAACCAACCTAAATGTCCAACAACGATAGACTGGATTAAGAAAATGTGGCACATATACACCATGGAATACTATGCAGCCATAAAAAATGATGAGGTTATGTCCTTTGTAGGGACACGGAGGAAACTGGAAACCATCATTCTCAGCAAACTATTGCAAGGACAAAAAACCAAACACCACATGTTCTCACTCATAGGTGGGAATTGAACAATGAGAACACATGGACACAGGAAGGGGAACATCACACACCGGGGACTGTTGTGGGGTGGGGGGAGAGGGGAGGGATAGCATTAGGAGATATACCTAATGTTAAATGATGAGTTAATGGGTGCAGCACACCAACATGGCACATGTATACATATGTAACAAACCTGCACATTGTGCACATGTACCCTAAAACTTAAAGTATAATAATAATAAAAGTAAAAAAATTATTTTGAAGAAAATGTAGAAATTATGCAAAAATATTTTGTTCTCAACATTAAAAAATTCTCTCTTAAAGGGAAATGTGTACATACATTTCAAATATATTTAAATTAATGTATATATATTTATATAAGTTTTCCTACACTTAAAGTATGTAAAATGTTCTCATTCTTTGCTACCTCATTTTATTATCAGAGACAACATAGCTAATAGTAAGTATTAAGGCTTGGATAATCCAGTATGAATTTGAGTGTAGAAGTTTCAGAAAATAATTATGGCAAAATAAAATAATGTTCCAAACTATCACTTAAATTGAAAATATATGCAAATATATAATGGTCACACTTAAAAGAATATAAGACCAGAGCAAATATGATCCTAAAATATTTTGCTTTCAGGGAAACCACACATAGCTCAATTTCATTAACAATTCCATAAGCTTAATTTATTTTGTCTGCTTTATGCAATGAATGTGGTTTTTACAACAAAGTCTCACCAATCTTCATTACTGCCTGGTGATATGGTTTGGTTCATCACCAAAAGAAACCAAAGTGGAAAAAGACTAACCATTGCACTGGATAATATGCAATGTAAGTGATGCTCAAGATTGTTTGAAAACCAGTTTTTTCAAAAATCAATGATGGCCATGTAAGTTATTTTAGTCCTTTGGTACAAATAACTATGTCCTTTAAAATGAATTGGTATAAAATTTCCTCCTGCCATCTCTGAGGGGTGTAAACAGTGTAAGTTTATGTGATTTTTAAACACAAAAATATTAATATCAAAAATCTTTCAAGAAATATTTTGAAGAAAATGTATAACCTTAATAACAGCTACATTACTACTAATATTACTACTACTAATATTACTATTACTAAAAGGAATCAAAAAGTATCCTGAAATTAAAATCTAGAAAATTCAGAGAAAATTTGCTTTCAGAGCTATTGTGCTTATTGTGTATATATGTATGTATGCATGTATGTATGTGCATGTTAGTTTGTAGTTTGGTATTCTAATTTTTTAATTTATAATAAGGCACTCAGGCAATGAGGACAGGAGACTGTCAACAAAGAGTCAGAAAATACTGAAAAATTATCAAACAGCAATCTTGGAGCTAAAGAATAAAATAACTGAACTAAAAAAAAAATGACTGGAGAGGTCCAAGGGCAGAGCAGATTTAGCAAAAGTAAGAATTAGCAAATGCAAAGATAGGTCAGTGGAATGTATCCATTCGTAAGATCAAAAAGAAAAAAAAAAAGAAAGACTGAGGAAAGCTTAAGGAATATACAGGAATGTATCATGTGGACCAATAATTGGTGGCACAGAAGGAGACAGAGAGAGAAAGGGGCAGAAAGTTTATTCAAAGAAATGATAGATGAAAACTTTCGAAATCTAGGGAAGGAAATGGACATTCAGATTCAGAAAGCCCAAGGAACTCCAAATAAAATAAGCCTCCTCCCAAAAAATGTCCATGCAGAAATACATTATAATCAAATTGTCAAATCTCAAATACAAAAATAGAATTTTGAAAGCAGCAAGCAAAAAGTAACTTGTTATGTACAATGGAACTCTCATGGGATTTATAGCATATTTCTCAGCAGAAATATTGCAGGCAAGATGTGAGGCAGCTTCAAAATGTTGAAAGAAAAAAAAACTATCAATTAAGACTATCATACCTGGCAAAACTGTCCCCAGAAATGAAGGTGAGAAAAAGACTTCTCCTGACAAACAAAAGCTGAAGTATTCTATCACTCCTTGACCTGCCTTATGATAGATACTAATGGGAGTTTTTAAACTTGAAATGAAAGGACACTAAATGGCAATATGAGGGTATAAAATTTTCTGGTGAAGGTGAATATATAGACATATACAGAATACAGTATTACTGTAATGCTGGTGGTTAAATTACTCTTATTTCTGGCCGGACATGGTGGCTTACACCTGTAATCCCAACACTTTGGGAGGCCAAGGTGGGCGGATCACCTGAGGTCGGGAGTTCGAGACCAGCCTGACCAACACAGAAAAACCCCATCTCTACTAAAAATACAAAATTAGCCAGGCATGGTGGCACATGCCTGTAATCCCAGCTACTTGGGAGGCTAAGGCAGGAGAATCACTTGAACCTGGGAGGTGGAGGTTGTGGTGAGCCAAGATCGTGCCATTGCACTCCAGTCTGGCCAACAAGAGTGAAACTCCGTCTCAAAAAAAAAAAAAAAAAACTTTTATTTCTAGTATAAAAGTTAAAAGAAAAAAGCATTAAAAATATATATGTAAAAGGTATTAATAAATACAAAATATTACAAGTGTAAATGGTGACACTGATAACATGAAGTGTGGGGAGGTCCAGTAAAAAGGTAGAGTTTTTATTATAAGATTAGTTGTTAAGTTGTTATCTGCTTAAATTAGACTATTATAACATAAATTGTTGTACATCAGCCCCATGGCAACCAAAAGGAAAATACCTGCAGAAGATGCACACACAAAAAAGGAATCAATGCCCTTCAATAAAAAAGGAAAAAAAAACCTCACTGGGACCCAAGAGAATTTGGGAGGCCAAGGTGGGCAGATCACAAGGTCAGGAGATCGAGACCATCCTGGTCAACCTAGTGAAACCCCATCTCTACTAAAAATACAAAAATTAGCCGGGCATGGTGGTGTGTGTCTGTAGTCCCAGCTACTCAGGAGGCTGAGGCAGAAGAATCGCTTGAACCTGGGAGGTAGAGGTTGCAGTGAGCTGAGATCGTGCCACTGCACTCCAGCCTGGTGACAGAGCAAGACTCCATCTCAAAAAAAAAAAAAAAAAAAAAAAAAAAAAAAAAGCAAGAGGAGACAGCAGGAGAGGAAAAGAGAGACATAAGAATTACAAGACAGAAAGCAACGAATAATATAGCAATAGCCCTTTCCTATCAGTAATTTTTTTAAATGTAAATAAATTAAACTCCCAATTGAAAGACATAGAGTATCTGAATAAATTGAGAAAACCAGATCTAACTATATGCTGTCAACAAGAGACTTTAGATTTAAGGACACAAATAGTTAGAAACTGAAGCAATGAAAAAACATATTTCATGCAAATGATAGCCAAAAGAAAACAGAGGTGGCTATCATGGCAGAAATCAGGATCCCTAAAAAATGTTGGCACTCTTTTATTCATTGCAGCACAATTCATAATAAGAGAGAGGTGGAGACAACATGAATGTCCCTTATCAAATGAATAAAGAAAATATTATGTGTGTGTGTATATATATATATATATATATATATATATATATATATATATAATGGAATATTATGTCTTAAAAATATGAAAATCCTGCCAAATGCAACAGCATGAATGAACCTTAATATTATAATAATTGAAATAAGCCAGTCACTGATACACAAATAGTGTATGATTCTACTCATATGAGATGTCTAAAAAAGTCAAACATTTATAAGCAGAGAGTAGAATGGCAGTTGCCAGGGGGTGGGGGAAAGGGAAAATTGGGAGTTACCATTTAACAGGTATACAGTTTCAGTTATGCAAGATGATTAAGTGACAGAGATCTATTGTACAATATCGAGCCTGTAGTCAACAGTGCATGCTGTACAGTTTAAAACTTGTTGAGAGTAGAACTCATGTTAATTGTTGTAATCAGAATAAAAAAAAAAATTCCCATGACTAAAGAGCTTTCACCACTGAGACAAAAATTATATTATACCCACAGAATTGGAATTAATGTCTCAATTAAATTGGTTTTAACTGTTCAGATGGCTGAGGTTAAATATTGGTTAAGATTTTAATTGGGGCATCAGATCGATGCTAAAGAAAACCAAACAAATTTTCCTCGTGATCCAATTACAATGCTGAGTCATTTTATACACACTAGCATATGAAAGGTGGCTAAGTCCAAATCTTGGAAAAACAAAATTGTAATCTGAACCCTTAACTAATTACTTAATAACTTCCTTCAACTTTATTGAAATATGAATGTTTAAAATTCTTAAACTCTTTATCAGGTTACTTTACCAAAATAATGGTTTTAACTAACCAATTTATTTCTTTGCTTATGTTTGAATTTCATGTTATATTATTTTTGTCTTGTAGGGAACAACCTTGAAAGATATTTGAATGGTATTTTCTTAAGTTTTGATCATGATTACATAGCCCTGTAAGTTTCCTCTTTTGCTTAAGCCAGTAACTTGAAACTCAAAAGAGCCCTCACCCAGGAGAAGAAGAAAGCAGTGAAGTGGCTTTGCAAGAAGAGATCTTAGCTGTGAGATGAGAACTAGAAAATTATAGTGTTTTGGGAGCAAAGAGAAAAATAATTGCTTTTTCAATACTTGTTTTCCTTGTCAGTTCCCATACACAAGCATATCCTAAGAGGAATACAATTTGGAGGAAACAAAGATTTAAAATTTTTATTTATTTTGGGTTAGAGGTTAAGATGAAACCTAGTTCCATGTTTTCAGAGTAATTTTTAAAACCAACCATTAAGCTATGTTTTATATTTTTTGTTATGCATAGATTTATGTTTACATTTATTTTGGTTTCCTGGATTTATATTTGTCAATCAAGAATTGTTTTTAAGTCCTGATTAACATTTTTTTCTTATTTCAAGACATTCAATATTTGAGTTGATGGTAAATTTTTAATAATTTATCGACAATATTTAGAATCTAAGCATATAAGTATATAATTATTTCAGCTTACATGTATACATATATAGAGATATTTTCAACTGTTTTCTTATATTTTAGTCACATTTTTGCTTTGGCTAACTTTATGAGCAGAAATGGAATCCATTGTGGACTTAAAATTTTATTCCTATAAAAAGTATTTTAAAATGTTTATTTTCTGCCTTTTAATTTTTTCACTAGCAGTAGAGTATTGTGAGCTTATAAATATTTTAGCATAAAGAAAAAAGAGTCCCAGCTCCATCTTTCTTTTTTTGTAAGTAACATTTTCTTTCTAAGTTTTCTGCACCCTGTAGCTTCAGAAAAGTTTAAACAGTACCTTGCCCACATATCACGGGACCTGACAGACTCATACCTCATCTGCCCTTTCATCTAGTAACATCCATTATGGTTAGGTATAAAAATTTTTTTAGAGTATTTAGCATAATTAACTACTTTGCAGTAATTTTATCCAATTATATATTTTTCATTACAAAATACAGTTCATTAGATATTACTGAACAAAAGGTATGTTTCAAACATTTTAATTATAGTGGAATTATATAACAGGCATGGTTATCAACAATGTTTTGCTCGATCAGCTATAAAATCTGTTCTTACTGTTAAACAATATAAAGCATGAAGTTGTTTCCTTGGTAATAACATTTGGCCCCTACATTAAAATTTTCCTTTTTTCATCTCAGAATCTCATAAGTCATACTACAATCACAATATAGCACCACAAAACACATTTAAATATTCATTTAGGATTGTTTAATTTAAGAACTATGATTTAGTTTGAGATTTGTCTGAAAATTGTGAACATAGTCATAGGCTTAGGGTGTAACTAACAAAATTTACGGGGTGAGAATAAGAGGAACATGAATTGCAATGGGGTGGTATGTATTGCCATAAGGTGAATTTTTTTAAAAATTTATGATTACATAATTAAGGTAAATAATTTTAAAATAGCTAAGTATATTTTGAATAAGACAATATGATAAAATATATATTCATTTCCATTGTAATTTCTGAAATCATGTTGATAGAACCACCTATACCTAACAGCAATGATATCTTGGTTCTCTAATTGACAATTTTACCTATAAAATATGATAACATATCCATTGAGGTTATGATGGTTAATATTAAGTGGTAAGTTGGCTGGTTTGAGGGGTGCCTAAGTGGCTGGTGAAGCATTCTTTCTGGGTGTGTTTGAGAAGGTGTTTCCAGAGGAAATTGCCAAGTGAATCAGTGGACTGAGAGAGGAAGATCAGCTTTCAATGTAGATAACCATCCAAAGGGCTGTGGCAGGCCATAACAAAGCAGGCAGAAGGGGAACATTCAACTTGCTTGCTTTTCTTTTTCCCTTCTCCTCATCTCTCACACACTCTCTGAGAGCAATACCTCTATTTGTTCTCCTGCCTGGGGCCATCAAACTCCAGGCTTTTTGGTCACTGGACTCTGGGACATGCACTCCCATGCACCAGCAGCCTCCTCTCCTGGGGGACTACATTTTTGGCTTCTCTGGTTTTGAGATGTTCAGAGTTGTACTGAGCCACACTGCTGGCTTCCCTGGGAGCCACACTACTTATCTGGGAGTCACACTACTGTCTTTTCTCATTATCTAGCTTGCAGTTGGTTTATCATAGGACTTTTCCTTTGTAATCGTGTGAGCCAATTTTCCCTAATAAATTCCCTTTCATACACACACACACACACACACACACACACACACACACACACACACTCTCTCTCTCTCTCTCTCTCTTCCTATTGGCTCTGTCACTCTGGAGAATCCTAATGCATAGGTATTAATATTAAAAATATGTGTAGGGGTGTGTGTGTGCACACATGTGCACAAATGTATCTAACTATTGTTATGAGGCCAAATAAAATTGCTATATTATAGTTACAATGAGATGGGAGATATATTATTATAAAAATTTTACTAAAAAGAAAAAACAAATGGTGAAAATTAATTAGTTTTTCACCACTGCCGACAAAGTCACTCTTTCTCAGGCTCACCAAAAACCAGTTTTAGAAACATTTATATTGTCAGTAAAATTCCTCCCTATATAATCATCATAATATTTAATATTTCCTTCTTTATTCATGGTATTATGCTTCAAAAAAGTAACAAAAAGAGTGTGACCTTTTAAAAAAATCATTGTATCTCAAAAATTTTTAAAAGTCTGATTATTCTAATTATTGATTTGACTTGAAATTTATGTATTTTGGTAATTTTATTTATTTTTATAAATTTTAAATGTTGTGAAATAATCTAATTTAGACTTTCCCATGTTGATAATGGCTATATTTTTGCCCTGTATTTTTGCCCGTTTTGTGAGAGAATGAGGAGAATGTGTGTGTGTGTGTGTGTATGTGTGTGTATGAGAGAGAGAGAGAGAGAAAGAGAGAGAGAGATGAAATACTTGGTGTTTCCTAGTCCTTTTTATCAACAAGTACAATTTATTCACTGAGCAAATTTTCAGAGTTTTTCTGTGGAATACAATTATGCAACTGTTTGCTTTGCTTGCTTTTAAAATAACGAGTTATTTTAAAAATATAGCTGACCATGGGGTAAAAAAAACAAACAAACAAGCAGAAAATCCAAGCAATACCAAGTGAGTGTTCTCATGCCCATAAAAACAAGTATTTCAACATGGCCTGGTGGGGTGGGCAGAACATCTGATGAAATTAAAGAATCATCGGTTTTGTGAGGGTGTTTATAACTTTTCCTTCTTGTTCTTTATGAAAACTTGAGATTTTGTAGTATTTCTTAATAAGTTGTGGCTCATGTTTCATAGTTTACATAGGTAATTTTATCAACATTTCATGTTAGAATTTTCATATTATAGGCATATTTCATTTTTTTTTTTTTTTTGCACTTTGCTTTGTCACACCTGGCAGATATTGGGTGCTTTTTTTTTTTTTTTTTTTTTTCCAGACGGAGTCACCCAGGCTGGAGTGCAGTGGAGCGATCTCGGCTCACTGTAACCTCCGCCTCCCAGGTTAAAGCGATTCTCGCACCTCAGCTTCCCAAGTAGCTGGGACTATAGACATGTGCCACCACACCTGGCTAATTTTTTGTATTTTTAGTAGAGATGGGGTTTCACCGTGTTAGCAAGGATGGTCTCGATCTCCTGACCTTGTGATCCACCCACCTCGGCGTTCCAAAGTGCTGGGATTATAGATGTGAGCCACGGCGTCCAGCCTATTGTGTGCTTTTTACAAAGTAAAGATTTGTGGCAAGTTTTCATCAAGCAAGTCTACTAGCACACTTTTCCAACAGCATGTGTTCACTTTGTATCTCTGTGTCACATTTTGGCATTTCTCACAATATTTCAAACTTTTCCATTATTTGTATATTTGGTTTACCTGTGATCCCTGTTCATTGATGTTATCATTGTTATTTTTGGGGGTGCCATGAACTGTGCCCATATAAGATGATGAACTTAACTGGTTAATGTCGTGTGTGTTCCGACTGCTCCACTGACTCGTCATTGCCCCAACTTCTTCCTCCTCAAGTCTCTCTATTCCCTGAGACACAACAGTATTGAAGTTTGGCCAATTAATGACTCTGCAATGGCCTCTAAGTGTTCAAGTGAAAGCAAGAGTCACTTGTATTTCACTTAAAATTGAAAACTAGAAATGAATAAACACAGTGGGGAAGGCAATGTTGAAAGCTGAGACAGGATGGAAGCTAGTGCCCTTGTAGCAAACAGGCAGCCAATTTGTGAAAGCAAAGGAAATGCCTTGAAGGAAATTTACAGTGCAACTCCTGTGAATTCAAGAATGATAAGAAGGCAAAATAGCCTTATTGCTAACATGGGAAAACAATTTAGTGGAACAATAGAAGATAAAACCAGCCAAAACATTTCCTTAAGCCACAGTCTACTCCAGATTGAGGATCTAACTATCTTCAGTTCTATGAAGGCTGAGAGAGGTGAAGAAACTGCTAAAGAAAAGTTTAAAGCTATTAATAGCAGAGATTGTTTCATGAGATTTAAGAAAAGAAGTTGTCATCATAACAAAAAAGTGCAAGGGGAAGCAACAAGTGATCATGTAGAAGCTGCAGCAAGGTATCCAGAAGATTTAGCTAAGATTGTTAATGAAAGTTGCTACACTAGACAACAGATTTTCAACGTATTATAGATACGACAGCATTCTATTGGAAGAAGATGCCATCTAGGACTTTTGTAGCTACAGAGAAGAAGCCAATACCTGGCCTCAGAGCTTCAAGAATAGGCTAACTCTTTTGTTAGGAGCCAATGCACCTGGTGACTTTCAGTTAAGGCCAATGTCCGTTTACCATTCCAAGATCCTAGGGCCCTTAAACATTATTCCCAATCTATTCTCATGTGCTCTATAAAATGGAACAACAAAGCCTGAATAAAAGCACAGTGCTTATAACACAGTTTACTAAATATTTTAAGCCCACCATTACGACCTACTGCTTAGTTAAAAAAATTATTTGCAATATTATTGCTCATTGAAAATGCACCTGGTAACCCAGGAGCTCTGATGGAGATGTACTAAATTAGTGATGTTTTCATGACTGCTTACACAATACCCATTCTGCAGCCCATAGATCAAAGAGTAATGTCAAATTTCAAGTGTTATTATTTAAGAAATACATTTTGTAAGGCTATAATTGCCATAGATTATGATTCCTATGATTGATCTAGGCAAAGTAAATTGAAAACATCCTGGAAAGGATCTAGATGCCATTAAGAACATTGTGATACAGGAGAGGAGGTCAAAATATCCGTATTAACAGGGAATTGGAAGAAGTTTAACACCTGTGGATGACTTTGAGAGGTTCAAGACTTTAGTGGAAGAAATAACTACAGATGTGTGGAAACAAAAGGAGAACTACAGTTAGAAGTGGAGCCTGAAGCTGTAACTGAATTGATCCTATCTCATTATAATGTATAATACAACTTGAAAGGATAAGAAGTTGCTTCTTATGTACCAGCAAAGAAAGTGGTCTCCTGAGATGTAATCTATACCTGGTGAAGATGATGTGAACATTGCTGAAATAACAACAAATAATTTAGAATATTGCATAAACTTAGTTTATAAAGCAGCAGCATAGTTTGAGGGGATTGGTTCCAATTTTGAAAGATGTTCTACTGTGAGTGAAATGCTATCAAATAGCACTGCAGAGAAATTGTTCAGAAAAGGAAGAGTTAATTGATGCAGTAAATGTCACAGTTACCTTGTTTTAAAAAATGGCCATAGCCATGCCAACCTTCAGCACCCATCACCCTGATCAGTCAGGAGCCATCTATCAATATTGAGGCAAGACTCTTCACTAGCAAGAAATTACAACTACCTGAAGGCTCAGGTGATCATTAGCAATGTTTTTCTTTTTCTTTTCTTTTTTTTTTTTTTTTCCAAGATGGAGACTCACTTTGCTGCCCAGACTGGAGTGTAGTGGCGCTATCTTGGCTCAGTGCAGCTTCTGCCTCCTGGGTTCAAGCACATCTCCTGCCTCAGCCTCTCAAGTAGCTGGGACCACAGGCACGTGCCACCACATCCAGCTAATTTTTGTGTTTTTAGTAGAGACGGTTTTCACCATTTTGTCCAGGCTGGTCTCGAACTCCTGGATTCAAGTAATCTGCCCACCTTGGCCTCCCAAATTGTTAGGATTACAGGTGTGAGCCACTGCCTGTGCCCAGCAATCATTAGCATTTTTAAGCAATAAAGTATTTTTAAATTAAGGTATGCAGATTGCTTTTTAGATATAATGTTATTGAGAACTTAATATACTACAGTATAGTGTAAACATAAATTGTATATATACACCGGGAAACCAAACAATTTGTGTGACTGGCTTTACTGTTAAATATGCTTTATTGTGATGGTTTGGAACCTAACTCATATCTGTGATGTTCAGCTGTACATTTTTTCCCATTATGGTACTCCTATTTTATTGTTAAGTTTTCATAAAATTAATTGATGGATTGACTGACCAACGGTGACTTTAGGTTAGTTATATTTCTTTATCAGGCGTCCTTGCATAACGGACAGCTATTTTTGAGAATTCACTGTGCTGCTACTTAAGAAGCAACTGTTTTCTCCTGAAGGGGAAATTGATCAAGAAGGAAGAATGACAGCAATTAGAGTAAAGAATTGTGATGCATGCCCCAGTCTCTTTCTCACCAAGTCTAGACAAGACAGTACCTTATAGATGCCCCTCAAATCAGAAAAACTGAGGAGCAAGCACTGGCTTGTGAAAGTGAGGTCAAGAATGGAGAGAAGCAAAACACACAGAGCTCTTGGGGCCCAGAGAACATGGACATTGCTTGTCCCTTCAGTGTCCCGCTCTGTGATCTTTAGGATCTATCATTAAGAATTATGACAAGTGGAAAGTGTTAATTTTCCATTTAGGTCTATCATCTTTACCTAACATGAATGAAGGTTTCTGACAGTGAAATACAGAAAAACTCAGCCAATTGCTTGACTAAAAAGGCTGTGGTTTAGCAGAAACTGACAGCCATGATCTCAGGGATTATTGTACACATTCATGTCTCTCATTAAATAAATATCAATAAAATTTTATCATTATCCCACAGAGTTTGTGTTACAAGAGAATGGATAATACTCAACTATAAATTTAAATAAAACTTGCAGATTCCTAAATACTCATACCCCACCCTTATAAAACTGAAAACTTTAACCTTTTTTAAAGCATGCTTTTGAATAAATTCTTTTATTACAAAAAAGACCAGGGCACAGGGACACGTGCCTGTAGTTTCAGCTACTTGGAAGGCTGAGGTGGAAGAATCAGGTGAGCTCAAGACTTTGAGTCCAGCCTGAGTAACAGAGAAAAACCCCATTAAAAAAAAAGTGAGAATATGACCTGTGGTGGAGAATCAACATTTCTTTTTTATTATAATTCCACATAGTCTCAGGAACAAAATTCATGGAAATATCCATGATGTACTTAGGAAATAAGAACAATTTCCTTCTACTATTTGGAACATTCAATGCACAGCTTGAGTTGGGGGGTTGTGGAATTCAGATATTTATGAACAGGATTAACATACATAAACAATTTTTTTTGTTTGTCTCATAACACCAATAAGGTGCTAACAGAGCTCACAAGCTCCTTTATAATGGGATGAATGACTCTTGTATTGTAATTGCAAACAAAGCTGCAGATGCAATTCAAAATTATTTTTATGATTGCAAATATGTTGCTCATTGTTCCTTGTTTTAGAAGCAACCTTATTTTGCATTGAAAATTTTGTTAGCATCATATTTTGTAAAGACTTTGTATCTTTTAAGGTAAATCTATTTTTTCCTATGGGAGAATGCTGTTCCTGGGAAAGTACTAAATTCCTGAGACCAGTGCTATTCATGCTGCTATAATTAAGGTACAGTGCTTATACCTTAACCATAAAAATATTCATTTCAGAGTTTCATTTCATAGTCACATTTTTAGCTTACAGCTATCCAACAAAGCTTTGGGCATATTTTATTTATATATCCATGTATGCATGCAATGTGTTCAACATATTTTTTTAAATGTCTTCTTCCTGGGAGTCATAAGGCATTTTTTCAACTTGTTTTTCAGACAAATACTTAAGTGAATGATATCAGAGCTCTTATAAGTGTTATTAATAGATTATTTTTAAAAGTTTGTATTTTATTTTATTTAAAAATTTTCTTTTTATTTATATAGATGAACTTTCTAAATGAAATTATAAATCACCATATTAATTTTCAGGGACATTTTCTGCACAGTAAGACTTAAAATTTTTTTAATAGAATTGAGATATGTTATTACGTTGAACAAAGCAATATAATGATATTCAAATTTTGTTGATCATTTACAATATTCCAGGCATTATCCTTGTTACTTTAATGGTGTTAACAAGTCTAATTGTCATAATAATGTTATAAATTCCTTGAAAAGTAGGAACTATTATTATTTTCATTTTAAAAATGAGAAAAGTGAAGCACGAGATTTTATTTACTCTCTCAAAGCCGTATAGCTAGTGGATTGTGAACCAATATTAGATCCTAGGCTGTTTGAAACCAGAACCTATATTTCTGTATGAAAACCTAGTCATATTACTAATCCTGATCAGTCTAATGAATTGCTCCCCCCCACCATAAACTACTATTACTGAAAAAGAAAGTGTGATTTTTCAGCTATATAATTTTCCTCAATATAATCTTCCAATAGATTGTGAATGGCCAATTCATATTTTTAAAATACATTTATTATTGTTAATTACAATGCTACAATTACCTCAATTATTTAAGTCTTCTAATGTCTGTTTTGGATACTGATACAGTATCAGAAAATAATTATGAATCTATCATTAGGGGGACTTATATCTGTTCAATTATCATTTTAATTTTTCCTGAGTAGAAGGTATTGATATCTGCTAACAAATGGAAAAACGCAGGGTTTTTTTGCAAGCCTTGTTTCCAAATAAAACCAAGTTAAAACATATTAAGTGTTTTGTTCATAATTACCTTTGGTTATGTGGCAGAGAAGAAAATAGCTGAAAATGCCAATAGGCTAAGCAAGAATGAACATTCCTAGGAATGACAATCTAGGAAATCTCAGTGTGTTTACAGCTTTACATTTTTTTTACTTTATTTCTATTGTATGGAATTTCTTAAAGAATGCTAAATTGTATTCTTGTCTGGTTTAAGTCTGAGGCCATCTGTTAGATTGATGTTGCTTACTGGTGATGCCAGAACTGAAGAATCTTTTAGGGCAGTCCTCAAATTCTGTGCCTTCCTTTTTTCTTGCAGTTTGCCTTCCTAATCCTGGCTGCAAGAATTTGAACAGAGAGCAGGCGAGAGCAATATTTTAGTCTTTTTGGAAATTTACATGTAGGAAAGCAAGTAAATGCATATTCACCATGTGCATAGTTCATGGAGTGATGAGGACAATATGAACCTCAGAGGGAGTGATTGTTTCACAACAAGGAACTCATGCACTTCAAATTGCTCAACACCTGGGCTTGAAATAAGTCCATACTCCTGCTGGTTAATGCTACTGCCATAGTACTGGCAAGAAGACTGGCAGCTTGAGGGGGCATTCACAAAGTCGTACAGCACGTTAATTCTGCTAGTGTGTCTTTTTTTCCTGATTGGCGTGATTACAAGAAAGAAATTGCCCATATCTTCCTGCTGCTGCATCTGGTTACATGGCACAATGAAACCATAGTCTCTATAATGAGTTTATTGGTTTTAATTCTCATTAATTTTGCTCATACAAGTATATTTTGCTGAAAATGTATAAAACGCTGAGTGTAATCTGGCACAATATTCTTTCATGTTCCTCAGTAAGCCATAATATTATTCATATCCATATATTTTTATATTGCCTTTTCTTTAACTGCCTACAGTGCCTGACCTTTGCCTTATATATGATTATGGGTTGCAGAATGTAAGTAACAAAAATTTGATTATTCTTTGGTCTGTAAAACATGATTTTTAATAAATGTATTGGTTATGTTGAATATAAACTACTTAAAATACATTAATAATTTATCTTTCTGTTTGCATTATCATCAATGTATATTATATATTATAATATATAATTTATATGCATATTATATATTATAATATATATAATTTGTATGCATATTATATATTATAATATATAATTTTATAATATATAATTTGTATGCCTATTATATATTATATAATTTGTATGCATATTATATATTATAATATATAATTTGTATGCATATTATATATATGCATACACAAGAATATATATAGATTTACACATGTACATCTGAAATAAATAGTTCTAAGGCTTTGAGCTCCCATCTTCTGCTCCAATTATCCTTTTGAGCTAATGCCCTATAAACTGTATTTAAAGTTTATTTTGAACTTTCAAAATTGCAGCCACACACATTATCTTTACAGTCACTAGAAAAAATGGAATTGAATCAGTTAATCATAAGTCAGGAGGAGGAAAAAAACAAATGACAATTGTTCCTTTGAAACCATAGAGAAAATCTGACAGCACACTCTGTAGTGTGATTCATATTACTTTTTTGAGAACAAGCCCTGTCTTTAATCTGTTATTTGGTTTCAAACCTGCTTTTGATCCATTATTCACTTTGAATTCAACCTTTGTTCAGACATTCACTTTAGCCATATATTCCAAAATTGTACCCACAGTTCAGAAAGATGGTCCAGTGCAACAGCAGCATTTTCTTAATTTCCCATATGATAGAAGTATATAGCAAGCTCCTCTCACCTCGCTCTAGCTCCAAGAAACATAATAATTTTGATCCAGGATATTAGAAAAAAATATTTTTGTATTGTTAACTACATGCACTAGCCAAGTGTTTTCCAGCACTTCTTTCAATGAAAAGTAGAATTCTGGGTGAAGCATCTTATCTGTATGTGTTGGTTTGTTCTAGTCAGTGGCCAATAAATAGCATTTTTCTTTACTGCCTGAAAACTGAGAAATAATATAAAACAATAAAGAAGACAAACAAAATGTCATTATTGTTACTTAAAATGGCTAGTTTGCAGAGATAGCACAATGTGACAGCCACGTGGGGCTGCTTCTTAAATGGCCAGGATTGCCAAGTCTCTGGGAGTACAGGATGGGAGCAGGCACCTCTGCTGAGCTGAGGCTCAGGGGCAACAGCAGTTGAGTTCATCCTTGGGACTGATTGCACTGAAGTGTTACTCTTTCCAAGTTATCCAATCATCAAATTAAGTTACCTCCTTAGAGATAATGTGAGTGAAAGGACAAATAGAAGCCAAAAATACTGCTGGGAAAATTCCTCCTCAGAGATACCAGGAGTGGGAAAAAAGGTATTTATTTCTAACAGTCTGAAAAGTTACTTTATAGTTTGAAAATACATTGCTTTCTTAAATAAATTTAGTCCCCCAAATAATCTTGTTTAAATGATTGAATTAGTGAATTCTCTTTTCATGAAACTTTAAAAAGTTTAATTTTTAAATAATTCTTTAAAATTCTGGATGAATGTGTTCCAAATCATATAGTATTGATTCACAAAGTACTTCTAATAAATATCGTTTTGTTCTCAGGACATGTTCTCAGTATTACTTGATAACTCCCTTTAACCGCAGAGCAACTTTTGTTACAAATGATTTTCAGAAAATGAATTACAATTTCTCACTGGCAACTTGTGACTAATCTTGGGCTGCTGAAATTATATTAGTGCATTTGAACCATAATTTGATTATTCTCACACTGAAAACATAATACCTAATAATGTTTCATTTTGAAAAAAATTCACTGTTTTTCTTAGTTCATAATTAACCACATTTTTATGAGCTTTCAAAGAATTAAAGTATTTCTAATGAAAGTTAAAGATTTTAAATACTGTTAGATTTAAATTGTTTATTTTTGACAATATATATGAAGTTTTAACCATATATCTGAATCTAATAATTTTTATAGTACTTTTTTTGACATATAGCTGGGTAACCTAGTTAAATTGTACTCATATTTATTTAACATATCTACTGTAATTATCCCTGTCTCCTTTTCTGTTGCTCTTTCTCTCCCCAAAATCTTTGTGTAGGTATTCTGTTTTTATAAAGTATTTTTTCCACAGGTTTTAATGAATGTGTGTCGCAAATGCATAATTTAATGTTTTGGGCATATTTCAGCAACAGGGAGGTATAATTTGAAGATAGTACGCAAGTGATTATTATACCCTAGGCCATCACTATTGAGAAGCTTACCTTGGTATATAAACTTCCATTTAATTTCACATCCTTCTCTTCTCAGCCTGAACAGTTAATCCTTCCCACACCAATCCTATGAAAATCTCCAGTTTCTTCTTGCTTTGGTCTTCTACCCCATTCATCTTGCTAACACTAACCTTTGCAATAACTCCAATACTGTTCATGAGTTTCCAAATGTAACTTGACTCTGAAAGCTGATGTAAAGTGTTCTCTCTTCAAAGTCTTTTTCAACTTCTAGTGTTAGAATTTATTGACAGTATTCCTATACCCTTGTTTCAGGCTGTTGCTTGCTTGCTCACTTTCTCGCCTTCTCACCTTTCAGACTGAGCGGCTTGAGTAAAGGGACTATGCATGCTGAAAAATAGAATTCCAGCCTATTAAAAAGAAAAATCTCACAGGTTCTTTCCGTCTCATGACATACACTCATTCCCCCTCCCAGACCTCACTGTCTCAAATATACACAGACAACTAAGAAAGTCAGAATTATTGGCTAATACTGTTGCTATATATCTCCGTTTTTGGAGGAATGTATAAATAGGATCAAATACAATAGTAGAAATGTGTACCATGTATTACCTATTATAGGATATTATATCACTACTTAGTTTGATATTTCTATTGATACAAAAACTTACTATATATGCTTTATCAGGGAACCTGCCCCAATAGTCACATAGGTTCTTTTCTAATTTCCCTAAGCGTCGGCCGGTTTGAGAAATAAAGGGACAGAGTTCAAAAGAGAGAAATTTTAAAGCTGGATGTCCAGGGGAGATGTCATATGTCAGTAGGTTCCGTGATGCCCCACAAGCCGCAAAACCAGTAAGTTTTTATTAGGGATTTTCAAAGGGGAGGGAGTGTACGAATAGGGTGTGGGTCACAGAGATCACGTGCTTCACAAGGTAATAGAATATCACAAGGCAAATGGAGACAGGGCGAGATCACAGGACCACAGGACCTGGGTGAAATTAAAATTGCTAATGAAGTTTCGGGCACCATTGTCATTGATAGCATCTTATCAGGAGACAGGGTTTGAGAGCAACCGGTCTGACCAAAATTTATTAGGCGGGAATTTCCTCATCCTAATAAGCCTGGGAGTGCTATGGGAGACTGGGGCTTGTTTCATCCCTACAGTCTTGACCGTAGAAGACCGTCACATCCAAGGGGGCCATTTTAGAGGCCCACCCTCAGGGGCACATTCTCTTTCTCTTTCTCAGGGATGTTCCTTGCTGAGAAAAAGAATTCAGCGATATTTCTCCCATTTGCTTTTGAAAGAAGAGAAATGTGTCTCTGTTCCGCCCAGCTCACTGGTGGTCAGAGTTTAAGGTTATCTCTCTTATTCCCTGAACATTGCTCTTACCCTGTTCTTTTTTCAAGGTGCCCAGATTTCACATTGTTCAAATACACATGCTCTACAATTTGTGCAGTTAACGCAGTTATCACAGGGTCCTGAGGTGACATACATCCTCCTCAGCTGACAGGATTAAGAGATTAAAGTAAAGACAGGCATAGGAAATCACAAGGATATTGATTGGGGAAGTGATAAGTGTCCATGAAATCTTCACAATTTATGTTTAGAGATTGCAGTAAAGACAGGCATAAGAAATTATAAAAGTTTTAATTTGGGGAACTAATAAATGTCCATAAAATCTTCGCAATCCATGTTCTTCTGCTATGGCTTCAGCTGGTCCCTCCATTCGGGGTCCCTGACTTCCAGCAACATGCTTATTATTGGAGGCTCAGAAAGATTTGGTAAATTACTTTATTAGATGTGATGGTTTCATTGCTCAAAGAAATCAGAGATGACACAAATAAATGAAAAAACATTCCATGATCATGGATAGGAAGAATCAATATCGTGAAAATGGCCATACTGCCCAAAGCAATTTATAGATTCAATGCTATTCCCATTAAACTATCATTGACATTCTTCACAGAACAAGAAAAAACTATTTTAAATTTCATATGGAAACAAACACAAGCCTGAATCAAGGCAGTCCTAGGCAAAAAGCACAAAGCTGGAGGCATCATGCTACCCAAATTCAAACTATCCTACAGGGCTACAGTAACCAAAACAGCATGGTACCGGTACAAGAACAGACACATAGAACAATGGAACAGAATAGAGAACACAGAAATAAGACTGCACACCTACAACTATCTGATCTTTTACAAACCTGACAGAAGCAAGCAATGGGGAAAGGATTTCTTATTTAATAAATGGTGCTAGGATAACTGGCTAGCCATATGCAGAAAATTGTAACTGGACCCCTTCCTTACACCATCTATAAGAAATCAGCTTAAAGATTTAATGTAAAACCCAAAACTAAAAAGCCTAGAGGAAAACCTAGGCAATACCATTCAAGACATAGGCAAGGGCAAAGATTTCATGATGATACCAAAGCAATTGGAACCAAAGGAAAAATTGACAAATGGGATCTAATTAAACTAAAGAGCATCTGCACAGCAAAAGAAATGATCAACAGAGTAAACAGACAACCTACAGAATGGGAGAAAATTTTTGCAAACTATGCATCTAACAAAGGTCTAATATCCAATATCTATAAGAAACTTGAACAAATTTACAAGAAAATAAACCAAACGACCCAATTAAAAAGTGAGCAAATGACATGAACTGACACTTCTCAAAAGACATACATGCAGCCAATAAACATGAAAAAAGCTCAACATCACTGGTCATTAGAGAAATGAAAATCAAAACCATGATGAGATGCCATCTCATACCAGTCAGAATTACTGTTATTAAAAAGTAAAAAAAAAAAAAATAGCAGATGTTGGTGAGATTGTGGGAAAAAGGAATGCTTTTACACTGTTGGTGGGAGTGTAAGTTAGCTCAACCATTGTGAAAGGCAATGTGGCAATTTCTCAAAGACCTAGAACCAGAAATACCATTTAACCCAGCAATCTCATTACTGAGTATATACCCAAAGGGATATAAATTATTCTATTATAAAGACACATGAACACATGTGTTTATTGCAGTACTCTTCAAAATAGCAAACACATGGAATCAACCTAACTGCCCATCAGAGATAGACTGGATAAAGAAAATGTGGTGCATATACACAGTGGAGTACTATACAGCCATATAAAAGAACAAGATAATTTCCTTTGCAGGGACATGAATGGAGCTGGAGGCCATTATCCTTAGCAAACTAATGCAAGAAAAGAAAACTAAATACTGTATATTCTCACTTATACGTGGGAGCTAAATGATGAAAACACATGGCTACAAAAAGGGGAACAACAGACACTGGGGCCTACTGGAGGGCAGAGGGTGGAAGGAGAGAGAGGATCAGGAAAAAATAACTAAGGGATACTAGGCTTAATACTTGGGTGATAAAATAATCTGTATAAGAAACCTTCTTGACACATGTTTACCTAGGTAACAAACCTGAACATCCTGCACATGTACTCCTAAATTTAAAATAAAAGTTAAAAACAATTACTCCATTGAAGTACAAAGGTAGAAAGTTATGTATACTGCCAATCTGCATGTGCCCAAGCCCTTTGCAGGCCCACCATGATACCCCCAAAGAACTCTGAGGAACCTTTTTCTAAAGTGCAACAATTTCTAAAAATAAATTAAGCAAATTTACAGTTGAAAAATGTGTTTTTTAGTCCAAAACAAAATAACTAAGAATAGTCTTCTTACTAGGGTAACTTCAATAAAATATTCATCTTCAAATTCCAGTCTCTAGGCAAATTTAATTTCTGAAAGAAAGAAACTGATTATTCCCTTTAGGAAAAACTAAATTCTTTGATACATTAGCTATGGAAGATAGAGACAAATTTATATAACACAAAAATTGTCAAAGTTTAATTAATGACAGAAAAATTTTAGACACTTGATGCCTGCTATAATCACTTAAGGTAATATTAAATATAGAAATGCTCAAAGTAAAATTTTGCTTTATGTATTTTGCTACTATGTCAGTGCATTCACAAAAAGATAACTTTTTTTTTCATTGTTATTATTGGGAATATAACTGTCACTCAAAGTCTTTCATTTGAAGGTACCCTCCATGTCTTTGGTTGTCTTTGTGATATATTTATTTTGTGTTCTGAAGTTTTATATTTATGAGTTGATTTTGCTTATCCTGCTTGAGATTTTCTTGACCTTTTTTTTCAATATGTAGTTTGGTTAAGTATGTTTTACTGAATGCAGTGTTTTACTTCAGTTTTGTAGCATTAAAAAAAATCCCATCTTAAATTGCTTCTGTCAGTTATCTATTTCCTCTCCTACTAGATCTTCCTTATATTTTATAAGATCTTCTCACATTATCTTTCATAATTTTAATCCTTTATGTTTTCCATCTAATTGTCTTTCAGTGTTGTTTTCTGAATAATTGCTTCTGATATATTTTCCATTTCATTAATTTTTCACTCAGCAGTGTCTACTCTGAAGTCAAATAAATCTGTCAAGTTTTTATATCAGCTGTTTTCTTCTGTTCCTATACATATATTTTGATTATTCTAAAGATATGCTAGGTCATTTTTATATTATTATTATCTCATTTTAAAAGTTATAGAGGTAGTGGTATTATAGTTCCTGCAATCTTGACATTTGCAACCTAATGAAATGAGCTGGCTTTTTATCCTTCATCCACCCACTAAATGTGTTCATTTCAGGCTATTTCCTGGGATCCTATGCTAGTTCATTATCTGTTTTTTTCATGTAATACACATATTCTCCTGGGCTAGTTCAGTTTACGCATGCTTCTTCCTATGATGTGATTATAACTTCTAAATTTAAATTTCTAGACCCAGAATTGTATGTTATTTACTGGATAGCACTTCATCAATTCTTTATGAAGCATCTAAAATTAATATAAAAATATGCTGTGAATACATTATCTATCTTTCTTCACACTTCCTTTTTGCCTTATTTTGATAACTAACCCTGAAGTATAGGCAGAATTTCTAATTGAATCCTGTAAATTTTATTTAATTTTCATAGCTCAATATAGTGTTGTATTATATTTCCTTTTAACATGTCACAGATATGCTCTTCTTTTTTTTATCACCTTTGTTACTGCTTCGTTTCAGGTTTTTCATCTCTCCTGTTTATAATTTTTGTGGCACTAATATCCTTACTGGTCTTCCTAATTCTATTTTATCCTCTTTTTTTTTTTTTTTTTTTTTTTGAGACGGAGTCTCACTCTGTCACCCAAGCTGGAGTGCAGTGGTGTGATCTCGGCTCACTGCAACCTCTGCCTCCCAGGTTCAAGCGATTCTCTTGCCTCAGCCTCCCAAGTAGCTGGGACTACAAGCGCATGGCACCACATTTGTCTAATTTTTGTATTTTTAGTAGAGATACGGTTTCACCATATTGGTCAAGCTGGTCTTAAACTCCTGACCTCAGGTGATCCACCTGCCTCAGCCTCCCAAAGTGCCAAGATTACAAGCATGAGCCACCACCATGCCCAGCCTCTGTTTTATCTTCTACTGATCATTGTCTACTGTGCTTCTGGGGCAATCTTCCTGAAATTAAACCTGACCATGAGTCAGTCTCTCTTGCCAGTTATTCACAATTGGTTTGCCCATTTCCTGCAGAATAAATTTCAAATTTCTTTCCATGCAGTGTAAACCTTTTAGGTTTGACCCATTCTTTTTTATTGTATTGCATGATCTTTTTTTACATTTTTATTTTCCATTATACATGCAATGTATGGTAAAAACATATTAAAATTTTTTGTGTTCTTCAGAAAAAAACACATGATTTTACATTTTTCTAGGAAATCTGTCTTCCTGGATTTCTTACTTATTTATTTCAAAACCTAGTTCAAACTTTCGTACCTTTTTGAGAACTTTGGTGTCACCCAAGCCCACAGGCTTATTTCTCTTCTCTGCCTCTCCATGTTCTACACATTTTCCATAATTTTATTAATACTTAGTACTCAGTAATTTAAAATGTAAGATTTTACTGATAAATTTAAATTTATAAGAAGTGAGACATCTTTTATTTCCTTGTATTTCCAGAACTTATCACATTACCTTATATATCATAGGTATACAAGATGATCAATAAGTGCTTCAAATATATGAATGGTTCTATGCTTTGGAGTTTTTTTCTTCTTACTATGAATGCCATCTTTACCTGATGCTCACTCTTCACAATCTAAATATTCCTCATTTCTTTATGGTTCAATGCAACTCATCTTCTCCAAAGCACATTTGCTGACCACACCAGCCCTCCATTTCCCACATACTTGAACTGTATCAATCATCATGACACTTACTGATCAATCTTGTATTAGGATATAAATAGATTAAATGCATTTTTTTTCTATCCAATTCATGAGTGTGTCCCTAATCTCCGGAAGGGGAATATAAGGTGGGAGTGGCAGGTATGCAAATGGACCAAACATGCACTACAGTGTCCCTTTGTGATTTCCTCCTTCACTCTCTGTTGGACAAATGACGATGTTATTATTTGGAAAATAGTAATAGAGAAAGTGACCAAAATTTTTAAAATTACAATGTAATTGATGTTTTACAATTTCAAATTAATATCTGCAAATTAAGCTATGTAGAGTTTTTTCTAGATCAGTTTATTCATTGTAATAGGTTTACCACAGATAAATAATGAGAAATTGACATAAAATTGTATCTCCAACTGTTCTTTTGACTCTCTGTAGTAGTTTTTTATTGCTGTGTGACAGATTTCCAAAAACGTAGTAGCTTAATATGTTGTTGACACATTATTATTTCACAATTTTTGTGGGTCATAAATCTGCCATGGATTTGTAGAGTCTTTTGCTCATTATCTCACTTGGCTGAAATCAAAATGTCAGGTGATGCTCTGATTTTACCTGTAGCTCATGGGCCTCTTGCAAGCTCATTGGTTTGTTAGAAGAATGCATTTCCTAGTGTTGTAGGACTGAGGTTCCTGATTCTTAGTTTTCAGCAACCAGCTCCTAGGGCCCACCCAACATTTTCTGCATCATGTCCCTCTCCCGTATTTTGAGTTTGTTCCTTTAAGACCAGCAGAAAACCTCTGTTACTGCTTCTTAACTGCTTTAATGACTCAACTTATATCCCATTATATTCACAGCTATTGCCATACTCAAAAGGGAGAGCATTATTCAAGGTTTGTACGCCAGGGATATAAGTATTATAATTCTGAATACCATCCTTGCTAAATGATTTTGTGTAAATATTTATGGTCTTAGTTTCCAAAAATGAAAAGTATAAATAAAATAAATAGCCCTAAAATTGTTTTATAATGTATATAATTCTAAGCCTCAAAATGAGCTAAGTTTGAAAATGTGTAAGTGAATTCCTCTCTATTTTAGATATTTTCTTCTTCCAAAGGGCTTAATATATAATTTGCCATCAGTCACAAAGGACATTTGTTGATCAAATTTAGTCTGCACAAATGAATAGACCTCTGTTAAGTGAGTAGCACATACAATATATAGTTTCAGGCTAAAATCATTACTTCTTTATTGATAGAAACAAAGAAAAAAACATTTGGTATTTCAAACTTCAATGCACAATGATAAAAATTAGTTAATAAATATAGGATTGTATTCGACTATCAAATGATCATATATAAACTTTTTAAATCTGTCTGCCTTGACGATTCTATTAAAGTGAATAAAAGAGCAAGACAACTTATAGAATGCTTAAATAAATGAGCAAAGCAAAGCTTTTCAACCATGATCTGTCATGTGAAAAGTATATAGCATATTGACTTCTTGACAAGTTTTGTCACCTGTAGGAAAAAGACATTCTTGTTTATGGAACTTGTAGGCATGCTCTGAAACTTATAATGCTTAACTGTCAAATCCTCTGAGTACAAGTAAAATATAGAAGCATTTAATTTATCACAGGGCCATTTTAATCTTGATTTTTAAAGAACACAAGAGCTGTCATGGTTTCTTTAAAAGGTACACCTGGGAGTTTTGTCACTCTTCCATAAAATTCCCTAAGTTGTTAAGAATCCAGGCGGCCGGGCGCGGTGGCTCATGCCTGTAATCTCAGCACTTTGGGAGGCTGAGGCCGGTGGATCACAAGGTCAAGAGATTGAGACCATCCTGGCCAACACAGTGAAACCCTGTCTCTACCAAAAATACAAAAATTAGCTGGGCGTGGTGGTGCGCGCCTGTAGTCCTAGCTACTCAGGAGGCTGAGGCAGGAGAATCACTTGAACCCAGGAGGCGGAGGTTGCAGTGAGCCGAGATTGCGCCACTGCACTTCAGCCTGGTGACAGAGTGAGACTCCATCTCAAAAAAAAAAAAGAATCCAGGCAACTGCTTTATCAGTGGAAGAGCTGACTAGACTAGGTATACTGCTATTTTTGTGATTCTTTTTAGAATAACATATCTTTTTTTAATTTAAACATCTTTTTTTTCATAGATGATATACTTACCAGTATACTTGTCAGTTTCAAACTTAATTTAAGGAATTAACGAAAAGGGGGGAAAAACTCTATGCTTTCTGAGACATTTGCCAGTTAAACGTTCTTGCAATTCTGTTAAGTATAACCATAATTTCAGAATAATCATATTTTCCAATATAGTTTATGTTTAAGAATATAATAGTCCTTCTGAATGCAAGAATATTTTGAAATTAATTGAGATTGTCAGTCTGTTGTATAAGACATTTCTGACTTTCTGTTTCTGGTAATAACAGATTATAACATTAGGACTATACCAACTCTGAGGAGAGGAATAACATCAGGATAAAATATATTATTAAAATTTTCTTAGGAGTATAAAGAATTAACAAGACAATAAAGAAATACCACAAGAAAAGGAAACTCTGAGAAATAAGTGAGTTTTGAATCTACTTTTGCCTTGAGGGCATATTCAGGTTTTAGAAAATTGAAACTCCACTGGTAAGGGTAATCAAATTCAAAGCAAAGGGCAACTGAAAGCAGTGAATTTTAAAAAGGAAAGAAAGGAAAAAGAAAGAAGGAAGAGAGAAAGAAAGAAAAAAGGAAGAAAAAAAGAAGAGACAAACAAAAAGAAAAAACTCTTTTGCAATAATATTCTGGGACCTCAGCGAATAACACCCTCAGGACAAGACAGAATTAGAGCCTCCTTCTCTCAGAGAATTTTGCGTGGAGAATCTCAGAAACTTTATACTATGAAATTGGTTTAAGCTTGTTCTAGGTCAGCATTGTTGGCAGATCCTTGGCAGAAAAAAAAATGCCTGTATATTCTAAAGGAAAGTAAAAACTTCAACCTAGGCCTCACATTTTGCTATCAATAATATTTCAAGTTCAATGTTCATCACATAGTAAAGAATAATTAGACACAAAAGATAAAAACAGTAAGATGTCACGAGTAACAACTACAGGATAAATGATAAGGAAACAAAAACAGACCATTAAGGGCTTTAGCTATTAGTATAACATAGACTATAAATAAACTGCATATAAAAATGTTTAAAAAACGACCACCTTGATGACACCTACAAGGAAGATAAAATTATACAAAGAATTAGAGCAAATTTGGAAAATAAACATCAATATTCTGAGTGAAACTAGCAATAACTAAAATACTAATAAAGCTAAAGAGAAAATTAGTAAACTGAATACCGGAACAGAAAAAAATTATTAAGAGCACTGAAAGAAAATACAAAAGAGATTATTTACCAACTGATAACATTGCCGTCTATTCAACAGCTTGTCAAATAGGAAAAGAGGCAAGATCAATCTTTCTCACTTCAATCTTCCAGGATTATAATTCTGTGATTTCAGTGATGTGGACTAAAGCAAGTGATTTAAGTTTTTCATGTCTCAGTTCTATTATGTATGCCATTTATTTGTTACATTCTATTTCTCAAGTCTCTTTTATCTAAAAAGTCCTGCAGTACTCTGATACTTTTGTGAAAATGTTGCTAATATATTTTCAGAAGAAAATCAGGATTTTATCAGCAATAATGAAGCAAATTAGTAAATAAATCAGTGGTGAAAAAAATTTGCTACTGGAAAAAGCAAACTTTCTAATGGGAAGAAAGGGCAGTGTCTTATAATTTCCTTAATATAAAAAAGAACCAAAGAACAAGCTCTATGTAAAGTCTATATAGTAGACTTTAATGGAAACAAGAAAAAGAATTTGTTTAAATATTGAGGAGAGTTAAAAGAATACTTAGAATTTTTTCCCTTGTCCTATTTGAGAAGCACCTTGGGTAGATGGCAATGCTATTATTTGGTAAATAATCTCTTTTATATTTTCTTTCCGTGCTCTTGATGATTTTTTTTCTGTTTCATTGTGCAGTTTACTAATTTTCAGATTTTTTTTTTCCTCTCTTGCTAGGCCTATGAAAGACCAGGAACATAATGGAGATAAGGATGAATTCTGTTCCAGTTTAATTCTGTAAATATTCTATAATAAATAAATTAATGTGAACATGAAAGTCAGATGAAGACAATACTATTAACTCATAAAAATCACAATTATAATCAGGTCGATTCTCACACAGGGTTATCATTTATTTTGCCATATAAAGGAAATGTAAGACAATTAACAGTTTCCAAATTAGCTTGATGGGAGAAAACTTACAATAGGGCAATCCATTACTTACTAATGAAGTTACATTCCATAAAGGAGTTCCTCTAAGGAATTTCCTTTTGAAATAATATTTATGTATAGTTTAGCAGAGGTGAGCATTGATTGCTTATCTCAATTGCAAAGTTAGCAAGTTCCCCAGAGGAAAAAGCACACAGATTGTTTGACTGAATTGTTGTGGGTGGTTTAAAATTATGATGAACGGCAATGTAAAAATAGAAACCATGTGGGTTTCTTTATTTTGCTTGAAGGGAATGCTACTAATTTATTTTTCCTATAAAAAGTCAATGAAATTAGAATTTACATTTTGGTTCCAAATTGGCAATGATGAAGGGGAGATTAAATTAATGAGCTTGTTATAGTTATTAGTTCTACATTGTTCATTTTAGCCCAGCCACGGAATGTGAGGCTGACTCTCAGCAAAAAATACTTGATAAAGAGAAATAAATGATACAAATTTGATATAAAGTAATGTGGTTGTTGACTCTATATGTGAATATGAATTTAGAACAGTCGATAAAAATTTACAGTACTATGTCTTACAGAAATGTAGAAAAGCATACAATATCATTTGACTCTAGACATCTACAATGAAGTTGGTTGTTTGTACAGTTATTTCAAACCCATAATGGCCTATCATTTATTTATCTGTACAATAAAAAAATCTAGTGCACACTTGATTCTGAGAAAAAGCCGAAATTCCTGCCATCGAGGAATTTACAGTATAATGTGGAAGATAGGCCAAAAACATAAAAACAAATAAATAATTTTAGAATTATAAATGTATTGAGACATTGTGAAGAGTTCAGTGATAGAAATACATGAGTGAGGTGGGTAGAGAATTAGATGTGGAGGGCGATGTCTGCCAGTTAATATGAGACTTGAAGTTTAAAATGAGACAACTGTGTAATAAAACAAATAATAACTTCCATGCAGTGCAAATGGTTTGTCTTGGGGTAGAAAAGGGTGTGGTGTATTTAAAGGATGCACAGAGTTCATTGTGATTGGAATATGGAGAATCAGAATAAGCACTGTTTAAAATGTGATTGAAAATATACATGGGAGCCAGGGCTTGTTGGGCATGTGCATGATTTAGATTTTGTCCAAAGTTCTATGATAAGTCAATAGAAGAGTTTTATGAGGTATGACAGTCTGATTTATGGCTTTACAGAAAAAAAAAAAAAGATGACCTACACTGCTTTGTGTTTTAACAATCCTTGGCAGTTAAGAGTGTGGAGGACAAGACTAGAAGTCAGGAGACCAATAAGAGATTATGGCAACAGCTCAGCCAAGATGCAGCCTGAATTATAATAACAGCACTGGAGAGGAAGAGAAGGAGACAAATATTAGATTTATTTTGATAGTAGCAATAACAGTGCTTGCGGTATTTTGGACAGAGGGAGATAGAGGAGAGGGAAAAATAAAGAAAGCCTCCAGAGATATTGCTTGAGAAGCTGTGTGAACGACCGAGTCATTTACTGAGATAAATACATTCAGATTTCTGTGGATAAGGAGAAATTGTCATGTGCACCACGGACATGTTAGTTTTGAGATTTGTATACACACCAAGCAAGCTGGCATTAACAATAGGCAGAAAAGAGATCCAACGAGAAGGTTAAGAGTATTAGCAGCCATAGGAATAAAGTGTAGAGAGCAAAGAGCAAAGGGCAGGGGAGTAAGCCCTGAAGAGTCTAATATGAAGCTGTCAGGAAGGGTACTGGAAAGGCAATTAGAAAAAACAAGATAAGATCCATGTTCTTGAAGCTAAAGGAGAATATGGTTTTCAGAAGAAGGGAATGCAGCTGTGATAAAGGGTGTTGGTTAGACAAATAAGAGCATAAAATGATCACTGAATTTGACAAAAGTAGAGTTGCTAGAGATCTTGACAAAAAACATTTTCATGTAGTAACCAGGAAAGAAGCTGAACTCTAGAGCACTGAGGAATAAATAGAATATGAGAAAGTAGAGTCCCAGACACTAATTATTTCCAGAAGTTTATCTACATAGGTGAGCATAGGAATGGAGAAGTTGCTGACAAGAATTGTGGAGAAACCTGAGGTTTTTAAAGAATATGAAATAGCAAGACAAGTTTATATGCTTATATATATCTACTAGATAGGGAGATATTGATGGTTGAAGAGAGGAGAGGAATGAATGAACAATGAGGAGAATACCTTGAAATAGATAAAGAAGATGGGACCCAGAGTAAATGTTATCGAATAATAAGGAGGGATAAAATTTAAATTTAATCCAAGAGAACAAAATAAATGCACATGCAAGAAGGTTACATGATAAGTAGAAATTTGAGGGAATTCTAAACTGATGATTTATGTATTCTTAATGAATTAGAAGCAAGTTCATTATCTGAAATTGATTAAGCAGATTGGATGGTTGAAGAATGCTAAAGTGTTTGAGGAGAAAAGATAATATATGAAATTATTTTTTAGAATAGAATCATAAACTTTCCACATAAATGTTTTTGAATTGCCATAGAATGTTGAGTGTCCTTTTTACATTTGATATCACAAATTTAACTTAAAATTTCACTTTAAATTAACCAAACTGGCTATGAGCTTTCATTTTGATATATTCATACTTGCTTTTGAGTAGACTTTGTTGGGTCCTTATCCTATAAAGTTTCTTCCGAGTGAACAGGGTAGAAGACTAGTAGAATGGGAATTCAGTATTTTTGCAAAGGAGAATGTATTTTGATGGATCATGAAATCTAAGAAGACAGAAGCATGTTGATAGAGAATGGTGCATTTAGTATCTTGGAGATGATGAAGATCTACTTTAAAAGGTGCGCTGGCTGTGTGAAATATTGGGACAAGTGAGTGGGATTTGATATCTTGATATTAGATATTTTGGAATTGGTAAGCTTAGGAGTATATGACTGAGAAGGAGTAGAGTGGTCAATAGAGATGAGTAAAGAAACAGGTAAGACAGCGTATTTCAGGGAATAATAATAGAAAACATGGTGAGGTCACAGGACCTTGATTAGGAGGTGGAAACGAAGGGAAGGTTGATAAATGACAGCAATATTGAGCATTCTCAGCTTTAGCTCTCAGCTATGTAATCAAGTATTTCAAATAGTATGTTTAAACTATTATATATTTTGTTAATTTTAGAAAGAGCTATTTGATTTCTTACTATGATGGAAATATTTTTTTCTCTTAGTTTCTGTAAATGTTGCTTGTATCATCTTCCTTCTGATCTCCAAAAACAATTTTGTTGAAAGTTTTGTTCAGTTGGTACGCAACAGCACCCTTAAAGTGAGTCAAAACCGAAATATGCCTAACATTCCAGAAGATGTTTCTCAGACCCTTGAATGGCTTCTGCTGACCCTCCCCATCCTTCTCCTAGGACAGAGGGAGCTTTCATCACTTTGGTCTGGCACTAAAGCTCATGGGCAGATGCATTCTGATTGGTTTACTTAAGTGTAAATGTTGACACATTTCTTAAATATTACCCCTGGTTATATTCGTATTCTAAGTTTCTTGACAGGTCTCTTTTCCAATATCAAATAGCATATTTAGATCTTCTTTTAAAAACACCATTCACTATAAAAATATCTATTGATTCTTCTGTCTTTATAATGAGGCATTAGTGTCCCTACTCTTCAATTCATCTGTTTTTCCTTCCCTTCTCTCCTGTCATGTGCAGGCCTTACTTTACTAAGATTGATAACATCTGCATTAAACCTACTATATATACATTCATAGGATAGAGATAGAAAACCATTATCTAGTAATTTCTATGTGCCACACTGTCTCATATCATGAGAATGATTGTAAAATTACCTATAATTACTTTTGTTTTTATTTATTTTGGCTAAACAAGAAAAAAGAATTTGTCTGACCTACTAGTTCTCTATAACATGTCCTCCAGATGGCATTTGCAAATAGCTTGGTGAGCTATTTATTACAAAAGGAAGAATTCATACGTTGGAAAGTTTGCACAGACAGTAGTTGAGTAAGAAAAAGAAATTCGACAATAGGAAGCCATTCCAATTTTCTTGAAGTCCTCTTCTTCCTGTTGAAATGTGGCCTCTTCTTGGTAGTGGTTGCATGCTGTTTTTGGATAATGACTTTCTCGTGCAGTTTCACTCCTTACTCTGTTTTCTTATTGTGTCATCATGTTTTCCACACTCCCAATACTACTGTATAGCCTCTTGAGTCTACTTCTCTCCCAAAGGATGACCCCCTGGGAACATTATTTAAAATTGTATGAACAATGGTATAGAGAAAAATAAGTTTCTACCAGCTAAATGAAGACATAAAGGGAACAAATACAAATATATTTGTGTACTTTCAAATCTTGTTTGCTGGATTCCAATCCTTGTACTCCTCCTCTCAGCCACTAGACTGAGCTAATTATATTCTGAATTTGTAGTTAATTATCTTGCTGCATTTCTTAAATACATACAGACACATATATTATGTATATCACTACATATGCATATGTTACCAAACACCATATAACATGTTTTTATATACTAAAATGTCGTACTGTGCATATTATTCATTTTGCTTTGCTTTTATATATACATTAACTTTCAGATCATTCATAAATAAAGTGCTGTACAGTAGCACTTTATTCTATAAACTACCACAAGTTATTTATCAATTCTGAAGTTGATGGGGGCATAAGATTTTTTTGTCTCTCTCTCTCCCTTTTTATTCTCTTATAAACAATCCTGCAATGGAGACTTTTATATATGTATATTTTTGAGTCTCAGGAAGGATTTTGTATATTACTATTATTCCTACATGTATATGAGAAAAATAGTTGGGTCATAGAAATATGCATATGTCTTCAAGTTTGCTACATACTGCCAAATTACACAGTAAACTTATTTCAACAATTGATATTCCCACCAACCAACTAGTCATTGTTCCAAATTCTTGCCAGCAGCTGAAGCTGTCAGACATATAAAATCTTTTGAAACTAAGTTTTAAATATTTTTGTTTGTTTAATCTGCATATACTTGATTACCAGCAGTATTTGGGTTTCCTCTTCTACAAATGTCTTCTTTATATTACATTTAGGTAGTTTTTTAATGAATATATTCATTTTAAAATTGATTTTAAAGAAATATATGCAAAGTATATGTATTTGTTTAATTTTTACACATTCCCAGTGTATGACTTTTATTTGCACTTGTCTAAAGCATAATTTTGATTGATAAAAGTTGTTTTAAATATGGTTCTTAATATTTAACATAATTTTCCTTAAGAGGCTATACTTTTTTTTGTTTGTTATCTTGTTTAAAAAAATCCACTTTGAGGTTATACAGTTTTTTTTTTAATCTGTTTTCTTTTAAAAGTTACATAATTTTTCATTTCACATTGAATCCACCGTTACAGACTTTTGTGAATGAGTGAGGAAAAAACACCATTTTATTTGCTTTTGCTGAATAGTGAATTAATTCTGCCAGCACACTTGCTGACGGCTTCTCCAGTGAACTTTACTATTGCCACTCTCCACTTAGTCTCAACTAGGCTTGCAGCTCTCTTGATCTTCTGCACAGCTGTCATTGTGAACTTTCTTTTTTATTCCTCTGAGTTAGGTCTATATTTTTCTAGGTAGAGTCTAGTAACTCCCTAAGAAAACAAATGTGGGAAGTAAAATGTTTTATTCTTTATATGGCCAAATCCTATCATCAAGGCGGATCTTGGAACCTGTACCAAAGGAAGTAAGTGTCGTATAAAGAACTTGGATTCTCCAGGCAGACTGCCAGGATTTGTATCCTGGCTCTTCCACTTACTGCCTATGTGATCATCATGCTAATCTTCAAGCTGGATATGAGCAATGCACCCCTTGAGAGCACATGGAGACCTTAGAATCAATAAAAGACATAGTTATTCCAAGAAAATGGATTTTTATAGCCCAAATCTACATAAACGTGTATACCTATATATATACACACACATATATATGTATGTGTGTGTGTATATATATGTGTATATATATACGCTTTTCCAAAATTTATCCATGAAGCTACCTTGTTTGACTGAGATTTTGTTCCTCTTTCCTATCTATCTTTTCACAATCACCTTTCCGCCATTTTACCAAACAAATGCATGCCTCCCACTCATCCAAAATCTACTAATAGTAGTATAATCTACTGTTCCCAAGAGTAAAATCCTTTGGGCCACTAATAAATGACCAGTTAAAAATGTTGTCCATGAGTGATTCTAACAACTGGGTAGCAAATAGTTTTGCAAAACAAGGGCTAGACACTTTGTATATGTAATTTTTAAAAATTGCTTTCAACGTAATTGAAAGATGACTTGATCCAGTTGTCAGATGAAATATCATTAAAAATAACTTCGACTGATAGATTAGTCTCTGATATTCTGCATATAACATGGTGAGAAATCTGTTTCCTGGTTAAAAGTCTGCGTGGAATTTTTCATGCCTGATCATAGGCAATGACAAAAGCTTTACCTGGCAGACTTCATAAGAGAAAGCTGCCCTCCCTACATCAGACTTGAGGCATAGCCAATGCACTGCAGTCTCTGAAGGGAGTTGCAGTCAGGGATTCAGGCCACTTAGGCCGGTCATGCTCTCTGGATATTTGCATACCTAACCCCTGCTCCTTCATTCCTAGGTCTCTTTATCTGAGGCTGTGTGCAGAGTCCTCTTCAGAAACCTCTGCTAAGGCCTCTATATGGGAGGAACAGGAAAAACTTTAAAAACACTCTTCCCCACTCTTACTCAGTACCAAGTACTTTTTCATTCCTAGCTCTCTCCTCTAGCCCTCCTCCCTTCCCCCAACCCTAGAGTCCATAAAACTGCCAGAGTCTTTTGTTTGGGTTCCATGAAGAGTGAGACAATCTCCACATCGGTATTGATCCACCTGACCTCCTACTGGTGCCCTGCTCTGTGGGGGAAAGTGGAGTTGGTGCTGTCACTGGTTTTAGAGTCTTCCTCATAGGATCACAGTAAGTGATTAAAGGCTTAACCATTTTCTCTTTGGCTTATTGCTTTAATGGTTACTCCAATACCTGGCCCCTCAGCACTCTTTCTCCCAGCTTAGCTGAGCCTCTGACATTTAAGAGTTAACAAAAGCTACTGACATCAGTAAAACGAAGCTCTTATTCTCATTAATAATTAATGTGAACACATTTTCTCAAAGTTTAAATCTATAAAAACAAAACAAAATCAAAACAATACGGATTTGAGGCTTTTTTCTCTTTCTAGCAACAATAGTCATCAATAGATATAAAAACAATTGAGAAAAAGAAAACACATTTATTTTATTAAGGAATGTGTGAATAATGAAACATTATTCAATGTTCCATTATTGAAACACTGAAATGTTTGATAAACAAAAACACTTTGTATTGAATAGTTATTTGTTAAAAGTTTTAATTTTTTTGTTCATTTGCAATCTGCTTGAAACACAAAATAGAAAAAACGTTACATATAGAGCCTATGCATTGGGGAAAATTTTAATGTTTATATATAAATATATGTATACACATTACATCAGTAAAGTATAAAAAGCGATCAATAAAAGACTTTTAAAAATAAAGATATACTACATTAAGACATAATTCTGTTTGGGAAGTAAAATGGAAATATGAGTACAAAGAGAAGAGAAAAATGATGTAAAATTCTGATTTGTTGAAGAATAGTTTTTCATCAGTTTTTAAATTGGATGATGGTAATGTCAAATTCTTGTGATAGTCTGATATTATTGGGCATATATGATTAAATGATATACGAGTGACACTTTAAAATAACTACATTTATAATGCAGAGAAATAACAACCCTTTCAGCCTTATTTGAAGATTGGATACAATATTTAGATGTCAAGTTAAAAATGTGTTGTGAGATACATTGCTTTTGAAAATTATTTTAGGAGTACATGATAAAAATATTTAGTGTCCACTTATCTAAAAGATCATGATGTTCCATAACAGATGAAAAACAACATGGGAAATGTTCACCTTGGTCAGTTTCAGCAGTTAAAATCAGGCTTACCAAAATCAGACAAAATATTTTATTTCCTCTTACACAGATATCCAGGAGATGCAAGATTATATAAGGATCTAGAGAAAAATTGGACATAAAACTTCTCATGAACCTTTTAAAAATGGCTAGGAGCAAAACCCAAACTCTTACACTTTAGAAGATTAATCTCCTCAGGGATATCCGACAGTATGCCGAGCCCTTAGAAGAGTCTACTGTGGAAATAATGGATATATACATAGCACACTCTTCGTCAATCAACATTCTGTCAGGAAACAAATGTCTATTCAAACAGGTGACTGAAGAGAATTTAATGAAGGGACTCTTCACAAAGGTGTAGCCAAGGTTAAGAGAGCAAGAATTGATGAAGTACTAACACAGATGGGAAGCTTTTGCCAGCCAGAGTCTACCAGAGCTCACAGAGAGAACCATAGGTGTAAAACAGAAGTTGCTTTTTGCAGCTATGGCCTTAGACAGAGAAACACAGGAAGTTGGCAGCGACAGAAACAGAGATAAATGCCAGATTTCCTCTCCTTCTTCCCTGATCTTCTATCAGTGACATTTATTGGCCACAGCAAACTGGAAGCCAAAGGATAAGGAATCCCAGTGATGAAGCCTAGTAGAGCTCAGAGTGCCAAGGGATGTAGAGGTGTACAGTGATAAGGAAAATAAAGACAATTTAATAGAGTTTTCAATAATATTAATGATTCTAATTTTGAGTAAATTAGAAGTGTATAAAACTGTAGTAAATTCTCATATATTAATCCTAAATTACAAAACCCAACAGAGTAGAGATATTATTCATTCAGTTTATAATGAAATATATGAATTGGAGGAAATGATGGGTAAATGACAAATTTAAAAAATATATATATATCTGTTAGTGACCAGTTTTAATGTGTGAAGAATTCTTTGTCATATAAATAAATGTGTTTGTTCACTCCAAAAAGTGGTTGGAGTGATGAATATTACTTTCATATTTCTAAAATTTATTTAATTACGAATGATGTTCAGAAAGCTCAGATAGCAAGAACAACTGACAGTGTGGGTATATGGTCTCCTCACCAGCACTGGTTGATAAAAATACAGTCACACCTCACTTAACAGTGGAAATATGTTCTGGGAAATGTGTCATTAGGCCATTTTGTCTTTGTGTGAACATCACGGAGTGTACAGACCGAGATGGTATAGCCTACTACACATGTAGGCTATGTGGTATAGCCTATTGTTCCTAAGCTAAAAATCTATACAGCATGCTACAGTACTGAATACTGTGGGCATTTTGTAACAAAATGTTAAATATTGTATATTTAAACATATCTAAACATAGAGGAAGTACAGTAAAAATACGGTATTAAAATCTTTTGGGACTACTGTTGTATATGTGGTCGGTTGTTTATGGAAATGCCATTATGCAGTGCATGACTGAGTAATTTTTAATTGTCTAGAAGCCACATTCAAAAAAGGATACATTACCTTTAATAATGTTTTATTTAACACACTAATAAAAGTATTATTTCAGCTTATTAACTTGAAAAGTAATAATGAGATATTTTACATTCCATTTTAATTCATACTGTCTTCAAAAATCCGTGTATATATTTACACAAATGCCACATTTCAAGTCCTCAAAAGCCACAGATGTTAACTGGAAATTCTTCTGGTCAGTGCCATTCCAAAAATCAATTAAAAGGCTCTTAATAGAAATGAAGGGACACTTACTGCTAAAAGTGCTACAAAGTGATTGTATTTCAATAATCTTATTGAAAGTATTTTTATATTTTGATCCAGAAAGGCAGATAAATTATGCAAATGAATTTTATGAAGATAAAAGTTATATGAATTAAATCCATTTATATCCAATAATTCTACCTATCTCTTTCAGTCCCTCTTACTCTTGCTGTCTCCTTCTAGTATAATTTTGATGTCAACTAAAAAATGTAACCTTGGGGCCAGGCCCGGTGGTGGGCAAATTACAAGGTCAGGAGATCAAGACCATCGTGGCTAACATGGTGAAAACCCGTCTCTACTAAAAATACAAAAAATTAACTGGGTGTGGTGGCACGTGCCTGTACTCCCAGCTGCTCAGGAGGCTGAGGCAGGAGAATCGCTTGAACCCGGGAGGTGGAGGTTGCAGTGAGCCGAGATCATGCCACTGCACTCCAGCCTGTGTGACAGAGAGAGACTCTGTCTCAAAAAAAAAAAAAAAAAAAATTAACCTTGGACTGACAAGAACAATCCATGACTGAAATAGTAAAGTAAAATAGTTTGGGAATGGTGTTATGTTCTTACAAGGGAGGTAAATAGAAAAAAGAAGATTAACTTTTTAGTTTATTGAGATATAATTCACATACCATAAAATTCAACATTCAAAGTATATGATTAAAGAGGTTTAAGAATATTCACAAAACTGTGCAACTATCACCACTATCAAATTCCAGAAAATTTTCATTACATGCAAAATAAATCCTATATCAATTAGTAGTTACTCACCATTTGTCCTTTGTCTCAGACCCTGGTATACATTAATCTATTTTGTGTCTTTATGAATTTACCTGTTATAGGCATTTCATATAAATTAAAACACATAATATGCTGCTTTTTGTGTTTGGCTTCTATTATTAGTCCATTTTGTATTGCTGTAATGAAATACCTAAGACTGGGTAACTAAGAAAAGAGGTTTATTTTGGCTCACAGTTCTGCAGGCTATAAGGAATTCTGGTACCAGCATGTGCTCCTGGTGAGGGTTTCAGGAAGCTTCCAATCATGGCAGAAGCTGAAGGGGAGTCAGTATGTCACATGACAAAAAAGGGAGCAAGTTGGGGGGCAAGAGTAGATGTCACACTCTTTGAAACAACCAGATCTGACCCAAACCATGTTTGGGTCATGGTGGCATATCCCTTATGAATGGCTTGATGTTGTCCTCATGATAACAAGTGAATTCTCAGGCTGAGTTCATGCAAGATCTGGTTGTTTAGAAGATTTATTTAAATCCTCCGTAATTCCTTTCAGTGATGTTCCCAGTTTTCAGTACTAAGATTTGTATTTCTTTAGTTAAACTTACTCCTATATATTTTACTCATTTTGATCCTATTATAAATAGAATTCTTTCCTTAATTATATTTTGGTTCATCGCTTGTGTATAAAAATGTAATTTTTTGTATATTAATCTTGTATCCTGCAATTTTGCTGAATGTATTTAGTCGTTCTAATAGTTTTGTGTATCTGATTGTGTGTAAATTCTTTAGGATTTTTTATACACAAGATTGTCACAGATGAACAAAAATTGTTTTATTTCTTGAATAGCAGTATAAATATCCTTGAATCCTATTTCTTGAATTAAGTATTGATATCCTTGTGTTGATTCTGAGCTCATGAGAAACACATTTAGCCTTCCATCTTTAGGTATAATATTAATTGTAGTCTTGGATTCATGCCCTTTATCAGATTGAGATAGTTTCCTCCTTATAGTTTGTTAATTATTTTTAATCATGAAAGGGTGAAATGGTGTTGAATTTTGTCAAATGCTTTTTTACATGTCTATTGAGATGATTATGTGGGTTTTGTCCTTCATTGTAATAATACAGTCTTACACTGATTAAGTTTTACACAAGCAACTTTGCATTTCTGGGATAAACAGTTCCCTGAACATGGTCCACATTCTTTTTTATTTGTTGGGAATTCATTTTTCTAGTATTTTGTTGGGCATTTTTCTGGTCTATACTCAGAAGGGATATTGGTCTGCAGTTTCGTTTCTTGTGATTCCTTTGGTCTTAATACTGGGGAAATATAAGACTCATAAAATGTTTGGCAAAGTATTTCCTCTTCATCTATTCCCCAAAAAACAAGTTGACATGAAAAGGTAGTTGTATGAGTAGTTCAAGGTTACACTAAAAATAAATAAATAAATAAATAAGTAAATTTCTTAAACAAAATTAGAGGGAAAAGTCATTGATTAAGTTTGCAGTGCTGACATAAAGATTAACAAAGTACACTGAAATTTTATTTTTAAATCAAAATACAGGTACAGCAGTCATAGTAGTATTAGTATTTTCCTCTGCTGCCTTTTTAAACTTTACTTAGTTGAAGAAGCGTTTACCTTGATGGTTGGTGAAAATTTATAAAGCCACTTGACTTACCCTATTACTTTTAGGCAACAAATATTCCTATAAATATTTTATTGTACAGTCTATGTCAGAATCTAAAATTTTAAACAAAAAAAATCTATAGGAATCTCACAATTTTAAAATCATTATAAAAGGGAAATTTAACTCAGTATTTATAAAAAATAGTTGTTGATATATCTTTCAAAATATGATGAACACAACAAAACACTAAAAGATACTTAATTTTAAATATTCATGAAGGAAAAGTGAGAGTATACTTGTTATCTCTAATTAGAGAAAAACTTCCTAGAATGCTTAATCCCTGCACCAACAAATTATCCCATGTATTTTACCATAACAAACTAAATAATCTCGTTCCTAGAAATGAGAAATGTTTAGATGTATAAATATACTTTGCAAAGTGATTAGTTTTTTTATTTTTTTATTTTTTTAAGACAGGATCTCACTGGAGTCTGTGGCATGATCTCGGCTCACTGCAGCCTTGATGTCCCAGGGCTCAGGAGATCCTTCTACCTCAATCTCCTGAGAAGTGAGCCTGCAGGTATGTGCCACCATGCTGGCCTTAGTTTTTGTATTTTTAGTAGAGATGGGTTTCACCATGTTACCTAGGCTAGTCTCGAACTCTTGGGCTCAAGCATTTGGCCTCCCTCAGTGTCTCAAAGTGCTAGGATTACAGGACTGAGCCACTGCACGTGGGCAAGTTTGATTTTTTAATGTGTGTACACATGTGTGTGTACACAAAACTACACAAATGAGTTTATGTGATACAGGTAGATGGCAGCAGAGTCTGACTCAGTCAAATGAGTCTTAGATTTAAAAATAGAATTAGTGCTTATGTATGTCCTGTAAAAGGCTCTTAGGTCCTCCAACAAACCTGCATTACTTTCTTGTTGATGGCTGAAATTCTGGCATTAATGATTTACTCATTTAGATTAAGATTCTATTACGGTTCAAATTGCCAGTGTAAACTAATATTTAAAATCATTTTAGTGTGGTGTTAAAATGCTTTATAGTAGATTTTGCCTGTGGTAGACAGTAATAATGAGGAAACAAGTCATCTCATGGAATGGAGGAGGACCCTGACTAAAGGACAAAGAAAATAGCATGCACAGTGTGGTAATGTAGAATGAATGGTAAGAGATGACAGACTTTATCTACACAGCAGTTTGCTCCAGAATCAATTCTTGTTGGAGCAGTGAGTAAAATGGTGACACTGAAATCCATGAATTGCCAAGTAATCTCACGTGTATTACTTCTGTAAGTCTAAAATCAGAGCATATTCACCCCCAGGCATCAGCTAATCTTTGCTTAAATGTACCACAATCAATTTTGCCAGTACGAAAAAAGGGAATAAAGAGACACAGGAAATGGTCTCAATAAATTAAACTGAATTGTCATGTACACTTGGCCTCTGCCATGCCATTATGATTTGTATTGTCATGGCAACTAATATTTGGTAAAAAGCAATGATCAAAACAGATATTCTTCTTTTGTTTGATTAACTAGGAGACATTCTGGAGAAGAAAGAGGTAGATTTTGATACAGCTTTTATAGCCATGTTCAATTTTAATAATGTATTTTCAAAAGGGTTTGTATTTTTATGAAGTTAATACTAATAACATTGTACCTACAAGCAAGCTAACCTAAGAATTATTTATATTTTAGTGAATATTTGTTATATGCTAGCTATTTTCCAGAATATGTGCTAGGAGACAAATCAGGCAAAGTTTCTAACCTCAGGAAAGTCACTGTCTGTTGTAGATGATGGTTATATTTACTGTTAAGATCCATATAATGCAATACTTATGCTATAGTCTACACGCAAATTTCTAATTAAGTGTGTAGATAAATAATTTTATCTGTGTTTTTAGATTTTCTAGCAATTCTATAGAAGAGTGAAAAGAGATCAGTAGAAGAAATAACTCAGTAGTCTGGACCTGCTCTCTCCTCAGGATATTGAAGATAAGTGAGTTTACAAATTTAATGGACTAAATTAAGATTGTCAAAACCATTCTGTTTTTATCAATTTAAAATACTTTATACTTTAACATACAAATACATTAATAGTAATTCTTTCATCCCTAAGTACATTCAATGCATCTTGAAAAATCAATCGGGAGAGAATAGCAAGAAAAAAAATCAGCAGCATATCTTTAAGAGTGTCTTAAATAATGATTGGCACATCAATTCATCAGTACTGGAGCACACTAAAGAATCTGAAGGCAAGCAGCAGCACCTAGAAATAGCTCACATTTGTATACACTTTGCAAATTATTTTGACACCTGTTTTTACATTTGTTTCTCTCAACAATCTTTTGTAATATAATGGGAAGAAAATTTTATGTTTGTTGTCTAAATGAGAAGACAGAGTTATTAAGAAGAAAAGTGGTTTGCCTCATTAATGAGAAGCCCAGAATTGCATGCTCCTTATACATGTTAGGTACCTCCAAAAGTAAACTAAACAGGGAAATCTGTAGCAAGTTTTCAAATTTAAAAATTAGCCAATTGAATGTTTGTCTTCATTATAAGCAGAATTTAGAGTTAATAATCTTCAACCAAAAAGGGGGAACCCGACTTATACTATCATGTCTTCAATGTTTCTCCTAACCTGAAGAAATCAGAAGTATCTGGGTTCTTTCTTAAGAACAAAACAAAAACCTATTTAATATGAATAACTATATGCAAGCCATGGTGTTTTACCATGGTAATGAATTTCAGGAATTAGTCGTGTTCTTTTGGAGACAAGGTTTATACAAATATAAGCAAAGTGAAACAGTCAATTCTAAAGTTAGTGAGTGGTTCATACAGTCATTATAGGGGTTACTTTCAGCAGCTATAGTCAACTAAGCTTTCATAGATGATAGAGAATTTGAGTTGGACCTATGCTATTGGATAAGTGTGACAAATGTGGAATAGAGAGTAGGTGCAAGTGAATTTATTATGAGATCAGCGAGTAAAAGATTTTTAACTAGTGTGGAATATTTATCAGGCTAAACAGGTTGCATTGAGATTGTGGGAGGATTTGAAGGTAGCAATTCTACTTGATAAAATTTGTAGAGGAGGAATGTCATTCTAGTTTATATGGCAGCATGGATTGGAAATGAAGCAATTTTTGCAAGAATCCAAATAAGAGTCCCCATAATGGGCTGAGAAGAAACACAGAAAAGCAAGGCCAGGTGCTTGAGACTTTGGGAAGCGAGGAGTGAGAATATAAAGACAGTTCCTGGCATATTAACATTCTGTAACTAAGGGAACTGCTTGAAGACTCTTCCTTAGAGCACATCGCTTCCAAAGTTATTTTCTGTATGGTCTTTCACTGTAATTAATTCCAAAAGAATTCTGGGAAGCAAAGAGAGATGATTACAGATCAGGTGTTTCCCCACAGGTTTCTTCAAGATAAATTGTTCATTTGAAAAGGAAACTTCCCTATTTGTAAAACTTTACAACTGGAAAAACAAAAAGGCTTCTAAAACTCTAGCATAGCATACAGCAGGTTAGTAAGACGTCATAGATGGCTTTCACTCTAGTATTTCAAAGGATACATTTTTTCTGTTCAGGGATTACTCTCAAGGTCTTCCGTGTGTGTGTGTGTGTGTGTGTGTGTGTGTGTGTGTGTGTGTAGCATGTCTTTTCATATATATATGTGTGTGTGTGTATATATATATACATGTGTATATATGTATATTTGTGTATATATATACATGTATATATGTATATTTATGTATATATATGTGTATATATATGTGTGTGTATATATATATGTGTGTGTATATATATATTTTTTTTTCCTAGCAGGGTAAAAGACGATTTAGTCAGAAAATATTACTAGCTTCCTTTGCATAAAGTAATGTCTTACTTCTCCATTTCCCTGGAGATTTGGGGAATTGCTTTTTTTACAAGTATAGTGCAATGTTGCATGTGTGTCTCTCATTTATTCCTTCTTAAATTGAGAGTCATGCAGTGATTATTCATTTTTGTAATTTTCTTAACACGTATACCCTCTAATCCCTCATACCAACACAAATTACACTTTCATCTTAGCTGCTAAGATTCTTTTCTAGCTATTAGATGACTTCTGATGATAGTGTAACAACTTTGTTATTTGATATATTGTTTCTTTTTGATGTACATAAGCAAAGTCTATTTGGATGCTTAGCATAAGATGTTGATCGAGGGGTACAAATTTCCATTTTTTAGGATAAATAAATTCTGATAATCTCATTTACAGCATGGGTGGTGGTGAGTGTGTCAATTTGATGGTGATAATCATGACACAGTGTATATGTATTTCAAATCATGTTGCACAACTTGAATATCTGTATTGTTGTCATTTGTTAATTAGATATTTTGAAATAAAGAAAAAGACCTAAATGTAACTATAAAACAATTAAACTTCTAGAAGAAAATATGGAAAAACGAAGACACAAATTCCACAAGTCAGTGTAGTCAGATGGCTTGACTTGATGTAATTCTAAAAGATACACAAAATAAATGTTTTAAGTTTTATGTGCTGAATCACCTATTTCTGTGCTACCAATTTCACAGCATATGCAGCCCTCACTAAATTTTGCAGACATCACAAAAAGCTGTGGAGAATTTTTGTAAATATAACACTCAAATAATTACTTCATGTACAGTCCACACGTCATCATAGTCATTTGCCATTTTCATCGTGGCTTGTCCTTTCTACATTTTATTATTCATTTATGATAGCTATTATAGCCCTTTCAGATTCTATCTTGCTCTCCTGAGGAATATTTATTGCTATTATAGGCCTCTTATGAGAAGACCCAAAGATAGTTAGCGCAGAAACCCTGTGAAATGCTACATTAGTACAGGGTTTGGCCAGCAGTGAAAGCTCTCGAGTTGTTTCAGAGTCCCTCTTGATGAAGATTAAAAGGCAGGTTACTCCTGGTAAGGATTCCTTTTTACCCAGGAGAACCAACTTATTTTTGACATGAAAGTTAGAAAGCATAAATTAACACAGTTCTACAAATAAGAGCTCTTTTGAAAAGGTCGCCAGGAAGAAAGCAAGAAAGGATTTAGGATTTACATGCAAATAGATTTGTGAATGCAGTTTATAACTCTATTGCAGATTTTCCCTCAGAATGTACTAACGAAAAGATGTGAGGTACAAGAAAAACAAATGACAATATCAGCCAGCAGAAAGTACAGATTTCAGTCTCCCATTATCTGCATGATATTGCTGTGGATCTTAGAATGTAAGCTCCTCAAGAGAAGGGCACTAGAATGTTATTCACTTACGTCTCCTAAACTGGTAAAATAGCACCTGGCACATAATAGGCACTCCATCAGTATTTGATGAATCAACATATGAACTTTGCTCAAGGTGTTCTATAATTTACAATGAATTATTATTTCACCCCTAATGAGGATTTTTTCATTTTTATTCGCTTTTGGTTTTGATTAAAAAGTTGATTTGTCATAATGGGATGGTGTGTATATATATATATATATATATATATATATATATATATATTTTTTTTTTTTTTTTTTTTTTTTTTTTTTGAGATGGAGTCTTACTATGTCACCCAGGCTGGAGTGCAGTGGTGTGATGTAGGCTCACTGCAGCCTCCGCCTCTTGGGTTCAAGCGATTCTCCTGCCTCAGCCTCCTGAGTAGCTAGGACTACAGGCACACGCCACCAAGCCAGGCTAATTTTTGTAGTTTTGGTAGAGACAGGGTTCCCCCATATTGGTCAGGCTGGTCTTGAACTCCAGACCTCGTGATATGCCTGTCTCGGCCTCCCAAAGTGTTGGGATTACAGGCGTGAGCCACCGCACGCGGCATTGGGATGGCATAAATTTTAGTCCACAGTAAAACACTGATCATTCAAAACACCTTGTGATCTCTTAGCCACATTTTCTTTTATTCTAAAAAGTTATTCAAATGTTTTTCTTTGAAAATGATGTGTTCTTTTTATTGTTCTCTCTGACTTCCTGTAACTGATTGTTAAGCTCTAAAAATTAAGAAATTAATTCTAGATTCTTTGCAAATTGATATTAAACATAATGTTCTACATTACATCAGTAAAACAACTCTAATATTGATGGAAGGAAAACAAAGGAAATAAGATATATTTCAATTTTCACTTAACCAAAAAAAAATTTTATGTGAAGTTTTTTTATCTACCATTATCTTGTGAGCAGTTACAAAAATCCGATAGGGCTGGTTATAAAGACTTGCTAAGTCTTATACATAACTTGATGCAGCAAGTGTCACATTACTGCCCAAAAGATGTCAACTATAGTTACTATTTTAACCTAATTAAAAACAACTCATAAAATTATTCACATGAGTACTAAAAAGAAAAGCAAAGAGAAAAAATATTGCAGATTTGGGGGAAAAAAGATGAATTTTGCTTGAATTCCAGTCCAGCTACTTAGCTCTATAACCTTACACTATTTTCTTGCCTAATATCCCTCATGTGGCACATGGAAATTTAAAAAGAAAACTAGTTCACATGGTTATTGTGAGAATTAAGTAAAAAAAAAATATGGACATGAAGGAGGATGACAGCATTTAGACTTTGTCCTAGAATGGTTAGAAATATTCTGAATTCATATATATTTATCACTTTTGACAAGAGACCTTTGGGAGATACATACTATAAAAGCTCTGTTGTATGTGCAAAAGGAAGTGGCATAGATCAGGATGTAAGGACTGGTAACTCATTTCAGTCCTTTGCTTATTGATCATAATATCTTGGACATGCCACTTCTTTTCTGCCTCACTGAATTATTGTGAGGATACCATTAAATAGTACATTTTAAAGTCATTTTAACATTAAGTAATTTCTTTACATGTATAAAATTTTGTTGCAACTAGTCAATGAGTATGTCCATGATCCTTCTTTATAATTGAACAATTTCTTGTAACGTTAAAAAGGTGAAGTTTTCATTTTATATTATCCCTTGTATGTTCACATCTTCCTGGCCATGTCTTGCTTTCCCAGTTTTTTTTAGGTATCTGATCACTGATAAATTACATTGTCTTCAAAGACTATGAGGAAGCAAGACAGAGTCAACCCATCAAAGATCACATGATTGTAAATATTAGAAGACCAAATGCAGAAATCCAAAATATAACTATAAGTGAATTTTCTGTGTGATGATGTGTATATCAAACCAATATATTGCTTTCTCTTCTATCACATTTCTGTGAGTGCATACTTTCATGTTTGATTATTGTTAGGCAACTGACAAAGAAGAAGGTCATCTAGGTCCAAGAATATAGGCACCTCTTAATGTGCCTAGGATACAGTTGAGTTTTGGGTTTCTTCTTTCTGCTGTTTGAGGATAATACAAGACCCGGCCAATGCTTTTTAATTTCATTTTAGCTCAGCACAAAGCTCTTTAATAGACTATACTTGTTCTGGTAATGTGCTTATTGGCCAGGTATCCAGCAGCTTGTGTCAGTCCCCTTAGTTGTATTAGCTACCTGTAAAAGCAGCTCCCTGCAAGATGAAATGACCTGGGACCAATTAATTGAAAATGAAAAAAAAGTGTAGGAAATGCCGTTGGGAGTGATTAACAAAACTAGCTATGCATCAATTGCAGATGGCCAGAGCCACTGCTTGCCAAATAGAGTTGGCTACATACAAAGGAGAACATATTGTTCAAGCAGCAGGACTTGTGAAGGATGTAGAAATTCCAGCAAAATGGGCATGAACAGATGTAACATTACCTAGATGCAACAAATGTGAAGTGCTCTCTTATTGCTCAGTTGTTGTTGTTTCAAATATATATATGTGTATATATATGTATATATATTTATCACATATACATATATACATATATATATATATATATATATATATATATATATATATATATGGGGCCAGGTACGTTAAACATCAAATGTAATTTTCTGAAGGCATTAAGCTTAAAGCCCTGTAGATCTCTTCGCTACTAACCAGCCTGGAACGTTATTCACTTCAGACTTATAGTCACATTTTCTACACATTTTTAAACTGAATATAAATTTTTCTGATTATAGACACATGAATAAACTTCATTCTCCAACTTTTCTCATTGTAAATGATCATTCTCTGTTAATAATAAGTCTTCTTGCTTAATCAAAGACAAACCGGAATTTACACCTGAGAAAGCTGTTATCTATTCTTTAAATAACTTTTCTTCTCCAAATTGGAAAGATAGGAATTAATCAATCTCTATGCTTCATACATTAAGTTATAGTTTTAAGAAAAATAAAAATTCCCTAAGTGGGAATGCTTGATTTCTAGGGCTTCCATAAGACTAATAAAAACCCAACATGATGATCTTTCACCTGGCTTTACGAACTTATCTTTATTGAAGGCTTTTTGACAATTCTCTTTTGCTTTTGGATATCCTGATATGAGAAATCTCTGAATAGTGCACTAATGGCCGCATGGAATCCATACCTGAACATTGAATTTAGTGATAACGTATAAAAAGTGGAGCAAATTAGTCTGCAGGTACATTTTTGAGGAGCAAATAAAACCATCATACACTTCATTCATTTTTACCATTTAGAACAGCGGTCCCCAACCTTTTTGTCACCAGGGACTGGAGTGGGGTCAGGGGATGGTTTGGGGATGAAACTGTTCCACATCGGATCATCAGGCATTAGATTCTCATTAGAAGCATGCAACTTAGAACCCTCACATGCACAATTCACAAAAGGGTTTGTGTTCTCATGGGAATCTAGTACCACGGCTGATCTGACAGGAGACGGAGCTCAGGTGTTAAAGTCCACTCACCTGCCGCCTATCTCCTGCTATGTGGCCTGGTTCCTAACAGGTTACAGACTGCTACCTAAATCAGAAGACCCCTGATTTAGAACCTGACTATAATCTCCCAAGGTTATTTGCAGATTATTTCTCAGCTATAAGATCTACTTTTACATCACATTTACCAAGTAGGTTGTTACTCACTGATCATGTCATCTTGAACAAGTGCCTCTTAATATCATCAACTCTAACATTTTCCAAAATAATTGTTACTGAGATAGCCAGTATTCCTGCGGTGACTGTATCTTTGGAAAATGGCATTACAATATATGTCTCAGTTTAGCTGGATCATACTTTCTGAACTTACATGACTAATAAGAAAAGACAGTTTATACAGTTGAGAAATGATTTCCTGGAATGATTCATATAAAATTCTACTGCTTAACTCTTTCAATCTGATGCCTTCACTAGCTACTGGTTGGATGAGGACAGCATGCAGAAAGATTTTACAGCACATTAAAAAATTGTCATTTGTGTCTCATTTTTCCACTAGAGTATCATAAGCTTTCCTTCCAAGTTTAACTTAGAAAAATGAAACAAGCATACTAGAGTATCAACACAGAGAAAATCAATTTATTGTCTTGAGTTACAAAACACATAGCAAATGAATGTGATTCTCCCAAGACCCAGAAAGAATCTTTCAATGCTTTGAAAGAATATGCCTCTGGTGGCTTCACATGATAGAGAGAATGCATCTTCATCTTGTGTTAGTGTTAATGATATTGCAACATATGCATGTAAAATATTGATTTTTGTCATCTATACATTTATCTAATTTCTGTTTTAAGCCCCCATTCTATTAAGCTGATGGGAAAATTAATCTCAAATTTTGGGAGGATTTCCCTCACGATAAGCTTATGTCGTCTTTCTAGGGCACTAAATTATTTCGAAGGACTTGGTGGAAAACTAGTTTTTGTTCAACTGTACATGGATATTTCTAGAGACATTGACGATCTTCTTGTAACACTTGTTGTTATAAAGTTCTCTATGTTTAATCTGCTACTTTTGGGATACCAGAATTTTTGTGAAAGTGAGTAGATGTTCCTCATAGCCACCCTGACAAGGGTTTCTTTGCTCTGTTTATTTTGTAGATTTCTGTGTGGTTTTATTGCCTGTCAGCACATTTAAGAAATGAGGACAGACCTCTCTGTTTTGGTCTCTTTTCTTTTCTGTTCTGCCAAAACTAATTGCTTTCTCATCTCTTTTGGATGCTTAAGAATGGGATAGAAACACGACTTTTCTTAATGCTTCTGGGCAAGATATTTTTACAATAGAATGCAAATTCTATTTCAGCTCTGGGGAATATTTTTAGGTGTTGTCTTATTTCTAACTTCACACATCTCTTCCTTGAGACAATACACACAGATTTGAAAATCTGTTTGGTATTGGAAAGGGAAAAAGAGAACTAGGTGAACATCTCCAAATTTTATCTCATTATATCAGTATATTTAGTTTAGGCTAACAAATATTACCTGTCAGTTAGGTGTTGGGCACTTACTCAGGTCCAGGATAAAGAATAAAACAGTATCTATTCTAAAAAAGTTCAAATGGAGAGAAAAGCAGAAGAGATGAAGATATTTATTATGCTTCAACATAAAGTAATGGATAACATGGAAATGAAGTTCTGGGAAAAGAAGCAGAGCATTTAGTCCAGTCCGGATGAGAAGTAAGGTAGAATGGCTTTAAAGGAAAATGGCTTTAAAGGAAATGACAGATTTTAAATGTTAAGGATTGAAAGGAGCTTCCCAGAGAGAAATAAAGAGAATTCCATTCAGAATAAAAAATCTGAATGGATGTGTGATGAAGATTTTTTTCCACTTTTGGGAACTTAAGAATACAATAGCTACGTAAACATTCATGTACAAGTTTTGTGTAGCCAATTATTTTTCCTTTGATTAGTGAATGCTTAAGAGTAGAATTATAGGGTCATGTGGTAAGTATGTTTTAACCTTTATGAGAAACTACCAAGCAGCTTTATTGTCAATTTTTGGACCAACTGCTATATTCAGAAGCAGTGTATGAGAGGTCTAGTTTCTTCACATCCATACAAACAATCAGTATCTTCAGTCATTTGAATTATAACATTTATATTGTCAACAAACTGTATGTATGAGTCTATTTCTAGATTTTTCTATACTGCTCCTTTAGTCTGTGAGTCCATTATATACTACACTAGGCTGTCTTGATTACTGTAGCTTTTAAAATAATTCTTGAATGGAGGTAGCAGTTCTTTTTCAAAATTGTTTAAGGTCCTTTCCATTTTCAAATACATTTTAAAATTGGATATGCAACTCACACAAGGAAGCCTGCTGAAATTTTCAGTGGGATTGCTTTGAATTTGAAAACTAATTGACAAAGAATCAACATCTTAACAGGATTGAAATTTCCAAAGTCTGAACCTTTATTTAGGTCTCCTTTAGCAATTTTGTTTTCTCTCACTGAACAGTTTTTAATGTAATTTGTTACATTTATTTATAAGAATTTTACATTTCTGAAGCTTTTGTCAGTCATATTATGTTTCACTTCCCTGGTGTTTTTTGTTATGATAAACAAGTACAATTGATTTGAAGTATTAGACTTATATGCTGTGATCTCGTTAATTATTAATTCTATAGCTTCTTTTTTATTCCTCACAACTTTCTACATTTTATCTATTCCATATTATATTTTGCCTACTCATTATGATTTTCTAAACTGTGTTGTCAGCAAATAATAACAATTTTGTTTCTTTCTTTTCAATCTGTATAGCTGCAGGTTACCTTCAATAACTTTTTTTATGTCGAAGAATTTCTCTACTATTTCTAGTTTGCTATCAATTTTTTTATACGTAGGAGTTGAATTTTGCAATTTTTTTCTTCATCTATTAATGTGGGCATATGCTTTTCCCTCTATTAACTATGTCATTTCTTCTCCATTTATTTCTATTCACTCCTGCTTATGGGTAATATTTGCTTGCTGCTTGTCATTTCTAATAATTTTAGTTTGGATACTGGATATTGTGAGCATTACTTCTTTAGTGGCTTGATTTGTTATTTTTTAAAAAAGAGATTTTGGGGCTCTTTTTGGCTGTTTCCTGCTGACTGGTTTGGCCCATTAGAAGGGGATTATTTTTAAAAACTGTTAAAGTAATTTTAAAGTATCCCTTACTCTTCAAGTTGTATATACCTATTTTAAGGTATACTCCTTCTGTTGTCTTTCTAAATGCTTTAAGTGATTACTGAAGAATCTACTCTGCCTGATAGGAACTCAAGCATTTCCAAGCCCTAAAAATAAGCTTTTGGAATTTTTTTAGCCTACAGATCTTTTTTAATTCTCACATTTTCCTGCTTTGTAGAGTTTGATCCTATCAATCTATGGATTGATATTCAGCCAGTGACTCAAGGAAACTGCATGCAGATTTCTGTGGTAATTTCTGTGTAGCTCTCTCCTCCTCAGCATTTTAACCTGAAGAATTCCAGCTAGCTCATCCTCCTCCAACTCTGTGGCCTCCTCAAATTAGCAAATCCACTACGCCCTCCTTGGATTCCTCTTTCTGGTACCATTATCCAAAAAGTGCCAATATTCAGAAAGCCTTCACAATCATGATATACACCCCTTTGTGTTTCTGATCTGAGGGACATAATCCCGCACTTATTTATTGTCTAGTGTATGAAAACAGGATTTTCATCTATTATGTTCAATTTTCTGTGAAGAACAAGTCTTGTAACATGCACACAAATAATAATATATCTCAAGATATATCACAGTCATAATTATTAAACTATACATATTCTCTAGAATATAGGGTAATATTTTCAAGATTTTGCAAAAGCAAAATTGTCTTCCAGCTATGACATATATAGAAACACTATACATAACAAAAATAATTGATAAATTGAACAGGAAAATGCAAAACTTGTGATTACCAAAGACACTATTAGACACTAAAAATGGAAACCACAGAATGGGAAAAGCACTTGCAATACATCTATGTTAGAAAGAACTTGTATTAAAGTATGCAAAAACACTGATGCAAATTGATGCAAAAACTAAAATTTTAAAAATGTGCAGTTTGTATAGATGACAGACAAAAATGATTTAAAAATGGTCAATAAGCATGGGATAGTTGTCCAATTTTTGTTTAGTGTCCTTCAGTCAATTTTCTACATTTTTTTTAGGTTTCTGGATTCTGGAGTTGGAAATTGAAATTTTGATTAGATCAAGAGGCAGAAGAGGCAGAGAAAGTTTCTTTTTATCTCAAAGCAAATGTTTCCTTCTAGAAAATAATACAATATAAACTCAGATTAATTTTCTTCTGGCTTAGGGCATTTTCTGTTCAGACTAGGGATTTTCTTCCCATTTTAAGATTATAATAAAAATATCTTTAATATAATGTACATTAATAAAATCATATTTTTCTAATTCTATCATTGTCATTATACTGGATTATTATTACTTCTAATATAATTTTGGCCCTAATAAGTAATTGAATGAAAGTAGCACTGTGCTAAATATTATATGAAATACCATACAGGAATGAGTCAAATCTCAGTGACATCAGAATTCAGACTTACTGTTACAGATATTCGCCTTAAAAACATGGTTGTAGATAGCAGTAAAGAAAATTTAGAATTTAGATGTTTAAATCACATATAGTCATTCTGATGGTATACAGATGTGGTATAAAGAATATAAAGAGAAGAATCTGTTTCCCCTTGTTTTATAGAGTTAATTTCATAGCAGTGGAGTGACAACAAGATCCTGGATTTCACAGAAAATAAATAGAGATGAGTACCTGTATATTAAAAAAAAAAAGGTTCACTAAAGTATTGATGGCAGTATGCATGTCTTACTTGAGTACATAACCCATATTAAAAAGTTTCTTCCCAGCTCCAGGTCAGAGGGCATACCATGAAACGGCCACTCAAAGCTACACATCAAGTTCAATTTGAGACTTTTTCAAAATTTCAGAGGCCACCTTGATAGCAACTGTAAATCAGAATCATAACTGTCTAGCTGTATTCAAAAAGTGTTTCACATTTTGAACACTACACATTCAATCTATAAAGACATCTTGAGAAGTCAGTTTTCTTCCAGAAAGTGCATTTTTGGAAATACATGCAGTGTTACCTCGTAACTCATGGGATTTCAGATAGCCTTTAAATAAAGGACAAAAAGAGATGGCACTTTTTAAAACATTTCCAAGACAGAAGGAAGCATATTTTTGGCCATAAATAACTTCAAGTAGTCTTTTTGGCTCACTGTTCTACAATTAATGTGTACTTAGCCTGTGAGAGAGTCTACACAAATTTGTGGAAGGAATGGATTTAGTGGTAATTATATAATTTCCATGGGAAACTGTGGAGAATAAAAATATCTGCGTTCATTACCAAGAAAACAAAATAACAGAAACAAAAATTCACACACAAAATTTTTGCTGCCACAATTGCCAATAATAGAAATATCTGAGCAGATACTCCAGCAGTATGCTCCTTGTTTAAGCCATGTGAATATTTTTTAACTGATTTTATGAATAATCTAGTATAGTTTAAGAATAGAAGTTACTGTTTCCCAGTTAGTGATAGATATTTATAGTCACCTTCTATTATGTCCTTTTAAAACATTCTGAAACTATGTGTTTGAAAAACCATGACAAGATTTTAATGTATATTTTATGACAGACAAAATAGTACATCATGTAACGGACCTGCCATGTGCCCAGTATGTTGCCACACACTACAAATGCAGGTGTGAATAAACCATGGGCTATGCTCTCAAGAAGTTTGCAATAGGGTGAAGAAACAGAGAAGTAAATAGAAAAGTGCAATACAATATTCATGCTAAAATATGGGTGAGAACCCAGAGAAGAGAGCAACTAACTCAGCGCTGGAAAGTAAAATTAAAATTTCACAATGAAAAGGGCATTTAATATGCATTGAGAAGGATAAATACCAGCTCTTTAGGTAAACAAGTAAGGGAATAGAATTCTAGGCTGAGCAAAATGATAATTAAAAGGTAGTGTGTCAAAACAAAAGGCATGATTAGGTCTGTGAAAACTTCTGTGGAGGTTATTATTGACCATGTAGATTATGCAAGAGCCAGGTATTAGTTGGAATATAAACATAGAAATAAAATCTTTCCACTGAACCAAATGAATTTTACTCTCTTCAAGATACAGTTGCAGAGCACTCATGAATATGGTAATCATAATAGTATAGTAATAGTAATAATAATGATAATCTCCCATGCCTTCATTAAATGGTTACTAAGTGTCAGCTATTTGATTCCTCCTCATGATCTTTCATTTATAGCTGAGAAAACCTTGGCTCAAAGACCTGAAATAATGTGCTCAATAGCCAGTAGCAGGCTGTAGAGAATACAATTAAACCTAAGTCCTATTTGCAGCTACATCGCTGAGTTGAGTGTAAGCAAATGAACAATTTGGTCTCACTGATTGTCTTCATCTATAAGTTGGCAATTATAATAAAACCTAAATCTCAAGGTTATTATCATCAGATAAAAGAACAGAACAGACCTTTGTAAATAGCAATATGTGGAATCACCATTAATGATACAAATATTCTAGGGTAGGATATTCCAGAGACTTAAGCTGTTTGGAATATCAAAGATAATGAGATTAGGTAAATTCAGCCAGGATAACTTTGTATTTCTGGAACAGTTTATTCATGACAGAGACAATGTTTTTCAGAATACATTTTCTAGCATGCAGTTTCTACACATTATGTATAAATTTAATTATGAGAGAAGTGATGCATACTTAGAAAATACAGGGTTAAACGAATATAAAGTTGTCTTTTTCAACTTTAGGATGTATCAGAGCCTATAATATGTGTCCAGTGAATATCTAACGACTAATAGAGTATGAAAAATTTAACAAATTTTTTTCTTTTTTTCAAGCCCAGAAAATCATTTTCTTGGAAATTATTGTGGGGCTAGGGTTTCCTGTAGTATGCAATAACATTTTGGAAGAAATGCTGACTATGAGACAGTTTTCATCTCAGTGTCTCTTTATGGACATTGGTGTAGAAATTTTAAATTAATAATTATTAAAATGCCTTGATACTGGAATTTGTACTAATTCACAGTCATTTAGAAATACTAATGAAGACATGAATTGAAGACTCAGTAAAAGGAGGCCTTAAACATGTTACATTAGCACTATATTGAACTCTTAGTTATCTCAAATGTTGCAAGTACAGATTACTGGCCATTTAAACTTTGTTTTGCAAGCCTACCTCCCAGTATTTTTCTCTACAATGCATTTTTCCTTTTGGTAAGATCCAGGAACTTGCTGTTACTCCAATGCCAAGAAATTACTTCCACAAAACAACAGTATACGGATTCTCTTCTTAATGTTCTCTATATCTCACCAATATGACACCAGAATAGCTACGTGTGATATAAATATCTAACTTCTAAATTTCCTGAGCTTTCTTTCTAGCTGGAATTCAGTTCAGTTCTGGTTAATTAACTGTTATGCGAGTTGGCTAGAAATGTTTTGTTGAAGGTTTTTTTCCCCAACAAAAGGAGAGAGGTATGTGAGATGAATGGTCTTATCTTACAACCTTTGCTCTCATTTCCTGCCTTTGAACATAGTGTGTGTGGACATGATGATATGGCCAGAGCAGTTTGCCATCACAAAGTTGGTCAGTTTGCAGTCACAAAGTTGAAAAAGTATACACTGGTAATTCAGGGTAGAAGATCAAGAAAACCTGGATTTTTTATTACATTGTTGAGCTATTAAAAAACCCATGACAACTTATCTTTGACTTCTTGTTATGACAGTCACTTGCAATTAGATTTAAACCACACGTGATTTCAGTTTCCTACTATTGATAGACCAATGCCTCCTGCCTGGAAGAAGGACATTCTAAAGATATGCCCCTGCATGGGTGCTTCAGAGAGTTTGGGTGATTGAGTATTGCTTGATCTCATGCCCCAACAACAAATATTTATGTCCCATCTTTTCTTTCTTTTCTGTACTTTGACCTAATATCATAGGAGACGTGCTCTCTGGAAAACTTATTTTAGAACAATAAGATAAAAAACAGGTGTGTTTTTTTTTTCCCACTCACCGTCACTACAATAGAATATTTTTTTAAAAATATCAAAATATCCTTTCACTACTAAGAAGATGGAGCAGACATGCCTTTCTTTATTCCACATTGTAAATAGTATTTACAATCCTGGAAATTATTTATGAAATAAACAAAAAGAGTCTCTGAAAGTAGGAGAGAAGGGAGGACAGTTATAGAAGTCCTTGGGACACAAGATAAGGCATAGGTATGAGTTGAGTTTTCTTTTCAGCTTTAAATATCCCAAACTTGGGCTGGGTATAGTAGCTCACTCCTGTAATCCCAGCACTTTGGGAGGCTGAGGCAGGCAGATCACCAGAGGTCGGGAGTTCGAGACGTGCCTGACCAACATGGAGAAACCCCGTCTACTAAAAATACAAAATTAGCCAGGTGTATTGTCACATGCCTGTAAATCCCAGCTACTCGGGAGGCTGAGGCAGGAGAATCACTTGAACCAGGGAGGCGGAGGTTGCAGTGAGCTGAGATTGCCCCACTGCACTCCAGCCTGGGCAACAAGACCAAAACTCTGTCTCAAAATAAAAACAAAAACAAAAACAAAAAACCCAAACTTGGAGGTAAAGAAACTGGCAAGCATAGATTAAAAACAAGCCCCAATTATTTGTGGGCTGCAAGAAATTCACTTCAAATGCAAAGTATATACAGGTTTAAAATAAATAATATAAAAATATATTGTGCAAACAAATTATGTAGGAGTTGCTATATTAATATCACATAACATAGATTTTGAAACAAATACAATTACCAGAGAAGGATAATATGTAAGGATAAAAGGGGCATTCCAGGAAGAACACATAATAATCCCATATGTTTATGTTTAAAACAACATAGCTGATAAATAAATGACACAAAAGCCCATAGAATTAAAGGTTTAAATAGTCAAATCCACAAGTTGGAGATTTCAACATACTTCTATCAACAATTGATAGCTGGCTAAATTGATAGCAAGTATATAGAAGAATTGAATGAAGTCATCATGCAACCCAGTCGATTCTAATTTTGTAGAAAACTACACTCAACAACAGCAGAATACACACTCTCTTCAAGTGTGAGGGAGCATACAACAAGATAGATCATATGTTGGTCCATAAAATCAACTTCAGCAAATTTAAAATCCTACAGAACATGTTCCCTGATGATAATGAAATCAAACTAAAAGTAAATAAAAGAAAGAACATGAAAAATACACAAACACTTGGACAGTAACCAACACACTTTTAAATAATTCGTAGGTCAAGGCGGAAGATTCAAGGAAAAGAAAAAGATGTTAAACATCACTAGGTACTAGGGAAATTCAAATGAAAACCACCATGAAATATGACTGCACATCTCTCAAAATGGCTAAAACATAATGTGTTGCCGATACCAAAAAACCTGGACCACCTGCACAGTAACCCCGCCCCCCGCCACCTTATTTGCAGATGATTCAAGACCCCCAATTGATGCCTGAAACCGTGGATAGTACCAAATCCTATAAATACAATTGACTCTTGAACAATATGGGCTTGAAATGCATGCATCCACCGGTCTATAAATTTTCTTCTGCCTCTGCCATCCCTCAGACAGGAAGATCAATTCCTTCTGTTGTGCCTCATCCTCAGCCTGTTCAATGTGAATATGACAAGAAGGACCTTTATGATGATCAACTTCTACTTAGTGAATAGTAAATAGTAAATATGAGTACATTTTCTGTTATGGTTTTCTAAGTAACTTTTTATAGCTTACTTTATTGTAACATTACAGTGTATAATATATATAACACAAAATATGTGTTAATTCACTATGTTAAGGCTTCTGGGCAATAGTAGCCTATTAGTAGTTAAGTCTGGGGAGGGTAAAAAGTTATGCATAAACAGTTGATGCACAGGTGCTGACACTTCAACTTCTGTGTTATTCATGGGCTGACTATACCATGTGTTTTGTTTGTTTATTTTTTGATAACCAAGACTGCTACAAAGTAACTGACCTGTAGGTAGCATATACAGCATGAATACACTAAAGAAAGAAATGATCACATCTCAAGCAGGAAAAAGAGCAATAAAGCAAGATTTCATCATACTATTCAGAATGGCATGCAATTTAAAACTTATGGATTATTTATTTAATATTTATGGACAATGGTTGACTGTAACTAAAACCATGGAAAGAGAAACTGAAGATAAGGGTGGGACTACTGTACATTGCTGTTGAGAGCATAAAATGGTAAATCCATTCTAGAAAGTAACTTGGAAGCCTCTTTACAAAACTAAAATAGTAACTGCTATATGACCTAGCAATTGCATTCTTAGGCTATTATACTAGAGAAATGAAAACTTACATAATAGCCTGTTTACAAATTTGTATAACATTTTTATTATGCACATAAAAGCCCCAAACTGGAAACTTAATATATTATTCAATGGCTGAATAATTGAATTATCATATGCCCATACCTCAAAATACTACTCAGCAATAAAAAGGAATAAACTCTTGATGGATCTAGGTGAATCTCCAGAGAATTATGCTGAGTGAAACAGCTAATCACAAAAGTTTACCCACTGTATGATTGTGTGACTCCCATCTAAATAACATTCTTGAATGAAAAATTATAGAAATGGAAAAGAGATTATTAGTTGCCATGGATAATGGGTAGAGGCAGGAGGGATGTATGTGTGGCTACTTAATGGTAACAAGAGGGATGCTGTGAGGGTGGAATGTTCTGTGTCTTTACTGCAACAATGTAAAAGTCCTGGTTGTGATATTGGACTATAGTTTTGTAAGATATTACTACTAGGGGAAATTAAGTAAAGGGTACAGGTGATTTCTCTGCATTATTTATTACAACTGTATATCAATCTACAGTTATTTCAGAACAAAATGTTTATTAGAATAATATCAACAGATGTCTTAAACTGGTAATGAATTAAGACATATTAAAAATGGGCTTGACTCCTGAGCCAAAATCTTCTACTTCCTTCAATTCTCTTTAATAAATGACTTTAAATGAGAGTAACTGAGGCAAGTTGAATGAATAATAGGATTATTAAATACAAAATGAAAAAGCAAAACAACATAACCAAGTAAATGGTTTCAAACAAATTTTAAAAAGGGAGGGCTGAGAGAAGAATAAGTAAAAGTCAAGAGTGATGAAGAGAAGAAAAAAGAAACACAAAAACATGTGAGAATAAATATAAATGTTGAATACCTGAGTATTTATGAAACGGTTGTTTTATTATAATAGTTTCCTTAAAATGAAACGTCATGCAGTATGTTGTGGTTACCACAGGGATTAAAATTAGCATATTAAGTTTATAAAACTCTACTTAGAATTGATACCTACTTAGTTTTAATTGCATACAAAAATTCTACTCTTATTCCTGTCTCTCCTCCTCATTAAGTTGTCACAGCCACAACTACATTTTATAAATTTCGTACCCATTAACATAGATTTGTAATTATTGTATTTGTAATTCTTTGTTATTATTGATTTGTATTCATTTTTAAAAATCATGTAGGAACCAAAAGAGACTGAAAAACAAAAGATACATTAGTATATTAACCAGTTTAGATTTATGGCTATGTATTTAACTTTACTGAAGATTTTTATTTCTTTTTATGAGTCAAGATACTGTCTAGTGTCCTTTCATTTCAGCCTGAAGAACTCCCTTTAGCAATTTTTGTAGCATAGGTTTGCTAGAAACTGCCAAACTTGGCTTGTGTTAATCTTGGAGTATCCAAGATATTCCAATATATTATTAATTTTGCCTTCATTTTTGAAAGATAGTTTGGCTGTAAATAAAATTCCAGGTTGACATAATTTATTTTTACTGTACTTTAAAAAGGTCATCCCATTCTTCTGGTCTCCATGGATTCTGATACAAATATGTTGTTAATCTTATTAAGGATTCCTGTCTGTGATGAGTTGCTCTCTCTTGCTGCTTTCAAGATTTTTACAATATGTCTTGGTGTGGATCTCTTTGCATTAATCTGGGGTTCCTTGAGCTTCTTTATGTTTAGATTTGTGTCTTTTGTCAAATTTAGAAAGTTGTTCTTCATTATTTCTTTAAATATTCTTTCATCACCTGTTTCTGTCTCCTACCTTTGTTTCTATTATGCATTTATCAGCCTGCTTGTTAGTTTCCCAGACATCCCTTAGGCTCTATTGAGTTTTCTTCATTTTTTATTTCTATCTGCTCCTCAGACTGGATAATTTCAATTGGCTTCTATTCAGATCCACTGATTATTTCTTTATCTGCTCAAATCCACTATTGAAACACTCCAGTGAGTTTTTATTTCATTTACTGTACTTTTTAGCACCAGAAATTTTGTTTAGTTTATTTTTATAGGTTCCATCATTTTGTAAAATTTTCTGTATTTATATATGCATAATTCCCCAACTTTCTTTAGCTTTCTTTCCATGGTTTCTTTCAGCTTGCTGAAAATATTTAAGATAATTGGTTTAAAGTCTTTGTCTAGTAAGCCCAATGTGTGTGCTTCTTTTGGGGCAGGTTCTGTTAATGTCTTTCTTCAATAACACATACTTTCTTGTTTCTTTGCATCTTTTATAATTTTTTGCTAAAAATTGAACATTTTGAATATTATAATGTGGTTACTCTGAAAATCTCATTCTCCTTCACGTTTTTTCTTTTTTCTTTTTTTTTTTACTCCTTGCTATGGACTGTATCTATATGGTTATTTAGTGACTTTTCTAAATTATTTGGTAAGATCTGTCTGTCATATGTTGTCTCTGAAATCTCTGTCTATTCCATTTTTGTGCATCTAGTGTTTGGCAGAGTTTTTCTTGAATGCCAGAAGCAGAGAGAGAAAGAAGGAAGGGAGGTGGTGGTAGAAGAGGGAAGGTACAAATATAAAATAAAAGTAAGAGAGAGAAAAAGAAAAGGAAAACCCTTCTCCCATTCTTTGTACGTTGGTCCCTTGCTGGGGGTGGTGGTAGGATACTCCTTCAGTGCTTAGCCAGATGGTTGTAAGTTCTGCTTTGACACTTACTTCCTGCTTGCCTTAAGCCTAGTGATTATCTGAAAGTGAAAGCTTAAGGTCTTGGTGGGTATTTTCTGACCATGTGTCCTGTCTTGGGCATGTATACAGCTTTCTAAATTCCTTAGTATGCACAGACAGTTTTGATTGCCCTAATTTCACAAATATATTGTCTTCCTTGATTTTCCTCCTAGATTTTAGGTGCTCTATTTTTGGCCTCAATTTTAATCTCTTGCTCCGAGTAATCACAGCCTTTTCATTTACCTACAATGTTTATAAGAAATGCCCACTGTTTTTCCCTCCTGAGTTCCACGGTAGGAGAAACAAAGACAAACATCTTGCCATGTAGGGAATGGTAACAGGAATTAAAAAACAAACAAACAAACAAAAAAAACAAATAAGAGATCTTTGTTGCCAAGTATATTTCACCACTTAGAGAAGGCATTAAATGAGTCACAATTTTCAGGCTAATGATGTTGGGGAGTTATAATCTTAGTTGTGATGCTGGCGGGAGAAGAACACACAGTTACTGATATTCTTTTTCTATTTAGTCTTGAAAAGCATTTACTTAAAGCTTTTTTAATCTTTGATCTTTTTTCTGTAGAAAATTAAGGCCTTGGATATATAATATATACATGTATTTTAAAAATTTCCTGTAATTTTCATGTACATTGCATTTTCTGCATTGACAACAACCTTGTTAGAAACATTAATATGCCTTTTTAATTGAATCATCAGGAGACTTAGCTAAAGTTTCAAAGTAAAAAAGTAACAGAGTTAGGATTCAAACCTGAACTTTCTGATTTATCAGGGTTCCCTTCCAATATTTCAGTAATACTCTGTAGAAAATAATTTAGGTTGTTTTTGATTGTTTTTGAACCCTTAGTTTGAATTGTATCAGTTTTTAGTGGACAATCACATTCCTCGTGTTAGTTTTAAAAATTCTAGGTAGTGATGAAAATCAAACCAGAATTCAACAAATGAAGTTTCTGCTGAAAGAAAGATTTGGACTTAAGTCAGTTATGTACTCAAGTCACTTCGGTCTTGAAATATTTAGCCTTTAATGTTGCTTTGAACTACAAAGCACTGTGTTTCCCATTTCATTATTTTTATTGGTCAGTACTTCAAATATTTGGCTAGGATAAACTATTCTCCAATTACTATTTAAAGTATGTTAAAAGAAGTTCAGGTTTTATGGAAAAAATAATTTGTAGAAACTCCATCAAGTAACTAATATATATGCATTGCTGTAAGATGGTAATTCATTCACATTTGTTTTAATTTTCTTCTACTTCCTGCCTGCTACTTAATCACATAAATGTCAGTGCTTCTGAAATATTTAGACTATGTTCTAGAGGTTATTAGTCGTGCATCACATAATGACATTTTGGTCAACAATACCTTATTTTTACTACACCTTTTCTAAGTTTAGATATGCTTACACATGCAAATACTTACCATTGTGTTACAGTCCCCCACAGTATTGAGTAGATAACATGCTGTACAGGTTTGTAGCCCAGGAGCAATAGGCTATGCCATATGGCCTAGGTCTGTAATAGGCTATACCATGTTGGTTTGTGTAAGTACACTATAGGATGTTTGCACAATGATGAAATCACCTAATGATGCATTTTTCAAAATATATGCCTGTTGTTAAGCAATGCATGGCTGTGTATGCATCTAGTAGGCATAAAATGACTACTGATCCCCTGTATTTTATGTCATATGTATTGATTTTTCTTTCCAAAAAACCCAAAACACAAAGAAACTCTACTTCAATGTTAATTTCTACTTAAAAGTAGTTGAGAACATTCTTCATACCATAAGGCACAGGGCATAAATATTTTTTATATGCAAAAGATATGGTTTAATTATTATGAACTGGTATTCATTAAGATAATTTTTCATATAATTTTAATACTGCTTATTATTTAAAGAAATATTTGTTTGTTCTGGAAGACATTATCAAAAGTTTAGTAGGCCAGAATTAAATCCTATATAGCAAGCATATTCATCACTTTTCTGGGATCATATATTATAGTTAAATCATCCTGAGAAATGAGCTAGAAAATCTCTGAAAATTAAAAAATTTATAGGACTTCCATTAAATATTTTAATAATATGATGATAATAGATAATTTCAGTAAATTAAAATTTTTCTCTCTCTTTGTCCCTTTTATATTCACATGTATATACATTCTTGTACCAAGCTTATTGTTAGAAGATCACTGGTAAGATTCATGTGGGTATTATGGATAAATCCTAATTCACCATGGTGTTCTCTAAGAATACATACACAAGAGAAAAGGTGAAAATTACAAAGAATTTTATTAATATGTAAGCAAGTGTCTAATATTCTGTAATTTATGACTTTCCAGTAAATTTAAATTGAGAAAAGAGCTTAGACTCTTAAGCATCAGAGCTTCTACTTATTACCCTTAGTCAAACAGTGAAACCACACACTCGGACAAAGGGAAGAGAGGAATGGTTAGACACTCTTAGTGGCCCCAAAATTCCCGCTTTTCTAGCCATATGAATTGTAAAAGAAGAATGGTGACTACCTGACCCAACAGGCCAGCACTTGCCTATATCTGAGTCAGAAAGTTCAAAGGAGAGAGAGGATTGCTGGATTCCCGCCTTTCAGATATAGTAACCCTTAACATTAATGCAATATTACACTATGAATGTCTTTGGCTTTGATACATTAAAATAGGAGTTCCTCTTCCCTATTGAATGAGTTAGGAATAGTTGTAGGAATTACCCTTATAGTGAAAGAGGGATTTAAAAAACTTTCATTAATGCTTAATACAAGACAAGAATGTAATATTTCTCTGAATGAATTTGGGCAAAAAGGCATTTGAAAAGAAATTGATTTCAAAAGAAACAAACCCTACTGATATGTGTTTTCATTAATAGCAATATTTTCAAATATTATAACATTGTAAGTTTATAAATTGTGATATTAAAATTATTCAAGAGATCATAATTTCTTTGTCATTAGATTCAGCTATACTGTGTATGCCTATAGTAGGTATAAAATGATGAATAATTCCCTTTATCTTATTCATATATATTGACTTTTCTTTCCCAAAAACCTGAAACCACAAGAAACTGGATTTCAATATTAATTTCTACTTAAAGTAGTAAAAATCTATAATTTATTCTGATATTAGGATTAGATTAGGCAAACATATAAAGAAAAGCACTTCAGAATAATAAGAATTCCAGAAGATGAAACATACCAAAAATTACACAAGAAAAGAATGCTGCTATAAGATGGAAAAAGTTAGAGAAATTATGTAATTTTTTGAGTAGAACATTTATTTGAATACTTAAACTAAAAGGATTAATGGATTATCCAGAAAAAGTAATGAAAAAATATAACACAAATACTGATGATTTTGAAAAATTTAAAAAATCCTACAATTATCAGAAGGAAATTTTAATTTATCAGTGAATTAAATTTTATCTTAACTAGCATATAGGCTTTTGGTTTTCATTATATTAAGGTCTGGGAATACAATCGTATTGTATATCAACTGTCTATACCTAATTTTGTGGGAAACATATTAGCCCTTAAATGTTTATTTAGCCTTTCATTGCTTTTCACCTCGTGTGTTCAGGTGATTCTCCCACCTCAGCCTCCTGGATAGCTGGGACTATAGGCACATGCCACCACACTTGGCTAATTTTTTGCAGAGATAGGGTGTATTTGTCTGTTTTCATGATGCTGATAAAGACATAGCCGAGACTGGGCAATTTACCAAAGAAAGAGGTTTATTGGACTTATAGTTCCATGTGGCTGGGGAGGCCTCACAATCATGGCAGAAGGTGAAAGGCACATCTCACCTGGTGAGACATGTCTGGTGTCTGGTGACAGACAAGGGAAGAGAGCTTGTGCAGGGAAACTCCCCTTTTTAAAACCATCAGATCTCGTGAGACTTATTCACTATCATAACAGCAAGGGAAAGACCTGAACCCATGATTCAATTACCTCCTACTGGGTCCCTCCCACAACATGTGGAAATTCAAGATGAAATTTGGGTGGAGACACAGTCAAACCATATCATTCCACGCCCGACCCCTCCCTAATCTCATGTCCTTACATTTCAAAACCAATCATGCCTTCCCAACAGTTCCCCCAAAGTCTTATTTTAACATTAACTCAAAAGTCCACAGTCCAAAGTCTCATCTGAGACAAGGCAAATCTCTTCTGTCTATGAGCCTGTAAAATTGAAAGCAAGTTAGTTACTTCCTAGATACAATGGGGATACAGGCATTGAGTAGATACAGCCATTCCAAATGGGAGTAATTGGCCAAAACAAAGGGGCTACAGGCCCCAAGCAAGTCCAAAATACAGCTGGGCAGTCAAATCTTAAAGCTCCAAAATGATCTCCTTTGACTCCATGTCTCACATCTCGGTCACACTGATGCAAGAGGTGGGTTACCATGATCTTGGGCAACTCTGCCCCTGTGGCTTTTCAGGGTACAGCCTCCCTCCCAGCTGCTTTCATGGGCTGGTGTTGAGTGTCTGCAGCTTACCAAGGCACACAGTGCAAGCTATTGGTGGATCTACAGTTCTGGTGTCTGGCCTTCTTCTTATAGATCTACAGAGGCCTTCTTCTCATACCTCCACTAGGTGGGGCCCAAGTAGGGACTCTTTGTGGGGACTCTGACCCCACATTTCCCTTCCTCACTGCCCTAGCAGAGGTTCTCCATGAGGACCCAACCCCTACAGCAAACTTCTGCCTGGACATCCAGGCATTTCCATACGTCCTCTGAAATCTAAATGAAGGTTCCCAAACCCCAATTCTTGACTTCTGGGCACTGGCAGGCTCAACACCATGTGGAAGCTGCTAAGACTAGAGGCTTGCACCCTCTGAAACCACAGCCTGAGCTTTGCATTGGCCCATTTCAGCATGGCTGGAGTGGCTGGGATACAGGGCACCAAGTCCCTAAGCTCCACACAGCATGGGGACCCTGGGCCCAGCCCACGAAACCATTTTTTCCTCCTAGGCCTCTGGGTCTATTATGGGAGAGGCTGCTGTGAAGCCCTGTGACATGCCTTGGATACATTTTCACCATTGTCTTGGTGATTAACATTTAGCTCCTTGTTACTTATGCAAATTTCTGCAGCTGGTTTGAATTTCTCCCCTGAAAATGGGATTTTCTTTCTATTGCATTGTCAGGCTGCAAATTTTCCAAACTTTTATGCTCTTATCTGCCCTTTAAAACTGAATGTCTCTAACATCACCCAAGTCACCTCTTGAATGCTTTGCTGCTTATACATTTTTTCTTCCAAATACCCTAAATCGTCTCTCTCAAGTTCAAAGTTCCACAAATCTCTAGGGCAGGGGCAAAATGCCACCAGTCTCTTTGCTAATATATAACAAGAGTCGTCCATGCTCTAGTTTCAAACAAGTTCCTCATCTCCATCTGAGACCATCTCAGTCTGGATTTCCTTGTCCATATCATTATCATCATTTTTGTCAAAACCATTCAACATTTCTCTAGGGAGTTCCAAACTTTTCCACATTTTCCTGTCTTTCTGAGCCTTCCAAATGATTCCAACCTCTGCCTGTTACCCAGTTCCAAAGTCACTTCCACATTTTCAGGTATCTTTTCAGCAGCACCCCATTCTACTGGTACCACTTTACTGTATTCGTCTGTTTTCATGCTGCTGATGAAGACATTCCTGAGACTTGGCAATTTACAAAAGAAGGAGGTTTATTGTACTTACAGTTCCAGCTGGCTGGGGAGGCCTCACAATCATGGTAGAAGGTGAAAAGTACATCTCAGATGGCAGCAGACAAGAGAAGAGCATTTGTGCAGGGAAACTCCCCTTTTGAAAACCATCAGATCTCATTAGACTTATTCACTATCAGTAGACGAGCACTGGAAAGACCTGCCCCAATGATTCAATTACCTCCTACTGAGTCACTCCTACAGCATGTAGGAATTCAAGATGAGATTTGGGTGGGGACACAGCCAAACCATACCATGGGCTTTTGTCATGTTGCCCAAGCTGGTCTCGAACTCCTGGGCTCAAGTGATCCACCTGCCTCAACCCCCCAACATGCTGGGATTACAGGTGTAAGCCACTGAACCTGGCCCTGTTTAGCCAATTTATTTACAAGCAATGGCTTATGAAGTGTATCCCACAGTCCTTAAGAACAGAAACAATAACACACACACACAATAAAACAGCTATTCAGATATACTCAAGTAGACTGAGATAAACCAAAGAAATCAAATGTTGCAAAGTAATAATCTTAAAGCATGTGATAAGTAACTGTTGCAGAATTACATCCAGGTAATTTTTGTTAACATTATTTAAACAACTTAATATGCCAAAAATAATTCTTGGTATTAAAAAGCACATAACATAGTTTTTCACTGAATGAGGCTGAAGTTGAAAAAAGCAAACCAAAACAAGACAAAGAGGAAAGCTAGAATAAACACTGTCATTTTGGTTTGAATTCCCAGGTATTAGTATAAACCCATGTTTGTTTTCTTAGATATGCCTGTGGACAAATAGATTCTTAAACAAGTATATGCATGGGCTAGTATCTATACATATATCACCTATTTTTGTGCCCTAAGAGAGCCTAGAAGTAGCAACACTCCAGTAGCAATGAACACATCCAGCAACTAGATCTTGATTAATAAATATATCATTCCCTGACAAATGGAAGTAGAGCTCCTCGAAGAAGTGGTTGGTTGCAGATCTGGAGCATGTAAAACAAAAGGTAAAACTGAAGCTCCTTAACAATGCAGGGAACAAATTAAAATAGTATTGGATTGTAACTAAAACAATATCTATCTATCTATATAAATTTACTTATCAAAGCATATGACATATATTTTGGAGACAGTAAGGTTGAGTGATTAACAAGATAATTTCTATAATTGTTTTCTTTGTATCCTTTTTTATTTGTTTAGCATTGTTTTCCACTTGTAGATGACTGCCCCTATATTAATAGAGTATTTAAATTTGTGAAATAAGTGTATAGAATTGGCAGCAAGGATATGAGAAAAGAAAACATAAAAAATTTTTAACTTCCACTTCAGCAAATCTGAGCTACTTTAGGTAACTGCAAGGTAGTTAAAAAATAACATTCATGTACAATTTAAATAATGTCTCATATAATGATTTAATTTAAATTTAATAACAGAGTTATTGCAGGTTAATAAATACCACCTAATGATTAAAAGCATATTTATTTAGATTAACAGCTATTAAATAATCTTATCACACTTCCTATGGTTAATTTTGTTTGAACTATATTTTAAATTATTTAAAATTCTATCTTATGCCCACTTCTGTTTGAAATAATCTCCTTAAAATTTAAGATGAAATCCTTTTCTTTAACAGTCTCTTTAATCATTTGCAAACTAATTTATCATTAATAAACAGAAAACATTTACTATGAGACAACACATTATGGAGACATGTAAAAGGCTCAATAGAAAAATTAAGGTGAAATGGGAATAAGCAGATTAATTACGTAGATTAATTTTTCAATGAGGCATGTTCACTTTTATTTAATACTTTTTAAATTATAAAATTTCTCTCATAAATCTCAATATTTGCACAATTTTAAATAGTAATAATAGCAAACATTTATTAAAAACATTTGTGTCAGACAGGCTTTTCAGCGTTGCTTTTAGAAAACCTCATTTGATTTTTTTTTTCAGGAGTACATGTGTAGGTTATTTATTTATTTTTTATTATACTTTAAGTTTTAGGGTACATGTGCACAACATGCAGGTTTGTTACATATGTCTACATGTGCCATGTTGGTGTGCTGCACCCATTAACTCGTCATTTACATTAGGTATATCTCCTAATGCTTTCCCTCCCCCTTCCCCCCACCGCACAACAGGCCCCGGTGTGTGATGTTCCCCTTCCTGTGTCCAAGTGTTCTCATTGTTCAGTTCCCACCTGTAAGTGAGAACATGCAGTGTTTGGTTTTTTGTCCTTGCGACAGTTTGCTCAGAATGATGGTTTTCAGCTTCATCCATGTCCCTACAAAGGACATGAACGCATCCTTTTTTATGGCTGCATAGTATTCCATGATGTATATATGCCACATTTTCTTAATCCAGTCTATCATTGATGGACATTTGGGTTGGTTCCAAGTCTTTGCTATTGTGTATAGTGCCACAATAAACATACATGTGCATGTGTCTTTATAGCAGCATGATTTATAATCATTTGGGTATGTACCCAGTAATGGGATGGCTGGGTCAAATGGTATTTCTAGTTCTAGATCCTTGAGGAATCGCCACATTGTCTTCCACAATGGTTGAACTAGTTTACAGTTCTAGATCCTTGAGGAATCGCCACATTGTCTTCCACAATGGTTGAACTAGTTTACAGTCCCACCGACAGTAGGTGTCATTACCTTCATTTTTTATATATGGAAACTCAGGAACAGAAAAATTGAACTTTACAAATAGAACAATTAGAAATTGTCAAAACTAAGGCAGTTTAACACGAATTATCATATTTTTAATGAACAGGCTATACTCATATTACCCATTAAAGTGCCTACATGACTTAGCTGGACCCCTATCCAGTTTTTGTAGCCCAACGCAGTGCCTATGTGACATAGCTAAATTACTACTAAGCTTTAATTCTGCTTAATTTTAGGAATTTGGATGTCTGTGGTCAGATATCCTTCTTAGGACTAAACCAGCTAAGGTTGGCAAAATCCCTGATGGCAGTATACGTCACCTATAGCTTCAGTATAATCCAGTTTCCATGCTAAATGACACTCTCCTTTGTACCATGACAGTTAACAATTACCATGACAATGACCAGAGGAGACTAAGAAAGACATAAAAGAGGCAGCACCTTGATTCGAGGAAAATCTCTCTCCCCCCACCAACAAAAGCACGAATGTCCCTCCCCTTTTTCTTAATAACCAATTTCTTAATTAAAAATATCCTGTATCTATAACTTTCAGGTTCTCAGAAGCTGAGCTGATTTTCAAGATACTCTCCCACTTCTCCAATTTTGTGGTCATTGAATAAAGCCTGCACTGCTTAACACTTATGTTTGGTTTTGTGTGTTGACTTTGTAACACTAAATGGAAAAGAACGCCTTTTGGGACAACTGAGACCCCTGGTAACACTCTCACTCTATGATCAAAATGACCTTTCTGTGAATTTATTTTTACTTTTAATTGTATATTTACAAATTATATAAATATATATTTATGGAGCACAGAGTGATGTGATGATTTATAATACAAAGTGGAATAATTAAATAAAGCTAACTAACATATCCATCACCTCAAATATATATTATTTTTTAAGATGGGAACATTTGAAATGCACTCTGATAGTAATTTTGAAATACAATATACATTATTATTTACTACATTTACCATGCTTTGCAATATAACTCAAAAGAGATAAAAAGCATTCCTCCTGTCTAATTGGGGCTTTGCACCCTCTGTCATCTCTCCAATTTCCCCAACTACACGATCTCTGATAACCACCATTCTACTCTCTCCTTCTTTGAGTTCCATTGTTTTAGATTCCACAAAGAAGCAAGAATACGCAGTATTTGTCTTTCTGTGCCTGTCTTAATTCACTTAGCATAATATTCTTCAATTTTGTTCATGTTTTCACGGATTAAAAAGTTTCTTTTATAAGGTAGAATAGTATTACATTGTGTTTATATGCATCCTTTTCTTTATCCATCCATATGCTGATGGAAGTTGATTCTAAAAGTTGGCTATTGTCAATAGTGCTACAACAAACTTGAGAGGGCAGACATCTCCTCCATAGACTGGTTTTAATTTTGAGGGGTAAATATTCAGAAGTAGAATTGCTGGAACATAAGCCATTTAATTTTTTAGTGTTTGGAGGAAAATTCATACAATTTTTTATAATTGCTGTACTAAGTTACATTCCCACCAACAGTGTCCACGTGTTCTCTTTTCTCCACATTCTTGCCCACACTTATTTTTACTTTTTGATAACAGTCATTCTAACAGGTGTGAAGTGATACCTTATTGTCATTTCAATTCTTATTTACTTAATGATTGATGATGTTGAAATTTTTTTTATATAGCTGTTGGCCATTTTAAAGCCATCTTTTGAAAATGTCTATTCATTTTTTGCCCATTTTCTAATCAAATCATTTGTTTTCTCCATATAGATAGAATAGTTTAAGTTTCTTACATATTTTTGATATTAGCTCCCTTATCAGATGTATGGGTTGCAAAAGTTTTATACCAATTCATAGGTTTGCTCTTTACTCTGTTGTTTCCTTTGTTGTGCAGCTGCTTTTTGTTTTGATGTAATTCAATTTGTCTCTGTAATTTTGTTGCCTATGCTTTTGGGGTCAAACCTAAAAGTATCATTGCCCAGACCAATGTCTTGTATCTATTTTACCTATGTTTTCTTTCAGTAGCTTCACAGTTTCAGAGCCTACATTTAAGTCTGTAATTAATTTTGAATCAATTTTTGCAAGTGGGGTGAGACAAGGGTCCAATTTTATTCTTTTGCACATGGGTCTCTGGTATTCCCAGCACCATTTATTGAAAAGACTGTCTCGTTTCCAGTAAGATACCAACTGCTAATGGGGTACACCTGCAAGAGTTGACTGGGAGAAATGGCCTTCTAATTTGGGAGGTCAGAGTTTGAGATCAGCTTTTTACAGAAGAAAGATGTACTTTCTGTTGAAGGAGAATATTCAAAGAGCAGTTGATACTGATGAGATGTGGAAACAGATGTTAAAGAACTTAAATATGTAAATGTCAACACTGGGCTTTATATCTAAGAAAGGCATTATAAAGACTGTGCTTGATTTTAACAAAGATCGGATAGGAAAAGTCAGCTTCGTAATTTTTTGTTTGTAATAACTTAGAAAACGCTGAAGGTGTTATCAAAAAAGAAATTCTGAAAGCTCTCAGGCACTTTGATAGCTGGAAAATTGCTTCTCCGAAACTAAAAGCATCTGACCTAGGAGTTGGTGAAAACTTCACTGATGAGGTGAAGCAAGGAATGATTGTGTAATGGGGTGTTTTGGTGATGAAGAAGTAAATGAGTAAAAGTTTCTATGATGTAGGGATCATAAAAAAGAGAAGGCTTTAACTCTTTTTTTCTCCTCTGTGAGCATATGTAAATAAACTTAGTAGCTACATAGGTAGGTTTGCTGCTTCTATTTTGTGAACTCTTGCTCTACATAGAAGAAATAGGATACTACCTCTTCACTTCCCTAACATATTTAGATAAATATTTTCAACTCAATTCATAGTGTGATGGTTTAAAAGCCTGGATACTATCATTAAATTGATTAAATTTGATTCTAGCTTTGCCATTTAATTGTGACATTTTGCAATTTATACTTTCTGATTCCAGTGAACTTATCTGTAAATTGAGATATCAGTATCATCTTTGTGGAGATCTTATGACGCTTTACAAAGTTACAATCTTTAAAGCACATTAAATAAAGTCATTATTAAGTAGATTTTAGTATTTTAAAGTAATTTTAACTGGATGATTTTATGCATAACTGCTTGCCCATTGGTTTTCTTCGTAAGAACAGAATTATTGTGCATTAGGTTGGCAGGACAATCACACGGCGTAACCTCACTCAAATTATCCATTAATATCAAGAAATGTTTTACTAAATTCATCAAATTCAACACATATTTTTGGTGGCCGTAGCTTATGTTGTTTCAAGAAGCCAGCTCCTAAATGTGGCCAATAACCCGGTGGTCCCATTGGCCCAGTCATAGTATAATCTTTTTATTCCTTTGACTTATACTATTATTGGAGCTAGAAAAAATAAACAGCTTTAAAGTATAGACTGGTCTTTTGGATTATAGTCAATTGTATGATTTAGAAGATTCTCTGGCTTCATCACACATGAAAAAATTTTAATATGTTTTTGTGGATTATCTACCTGTTTAATTACTCTCACCAGTCTCTACTGAAATCAGCAGCCTTCCCCCCAATTCTGCATGTAATAAAAATGAATTCAACATTTGTCTAAATGAGGTATAAATTATGCTTATAATTAAACTATCCAATATTTTTAATAATATATTCAAGTGTAAGCAATCAGTAATTTTGATAAAAGCAAAATTAAGAATATAGCATTTAATTGTAAATACTCTTTGGAAAGACTATAATAATAGTTCAGTTATAAGTACAATTGTAATGCAAAGTAGTAATTTTTTATTATGGCTTTGTCACAAGTAAGGACTTATTGCTAGGTGAGAGAACACTTAATGTCTTGGTCTTAACTCTCCATCGTTGCTCTGTTCCACATCCACTACTTCCACTTCCACCTCTAGTTCACTGTAGAGAGGCTCCTGCATATAAAGGGTTCTCTCTGTATTTCATAATTCCCAGTGAACATGCTCATTGTAAGTTGCACATGTACTAATGTAATTTGTTTTCACTATTGCAAATACAGCCCTTTATGGGGGAAAATAATTGATTGCCATTGTATTTGGCTTATGAATAAATGCATTTTTGATTTTATAATTGAATTGTGACTTGGCTTCTATTATATTGAAATAAAAAAATTCAATGGGAAGTTCCCTTCATCCACTGAATTTATTCGTACTTCTACATAACAGCTTCTCCCTCATCCCATTTTTTTCACCTAAATGAACAGTATTGTTTGGCCCAAACATGTTTTTCTGCTTTGGTGTCATTGGTGCACAGTATTGACAGAAGGGTATCAAAGATAAGGCTGTGTGGGAAAATGATCCGTTGGCGGATTATCAGTAGGCCTGTGCCTGTGAACCTGTCCAGGAATGTATCACAGGAGCCATTTAAGCAGAGCTATCCCAGATATGCTAGAAAATAAATGTTTTGTAATCTGTAAAACACAGATTAAAACTTTTTTCCCACGTTGAGTCACTAACACCCCAACACCTACTCCCAAATAACATTTTATTTCTAGTCAAAAATTTGTCAGTGGAGGTACATCCTGTCTTTATGTACTAGTCTTATGATGTGAAAGAAACTGGAATAGAATAGTTCGCTGTTTTTGAACTATTGCTGTCAGCCAACAACAGACTGACAGCAGTGTGATAAACATGAATAACTGGATATTTAAATTATTCTTGCCTTGGTAAACTTTTTTTTCCCTAACTTACAGACACAGATTATGAGACACAAGGACATTCACAGGCTTGTCTCAAAGTGGACATGAGTTTGTAACTACACTCAGACATCATTGCAATGCCTCAAGAAGGTTAAATGAACTTCTAGGGATGTGATTCGATTCTTTCTTCCTACTGACTTGACTATAAGTTTGTTTCTGGTTTTGTTTTCAGCTTTAAACGAGGGGCACATATACTTTGCTCTTTTCCATGTCATTAAAGGGCGATTGATATTGATTATATGATACAGTAAGGGAAATTTTTCTGAATAGAAAATTAGAAACTCCTAATAAACCTTTTGATATTATATCATATGACTGAATTCTGGTGGCCCTTCAGAGGGTAGTTTAACAGCATATAATAATAGCACACTAAACCAAGATACAGAAGAAAACTAAGAGGCAATCTATAAAAAGAAGCTTCCAAATTGTGATGCAACATATATAGAATATTTAATAAAATGTATTTGTAATGTATAGAGTGCTTAAGAATTTTCAATGCAGTATTATTCTGTAGGGGTGAACTGATTGTAATTGTGTCTATATCATGGGTGAGGAGAAGAAATACACAAGCAGTCAAAGGACACAAGTAGTGATAGGACCAGTGCAATTCAAATATTTTATGTTGGGTTAGAATGTATGCATATAGAGAACAGATTTTTCATTTATGGAACCAATTGGAAAAAAGTAAGAAACATAATGCAATATAAAAATACAATGTATTCATACATATAAAAATATGACACCTTTCACAAGCATGCATACAAACAAAATAATATACTTTAAGTAAATAAGAATGGTTGCTGCTGGTAGGAAGAAGGTGAAAATATGAACCAAGAGAACAAATGATAAGTTGCTATGAACAGACTCCTAGTCCCCTGACATAAAAAAATGAATCCTATAAAAATTACTCAGAAATGAAAGTTCTAATTACAAGGAAGTATACAATGAGATTATTTTTAAGGATCAGTTTTCTTAGTACAATTCTGAAGTAATGACTAAAAGGACAGTAAAATTCAAAGGAATAAGAAGAAAATAATAAGAATAGCAAATAATATAAAGAATGACTGAAGGTCACTCAAAATATATATTAATTTAAAAATTATTAGTTGAACTTGTATTGTTTTAGACCTAAGAGACAAAAAATAATCAAGAAGACAAAAACAATCTTGTCTTCATTGGACTTATATTCAAGTATAGTGACATTCCAAATTGTTTGTGTAATATAGTGGTAATGATGAAAAAATAGTTTATACAATAGAGCAAAATGTCAGAAAGCTATACAAAACAATATTTTAAATTGTCATATTTTGGTAATGTCAACTTTTTTCCTAAGAGATTTTTATTGTTGTGTTTATAAATTAAACATTTATTAATTTGAAATAAAAAAGAAATAAAACTATGAATTTTAAAAAGTTATAAAGTATTTTTTTTTTTCTTGCAAACTTGTGAGTTCCTTGTGGATTCTGGATATTAGGCCTTTGTCAGTTGGATACATTGCAGGGATTTTCTGACACTCTGTAGGTTGCCTGTTTACTCCGATAATAGTTTCTTTTGCTGTGCAGAAGCTGTTTAGTTTAATTACATTTCATTTGTGAGTTTTTGCTTTTGTTGCGATTGCTTTTGGCCATTTCATCATGAAATTTTTGCCTGTGCCTATATCCTGAATGGTATTGCCTAGATTTTCTTCCAGGGATTTTATAGTTTTGGGTTTTACTTTTGAGTCTTTAATCCATCTTCAGTTAATTTTTGTATAAGGTGTGAGGAAGGTGTCCAGTTTCAATTTTCTGCAAATGGATAGCCAGTTATCTGAGCACCATTTGTTGAATAGGGAATCCTTTCCCCATTGCTTGTTTTTAACAAGTTTGTCAAAGATTAGAGAACTGTGGATGTGTGATCTTATTTCTGAGTTCTCTATTCTGTTTCACTGGTTTATGTGTCTGTTTTTGTACCAGTACCATGCTGTTTTGGTTATTGTAGACTTATTGTATAGTTTGAAATCTAGTAGGGTGGTGCCTCCAGCTTTGTTCTTTTTGCTTAGTATTGTCTTGGCTAACCAGGCTCCTCTTAGTTTCGTATGAATTTTAAAATAGTTTAAAATAGTTTTTTTCTAATTCTGTGAAGAATGTCAGCTCCATTAAAAAGTGGGCAAAGAATATGAACAGATACACCTCAAAAGAAGACATTCACACAGCCAACAAACATGTGAAGAAAAGCTCAACATCACTGATCATTAGAGAAATGCAAATCAAACTCACAATGAAATACCATCTCACACCAGTTTCTTAACTTAAAAGTTAAGAAACCTGTTGTTTCCTGACTTTTTAATGATTGCCATTCTAACTGGTGTGAGATGGTATCTCATTGTGGTTTTGATTTGCATTTCTCTGATGGCCAGTGATGGTGAGCATTTTTTCATGTGTTTTTTGGCTGCATAAATGTCTTCTTTTGAGAAGTGTCTGTTCATGTCCTTCACCCACTTTTTGATGGGGTTGTTCGTTTTTTTCTTGTAAATTTGTTTGAGTTCATTGTAGATTCTGGATATTAGCCCTTTGTCAGATGAGTAGGTTGCGAAAATTTTCTCCCATTTTGTAGGTTGCCTGTTCACTCTGATGGTAGTTTCTTTTGCTGTGCAGAAGCTCTTTAGTTTAGTTAGATCCCATTTGTCCATTGTGAACGTCAGTGTGGTGATTCCTCAGGGATCTAGAACTAGAAATACCATTTGACCCAGCCATCCCATTACTGGGTATATACCCAAAGGACTATAAATCATGCTGCTGTAAAGACACATGCACACGTATGTTTATTGCGGCATTATTCACAATAGCAAAGACTTGGAACCAACCCAAGCGTCCAACAATGATAGACTGGATTAAGAAAATGTGGCACATATACACCATGGAATACTATGCAGCCATAAAAAATGATGAGTTCATGTCCTTTGTAGGGACATGGATGAAGTTGGAAATCATCATTCTCAGTAAACTATCACAAGAACAAAAAACCAAACACCACATATTCTCACTCATAGGTTAGAATTGAACAATGAGAACACATGGACACAGGAAGGGGAACATCACACTCTGGGGACTGTTGTGGGGTGGGGGGAGGGGGGAGGGATAGCACTGGGAGATATACCTAATGCTAGATGACGAGTTAGTGGGTGCAGCGCACCAGCATGGCACATGTATACGTATGTAACTAACCTGCACATTGTGCACATGTACCCTAAAACTTAAAGTATAATAATAATAAATAAAAAAAAAAGTTAAGAAACAACATTCTGGCAAGGTTGCAGAGAAATAGGAATGCTTTTACACTATTGGTGGGAATGTAAATTAATTCAACAATTGTGGGAGATGGTGTGGTGATTCCTCAAAGAGCTAGAACCAGAAATACCATTTGACCCAGCAATCTCATTACTGAGTATATACCAAAAGGAACACAAATCACTCTATTACAAAGATACATGCACACATATGTTCATTGAAGCACTATTCACAATAGCAAGGACATGGAATCAACCCAAATGCCCATTAATGATAGACCGGATAAAGAAAATGTGATACGCAAACACCATGAAATATTGTGCAGCCATAAAAAGGAATGAGATCATGTCCTTTTCAGGGACATAGATGAAGCTGGAAGCCATTATCCTCAGCAAACTAACACAGGAACAGAAAACCAAACATCACATGTTCTCACTTATATGTGGGAGTAGAACGATGGGATCATATGGACATGGGAAGGGGAATAACACACACTGGGGCCTGTTGTGGGGTGGAGGGTGGGAAGAAAGAGTATAGAATGCATGCTGGGCTTAATACCAAGGCGATAGGTTGAAAGATACAGTAAACCACTATGTCACAAGTCTACCTATGTAACAAACCTGCACATCCTGCACATGTACCCCAGAACTAAAAATAATTAAAAATAAATAAATAAATAAGGATAAAGTAAAAAAGTAGACCTAAGAAAATCAAAATAAATTTTACTTCAGTGTAGCACATATATGACAGTATGTAAATATAATTTACTGTAGTAAATAGTAGTAAAATATATTAAAATGTGTAATAACATCATTTTAATAGAATGCCTTTAAGTGCATCCCACTTTATATTGGAGAGATGAATTAGCACTATTTGAGTTCAGATATAGATTTTGTCACTTTTAACTGTGTAAATTTGGGAAAAATCACTTTTTTCTTTCTGTGCCCTAATATTATCATTTGTAAAGCAGTGATTCCAATGGTACCTACACTTAAAGGTGGTCAAAACTACTGAATAATGAGAAATATAAAGCATTCAAAATGGGCCCTCATATTAGTCCTCAATAAATGATAGCTATTTTTATTATATTATAGAATTATTTATAGGAGGTGTTAGAATATATTTGGATAATTTGTATCAAAAGACTGAAACAGGAAATAGATTCTATTCATAAAATACTAAATAAATTATATTCTGAGGCTGGGAAATATTTACTTGATCATTTCAAGTTAGTGAGAAAGTTTCACTGTATTTTATTATTAAATAATTGACATTGAGATTAAGTAGCATTCCTTACTTTATTTTAGGTGGTTAGCATTGCAGAATGCAAGTCTTGGGTTCTTTCTAGTGCCAGAGATGATTGTTTCTCTTTGCAAAAACATTAGAAAACTCTGTCACAAGATTGTTATACAGTGTATGCTGAAGAACATAAAAGTGTTTCTAAGCACTACTTTTCTGATTGTTCTGGTTTCGTTTAATCTGGAGAAGGTTTAGGTATTTTTCCTATGGGTGAGTTATAAAGTTCATGGGTATCAGCCTATAAACTGTTACTGCTGCTGTAACAAGAACTGGCAAGCAGGTGGACACAGAATTAGGATTCGAGCTACCCCTGTCGTGCAGGCTCTCCCATGAGGCTGTCACTTCACATTGTGGATGTGAGATTTAGAGACTTAGGAAATGTCATGAAATGTGAATAAATGTTGCTTAATAGCAATCCCTATATTTTTGGTTGTATAACCGTCCTCTTTTTTTGATATTTCAGGAATAGTCAAGAACATATTCAGTAATATAAAAGTTGTATTACTTTTCATATATTTTTTTCAGTTGATCGTTTTTTTGAAGAGAATGATAAATAAGGGGTTTTTTTTTTAGATATTTTAAAGCCACAGATAAAACTGGAGTCTGGATAAATTAGTATACAGATATCTAAGACTCAAAACTTTTTTTCTCTGTTTTTATTCTGTTTGTGATCCCTCGAATAAATATTTGGAGAAAAGAACATGTTGTCTAATGCCATGCATTGATTGTGTACTATTCTTTTGGATCTGAGACATTCTAAATAATAGATCAGTTACCTTTGTTCTAAATGTGGGTCATTCTGTCTGTCTCAAAAAGGAATCCATAGCTTTTTGAAGCAGGAGAAATTCTATTTCCTGGAACAACAGTAATGGCCAAGCCTTGTAGGATATGCTTTGTGAAATGAATTTGTAAATGGATGATATTGAAGAGGATTCAGTTATAAAAGGAGTTAAGTGACAAAAGATGAGCAATGGAGCTAGGCAAGACAAATATGAAAGGGCTCAAATGGTATGGGTCAAGTAGTTAGGGGTGTAAGTTGGCAAATTACTTAACTTGCCTATGACTCATTTTTCTCAACTGTAACATGTTCCCTGTGTGAAAGAATTTTTGAGTGTTAAATGAGTTGGTATATGTAAAACATGTAGAAGAGGGCCCGCTACATAGTAAGCACTATGCCAATTTTGAATATTTGAGTTGTCATTTTTGTTCTGCATATAGAGACTGAGAATACTTTTGCACTGTGGGATCCTTTGCATGTTGGGACCCATGAGTGAAAGGCACTCTTGTTTCTTTGGTTGTTCAGACTGCTGAGCTAACCTGTCTTCCTTATATGATCTGTGAATATCACACCTGCAGCATTCTTGAAATAATTCTGGAATACAATTTTTAGGTCCAGAAGTTATGAGATGATTTCTCTGTTTTGATATCCTATCTGTTTTACTTTTGCAGTGCTATTTATATGTTTACTTCCAGATTTTCCAAAAGCCCTAGGGTTGCTGGTATAATAATGAATAAGATAAATCAATGGATATATATGAAAAACATACCTACAGTATCAATAAGAAACGGGGCACAAACATTTGTATTAGAGAACATGGGGGTGGAATTTTTATCTTTTTATTTAACTTTTATTTTAGGTTCGGTAAGTGGGAGTTGAGAAAGAGAGTGAGGTGATTTCATCCTAAGTTAAAATCAAAGGGGTGAGTTAAAACCACAGGGTCTTGGAATTAATCCCTAACTAGTTGGAGCTAGAAGTCATGTAGTTCAGATTTGGACAGTAGTGTTGGAGCCAGGTCAGGGTGATGGTTTAAACTGGGCCAAAGTATGCTATATCATCCTGTGAAAAGGAAAGAGCACCTGGAAGAAACCTTTGCCAGGCTTTGTAAATTATATTTTAGTAAAGTTGAGGTAAGGATAATAAAAGACTATTGTTATGGTCTGAGTATTTGAGTTCCCCCAGCTTTCAGATGTTGAAATTCTAACCTCTAAAGTGATGGTATTAAGAGGTAGGGTCTTGGGGAGACAATTCAGTCTGAGGGTGGGGTCCTCATAAATGGGGTTAGTGCCTTTAGAAAAGAGGCCCAGAGCGCTAGCTCACCCTTTCTATCATGCAAAGACACCTCAGTAAGGCACTGTTTTAGGACTCAGGAAATGGGCCCCTGCCAGACACTGAATCTGCTGATACCTTGATTTTGGACATCCCAGCTTCCAGAGCTGTGAGAAATAAATTTCTGCTCTGTATAAGCTACCCAGTTTATGGTAGTTTTTTATAGTAGCCCAAATGGACAAAAACAACTACTTATCCTAATCAATTCCTACAACCATTATTGGAAGGCCAAAATCCCCCTAATTACCTTAGTGTGACTAAAGATGTTTGGTTAGGTCATTCAATTACCAACTATAGAAACCTTAGGAAGAACTTCATTCAACACACACTCTCTTTTTGTCTCCTTCATTCTCTCTCTCTGCCTTTCTCTCACACACATATATAAACATAAATACACACACACATACTCAATCTTTCTCTTTTTAAAAAAAAAAAGTGTGAAAAGAAATTAAATTTGGGGACCCCAAAATTATTTAGCCAAAGGGAAAAGTCAAGCTGGGACCTGGGTCATGCAAACCTGCCTCCCCCTTTTGGTTCCTAAATAAGATGGCTATAAGATGAAAAGCAACATGCTTCCCCCATATTTTGCCCACTAGGAAATTCCTAGTGAGCTGTTAAAATTTCACCGTGGCAGTGCAAAGTCATAGCTTATCTTTGCAGGTGAGATCATCCCCAGCCCACCAGACACAAATGCATATCTGATTTTCTCTGCCCTGTTTTGTCTGTTATGTTTGACAAAGATACATCTGTTATCTTCGATTCCCTGCATTTTTCTTCTGCCCCCTTCTTTTATGTCATCTTATGTAAAAAATGCAGATTCACTGAGCCAGACAAAGGCATGCATGACTATTTTTCCTTACCCACCTCTTACATGAAAATTGTGTACTTCTCAATATCCCACCCTTTCTCCTTTAAATTTGGAGCCCTCAAAATCATCTTTGGAAAAAGGTACAGACCTGTCTCCCAAGCACACATCATTAACTTTTGCAAATAAATCTCCTAAAATGATTGAGATTTGTCTTGTCATTTTGCTCAATTGACAAAGGTAAAAAAGAAACCAATAACAAATTTGATGCCCAGAGGTATGCATAACCAGAGTCACATATATCATTGTCTAGAATGCAACTTTCAAATTTCCAGGCATTTGTTATTTGTATTACACAAACTATGCTTTTTTACACCTCTTTCATATGACACTTAACTAATATTTGTGAAGTGTAATAGTAGCAAGTGTAAATGCCATTTATAAAAAACTAAATGATTTAAAATACAATTTCTCTGCTGTTGATGACAATAGTTGGGTGGGGAATGAGAGTGTGTCAATTCCAAAATTTTCATTAAACTACTTAATTGATTTTGATTTTGCAGGATTTGCTGCCATAGTACATGATGAAAGCTTAATCAAAATGGTAATAAACACTATTAATTTAGTTTCTGCCTTTATGTGCCAAGATAGTTTAAGAACTTTTCTAAAACATATGTTGTTTTTCTATACTGTTATTCTAATGGGCATAAAAACTTTGAATGTCATCTTTTGTATGAGGCCATTATCATTTGTGTCTGATCAAAGTTCTCACTGATTTCATTAGATTTTCTATGAAATAATGATTGTCTCATATGGCTACAGAATTGTTCTTGGTGTGATTAGCTGTCTATGTTTGAACAGTATTATTTTATTTTGAGTAAAAATACACATTTTAAAAGAGAGTCTAGGGCAAACATATAAAAATATTTATAGAATCTAGGTGGTTATACATGATTAACTTTTTTTTTCAAATTGGTTACATGTTTGAAATTTTTGCAGTAAAATTTTGGAGGGGAATCTGATACAGACACATGGTTAGCAAACTATATAATATTCTAGAACAACAGTATACAACTGATTTTTATTGGCTTCTGGGATTTTTTTTTACTGCTGCATGTACACATTTTTGAAAATTGCTGCTAGCATTAGAATCATTGATAAGTAATATTTTTTCTTAAAGCAACACTAATTAGCATTTAGTTTAGCATATAGCAAATAATACTTATAGGAAATGTATATTTATGACTGCTATTGTAGTCTTTGTCACTGAGTAGCTTTGAGTAACTTTGGCAGAATTCTAAACTCTTACAGTTTAAGTTGGGTACCAAACTACATGAGGACAAGGAGTGTTGCTGATAATGACATACCCAAGGCTAGGTAATTTACTAAGAAAAAGAGGTTTAATGGGTTCACACTTTCCATGTGGTTGGCGAGCCCTCACAATCATGGCAGAAGGTTAAAGGCACGTCTTACATGGCAGCAAGCAAGAGAGACAATGAGAATCAAGCGAAAGAGGTTTACCTTTATAAAACCATCCGATCTTGTGAGACATATTTACTACCAAGAGAACAGTGTGGGGGAAACTTTCCCCATGATTCAATTATCTCCCACTGGGTCCCTCTCACAACACATGGGAATTATGGGAACTACAATTCAAGACGAAATTTGGGTAGGGACACAGCCAAACCATATCAAGGGGTATCTCTATTGTTTACCAGTTGTTTTTCAACTTTAACACAGAACCTAAAATGGCAGTTTCTTATTCAACATTTGTGGATTTTAAATTTGTAGATAATTTTTTTTCTTCATGGCCATATATCAAGATATTTGGTACTTATGTTTCCAGGCACATAATAGGTTAATCAGTAAATGTACGATGAAGGAAGAAGGAAAGGAAAACCAAGCAAGCAAGAAAGAAAAGGAACCAAACCCAGTGGCTCACACTTGTAATTGTAGCTACTCTGGAGGTTGAGGCAGGAGGATGGCTTGAGTCCAGGAGTACCAGACCAGACTGGGCAACATAGCCAGACTCTGTCTCATTAAAAAAAGAGAGGAAGAGAAAAGAAAAAAAAAAGAGATGGAGAGAAAGGAGGAAAAGAAGGAAGGATTGCTTTTTGCTTTGATTTTGCCATTGTCTATCTGGGAAACTAGTTAAATCCCCTCTGTCTATGCCCTCTCAATATGAGCTACTATTAAAAATTGAATTTAAATAAAAGTATTTTTCTTAATTCAAATCAACTGCCTCTTCTTTCCTCTTCCTTTTCTCATATGTTGCCCTAGATCAGAGAGAACACAGAATGTCATTAGTAAGCTAACGTTTATGCAATGTAAGGGTAATGGAAGAGGGAAGAACATTTCAGTAGGAAAACCATCAGTTTTCATGTGAATTGCTTTTTTGACTAGTATGCAAGCATTAAGTTTTAGTGAGGTGAATCATGTTAGAATTAAATCCCCTATATATTATTTGTGATGCTTAAAATTGTTTTCAAAAGCATTTCTATCTGGCTTTTCTAATATGTAGCACTTTTAACAATATATCCTGACTTAAATTGATCACACTGAAATTTAAATCAATGCATCTAATTGTGTATATCAACTACTATAGGCAATGTGGTGCCTTGTATGTTGTAAAAAAAAATGTAACAGGAAGAAAAACCAAGCTTCTACTTAGGTCATTGTTATTTTAGAGATAATGGTAAAGAGATTTTTAAAAATGTTAAATTTTGACCTCAGTGCCAGGGATCTTTTATAATAATTAGAAGAAAGAAACAGAAAGAGGTGGGCATTGCATGCCTACCTTACTAATAGTAAATGTCTGTGTCCTCAGGGTTGACCCTCACCTCCCTACTCCACTACATACACAGTTACTTGTTCTACTTTTGTCGGGTTGTAAAACAAATTAAAATCTTTAGCTGTGAATGCTGTGGTTGGCAGAGTTAGAGCAGTAGTAGTTCAAAGAATTCCATCTGGCAAGCAAGCTCTAAAAACAAAAATAAACCTTTTTCCATCTCACAGAAGTCCAGAGAGAGAGATTAATTAAAGTCAATAGAGAAAAAAAAAAAAAAAAAAACACTTCCTAGTATTGTGATGATGTTGAGCTTTTTCCTACCCTCTGATGACAAATTCTTTCTGTTTTTACACTTATGGTCTTTGATAAAACAATAGTCTCTTCAAGTAAAATTCAAACATTACAATATTTATAAATAAATCTCCTTGCTGAACCCATATTTTAGGAATCTTAAAAGAGTTGACAATATGAATTCTGTCACATTTACATATTATACTCTTCTTTCTTATCCAGTTTTAACTTCTGCACAGTCATTAATCTTTGGGGTTGGGTTTATTTTTATGTAAGGTTTAACATTTTTCTTAGTCTCTTGACACCCTGTAGCATTTGCTTACCACATTTTTCCCTTTGAGCTCAAGTACTTATTTAAATGGCATGGATAGCACTAGATATCTCCCACACTATGAGGAAATTTGCATAAACACCCTTAGAAGCCTCTGAAGTTCTTGGTGAACATAACGTTGCTCAGGATAATAGGATGCCTGGACAATGGTTTGTCCTTTGATTCCTGACTTTTAGTTGTGGTTTCAGGATCACTTTAGAAGAACCTAAAATTCCTTTAGGTTTTTGTTTCTGTGAGAAGGAAAAAAAATGCTAAATCAAAGCTCCATAGTGTGCTTTCAGTTCTACATTTTAACAGACACTAAAAGCCAAAGAACCAAACTGTCTCTGAAGTATTGTTGGGTAAGATAGCTGGGGAGGAGGGAATACTGACTGCTTTGTGGTGAAAAAAAGAAATCCAGGGATTCTTTGTGTTGAATGAGATAACATAGCCGTTACATGTTCTCTTACATGGCTAGGAAAAATGACTTTCTTCTCGACTTCTTTTCTTTTCCACCTCTTCCCTTACCTCACCTTATTGGCTCATTTGCTCAGTGGGAGAAAGAGTAGCTGTTATGCAAAGTCCATGATGTAGTGAGGAGAAAATCCTGAGGTTATATTGTATTTTGTAAGATGGTTTTATGTCACCAAATGATGCACAACTGGCAGGATAATTCAGTCTGAAAAATGTATTTCCGTTGTTAAGTTACAAGAGTTCAGGAGAGTAATGATACTTTAACAGCATATGGTTTAATATATTTATTTTGTTTCTTGGTTTTATACACTTGCTTTGATTCAGGTTTTATTTTCATTTTAAAGTATTACGAGATTGTCAAAATACACTTTACATTTTTATTCCTGTTATTTCTAGCTTAAGTCTGCAGTGACTATTACAAAACTGTAAAGATATTTAAAGTCACAAAGGCATTTGTTACACTTCACATCATACTCCAGTACCTCAGATCTTCCTCCCAGCAGCACAGTATGGATTAAAATCATGGATCAATTAAAGTTCAGTTTACTTCCACAATATATCACATCAATACTATCAAGTTGCCTGTGGTGTTAGAAGAGGACTAGCAGTTCAGCATATTGGAAAATGGAAAAAATTCCTTTGTTTTCTTCTTCCTTTCTCAGTTTGAAAGTAAACCAGACTGTTTTACAGAAGTGAGCAAAGCTTAAATATGTTTTGATAGTTGTATTAGTCTGTTCTCATGCTGCTAATAAAGACATAACTGAGACTGGGTAATTTATAAAGGAAAGAACTTTAATGAACTCACAGTTCCACATGGCTGGGGAGGCTTCACAATCATGGCAGATGAAGGAAGAGCAAAGGGACATCTTACATGGCAGCATGCAAAAAGAGCATGTGGAAGGAAACTCCCCTTTATAAAACTACCAGATCTCATGAAACTTATTCACTATCATGAGAACAGAAGAGGAAAGACCAACCCCATGATTTGATTGCCTCCCACGAGGTCCCTCCCACAACACAAGGCAGCTACAATTCGAGATTTGGGTGGGGACAGAGACAAACCATATCATTCCCTCCCTGGCTCCTCCCAAATCCCATGTCATCAGATTTCAAAACCAATCATGCCTTCAAACAGTCCCCCAAAGTCTTAACTCATTTCAGCATTAACTCAACATCCACAGTCCAAAGTCCAAAGTCTCATCTGAGACAAGGCAAGTCCCTTCTGCCTATAAGCCTTGTATTAGTCTGTTTTCATACTGCTGATAAAGACATACCTGAGACTGGCAAGACATACCTGAGACATACCTGAGACTGGACGAAAGAAAGAGGTTTATTGGGCTTACATTTCCACATGGCTAGGGAGGCCTCACTATCATGGTGAAAGTTGAGGAGGAGCAAGTTACATGTTACATGGATGGCAGCAGGCAAAGAGAGAGCTTGTGCAGAGAAACTCCCATTTTTAAAACCATCAGATCTCACAGGACTCATTCGCTATTAGGAGAACAGCACAGGAAAGACCACATAATACAATTACCTTTCACAGGGTTCCTCCCACAACATGTGAGAATTGTGGGAGTTACAATTCAAGATGAGATTTGGGTGGGGGCACAGCCAAACTATATCAAGCCTGAAAAATCAAAAGCAAGTTAGTTACTTCCTAGATACAACAGGAGTATAGGCATTGGGTAAATACAGCCATTCCAAATAAGAGAAATTGGCCAAAACAAAGGGGCTGTAGGCCTCATGCAAGTCCAAAATCCAACAGGGTAGTCAAATCTTAAAGCTCTGAAGTGATTTCCTTTGACATCATGTCGCATATCCAGGTCACGCTGATGCAAGAGGTGGGCTCCCATGGCCTTGGGCATCTCTGCCTCTGTGCCTTTGCAGGGTAAAGGCTCCCACCTGGCTGCTTTCATGGGCTGGCATTGAGTGTGTCTGCAGCTTTTCCAGGTGCACAGTGCAAGCTGTCTGTGGATCTACCATTCTGGGGTCCGGGGAACCATGGGCCTCTTCTCACAGCTGCACTAGGCAATGCCACAGTGGTGTCTCTATGTGGGGGTTCTTACCCCACATTTCCCTTCCACACTGACCAACAGATGTTCTCCATAAGGGCTCCACCCCTACAGCACACCTCTGCCTGAACATCCAGGCATTTCCATACATCCTCTGAAATCTAGGCAGAAGTTCCCAAACTCAGTTCTTGACTTCCGTGTACCCACAGGCTCAACACCACATGAAAGCTGCCAAGGCTTGAGGCTTGAACCCACTAAAGCCACAGTCCACACTGTATCTTGGCTCCTTTTAGCCACAGCCGAAACGCCTGGGATGCAGGGCACCAACTCCAAAGGCTGCTTATAGCAGGTGGGCCCTGGACCCAGCCCAGAAAACCATTTTTCCCTCCTAGGCCTCTGGGCCTGTGATGAGAGGGGCTTCCATAAATGTACTTGACATGCCCTGGGAATATATTCCCCATTGTCTCAGTGGTTAACATTGATTCCTTGCTACTTATGCAAATGTCTGCCACTGACCTGAATTTCTCCCCAGAAAATGGGTTTTTCTTTTCTATTCCATTGTCAGGCTGGAAATTTTCCAAACTTTTATGCTCTGCTTCCTCTCGAATGCTTTGCTGCTTAGATATTTCTTCCCCTGGATACCCTAAATCATCTCTCTCAAGTTCAAAGTTCTATGGATCTCTAGGGAAGGAGTAAAATGGTGCCAGTGTCTTTGCATAGCAAGAGTGATCTTTACTCCAATTCCCAACAAGTTCCACATCTCCATCTGAAACCACCTTAGCCTGGAAGTTATTATCTATATCACTATCAGCACTTTTATCAAAGTCTCTAGGAAGTTTCAAACTTTCCTACATTTTTCTATATTCTTCTGAACCCTCCAAACTGTTCCAACATCTGCCTGTTACCCAAATTTCCAAAGTTGCTTCCATATTTTCATGTATCTTTAAAGCAGCACCCCACTTTACTGGTACCAATTTCCTGTATTGCTCTCATGCTGCTAATAAAGACATACCTGAGACTGGGTAATTTATAAAGGGAAAGAGGTTTAATGGACTCACAGTTCCACATAGCTGGGGAGGCCTCACAATCATGGCAGAAGATGAAGGAAGAGCAAAGGGATGCCTTATATGATGGCAGGCAAGAGAGAGCATGTGCAGGGGAACTCCCTTTTATAAAACCATCAGCTCTCGTGAGACTTATTCACTATCACAAGAACGGCATAGGAAAGACCCACCCCCATGATTCAATTACCTCCCACTGGGTCCCTCCCACAACACAGGGGAATTATGGAGCTACAGTTTGAAATTTGGGTGGGGACACAGGTCAAATCATATCAATAGTTAATGGAACCTAAATGGTTCTCTATTATTCAATGTTTAATGAGTTGACAAATTGTTGTAGCAGGAGGGACCTTGAATTAGAACCTAGTCAAATTTGAAAAACTACAAAGATCTTATTACTTACTAATTGTATGCCTTTGGTCAAGTCATTTTACCTCTTTAGACACCAGTTTCATCATATGAAATGTATTATTTTAAATTTCTGTAGAGGAAAGATAGAACAATTAAAGTTTCATAATAAAGACTTTGAATGAAATTCCCCGTGCCATGTCCAACAGACACAGAACACACACACACACACACACACACACACACACACAATACTGCTGGTTTAACAGCTTAAATAACCTACAATGATCTACAAAGGCAATAAAATAGTCAATTTCTCCTGTCTATTAAATTATAAAGTGCTAATAGATGTTATGGGAATGAGAAATAACTGAGGAAATATTTAAGGAAGATTGGTCTGAACAAATATTTCTTGAGTAAGACTTCAAAAGCATGGGGAAAAAAAGCAAAACTTGACAAATAGGATTACATCAACCTAAAACATTTCTGCACAGCAAAGAAAATAATAAAGGGAAGGAACAACATATGGAATGGGAGAAAATATTTGCAAACTATCCATCTGACAGGGGATTAAAATACTAAATGTATAAAGAGTTCAAACAACTCAAATACAAAAAAAAAATCCAACCCAAATAGTCCAGTTAAAAAAAATACAAAAGAACCGAATAGATATTTCTCAGCAAAAGACATATAAATGACCAACAGGTACATAAAAAAGGACTCACCATCTGTTACCAGATAAATGCAAATCAAGACCACAGTGAGATATCATCTCACCTCAATTAAAATGACTTATATCCAAAAGATGCAATAGCACATACTGGTGAGTTCATTGCTTTACTACATCACACTCCTAGTTTGATCTTTGCATGTTTGTTTATTTCTTCACCATCTATGACTTCCTAATTTGGCATTTATGTGAACCCATCATTCCGTACTTACTACATTCACTTTGTCATTCATTGACTAATTCAGTAATTTTCTTTTATTGAGTTTGCACCACCTGTAAGACATTATCTAGTTTATCTCTGTAAATATAAAATTAAATAAGACATATTTTTATTTTATGAGAAAATAAGTGCAAGTGAGATAAAACAGAATGCAATAAATGTATTAAAGGAAAATGTGGTTATTTAAATTAAAGTAGTGCATAAATATTACATTAAACGAATGTGGTGACTATCAGGATAAAGAAAGTGGTCAGGGAGAAAGTGTTATTTTAGCTGAATTTTGAAATATAAATACTATTTTATTTCACTGAGGAGAAAATCATACATTTCATGGAGAAGGATTGGCACAATTAATGTATAAGAGCAAGAGGATAAATTATCTAGTGGAAAATGGCAAGTATTCTTATTTAAGGAGAACATAATGTAGAATAATAATTATAGATAAGGTCTGAAAGGTAGGTTGCTTTCAAATACAGGATGTAAAATTTAAACATTAATCCATTTACAATGAGATCAAGTGTACATTTTTATCTGTGCTCTGTTTGACTAAAATCCATTTTAGAGAAATAAATCAAGCAGGTTGAGGAACAGTATAATAGAAAAATATAGAAATTAGAAGCTAGAAAATCAGTTAGGACCATCATGGTGATACTGACCAGGAGATTAGCAATAAAACAAAAGGTGACTCTGAAAGAAATACAGCAAAATTGCAAACGTCTGGCTGCTACTTGGATTTGAGAACTAAGGGAGAAATAGAAAAGAAAAAAGAAGTATATAAAGTATTCACTTAAATAAAGAAGCAAAATATTTCAGCAGTAACAGATATACAAATGTAAAATAAAAATTAATGTGGAAGTGTAAATGAGATTTTGAGGGTTATATAAGATGACAAGCTTAATATTTAACACATTGAATATCAGCATATCTAAACTTCTGGGAGAAATTATATTTTTTAAGCAATGCTTCAGCAGTAATCAACATATATGTCAATTTAAATGTATATTTTTATATATGTATATGTTTTAACTGATACTTAAATCATATAGAAAGAATACAGTATATAAATTCTACTTTTAAAAGGCTTATAACAGAAAAAATAATAGAGTAATAATTACTACAAAAATTTAATTGGAAAACAGATGCAAACTAAATCGTGTTATATTAACTTTTAGGGATAAAACAGTTCAGGAAACTAACAAATTAAGAAGAGGAGGCATTACCTGGGACTATTTCAACAGGTTAATTTCATCAAGTCAGGCAAGGCAACAGCATTTTAAGGAGATAATAAAGTAAAAAAGTAGATATCCCTGTATTAGTCAGGGTTCTCTAGAAGGACAGAACTAATGGAATATGTATTTGTATATATATATATGGTCTGGGATTTCATGTTTTGAAAGTCTCTGCTTATCAAAGTATAATTTGCTAGATATCTGAATATTCAGGGAAAGATATATTATCTATCTATATGCACATTCTGTCTAATAGCCTAAATGACTTAAAAACAGTCTATAAGATCATATGGAAAACAAAACTAGTTATTTTTCCACTCATATGGTCACATTTTAAGATCACAAGGCCACAGTACTTAGGTACTCTGAGAAAAGCCAATCTGTAAATACTGATGGCTGAAATAAATACTGATGGCTGAAATAAATACTGATGGCTGAACTCTTCCATCGCTTGGAGTAATAATAACATTTAAAAAATGGCTCATTCTTTCGTAATTAATCCTTGAAGACTACCTCCACGTTCTCTGATTATATCAAGCTAGAATTTAGCTAACTTCACTTCTTACCTTCACATAACGGCAAGCTTTCCTCTAGAACACTTTTTTTTTTCGCAATGATTTTCTAGGGTGGGTGCTTAGTGTTTTGGTTTTGTCATTTGAATTGAAAGTTATCAACCAATACCAAACCACAAAATACTTAATATCTTTATAGATACATACATTTTTATAATTTAATCAAGAAACAATACTAATAAACTGTTTTCATTAAAAAAAAATCATGCCGTTCTCATAGTCCCAGATTATACACAAAGCTATGAAACATAAAAAATAATTTTTGTACCTAAAATTGTGAATGGTTAAATATAAATACTGTCTTATTAAACTTTTAAAATTATTTTATTCAACAATTATTATTGACAATCTATTATGTTCAAGGCACTGCTCCATATGCAAATGATATAATTTTGATATAACAAAATGGCTGTTTTCATTGAGTTTACAATCTAATGTGAAAGACAACAAACACAAGTCAATATATCAAAAATATAATCGTAAAACATAATTTCAAATAGTCAAAGGCTATAAAAAGATCAAGAAAAAAAGACTAGAAAATGATGAGTGTATGGAGAGATATTGTTTTATAGGGAATAATTAGAAAGGTTCTTTGAGATGTGACATTTGACCAGAGATCTGAATGGAATGAACAACTAAGCCCTGGAAAGAACTTGTGGAAGAGAATTTCAGATGAAAATAAGAGCAGATGAGGAAGGCTAAGAAAATGGAGGATGGGAAAAGCAGGAGAGAGATAGATTGGAGGTGAGTGGAATAAGTGAGGGCAGAGGGTTATGAGGCCAAATACAACATAGTAAGCAATATTGTATAAATCAATGAACATAAATATGGATGAATGGGCTTCATGTGAACTTGAAATAAAGCAAAATGAATAAATATTAGTGATAGAATTCAAAGATCACTCAAGAGAAGAATGACATTATGCTGATTGGCTTAGCTAAAAGAATTGGCCACAGATATCTCATTGCCAGTTACATAAACCTGTGATTTTCAATTCTGGTTTTGAGACACATGGGACACTTTTAATTATCCCAAGAGGTATAACATCATTTTCCAGTCATGTGATTAGAACTTACAAATGGAAGTGTATTCCAAAATCAACTTAACCTGTCTAGAGTGCCAATAATATAAATGTACGGTAAGATGAAGAGGTAGCATTTTTTTTTAATGAATTTACCTGGCAATTGACTTTTAAATACAAGTGATAGCAACACTGAAAGCATTGTAAAATGCTTCTAGGCACTATCACCTTATTCTGCCATTTCATTTTAGCTTATAACTTAAATACCTGCTTAAAAGTAAACGTGTAGTCATATTTACCTCTAGAGTGACTATAACTTAATATAATTATCAAATATGCCCCTCATTTACTTTACCTATTTAGTTCCTATCTATTGTGTAATGCCTAGAATGGCCTTGACCGAAGCATCTTTTTTTAAATACCAAAAGAAAATGATGATGAAGAAGGATATATACTACACCTGCTGAAAGACGCTGCCATTTTGTAAGCAAAGCTTGTCCATTTCTTCTTTTCCCTCACTCTGTTACAACCTATTGCAACTTTTTAGAAAGGCACAGTTTCTTTTTTTTGCTCTAGTTTGTCCTCCAGCTAGGGAAACTATTTAGAAAATTTGTTTCTTTTACTTTGGCCCCATGCAGGCTTGACCTATTTTATCTTGTTACAGTGATGGAGAGCTCCATTCCTGCAAAAATTTAGCTTCAAAGAGTTCTGCTAATGGACGAGATACAGACACCTTCTAACCAGCAGGTACAAACAAAACTTCCCTCTTTAAATCTTTTATTACATTTACCCAATTAATATGTTGAAATATTTTTCAAATTAAGTAAAATGAATATAGGCTTATAACAATAAATTATTCAGATACAAGTTATACATTATCATCCAAAAGATAATGGAGAATTGAGTCATGATTTACATCTACAAATTTTTCTCATTATAATTTTATTTAATATCAATAATAAAAATATCATCTATACAATTAGAGTAAATTCAGATTATAATCTTGACAATTTAGTTAAAGATATATGATTAATTATCTTTCTCCCTGTCACTGTTTAAGATAAAAACAAAGATCAGATCTCAATCTCTAGCAAACTCTTTGCTTTTCTCTTTTTCTCTTACAGGATAGTGTATGATAGCAATATTGCTTAGTTCAGTTGGTTTTAATATGACACTGTTAGTAGGAATATGCTTAGGAGCATGTACGATTTATGAGTCAAGCTTTTTTTTTTAATAGAAGAACAATTCTGTGCAATGACTAGAGGGTCTATCACTAATCTGGACCAGCTTTATTTATCTGTCAGCCATTTTTTAAAAATTCACAAGTAGGCGAGTGAGTGAATCAGCATAACCCATTGCCATACCTGGGAACAAACACCAACTACATATTCCACAGGAAAATTATCTTTTTACTGGAGGCAGTTTCCCAATTATTTGAGTATAATTACTAAATGTTGGCCAAAGTGCTTATTTCATTTTCTCTGTATATTAATGTTGCTTTGGCTGGTAGCTCAAGGTAGCTGAGTTTGCAGTAAACTTTTTTCATAAAGTCTTCCAGAAGCAAGTTTGTGTTATTGAATTTTCTTTAAATGAAAAAATTGGAATTTTGTTCATGGCATTGATTAATTAAGATTCAGGATAAGAGCACACTTTGGTCAATTGATGACTCAAGTTGAAAAATTATTCCTATGCTAGTCAATCAACATTATAATGGGAGTATATATATATATATATATATATATATATTCATATGGAAATACAATGACTAAGATATGATTGTATCTAAATAAAATATTTTTTTCTCTTAGGACATGAGTTATTACATTAAGTAATGCCTAAATTCTTGTTTTAAATTTAGCATGTATAGGTATTATAATTTTGATTATTATTATTATTACTATTTTTTAGTTAATTTTAAATTTATTATTAAGAAAATAGAAAAAACCTTTACACAGAAGTAAAAAATTTGTTTATATTGCTAGGGAACACACTTTACTAAACACATATTTGAAGCATCTGTTTAATGTCTCCAGTTGTTTTTCTCTTACAGTAAGCTTGTCAATATAAAGGACCATTCAGAAAAAATATAACAGAAATTTATGTTTAAATATATTTAGAAAGATCTCAGTATATCATGTCTAAAAACTCTCAAATAATAAAATGTTTGCACTTATACTACCAGTGCATAAAATTCATAGAACAAACAACTAATTTGGGAGGAAAAGTTTCACATTAAATATTTCAACTTTACAGTTGAAATAATTTCCCAATGCATGCATGTTGATTCTAACTGTTATAGTAGTTCTGTGTCAGACACTTACGTTTTGACAGTGTCTTTCTGTCAAAGAATTTCTTTTCTCCTCTAGTTCAATCTCCATCTATCCAAACTTCTAAATTTGTCTTGATAATATTTCATTTCAGTTTTTGCCCAATCGTCCACATTTCTGTTTCTTATTCATTCATTTCTTGCATTGCAAATCTCTTTAAAATATTAATGATTATAATAATATAAATAATACTTAAACATTAATTTTTTGCCCTATATTATCCGCCTGAGTTCTTGAAATTATGTTTAATCTTCACAGCAATGGAGTTAGAATTTTATTATATTTATTTTGCAAATAAGGAAACAAAGGCCCAGAGAGGTATTAGGTTTTCAAAGTTAAAAATAAGGGGAAAAGGTAGATTTAAATTTTGATCCCTTCAAGTTTAAGATTCTGCTCTTTCCATTAAGCCACATGATCTCGCTCGTACCTTTTTGGGGGAATCAATCTTCCTCACACGAATCAAGTACCAGGTATAAGACAGGATAAGTTGCACTATTGGATTGCCTTCTTTCTTGATCTTTCTCTCTTCTTCTGTGTCTCAGTGAGGATTCTCAGTCATCTATGATAAGAAGGCCATACCCTGTTCTAAAGCAAACAGGAAAAATGGATAAACTTTTTGCTAGTATATTTTAGATGTAAAATTTTCCCTTTTAATGAGATCAGATTGAACTATAAACTCAAATTATAAACTCATTTCCAAACATTTTGACTTGATTGGCAAATGATTACTCAAAATATGTATGAAATATTGGAAGTCTGTTTGTTCAAAATCTTTATTTTTTAGTAATAAATTTCATGTTCAAAAGTGAAAAACAAGTTGCTTAAAGTCTATGTCACCCATACCTTGTCATTAATCAGGCTTTAAATTCTTTATTAAATTATATCCTTTGTTGTGAAAGTCTTGTTTTCAACTTATTAAGCTATAAAGATACACAGTATTAACTAGTTTTATACATGACAAAAATTTTTGAAAAACTTTTCAACATAAATTATTTGTATATTGAATCATAGTCCTAAGTAACATAGTTATGACCTAGCATTTATAGTGAAACATATTTTGAGAGACCTTAATTTTAATATTGGTTTAATCAATTCCATTTTTGAAGCATGTCCTTAAATCAGATTGCAAAGTAGTGATAGTGTGATATAGTGGAAGGATATGTGTTTTAGCATCAGAAAGTTCTCTATGCTCTGATGTTAGCTGTTGCACACCGTATTATATTACTCACAAGTTATGTAGCTGTTCTGAGCTTCATTTTCTTAGTATGTAAAATATAAAGGTACTCTTTTATGAGCAATGTCATAAGAATTAAATATAAACACTAACATAAAACTCCTAACACTGTGATTAGTTTGTCCCCAGTAATTGGTGGTGTATCCTTATGGGAGGCTTTTACAACCTAACCCCTGAAATCAGGCTTAGCCCATGACTTATGAGCTGAAGAGATGTGTGTTCTTACTAAGCAGTCATTTTATCCTGTCATGACAACTGACTATGTTCCAAACTGGCTTTCAAGCTAGGTAGAGTATTACAGTGAAGGAGACATGGCTACCTCTGATGAGCATGTGAAGTGAAAGAGAAACAAGTCTTTGTTGTTTTCAACCCACCAAGATGATGGAACATTTGTTGTTGTTGATAGTGTTATTAGTGTTAAAGCAATACAATTGAACTTAATTTGGCTGATACCAAAATAATTAGTAAGTGATAGTTATTCTATTAGGCATTTATGATTTACTCCCCAATGTACTGTATTCTTCTCCTAATAGTACGTAAATTCTCTCATGTCATCCAAAATAACTTGATTCACTACAGAGGAGGAACATTTATGGCTGAGTGCTTTTAAATTCTTCCATCATTTCTTTTCAAGAGATGCCCTTTCAGTTGTTGGACTGACTACGGTACAATTAGCTGACTTTCTTTCCCAAGATTAGAGAACCAAACTATGTGGATTAACATATAGCCAATGCTAGTAAAGACAAGAAAGTGGTAAACTGAGTTAAAAAAAAGTTGAGGCCAGGAAAACCTCTTTTCATCAGGTACACATGACTTCATATACTTACAGAGTAAATAACCATAATTTTGCAGATGCATTTGGAAAACATCTTGTACACTAGCTGTAAATTTTTGGTGCCTCACTATCCCAACTGTTTCAAGTTGCTCCTAGACGGAGGATTACACTGAGTCAACTTAGTTCTATGAAGATACAGAGTATGAAGTCTGAGAAATAGATTTCCAGATACCTTCTTGAGTTCAAACTTAAGTATCCAATAATTTTATCTTTGGATTGCAGCCCATAAAATTGTCTAGCAGCACATAGATCTACTGTTTTTATGGAGTTACATTACTAGAGAATGACAAAAATAAAAGAAAGGTGATTGTGTGTCCTTTGATAATCTGCAGGTCTTTAGACTTCCATAAATAGGAAGCAGGCCTCTAATCAGAGAAGCCCATAAATCTTTCCAGTATTTATAGCAAGAGTGTCAGTGAAAAATGACAGACAATGGAGACTCTCCCAATGACTTGAACTAGGATACCCCTTTGGAGACTTGGATTCTGATAAGAAATACATACATATATATATATATATATATATATATATATATTCCTTTGTGGGAGGATATGGATATTTTTATATAAGCATGACCATTTTTAGTGGCTTATATTCGATAAGAAAGATGTATATACACATTGATTAAAATGGTGAACTCTTAGGACATTTGTTATGCTCTACCAGTATTTATTTTCTCCTTTTGATCTGCATTTTTTTTATTTTGGGGAATTCTTATGTTTCAAAGAAAGCTAAATTCAAGAAGAAACTAAATTGCCAAATCCCTGGATACAATAATTCAATAAAGAGAGGGCATATGATATGAGTTGCATTATAGGTTCAAGAAATTTTTATGGGAAATCTGAGGGGAAAACGTTTCTTCTTTCTGTAGGTGATATTTTGTCCATATATAATTTCTTGATCTACTGCTGCCATTTTGCTATCATAAGAAAGCCAACTTGAGGTGTATATTGACTTATAAACGTGAGCATCAGAAAGAACCGGAAACAAAGATCTCAAAAAAAAAAATCTAATGTTTCACTTCAAGCAACTAGAAAAAGGGGAACAAACTAAGCCTAAATTTTGCAGAATAAAGGAAAGAATAAAGATCAAAGTGGAAATAAAATAAGACTAGGAAAGAAACAAAATATCAACAAAAATAAGAGTTGATTTTTTGAAAATGTAAACAAAATTTATAAACATTTAGGTGGACTAAAAAAAAGAGAGAAGGCAAAAAAAGGGAAAGGAAACAAAAAAAAAAAAAAGAGAGAGGAAACATTACAACTGATGCCACAGAAATACACAGGATGCTAATAGGCCATCATGAACAATTATTCACCAACAAACTGGGTAACTAGAGGAAGTGGATAAATTCCTAGAACTGTACAACCTATGAAGACTGCATCATGAAGAAATAAAAAAATTTAAACTGAGCGACAGCAAGTTAGAAGATTGAATCACTAATAAAAAGTCTCTCATCAAAGAAAAGCCCAGGATCCAATGGCTTCACTGCTGAATTCTACTAAATATTTTAAGAAGAACTGATATAAATTCCACTCAAATTCTTTCAAAAAATTGAAAAAGAGTAAATACTTTCAAACTCTTTTTCAAGGCTACCATCGCCCTGATACCAAAGCCACTCAAGGACATTATTTAAAAAAATTACAAGCCAATATCCTCAATGATTTTAGATATACAAATTCTCAACAAACTATTAGCAAATCTAGTGTGTCATATTAAAGGGATCATCAACCATGATCAAGTGAGATTTATCCCTGGGATGCAAAATATTTTAACATATGCAAATCAATAAATGTGATACATCACATCAACAGAATGAAGGGCAAAAACAATATAATCATCTAATTAGATGCAGGAAAACCATTTGACAAAGTTCAGCATCGTTTCATGATGAAAACTCTTACCAACTTAGATATAGAAGGAATGTAACTCAATACACTAAAGCCTATATCTAAGATGCCCACAGCTAACATTATTCTCAACAGTGAAAACTTGAACATATTTCCTCTAAGATATGGAATAAGACAAGGATCCTCACTCTCACTACTTCTATTTAACATACCATTGGAAATCACTTCCAGAGCAATTAGGCAAAAGGAAGAAATTGACGGCATCCAAATTAAACAGGAAGAAGTTAAATTGCCACTGTTTGCTGATGCCATGATCTTATGATTAGTAAACCTGATGGATTCCACCAAAAAAAAAAAAACTGTTAAAACTAAGAAATGAATTCAGTAAAGTTGCAGGATATAAACTCAGCAAACAAAAATCGGTAGTCTTTCTATACACCAGTAATAAACTAGCTGATAAAGAAATTAAAAAAGCAATCCCACTTACAATAGCTACAAAAAAAAAAACCTAGGAATAAAATTTAACCAAGGATGCGAAAGATCTCTAAAATGGTAACTACTAAACACTAATGAAAAAAATTGAAGAGGACATACATATATGATAAAAAGACACTGTGTGTTCATGGATTGAAAGGATTAATATTGTTAAGATGACCATACTACCCAAAGCCATCTACAGAGTCAACACAATCCCTACTAAAATACCAATGATATTTTTCATAGATATAGAAAAAAATTCTAAAATGTGTATGGAACCACAAAAGACTGAACAACTAAAGCAATACTGAGCAAAAAGAACAAAGCTGGAGGCATAACGCTACCTGACTTCAAAACATGCTACAAAGGTATAGTAATCCAAACAGCATGATACTGCTGTTACACAAACAAACAAACACATGGACCAATTGAACAGAATAGAGAATCCAGAAATAAATTCAGATATGTAAATAGTCAAGTGATTTTCTTTTCTTTCTTTTCTTTCTTTTTTTTTTTTTTTTTTTTTTTTTTTTTGAGATGGAATCCTGCTCTGTCACCTAGGCTGGAGTGCCATGGCATGATCTCCACTCACTGCAAGCTCCACCTCTTGGGTTCATGCCATTCTCCTGCCTTAGCCTCCCAAGTAGCTGGGACTACAGGCGCCCGCCACCACGCCTGGCTAATTTTTTTGTATTTTTAGTAGAGATGGGGTTTCACTGTGTTAGCCAGGATGGTCTCGATCTCCTGACCTCGTGATCCACCTGCCTCGGCTCCCAAAGTGCTGGGATTACAGGTGTGAGCCACCGCACCTGGCCAATAGTCAAGTGATTTTCAATAAAAGTGCCCAAAATATATATTGGGAAATGAGGAAAAGGACACCCTCTTTAATAAATGGTTGTGGGAAAACTATCCATATGCAGAAGAATGAAACTATACCTCTATTTCTTACCATTTGCAGAAACCTACTCAAATTGGATTAAAATCTTAAATGTTTGGAATGCCTATTAATAAAAAGTCAAAAGAAAAAAATAACATGCTGGTGAGGTTGCAGACAAAAGGGAACACTTTTATACTGTCAGTGGGAGTGTAAATTAGTTCAACTATTGTGGAAAGCAGTATGGTGATCCCTCAAAGAGCTAAAAGCAGAACTGCCATTCAACCTAGCAATCCCATTACTGGGTGCATACTCAGAGGACTATAAATCATTCTACCATAAAGATACATGCACATGATTGTTCATTGCAACACTCTTTACAATAGCAAAGACATAGAATCAACCTAAATCCCCATCAACGATAGACTGGATAAATAAAATGTAGTACATACACACCATGGAATACTATACAGCCATAAAAAAGAATGAGATTGTGTCTTTTGCAGGAACATAGGTGGAGCTGGAGGTTATTATCTTCAACAAACTAATGCAAGAACAGGAAACCAAATACCACATGTTCTCATAAGTGGGAGCTAAATGATGAGAACTTATGAACACAAGGAAGGAAACAACAGACACTGGGGTCTACTTAGGGGTGGAGAGTAGAAGCAGGGAGAGGAGCAGAAAAGATGACTATTGTGTACTGGGCTTAATTCCTGGGTGATGAAATAATCTGTACTACCAACCCCCATGACGTGAGTTTACCTATGTGACAAGTCTTCACATGTACCCCCAAACCTAAAATGAAAGTTTAAAAAATTAAATATTAGACTTGAAGAAGGCCAGGCACAGTGGCATATGCCTGTAATCCCAGCACTTTGGGAGGCTGAGGCAGGTGGATCACCTGAGGTCAGGAGTTCGAAGTCAGCCTGCCAACATGGTGAAACCTCATTTTTACTAAAAATACAAAAATTAGCTGGGCGTGGTCACGGGCACTTGTAGTCCCAGCTAGTTGAGAGGCTGAGTTAGGAGAATTGCTTGAACCTGGGAGGTGGAGGTTGCAGTGAGCCAAGATCATGCCACTGCACTCCAGCCTGGGCAACAGAGCAAAACCCTGTACCCATTCCCCCCACCAAAGGAAAAAAAAAAGACTTGAAGAAAATACAAAACTACCAGAGGAAAACATAGGGAAATGCTTCAGAATATTGGTTTAGGGAAATATTTTATGGGTGTGACTTCAAAAGCACAGGTAACAAAACAAAAAATAAATACATGGGAATATATCAAAGCAAAAAGCTTTATCACAGCAAAATAAACAATCAGTAAAGGGACAACCTACAAAATGGCAGAGAATATTTGCAAACTATTCATCTGCAAAGCGGTTAATATCCAGAATACACAGGGAATTCAAGCAACTCAACAGAAAAAGAAATCTATTAAAAGTTGGCAAGGGATCTTAGTAGACATTTCTCAAAAGAAGACATAAAAATGTGCAAAAGATATAATAAAAAATAACATCGGTAATCATCAGGCAGCTGCAAGTCAAAACCACAATCAGATATATTCTCACCCCAGTAAGAAACCCAGTAGAATGGCTACCATGAGAAAGACAAAAACTAAACCAAACCAATGCTGGTATTATGTAGAAAAAAGAGAGCTCTTATACACCATTGGTGGAAATGTAAATTAGTACAACCATTATACCAAACAGTATGGTGGTTTCCCAAAAACTAAATATAGAGCTATATGATCCAGCAATCTCACTACTGAATGTTTATCTAAAGGAAAGCAAATCAGTATATTGAAGAGATATCTGCTCCCCCATGATTATTGACATCAGAGAAGATGTGGCATCATTCTTTGTCCATCAACAGATTAATGCATAAAGAAAATGTCGTGTATATAGATAATGGAACATTACTAAGCCATGAAAATGAATAAAATCTGTCCTTCAGGGCAACACGGATAAGCCTAAAGGACATTATGCTAAATAGAATAAATCAGGCACAGAAAGATAAATACTACATGTTCTCATTCATATGTGAGAGCTAAAAATTTTAAGCTCATTTAAGCTCATGGAAGTAAAGACTAGAAGTATGGTTATTAAAGTTTGGGAAGGGTGGGTAGGATGGGAGAGTAGGGAAAGTTTGCTTAATGAATGCACAATAATTTTTTGTATATTTTCTAACGGCTAGAAGAGAAGATTTTGAACATTCCCAACATAAGGAAATGAGAAATGTTAGGGGTGACAAATATACTAATTATCATGAATTGACCACTACACATTGTACAGATGTATAAAAATGTCACTCTGACCCCCTAAATATGTACAATTATACATCAATTAAAAGTAAAAAAATAAAAATATACAGTAGTATCATTTTACAAATCTTACACATTCTATGTAAGTTTAATGTTTTAGTTGGCTAGATTTTAACTAATAATTTTAAGTAGGCTTGTTATACTGCTAACAAGTAGAATTCTACTAACTAATAGAATTCTGTTCTAATTTATTCAGTTTTATCAGTAAGTACCGATGTTATAGCTTAGAAAGGGATTTTCTTTTTAAAAACTTGTAAGTAATGCAGTATGATTTACTTCCATTTATTTAGTTTAATATTGGAGAGCAACTACTTATTGTCATCGGTAACAAACTGCAGATGTCCTGTTTGCACACATAATATCTCCAATTTGTAGATATAATACCTCTGAATTTAATTAACTTGAAGATTTGTACTAGGATCTTTGCTGATAGAGATTTCAAGATTATGCATTTAAAGTGTATATATTATTGTATAAAGAAATATTCACATAAAATATGCTTAAGATCAAAATCTATTCAGAAGTCTAAAATAATATCATATTCACAAATATTTCACTATTATAATTGGTATGAATAATGATAATAAATATTCAGCTTTGTAGTGTGTGTGTGTGCACACCTGTGCATATATATTTTCTAGTGTTTCTTTGTTAGGCTACAAGTTTAGGTTCTGTGATCAACTTAAACGTCAATGAGCATTTTAACGTAACTGACATCTTTCAGGAAATTATTCATTTTAGGGTGATAGGACTGATAATTTACCATAGATTTAAAGATTTTGGACATATAATTCTATATCCATTCCCTCAGAGTTAATAAAGTAAGACTAGGCCTTGACCACAAAGATGGGAGAAGCACTTAACCAGTAATAACATGATCTGATAATATTACTCATAAATTAAGAGTAATAAATGTTAGAAGAGTGCAGTACTTGATTGAGGTAATAAACTTAATTGGCATGCCTGTAGACTTAATAGGAAAATATAGATGTTAACATTTTATCTGAATTTCTTCTTGTTTTTAGCACACTTAATTATATAAACAAAAGTCTTATTCATCTGAGAATTACGGGTAAAATATTGATTCTCAAATGAGAAAAAAAATAGACAATTTGTTTTCCCATTTTAAAGTTGTCAAAACCTTTTGTCAGGCATTTGAAAGGACTAACTCTAACCACCTATTAGAAAATCATGGAGAGTATAATATAAAGCTTGTTCCTGTAATGTAGAGTGTGTTTTATTGGGAGTTTGCCATATAAATTTTTAAAGAGATGCTGTGCATAAAGAAACAAGTTGTGTCCATCATTAGTGTGGTAACAGCTACAGACCAAGATAGCCAAATTCAGAAATGCTAAGTACCATATAATTAACCAACCATGAAATAATTTGTCTGGTATCTTGAAAGTCTACTTTGCTGAAAAATGATAATGCCAATATTCAGTTTTAAAATGGGGAACCCGTTATTACATTTTAGCTCAAAGAAATTACATTTTCTGTGTCATCATAGAAGGCAACAGCCCACAGTTGAAGACAAAAATTTTAGAATTCTATAGAATTCCTGGTGTGTCTATAATCTAATAATATAAAATGAATATTTAAGAAAAATTTTTGAGGTATTGATAAAACATTTATGTTTATGCATGGGTGCATGTGTGTATACTCAAAAACTTTCTAGAAATTAGAGTACAAAAACTCAAAAAATAAATACCAAGTTTAGACATATAGAAAGCTATAGTTACTGTAAATTTACAAAATTTGCCCCTAATTCCTTTAAGGAAGTAAAAGGATATAGTATAGTTTTATGTTAAACAGAGTTTCTTGAATATTACATTATTGTATGATTATCATACACAACTAATTATTCTAGTCTGACACAGTTTTATAAAATTTATTATTTTCAACATAGTTGATTTATTATATGTAATATTTAATTAAGTACTAATTTTGAACTCTGAGGCTTTTCTTTTAAATATGTTAGAAAGACTATGATTATTTGAATGTTTCCAAAAAAGTCATTAATGATGGAGAACATTTGATGTAATTTATTTAAAAAAAGGATGGCCTTGGAAAGCTCCCATTCAGCAACAAACAAACAAAATATATTTAATTCATCTTTTGTTAACTATATTCTATGAAGACATTCATCCATTTGAGGGTTATATTACTTCCATAATCACTAAAATTATCAAATTAAGTATGGCCAACTTCTCTGACTGCCTTTACCTTCATGTTTCCCTCGCCAGCTAATGTTGTTATCATATTATTTTATATATAATTACATTTTATTTTATATATAATTACAATTTTGTGGTATTTTACTGTGCTTTTTATAATGGAACTTAAAATCATATAGTTTAATATTCTTATTTATTTTACAATATTCAAATATGTGTTTTAAAATTTAAAATAGGCTCAAAAATTAATACATGAACACTCAAGTAATTAAAAACAGCAAAGAAAGCAAGGTTACCCAAAATTCATATTATTATTGTAAACCAGGATTTATATGCATGCACCCACATGTGCTACATACACACCACATGCACACAATAAGGGTCGTGCCATACTTTAAAATTGTTTAAATGTATGCTATTTATCTAATTATTCTATCATAAAATACTGTGTTATATGAAGAAATGTATGTATACCATATAATTTTAGTAAACATAATATTCCATTGTATAATTCTGTCATATTTTAGTCAATTTTGATTTTAATGAATAAGGATGCAATAATTGACTTGCAAATACATCTTACATACTTATATATTACCTCCAAAAGATGAAATTCTAAAAAGAAAATTGCTATTTACAATAATTTACTTATACATTCATCAGTGAGAAACTTGAATACCCAAGAGGCAAAACCTCTCACAGTCCCACATTCCTATCTTTATTATAAAATATATCATTTTATACTAAAGTTAAGATTTATGTATCTGTCTCCCTAGCTCAGCACTTAAGCTCGTTTAAGGCAGAGGTTTTAGGACCCTGTCTAATTCATTTTGTAGGAAGAGTTTCCTTATCTATAATTACCCTTCCTCGTATGGTTTCTGCACCCTCTTATTTAAATTGAATATATGCCTTTCCTCCTGATTTTTCTGGAACTCCCAGCATACAACACATGTTCTTTGTAGAGTGTCAGCAATGATATGATGGAGGAACAGATGGCTAAGATTAGGAATAAAGTTATCCCCTTTTCCTCTCAAACCTAGTTTAACAGGCAGGAGGTCTATGGCCATACCACCCTGAACGCGCCCAGTCTTTTCTGATCTTGGAAGCTAAGCAGGGCCGGGCCTGATTAGTACTTGGATGGGAAAAGGCAAAAGAAGTAGGGTTGAGGCATTTTCTTTTTTTTTTTTTTTTTTTTTTTTTTGAGACGGAGTCTCGCTCTGTCGCCCAGGCTGGAGTGCAGTGGAGCTGTCTTGGCTCACTGCAAGCTTCGCCTCCCGGGTTCACACCATTCTCTTGGGGTTGAGGCATTTTCTATTGAATATTTTAAAATTATGAACTTTTCAGGTAGAGACTGAAAGTACTTCTAAATTACGGGTGTCTTTGTATTGAGATAGATCTATACTATTCAAAGAAATTAACACAAGGAGTGGTCAGAATGTTATATAAACTTTTATCAAGGTGAAAACATAAAAGGCCTGCCCAGACTACTCTGCCAAGTAAAGAGAAGTCAAATGCAGAAATCTAGATTCTACATTTGGTGAATTTTATTTATATTGTAAATACTGGGAATCTGTAAGGAGTCCCAATATTTTGTCAAAGAATTCCATCACAATTCTCGAGGACAATTTTGGTCAAAAAGCGAAAGGATTTTGGGGAAGATTTTTAAAAATTAATACATTTTATTTTTTAGAGTAGTGTTAGGTTCACAGAGAAATGGAGCAGAAAGCACAGAGTTCATCTATAACTGCCATCCTCACCACACACAAACACAACCTCCCCCACTATGGCATCCCACACCTCAGTGGTATAGTTTATGTTTGTTTGTTTGTTTTATGTTTTGTTTTGTATTTTACAGTAAATGAAAATACATTGGCACATTATTATCTCCCAAAGTCCATAGCTTATATTTGGGTTCACTCTTGGTGTTGTACACACTATAGGTTTGAACAAATGTATAATAACATGTATCCACAACTGTAGCATCAATTAGAATAGTTCTACCACCCTAAAAATCCTCTGTTCTCTGCCTGTTCATCCCTCCTTCCCCTCAACTCCTGACAACCACAAATTTTTTCCTGTCTTCATAGTTTTGCCTTTTTCAGAGTGTCATGTAGTTGGAATCATACAGTATGTAACCTCCTTATATTCGGGCTCCTTTCATTTGGTATTATGCAAAAAGTTTCTTCCCTGTCTTTTCCTGGCTTGATAACATGTTTTAGTGCTGAGTAACATAACATTTTCCAGATGCCTTACAGTTTATTTATCCATTCACCTACTAATGAACAAGTTATTGCTTCCAAGTTTGGGCAATTAGAAATAAAGCTGCTATAAACATTTGTGTGCAAGTTTTTGTGTGGATATATATTTTCAATTCATTTGGGTGAATACCAAGGAGAACAATTTCTGACTCATATGGTAAGAGTATGTATAGTTCTGAAAAGAACTGCCCAAATGTCTTCCAAAGTGGCTGTACCATTTGCTGTCTACCAGGATGAATCAGTGTCCCTCTTGAACCACATCCTTGACAACAATTAGTATTGTCAGTGTTCTGGATTTTGACTATTCTAACAGGTATGTAGTGGCATCTCATTATTGTTTTAATTTGAAATTTCTTAATGACATATGATAGTGAACATCATTTCATATGCATAATTGCCATCTGTATATCTTATTTGGAGAGGTGTCTGTTCATATCTTTTGTCCATTTGTTAATTGGGTTGTTTACTTTCTTATTGTTAAGTTTTTAATAGTTCTTTATATATTTTAGATAATAGTCATTCATCAAATGTATCTTTTGCCAATATTTTCTCTCAGCCTGCAGCATGTCTTCTTATTATCTTGGCATTACATTTCTCAAAGCAGAGGTTTTTAATTTTAATGAAGTCTGGCTTATCAACTATTTATTTCATGAATCATGCCTTCAGTGTTGTATCCAAACCATAAGTCACTGGCAATCCCAAGATCATCTAGGTTTTCTTCCATTTTATGTTTTAGCATTTTGTAGTTTCGTATTTAAATCTATAATTCATTTTTAGTTATTTTTGTGATTGGTATAAAGTATGTATCTACATTTTTTTTGCATGTGAATGTTCAGTTGTTTCACCACAATTTGTTGAAAAGACTGTCTTTACTCCATTGTATTATCTGTGTTTTTTTTGTGAAAGATCAGTTGACTATATTTACATGGGTATACTTTTGGGATCTCTAGTTTATTCCATTTATTTATTTGTCTATTCTTTTAGCTGTACCATATTACCATGATTACTGTCGTTATATAGAAAATCTTGAAGTCGGATAGTGTCAGTCTTCCAAATTTGTTCTTCTCCTTCAATACAGAGTTGGTTATTCTGGATCTTTTGTCTCTCCATATATACTTTAAAATCAGTTTGTCAATAAGCTGCATCTTTTGTCTCTCCATATATACTTTAAAATCAGTTTGTCAATAAGCTGCGGGACAGCTTGCTAAGATTTTAACTGGTATGGCATTAAATCTATAGATTAAGTTGGGAAGAACTGACTTTTTGAGGATATTGGATCTTCTATCCATGAACATACAACTTACCCCATTTTATTTAGTTCTTTGATATCTATGACTTTTTAGTCTGTCTTATACAGATATTGTATATATCTTGTTAGATGTATACCAGAGTATTTCATGCTTTAAATGCTAATGTAAATGTAATGTGTTTTTATTTTAAAAGTTCACTTGTTCATTGCTGATATATAAAAAAGTGGTTGAGTTTTATATATTAACCTTTTATTCTGTAACTTGGCTGTAACTGCCTTTTAGTTCAGGCAGGATCGTGTGTGTCTGTGTGTGTGTTTTGTGTGTGTGTGTGTGTGTGTGTGTATGTATGCTTTTTTCCAAATCTTTTGCATTTTCCTCAAAGATGATGATGTTATCTGTAACTAAAGTCTTATTTTTTCCTTTCCAATGTACAAACTTTTAGTTTCTTTTGCTTGACTTACTACATTAGCCAGGACTTCTACTATGATGTTGAAAGTAGTAATGAGTGGGTGCATCATTGCCAGGCTCCTGAACTTACTGAAAAAGCTTTGAGTTTCTCACCACTAAGTATGATGTTGCCTGCATTTTGTGTATAGATATTTGCTATCAAGTAGAAGAAGTTTCCCTCTGTTCCTAGTTTACTGACAGTTTTTGTCATGAATGGGTGTTGGAATTTGTCAAATGTTTTGTTTCCATCTATTGATATAATCATGTGATTTTTACTTTTTAGCCTGTTGATGTGGTGGATTACATTAATTGATTTTCAAATATTGAACCAGTCTTGCATGCCTGAGGTAAATTCCATTTGGCTGTGGTGTACAATTCTTCTTATACACTGTTGGATTTGATTTGTTAATAATTTGTTGAGAATTTATGCATATATATAATTATGAGAAATGTTGGTATTTAGTTTTCTTTTCTTTCAAATAAAATCTTTGTCTGGTTTTGGTAATAGGGTAATACTGGCCTCATAGGAAATATGCCCTATTCGTCTATCAACTGCTAGAAGAGATTGCAGAGAATTTGTATAATTTCTTTCCTAAATATTTGGTAAAATTCACTGCTGAACCCATCTGGGCCTACTATTTCTTGTTTTGGAAGGTTATTACTTATTGATTATATTTTTAAGTAGATACAGGCATATACAAATTGTTGATTTCTCCTTGTGTTATTTTTGGAAGACTGTATCTTTTATGGAATTTGTCCATTTCATCTAGGTTATTAAATTTGTGAACCTAAAGTGGTGCCTAGTAGTCTTTTATAATACCTTTAATTTTCACAGGATCTATGGGAATATCATCTCTTTTATGTCTAATATTAGTAACTTGTGTTCTTTGTTTTTGTCAATTTTCAGGCTTATCAATTTTATTGATCTTTTCAAAGAAACAGATTTTCATTTTATTGATTTTCTCTACTGATTTCCTGACTTCAATTTTATCGTTTTCTGCTTCAATTTTATTATTTCTCTTCTTCTTCATATTTTAAATTTAATTTGTTCTTTTTTTCTAAATTTTTAAAAGGAGAAGCCTTTGATTATTGATTTCAGGTCTTTCTTGCTTTCTAATATATTCATTCAATGCTATAAATTTTTCTGTAATGCTGCTTTCACTGCATCCCCCAAATTTTTATAAGTTTCATAAATTTTGTTTCTATTTTTATGTAGTTCAAAATTTTAAAAATCTATCTTGATAGTTTTTCTTTGGCCCATCTATTTTGTAAATGTGTTATTTAATTTTCAACATTTTGGGCTTTTCCAGCTATCTTTCTGCTATTGATTTCTAATTTAATTCCATTGTTGTCTGAGAGCAGATATTTTTCCATCCTTTGGTGCGACGAGATGGCTAAAGGGGAAAAAATTTGGGCATTTCCCTTTCCCCACATGGAAAGCTAGAGCTGGCTAGATTTGGGCATTTCTCTTCCCAGCTAGGTCAGGCTGATAAAACCTAGTAGGTTAGCCTCTGGTAAAAATAGTTTCTCCTGCAGACCTTGTTAAAAAGAATAGAATGCTGTAGTGTATTTCAAAATGATTCATTTTCCCTTCCTTCTCCAAGCAGTAAGAGGGGATTTTTTCCCTAATATTTACTGTGAACACCTGGTAGAACTACTGGAAGTAAAACTCAGAAAATTGTCGGGACTCTCCTATGACTGTGATCCCCTGGAGTTTTTAACTCTCTAAATTATGATCCACCAATTACAGTTTAGGATTCCTTATCCTAGCATTTGTTCCCATTGAAGTTTCTTCCTGGGTTTCTGCTCCAGCAAGTTATGATTCTCTGGATCTGTATGTCTGTCTCTCCAATTTGGGGCACAGCAATTTGCACTGTGTTCTCACTTCTCTGACAGCTCTCAGAAGAGTTGCTGATTTCTCAGGTTGTTGAGTTTTTATTTAGAGTAGCAACTTCTAAGCTCCTTACATGATAGACCTGAAAAATTCAGAGTGGAAGTTTTTGATGAAAGATGACATGAAGATAGTAGAAGCTCTGTGGGATGGAGTGGTAAGAAAACCATAAGTGCTGAGGATAGCCTGAGAATGTTATATAGATTTAACACAGTCCAGTCATTCTGTGTGTAACTATGTCACAGCTGAAGAGGTAAAATTTCAAACAGTAGTTGGGAAAATTGGAGAGAACAGGCTCAGACATTCTATATCCTGCATATGAATGTTAAAGGGTCATCATGAGAGGCTCTCAGACAGCAATGTTTCTATTCAATTCTGAAATATCTGCAGTGATTTTTTTTTTCCAGATTGATTGTTTTGCTTTTTTGTAGCTTTTATAGAGAGGCTTTCAGTAGCACAATATCAGCCACTGAGCCTGCATCATCATGGCATTTCTCATATGCCAGAAAGTTTATATTGCCAGTGTCCATATTGATCCATTTTATCTGGTTTACCTTTATAGAGCATTTCACATCTTTGTTGATAACACTAACTGAGTTGCTGCAGGATTGAAGGATTGTTCACAGTATATTGCAATAAAGATTGTAAAGTGTATTCAGAATGTAGCAAAATTGACAGGAAGTAGAGCTTATGATTCTGAATGCACTGACAATGGGCCCTTTAGATGATTATCTCAAATATACAGAGTATATTTAGTCTAAATCCAATCTGAAAATTTCTCAACTGCTGTCTGAGTCACACTGTATGGTGTAACATTTCAGAATGCATTCTCTAATAAAAGCATGCGGTAGTACCTTTTCTGTTGCTATGGTTAGTGAAATTTAAAATTTTCCCTATGGGCATTTTTCTCCTGCTTTACCAGGTAGTTTGTAGATTATTTTCTCCACTGGATTTCAAAATCTACATTTGTCAGCTTTGTTCAACTACTATTTTCAAACAGATACTTCTAATATATACTTTTTTGAAACAGAGTTTTTCTTTGTCACCCAGGCTGTAGTGCAATGGCACAATCTCAACTCACTGCAACTCCTGCCTCCCGGGTTCAAGCAATTCTTGTGCCTCAGTCTCCCAAATAGCTGGAATTACAAGTGTGTGCCACCATCAATTTTGATTTTTAATAATCAAATTCTCTCTCTCTCTCTGTATTAAAACCTATACTACTACTGACTACTACTCTTCAGTCATACTATTCTATTATTCACAGCTGGTTATAGGTATATATATATATTTTTAGACAAGACTCATTCTGTCACCCAGGCTCGAGGGCAGTGGCATAATCATGGCTTACTGCTGCCTTGACCTCCTAGGCTCAAGAAATCCGCTCACCTCAGCCTCTCGAATAGCTGGGACTACAGGCATGTGCCACCATGTCTGGCTAATTTTCTGCATTTTTTTTTGTAGAGATGGTGGATGTGGAACTGGGCTCAAGCAATCCACCTAACTCGGCCTCAACATACTGAGATCACAGGCAAGAGACACCAGCCCCGGCCAGTGTATCCCATTTTTAAATATAGTTACATTAATATCAGAAATTTCCACATATAAAGTAGAGTCAAATAAATCCAGAGCCTGTTTTTCTCTAGAGGACAGAGATTTTCAAATCTTTCAGCTACTCATTTTGGGATATCCAACCGTATTGTTAAATAGCATGCTTATAATTATGTTAATAATTTTTTTTCCATTTTAGATAAATCTTCTCTTTGTGGAAACGAAATGGTTTTCTTTTACTTTCATTGCTTATACCACTCCACCACTGGCACACATGTTTTCTGTTCTCTTATCCTTACAATATAGTTATTTATTAATTTTGGTTAGATTAAAATTAGAATTCATGACAATGCAAACATAATTTACATATTGTATATCAAAAGTATGCTTTTTTCTTGCACTCCTGTTTTCTCTGAAATTAGTATTCTGTTTGTGCGCTTTCTTTGTCTTCTGTGTATTTAACACTTATTTAACTCCAAATACTATACCTCATACTTCATCTCTTCCATTTTCTTTCTTCTCTCTTCCTAAAAGTATTATTTACATAGTATTCCTCTGGACTGGTCCTAAAACTGTCTTTTCATTTTCATTATCCATTTGTTTTTTTTTTTTTTTATTCCAGGATACTTTCTCAGCATTCTCTTTTATCACTTCCATGTACTTTATCTAATTTCCAATTTCGTTTCCAGTTTTAAAGAAGAGCTCTTTTTTGTGATCACCAATTTTTTTTATTTTAATTTCCTGCATTAGTATTTTATAAAATTATACTTTAAGTTCTGGGATACATGTGCAGAACGTACAGGTTTGTTACTTAGGTATACACGTGCCATGGTGGTTTGCTGCACCCATCAACCCGTCATCTACATTAGCTTTTTCTTCTAATACTATCCCCCAGCAGCCCCCAGCCCCCAACAGGCCCTGGTGTATGATGTTCTGCTCCCTGTGTCCATGTGTTCTCATTGTTCAACTCCCACTTATGAGTGAGAACATGCGGTGTTTGGTTTTCTGTTCCTGTGTTAGTTTGCTGACAATGATGATTTCCAGCTTCATCCATGTCCCTGCAAAGGACATGAACTTATCCTTTTTTACGGCTGCATAGTATTCCGTGGTGTATATGTGCCACATTTTCTTTATCCAGTCTATCATTGATGGGCATTTGAGTTGGTTCCAAGTCTTTGCCATTGTGAACAGTGCTGCAATAAGCATACGTGTGCATGTGTCTTTATAGTAGAAAGATTTATAATTCTTTGGGTATATACCCAGTAATGGGATTGCTGGGTCAAATGGTATTTCTGGTTCTAGATCCTTGAGGAATCACCACACTGTCTTCCACAACGGTTGAACTAATTTAAACTCCCACCAACAGTGTAAAAGCATACTTATTTCTCCACATCCTCTCCAGTTTCTGTTGTTTCCTGACGTTTCAATGATCGCCATTCTCACTGGTGTGAGATGGTATCTCATTGTGGTTTTTGATTTGCATTTCTCTAATGACCAGTGATGATGAGCTTTTTTTCATGTATTTGTTGGCTGCATAAATGTCTTCTTTTGATAAATGTCTGTTCATATCCTTTGCCCACTTTTGATGGGTTATTTTTTTTCTTGTAAATTTGTTTAAATTCCTTGTAGATTCTGGATATTAGCCCTTTGTCAGATGGATAGACTGCAAAAATTTTCTCCCATTTTGTAGGTTACCTGTTCACTCTGATTATAGTTTCTTTTGCTGTGCAGAAGCTCTTTAGTTTAACTAGATCCCATTTGTCAGTTTTGGCTGTTGTTGCCATTGCTTTTGGTGTTTTAGGCATGAAGTCTTTGTCCGTGCCTATGTTCTGAATGATATTGCCCAGGTTTTCTTCTAGGGTTTCTATGGTTTTAGGTCTTACGTTTAAGTCTTTAATCCATCTTGAGTTAATTTTTGTATAAGGTATAAGTAAGGGGTCCAATTACAGTTTTCTGCATATGGCTAGCCAGTTTTCCCAACACCATTTATTAAATAGGAAATCCTTTTCCAATTGCTTGTTTTTGTCAGGTTTGTCAAAGATCAGATGGTTGTAGATGTGTGGCATTATTTCTGAGGCCTCTGTTCTGTTCCATTGGTCTATATCTCTGTTTTGGTACCAGTACCATGCTGTTTTGGTTACGGTAGCCTTGTAGTATAGTTTGAAGTCAGGTAGTGTGGTGCCTCCAGCTTTGTTCTTTTTGCTTAGGATTGTCTTGGCTGTATGGGCTTTTTTGGGGTACCATATGAAATTTAAAATAGTTTTATTTCTAATTCTATGAAGAAAGTCTATGATAGCTTGATTGGGATAGCATTGAATCTATAAATTATTTTGGGCAGTATGGCCATTTTCACAATACTGACTCTTCCTATCCATGAGCATGGAATGTTTTCCCATTTGTTTTTGTTCTCTCTTGTTTCCTTGAGCATTGTTTTCTAGTTCTCCTTGAAGAGGTCCTTCACATCCCTTGTAAGGTGTATTCCTAGGTATTTTATTCTCTTTGTAGCAATTGTGAATGGGATTTCACTCATGATTTGGCTCTCCGTTTGTCTATTATTGGTGTATAGGAATGCTTGTGATTTTTGCACATTGATTTTCTATCCTGAGACTTTGCTGAAGTTGTTTATCAGCTTAACAAGATTTGGGCCTGAGACGATGGGGTTTTCTAAATATATAATCATGTCATCTGCAAACAGAGACAATTTGACTTCCTCTTTTCCTATATACTCTTTATTTCTTTCTCTTGCTTGATTGCCCTGGCCAGAATTTCCAGTACTATGTTGAATAGGAGTGGTGAGAGAGGGCATCCTTGTCTTGTGCCGGTTTTCAAAGGGAATGCTTCCAGCTTTTCCCCATTTAGTATGATATGGGCTGTAGCTTTGTCAAAAATAGCTCTTATTATTTTGAGATAAGTTCCATCAATACATAGTTTATTGAGAGTTTTTAGCATGAAAGGGTGTGGAATTTTATCAAAGGCCTTTTCTCCATCTATTGAGATAATCATGTGGTTTTTGTCATTGGTTCTGTTTATGTGATGGATTACACTTATTGATTTGTGTATGTTGAAACAGTCTTGCATCCCAGGGATGAAGCCGACTTAATCGTGGTGGATAAGCTCTTTGATGTGCTGCTGGTTTCAGTTTGCCGGTATTGAGGATTTTCGCCTCAATGTTCATCAGGGATATTGGCCTGAAATTTTCTTTTCTCGTTATGTCTCTGCCAGTCTTTGGTATCAGGATGATGCTGGCCTCATAAAATGAGTTAGGGAGAATTCCCTCTTTTTCTGTTGTTTGGAATAGTTTCAGAAGGAATGGTATCAGCTCCTCTTTATACCTCTAGCAGAATTCAGCTGTGAATTTGTCTGGCCTTGGGCTTTTTTTGGTTGGTAGGCTATTAGTTACTGCCTCAATTCCAGAACTTGTTATTGGTCTATTCAGGGATTCGACTTCTTCCTGGTTTAGTCTTGGGAAGGTGTGTGTGTCCAGGAATTTATGCATTCTAGGGATGCCACAGAAAACAAAACTTGAAAGATATGGATAAATTCGAAGTTTTCTTTTCTATGGCATCCCATTCTTATTGATGTAATATCTCCTGTGTCTCTTTTAGGTAAATAATAAAATCTATTTTTAAAAAACATGCTTTTCCACTGACATAATATCAGAATCCTCCAAATTGCTTTTTTTAGATAATTGTTTTGTTCTCCTTTCCTATCATATGTTTTATACATATATCTGGCAATTCTTTGCTATCTGTTCCTACTTAAAAGTGGAAAGTAGAAATCTGATATGGCAGACCTGTCACTGTGATCTTACTTTTTAGGCAACTTAGTCAGAGTCTTTTCTTGGGAACATCCTATATGTTAGTATGTACAAGCTTCTTATCTTTTCTGATACCCCATGGAAGCCTCTTCCACACAACTGACTGCTAGGTATGCCACTAGCACACTGGAGATGAGCAGAAAAAGAATACCTAAGTCACAGCATCTGGTACGAGAGCATTGTCCAATCCTTTGATTTTATAAACTACTCTCTCCTCTCCAGTCGCTCTTGTTTCCTCTCATCTCTCTTGCAATTATTTTTATTTTAACCCTATCCAGGGGATAAAAATCTTTTGCCTGGGAGGAGACAGATCAGTTAACCTGCTGAAAGGATAAATAATTCAGGGATTCTTAAAAATACTCTAATTCAATTATCTTGATTTATTTCTATACTTCTCCTTTCAGAGGAAATGGTATGGTTCATTACAAAGCTTTTTTTATTGGTGGAGGGCATTCTAAGATGAAAGTTATGCTGTTTTCATTTTTTTTTTTTGTATGGTAGGTTAAGGATTTTCTGGTTTACATTATTTTGTTATTGCTGTCCCCTCTTCCACTCTCAATCTCTGGATGGTATTTATATGGTATTTTTTAAAAGTACATTTACTGATGTATAGTTTACTAATGTAAATACATTTAATAATGTTAGGACAGTTTCAGTAAGTGAAGGGAGGTAAATATGTTTGCTTAATCTACCATACTTAATAACAAATCTTCGCTCAATATACTTTTGTAGTTTTTTGATAAATCCATTGTTCAAATCCTTTATTATGTAGAAGATTCAATGAGCATTTAACAGATTTTTCAGAGATATGTTAAGAGAAGAGATATTGTTTAGAGACTGATTCTAAAAATCTGTTTCTGAGTATAAAAATACTTGGTTTTAATTATTTTTTGGAAGTTAAGAATACAGAAAATCTAAGAAAGTTGATCCTTCTCACCCACAGTGTTACCACAGTTAATATATGCCAACAAACAGTGAGACCATGTTTTACTTTCCAATATAATTTTTTAGGCTAATACAGTATGTAGCTAATAAAATTTATATAACCAGCATTTCAATTGATGATGTATAATTACAAGTTTGTGAACAAAATAATTGAATAACACTGTTTTAATAAATAAGTGTTATTCTTCCGTAGAGATATATCAATAAGCATATACATCTATTATTATTTATGCTGAATATTTAGAGTTTTTCCAAAGTTGTACTGTGAAAATCATTTTTACATTTAAGAAATATCATTGAACTCAGTTGATAATTAATACTAAAAACAACTCTTGTCAGAAAGATCAATGTATAAAGTCAAATTATATTTGGTAATCAGTTTTTAAATTGTATTTCTTTAGTTCAGATAACTACACATAGCTTATGAATCAATGTAGTTATCTATGGGTATGTTTTGACATTACTTCATCTCATTGGCTTGAAGAAGAAATTATTTTGCATATAAATAGGAGCTCAAAGGGAGCGCTATAATGCTTCTTTGCAGTTCTTGTAGACAATTGCTTAAAAAATTAACTGGGTCTAAGTCATTTTGATTTTTAGTGTAACATTTTAAAGACACCACGGGAAATGTATTCATGTATACAGTAGATTCAAAACTGCTTCCTATAGGAAATTTGGGGTTTGCATTCTCTCGTTCTTATGAACTTCCCCGGAGTTTTTTTAAAAACTTGAGGCTTCAAGTTAAACTTTTCAATTTTCATTATGATTTGTACCACTTGATTATTTTTTGTGTTAAGCATATGGGTTTACCTTCAAACAACAAGATAAGTTATAAGTAAGAACATCACTGAAAGCACAATTTCAAATCATCAAGCATGCAGTTCTATAAAAAATCTGATTGACAAAAATAATGTTTATGAAAGGTGGTTGTATATGCAATCTCTTTTTTTGGAATATAAATTTATGTTCTTTAAATATGGTTATTTAATCAAATTAATTCACCAACAGATTTGCCTTTTGGTGGGGAAACATTAACATTTTTCTTGACAACAAGAAAAGGCCACATGAAAACATATTTATATTGTAATACAAATGTTTAATACACTTTTAGTGCATTATTTATGATTCCATATATAAGCCACATATGAACATTTTTTTCAAACAATTAGGTGCTCTGAAGATCTAATATGAATGTCATGAAAAGGTATCATGAATGTCTTATCATTGTCCCATCTGCAGTTTTATTTATAATGTGTGTTTAATACATATTTTAGAAAAAATAAAAAGAATAATTGTATTTGATTGTATGCATTTTTGCTTGACAATTATTTCAGCCTTAATGTCAAAAATAATGATATGGATAAATGAGGTTTCAGTGTTATTGAAGTAGAACAGATTGGGACAGAGGAAAGAGAGAGAGGTAAAAAGAAATTGTTGCTTTACTCTTACAGTTATGGTGGAGGCCGATAACTGCCTTCACTTGTTACCTCTCAAGTGTTTCTACAATTTAACATCATTTAGTAAACGTGAGAATTATGCTCATTAGATGACCACTTACATTATTTAGTAATAGTTTGTGTAACTTGGTTTCATTCATAGTTTTGTTCTATTTTGTGTACTCTTGAAATTCTCTGTGATTTTAAAGCATGTTAAGCTAGACAATATTTTTTTCATAATCATTGCTCCGAGTCCTCTTAAAAATTAATTCAAATAATAAAGAATAGTTAGAAAAATCTCCACTAATGCACATTTTACTGTCATTTCCCATTTGGAAAAGGGAGAAATATTAGCTAAAGATATATTAAATAGCTATGGTGACGCATCTTCAGTCAGCTTCAGTCTGCTTCTGTTTAGTATAACAAAAAACATAGACAATCCTCCCAAGTATGTAAGTTAGACAAAATGGGAGATATTTTAGTTTATAAAGCCTATGTCAGTGTTTGTAATTTCTGCATCTTGCCATGTATTTTTATTCAGAATGCATCATTGATTTGAATGGGCAATTCCGTATATGGATTGATGGTATGATATGGTGAATAGCTCTAAAAAGAACCTAAATACAAAATAGCTTGTGGCTAAATGCTTTATCTAAAACATTAATCCATCTGTTCAAATTAAGCCAATATATGTCTCAAGAAAATAAACTACAAGTAAATAAAACTGAATGATGAAATAATGACTAGATTCTCTCTGGGACAAATGTGTTGTGGATATAAAAACATCACTGCTTTTTTTTTTTAGCCTATTCTGAAAGGCTGTTTCTATGGTTTTTCACATTTAAAATGGCTGTCTTGAGATAAACACGTCAGTCGTGATAAAGTTGCACTGAATTATTTTAATTTTACATTATTCTATAAAATGGGCCATAAATACATACAAATATATTCTGTGACACATTCTATATGAATCTTAGAAGTTATCAGCAGTACACATTACATTCTATTCTCCTCCTACATGAAGAGTGGGCAATTGGCACATCCAGATAGAGCAGGTGGTTGTGAAAGGAGTGCCAAGCCAGAATGTGGAACGTTTGTAGACATCTGCTATTCTTTTCTGCTACCCCAGGTCACTGATACGAAATAAATGAATTTATCTTATGACTTTTGAAGCCTATTATACACTGGCCTTTAAAAGTTGAAGTCATATACAGGGTTCTATTTGCAAATCTGAAATGATTTTTAATATTTGTGTTGCATAAGTAATGCATAATACAAGATAACATTTTCCCCCAGTATGTCAATTTCAGAGGTGAAAAATTTGAAGAAGACATAACTAGAGGGTAAAGCTTGGGTGTTTGGCTGACACCTTGAAAGTAAACTACCTATCAGGAATTATGCTTATTACCTGGGTGGCAAAATAATCTGTACACCAAGCCCCATGACACACAATTTACCTATATAACAAGCCTGCACATGTAAACCCGAACCCAAAGTAAAAGTTAAAAAAGGGAAATATTTTAAAAAGAATGTATTCTCAAAAGAGGGCTAAGGCTAAGGACATAGAGGAAAGGTGTAAGTTAATATTTCATAGAATATCCCCCTTTTCTTGGTGTCCAGAATACTGTCCCCTGGTTCTCTTCTTTGTCAGATAAGTAAATCAATACTCTCTCTCTTTTCTTCTGCCAAATCCTACACATTTCATATCCTTCATATTTCTGTTCTTGGTCATTTTATATTCTTTCCTTATTGAAGGGGGCTTTTATCATCTCTTGAACCATTCAATACTCTATACTTAGAACAGCTAAAATTTTATTCATGGCCTTGATATTCCTCCTATCTCCAGTATATGAATTTAGGCAGAATGTAAATAAGAGAGAATAAATTGCTGCATAAATGCCCTACAGGTAATTTCAAATTCAAAGTGAGCAATTATATCCATTTTTTTATTATTATTATACTTTAAGTTTTAGGGTACATGTGCACATTGTGCAGGTTAGTTACATACGTATACATGTGCCATGCTGGTGCACTGCACCCACTAACTCGTCATCTAGCATTAGGTATATCTCCCAATGCTATCCCTCCGCCCTCCCCCCACCCCACAACAGTCCCCAGAGTGTGATGTTCCCCTTCCTTTGTCGATGTGATCTCATTGTTCAATTCCCACCTATGAGTGAGAATATGCGGTGTTTGGTTTTTTGTTCTTGCGATAGTTTACTGAGAATGGTGATTTCCAATTTCATCCATGTCCCTACAAAGGACATGAACTCATCATTTTTTATGGCTGCATAGTATTCCATGGTGTATATGTGCCACATTTTCTTAATCCAGTCTATCACTGCTGGACATTTGGGTTGGTTCCAAGTCTTTGCTATTGTGAATAATGCCGCAATAAACATACGACATTTATGCAGCCAAAAAACACATGAAAAAATGCTCATCATCACTGGCCATCAGAGAAATGCAAATCAAAACCACAATGAGATACCATCTCACGCCAGTTAGAATGGCAATCATTAAAAAGTCAGGAAACAACAGGTGCTAGCGAGGATGTGGAGAAATAGGAACACTTTTACACTGCTGGTGGGACTGTAAACTAGTTCAACCATTGTGGAAGTCAGTGTGGCGATTCCTCAGGGATCTAGAACTAGAAATACCATTTGACCCAGCCATCCCATTACTGGGTATATACCCAAAGGACTATAAATCATGCTGCTATAAAGACACATGCACACGTATGTTTATTGCGACATTATTCACAATTATATCCATTTCTTTTGCCAAATCTATTCCTAGTTTTATCTTTCCCATCTTAAGAGTATTATCAGCTATTCATTGGCTGAAGCAAAAATAATTGTCCAAATGTGTCAGTTCCAAAATTGTAAGTTACTCAATTATCTATATTCCCTTACTAAATGTTAACTATATTCCCTTACTAAAACATATCCTGCAAAAGTCTTCTCTCCCTTCAGCATCCCTAACCCCCTTAGCAGATCCTTTGTATTTCTCATGAATAATTGCAACATAACCGTCTTACAGCTGTGATTTTATTATTTCTTCTCAATCCATTCACCATATTGCTGCCAGAATTTTCACTTAAAAATGCCAGATTCAGTTGTCGCTTTTCTGCTTCAAATCTTTCCATTTTTCTTAATTATTTTTGAATAAATTAAAAGGATTCTACCTAGCATAGACTAAGTTATTCTCATTTTCTTCCCTTTATCTCCCCATCCTAAAACATAGCCACACTGAATTAGTGGCAATTTTCTCACATGTGCCATGATTTATGTATCTTTTAAATTGTGAGTCCTTTGTCTTTTCTTGATATATCTCTTTAAATTTGGTAAATCTGATGAACGCATATGATAAACACCTATTTCAAACTCAAATTCAAGTGTCATATTTCCTCTGTAGTGTTTTCAATAGCACTGCACCAATTCAGTTCTGCACCTCTATTTTCCCAACAGGATAGGGCAATCTCCAATTTTCACAGCTGACAGTAACTATATGCTTAAGTGGCAGGCAGACTCACTAGACGGTAAACACCTAGAGTACAGGAATCATTTAAAAATCATGTTTGTATGTCCTATGTGCCCATTGCAGGCACTTAATAGATATTACTCATTGAAAAAAACTGAGCTTGTGACTTTTCCAGTTAAAATGAAAAAAAGAAAAAGAAAAAAAAAAAACAATACCAAGCATCTTCCCAGAAAAGAGTGAAAAACGAGCTTGGTGTCCCAAACAACATTCTTCCTATCAACAAAATGGGCTCTAATATCCAAAGGCAAACTCTCATAGAGCACTCACCTAACAGCTTTAGAATTACTCAGACTGAAATTTATCCACATTACAGAGCACTTTAAGGGGTGCCTATGGAAGGAAATATATACTATAAAACCAAATTCTCATCTCTTCACTGTGTGCAACTCAGTGATAACTGGACTGTTAGAAAGAAAACATTTTGTATGGTTTCTAAGACTTCTGAGTAGTTTTTGTGCTGTTTCAAAGTAATTTAGCTCTGGGGAGGAAGCAGAAGCAACAATCATCAGGCCAGGATCAAAATTAATAGGCTCCGTATTGGCCAGACACAGCTCTTTACTCAGAGTTCTTGCCAGAGTCAAATGTAACATTTCTTTACTTCTAACTTTGATTGTCTTCAGGGACCATCATTGAAAGATGTGCGAGTTGCAAAGTATTAGTTATCTCATTCAACCCATCAAAAAGCAAAGAATAGTATTTTAGGTAAATGAAAACAATATGGATCCTGAAATCTGAAAGGAAAATTCTTAAAGAATAATAAGGAAAAGACCAAAATAGAAATAAACGAAAGAGGAATATTTAACAACTTACCATTTCTTACCCATGTCTGCAATAATTTTCATTAACTATTATACTCTTAGTGTCTTTCTAAATACAGTAACAAAGGTAAGAATTTTGCTCCTTACTTACAAATCTGTACTAGGAGTAATTGTAGTTCTTTTAAAATGGTTTATTTTTTCCACGCCTTCCTCACTTAAGTCAGTGGTAGGATTTACATATAATACCATTTATAGCACACATTTGTGGAATCAATTGTACTGTTTGACTTAATGGCTTATTTCACATTTTACTTCATGGATTATTTCCTTAGTCAAATGTTTATTTTATGTTCAATAATAAAGATGAATGAGAAAAAAATTATTACTCAGTTTCTATTGTATTTTCTCTCTTGATTTTTTCCCCTAAGATCTTTGAGTAATAATTCATTTTTGGTAATTATATTTAGATCAATAATCATAAGGTAAAAATTGGAAATTTTATCCAGGAGAAGGAATAAAGAGCAAAAATGGAAGATATGAAAAAATTGAAACATATGTAGAATACATGGCTCAGTGTGGGATTGAAAGCAAACATTTTATTCAAGACATTTTACTTAATAATATTAGTGATTTCCATTGGTGGGAATGTCAGAATCTCATCTATACCATCATACCATCAGTATTACACTATGATGTTCCTTTGACTAAATTTAATAAAAAATACTTAAATTTTTATTTGATTCATGTATTTAATATCTAAATTTATCATTTAAACCATTTTAATCCCCATCATGTTTGCTGGTTTAAAATAATTAGCTGTGTCATAAAGGTAAATATGGCATTCCAACCCAATAAAAGTGAAAAAAAGAAAAAAGCTCTAAACTCTTTTTTTATTCATGTAATACCAAGGAACTGACTTAACAGTTCCTCTTGCTTCTGTGGCCCTTAGTGAAGTTATCTTTCTAAAATTAATTATTTCACTAATCCTCTTGGCGTTTTTCTACACAATCCTTACCCCAGATTTTCACGCTATCTTGCATATAATATTAGAGAATAACAATTTTATAGTGTTTTATACTTGCTTGCATATCTGCTGTTTGACTCTAAGCAGTTTGTCTTTGAGTTATATATCTTTATTGTCTAGCCTATGACTGACATTAAAAGTGAAAAAATCATTGGTAAATAAATGTTAATTTTATTTATTTATTTATATTTATTTATTTATTTTTATTTTTTATTTTTTGGAGACGGAGTATCGCTCTGTCACACAGGCTGGAGTGCCATGGCGCGATCTGGGCTCACTGCAGTCTACGCCTCCCGGGTTCAAGCCATTCCCCTGCCTCAGCCTCCCGAGTAGCTGGGACTACACGCGAACCGCCACCACGCCCGGATAATTTTTTGTATTTTTAATAGAGAAGGGGTTTCACTGTGTTAGCCAGGATGGTCTCAAACTCCTGACCTCGTGATCCACCTGCCTGGGCCTCCCAAAGTGCTGGGATTACAGACGTGAGCCACCGCGCCCGGCCATAAATGTTAATTTTAATGATAGCTATGGGAGGTGGGACACGGCAACTCTCAGAAGAGATTGTCTACAAATGCTTAGTCATGACAGGACATTTTTTCTCTACATTTTCTCTCCACAAAAATTTCTTAATTGTCCCTTTTTAAATCTTCCTGAAAAACTATTACTATTTGCCAGAGGTAGCATTAAACAGAGATAGATCTTTTTATTGTATTTTATTTTTTAATAGGAACTGTTGGCAAATAAATGTATAGTACATATGAAAGACCATGTCCTTTTCTATGAAGAAAAAGACAAATTTAATAGCACTGTGTGTGTCTTATCTCAATGTGCACCATTCTTCCCAGGTTAGAGAAGAATTTTCCTATGAAACCACATTATGTTTCCAGTTATTCCTAGACACACACAGGAACGGTAAAGTCATGGACACACAAGTCCTGATCTTACAAAGTGTATGTAATTATTGGCAATATATTGATGTCAAATAATAATGCACAAAACAAAAAATATGATAGAGCATTTACTATATTTCCTGTGAAGTATTCTAAGACTCTCTATGTGATCACTTCTTGGAGAATTTATTTTGTATACTAAGAACAGCAAAATCATCTCAATTTCTCTTCATGTAGGGGCAAAACAATTTGTTCCTGCTTTTATTTTTTTAAGTCAATTTTTTTCTGTCTATGTAGTCAACATATATTGAAGATTATTCTTCAGGTAATTTGTATAATAAATATATGATTATATTTTATAAATGTGTATCATGATACATGTATCCACATTTACAAATATGCATCTATTCCTGTGTATAGCTTTAAATGGTTTTTGTTTCCTTCTCAATAAAGTTATTTCCCTTTCTTCTGAATCCTTTATTGGTCTATTGTCATTGGATTTTACACTTACAAAAATGCCTTCCTCCACCAACTTAAATTCCCCCTTCCAAGGATTACTTCGCTTTGGTTATTTCAGTAACACTGGAGAACATACTCTACAAAATGAATGGGAAAAAAGTGAGGTTGGAGTGGTACATAGGAGCCAGGACATAAAAACACACGAAAGACACGTTTATGAGTTAATTTTTTCTAAGATAAATTTTAAAAATCAATAATATTTTGGTGGTGGCCAGGCGCGGTGGCTCATGCCTGTAATTCCAGCACTTTGGGAGGCTGAAGGAGGCGGACCACGAGGTCAGGAGATCGAGACCATCCTGGCTAACATGGTGAAACTCTGTCTCTACTAAAAATACAAAAAAATTAGCTGGGCGTGGTGGCTGGGGCCTGTAGTCCCAGCTACTAGGGAGGCCGAGGCAGGAGAATCACTCGAACCCGGGAGGTGGAGGTTGCAGTGAGCCAAGATCGCGCCACTGCACTCCAGCCTGGGAGACAGAGTGAGACTCCATCTCATATAATAATAATAATAATAATAATAATAATAATAATAATAATAATATTTTGGTGGCATGTTTAGTGTTGATATTTTAAGGGGGTATTTAACCTGCTGTGTGGATAATAAATATAGAGGGGGCATAATTGTAGAGGAGGTGAAGGTTGTTTTAGCAATCTAAGGCAAAGTTGATTCTTGACGTAACATAATGATGTGGCAGGTGTCACAGAGAATAGGCATGGATTTATGAGATTTAAATGTTGAAAGAGGGAGAAATACTTGATACCTGTTAGGTTTCCATCTTGCTAACTTCATGGATGACAGTAGTATACACAGAGTTAGAGAACAAAGGAATAAAAACTTGTATGGAGAACAGTAACTTGAAAGATTTTATCTTAGTTTAGGTTGCCTCTAGAAACAGATGCTGAGGAAATTCAAGTAGCTAATTTGGAAGACGATTTTAGGAAATACTGATAGGTGAGGAGAAACTGAAATAGGGATGAAATGCAGCAATGAAGGAGTTGTTATCTGAAAATTATTGCTTAAGTTACTATATCCAGTTTCCAGTAGAAAACTGGATCTTGATCCTGCTGGGAAATTGTGGGGCTCTCCATGTGTAAAACAGGCACACCATTGTTATCTCAACTGGGAGAAAAGGAAGCTAATATATTTAAAGATCACACAGCTATGTTATTTATAGAAGAAGACTTCTCCTTGGGTATGTTAATTCCTTCACTTCTGGCTTGCATGAAGGTGGCAAAGTGGGTTCCAGACACTGAAGTCCTGTGCTGGCAGCTGGATTTGGAGCCAATGTGCACAGAAGAGGAAAAGGAAAAAGAGATGTGTGGGGAAACAACAGCATCTGCCAAAGAATGGATTGAAGAAGAAAAAAGTAGTAAGTTGAAATTCAGGGGAATGGATTTTTCTCCAGAAACAAATATAAAAGAAAACTTCAACAAAGGTGGAACTATAGCATTGAATCCTTAGGACTCAGGAGGGTTGGGAGGGAGGGATATGAACTAAAGGTAATCCTAAGTTTGTTACTTATGACTTAGCATGAAAACTTTCAGATTAATAATGCAGGTGAGGTTCATATAGTATATAGTTTTAAAAATTTTGTCTTGTCGATTGTGGTTTGTTGATTTATTATCAGCTGGTGTCCTAATCATTACTATAGGTCATCAAATTTCAGTTCGCCTCACTTTTAGACACATAACAGAAATGTGGTTTTTACACTTTAAATTTATGTGGCTTGCTGTGGCCAATTAAATATGATAACGTAAAGTGATACACATGGAACCATTTAATTACCTAGACATCTGCTCTAACAAACCCTAGCAATGAAGATTTCAAATTTTTTGTCTTGGTGGAAAACATACATCTGAATTTCATTCCGCCTTTCTACCCCATGAGTAATTGTTAACTATAGACCTTCTCCTTGAAATATGGCATGGAACAGGTTCATTCAGTGTATCCCCCATCAATGTCTCAGATTTTGAAGATTCTAAATATTGCCTCTCCCTTGCTCTTCCTTTATTCTTTTTTCCATTTCTACTTTATCTATACTTTTCTAATGCTTTTGCTTTAGTAAATTTTTTTCTGGTCATTTTAGTGTAGATTTTGGTGTATGGTGAATCACTATTTTTTTCAATTCCTTTAATCTACTGTTTATTACTTTTATTTCACTAAAACAGACTTTTTAAAAGAATAGCTAATAATCTCATATGTCCAAATGTAATGGTCTTTCAGAAGTCGTTTAAAAAACCCTTTTTTTCTATTTGACATGTTAAAAAAATTAAACTATGATTTCTTCCAGTATTTTCCTCTTTTTGCTTATGTAATGATATAGCCTCTCTTTTCTTGAACATTCTCTGTACTTCAATTTCTTCCTTGTTTGTACTGATTTACCTCTTGTACATGAATAATCATTAAATTTATTTTTTCCTCAAATTTACTATTGTCTTATTCAATATCCAGCCCCCGAGAGATCCAATTAATACTCATTAACTTGGACATTGACCCTTCTTCAGTGCCATATTTTTATTTTACTGGTTTACAAACAGATTATTTCTAGTTTCCGCTGCAAATGACCCTAATTCAGCAAGTGAAAGGCATATTTTTTAAGAGCCTTTTTCTTATCTCTTCACGGTTGCCAATGTCATTATACTACACTCACTCTGCCATTCAGTGAAATAATATATTTAGTTCGGGGATCTAAATCAGTGTAAATATTATCATGATATGACAGAATGTAACAGCATACTAAAGAGAATCTATATATAACGCAACAAGAATACGGATCTCTAGAGAGTTGAGCTGGTGCCTTTTAGGCTTTCTAACAAGTAATTTACTAAATACGACTGGTTCTTCTTTTGAGAATTCCCTCCAAATATTATTTTCTTTTCATTCTTACTACTACCTGTCTACCCTAGGACATTTAGATTGTCCCACAAAATCAGGTTATTTTCTTCATTGAAAACATAATAACATAATTGGTTTTATAATCTGATTTTAAAATTTTATATTGACCCTTTTCTCCCCTGTTAACATATTTGAAAGAAGCCATTATATAATTCAGGATCTTCAGTTGAATGTACCACTTCTCTCATCTCCTTGTTTACTTGGATAAAACATCTGCTTCAACAGGCAAGTTAATTTTACCTCTGCCACTTTTCCTTTTTTTTTTTTTTTAGTTCTCTATGTACTTGATATTCCAATTAAAAAAGAAAAGTCATTTTTTTAGTTCTCTATGTACTTGATATTCCAATTAAAAAATAAAAGTCATAATTGACATTGCCTATGAGTTGTGCCCCCCCACCACAAAGTATCCTAACACTTAGCTCATGTTATAACTATCTCTACTACAAGGATTTAGAATTCTCTAGTAGTTTCATGATCCTGTAAATTTTTGACTTACGCAACTGTGTTCTGAACTCCAAACCAGTTGCTGTATCTTCTAAAGATTTTGTATACTTTCAAGAATTTTAAAAGCAATTGGACTTTCAAAAAGTATTTAATCAATGTTTTGTATGTAATTGAATAAATGAAGAGTTATCACATTAAGACAATCATTCACAATTAACATATTTTCCTTTATATTTTATTTGCAGTAAGAATGCAAAGATGCAAAATGTAACACATTGTTGTCCTTTAAAATATACAGGGAACTAATGAAAAGGAAACTTTTGGCTTAATGTTTCCAGATAATTGCACCTGTTCTCTATTTATCTTTAAATAGGTGCATAATTTATATTCAGTCGAATTTTCCTAATATCTAAAAAAGTAGACAAAATTGGAAGATGAAAGCTCTCTTTTCGTAGTATTTAAGAAACAAATCACAATACAAGAACATCATTTCTCATCTATAGTTTTACATTCATGGTAATTGTATGTGAGGAAATTAATATAAAGAATATAGGCAGTAACCAATTCAATTTTGATTTTGCAGGTGTAAGATACAAATATTTTTTAAAGGTTTACTTAATAAGTAAGTTTTATGTTATTTCTTTTGTGAATTGCAGTGTCTTTAATACATCATTCATTCATTTTTTATATTAAAATATAAAGAAATAAGGGCAAATAAGGAACAAATAAGGGATGCTATGAATTTCAGGGTGCAACAATTATCCCATAGAAAATTTCTTTTCTGAAGTTAAGTCAATTGTTAATGTAATCATTGGAAATAGTTTTGAGCAAGTATTTGCTCAATGCTTACAATGTGCAAGGCACCATGCTTTTAATTCCTATAATACAGCATTTCACATAGGCGGTGCTAAATAAGTATTAGTAGAACACATGGAAATGAATGTGCTAAAATTGGTGAGACAGAGATAATACTTAAATGAAATAATCAAGGAAACTACCTCTGCAGCAATCTATTTATTGCTAAAAGTCATTCAACAAGTATGTATTTAGTGCCTACCATTTGATTTGTAAGACCAGGAACATGATGGACAAGATGAATCATGAAGTTTATACATTAGTAGGGGAAATAGATAAAGAATTAATGTGATTTTTAGATATGACACCTGTAATCATTATAAATAAAATTAATTAAATATTAGAAGAGTGGGTTAGAGGATGAGTGGGTAGGGAAATTAAATAGGCATTTTCAGGGAAGGCCTAACCAAGGAAACAATAAATGATTGATAGAAAAATCAAGACAACAATTAAGAAGAAACTAAAATGATAGTTACCTTTTGGTAGCTCATAGGATAGTTTTTGGTTAAAGTATCTCGAACACTCTTAGATATTTCAATAAATAATAAACTGATGTGGGGACATTGAAGGGAAAGGTTTGAGGGTGAGAATAAAAGTATGTTAAGAACAAATCGGAGAAATAATTTTATTGAAGCCCAGCTTTTATGCATGCTCTAGAGAAACACAAGTTAAGTGTGCACATTCATATTTTACAGATAAATTAATATTATATTAAACAATATAGTCATTGTTAAGTCAGGACTAAATATTGTCCATTCCTACAATCTATAACAATGACCACTTCTTGCTAAATTAAAAGGTAAGATTAGGTTATTATATTTCATAAATATCTCTTATTCTTACTGTTATTTCTCAAGAGATTCTTTGAAACAGAAAGAGATAATAAAGGGAACAAAAGGAAAAATGCAAAGCCAAGAGTTAAGATGGAAAAAGATTCTTTGCTTGGCCAAATTTAGCCAGACTTCTGAATCTTCTTCTATGTCCACCTGTGCTCTTACCTGTAAAATCCAGTTGTAGCAAAGAACCCTGCTAAGTCAGTCTAGCCAGAACCCCTCATTCATCATATCTGATCATCACTGACGTCTTATCAGGTTCCTCATCCTTCATCATCCCTTAGGTAATGTCTGATCACCCTGGTCTGTCTTCAGCAAGAATCTTGTTAGGTCAGTTTAGCCAGAATACTCCTTACACTTGATGTTTCTTGTTTGTAATTTCCTTCCACTGACCCCCACACTGCTCCTTGGCTATAAATTCCCACTTGCCCATGCTGTATTTGGAGTTGAGCCAAAATTCCCACATTGCAAAACCCCATTGCAGTGGTTCCTGCACTTATCATGATGGTCCTGAATAAAGTCTTTTTTTTTTTAAACCATGCTTTAAAGCAATTCAGAAATAAAAGTTGGAAAAGAAAATAGTATCAATGAATAACATTTTTCTTTACCAGTTAGGGTGTGCAGACTTGGATTGAATCAGATTCATCATGGATCTCCAGGACTCTTACCTAGATCCTAAGTGCATGCTTTGAAGACTTTGTCTTCACTCCTGACTGAATGATAGGGAATCCATTGGCAAGTCAGATTCCTGAACTATTGCTCCACTCCAAACAATTGTCATTGAAACTGGTAAGGACATATTTTGATTCTTAAGCCATAAGTGAAGTGTTTGAAGCTGGGTTAGAGTCCCGGGCTTTTTTATAAAGGCACCTCCTGTGCTGGAAGTTCTTCTACCTGGTTCCTGATCTAAGTAGGGATTATTCCCTGACTCCCTGGGCTGGAAATCTCTGCTTCTTGAACCTCTGTGAGACAACTCTATTCTTTTTATTGGATTCTGCTTCTCCTATGGGAATTTGTCTGTCACAGTCTTCCTGAATCTCTGCTGACTATATGTTCTTTCAACTCTGTTCACCCCTGCGAGACGCTTTTCCTTCCCATTTCAAGCTGAACTTTTCAGTCACTTGAACTTTATTATCCCTAACCTATATTGGGGGCTCTGGAGGGACATAGTGGCCCCTCAAAAGCAATCACCCAAGGCTAAAAAGAGAGAAAAATAGGAACAGTTTGGAAACTGAGCAAATGAAAAATCCTAAAGGTCTCCTCCACAAATATTGACAAAGAGCTTTTAGCCCTTATTGAGTAGATGACCTTATCTTGTCCCATTTTCGTCAGCAATATAATTTGAATTTAAAAATATAAAGTATAGATAAACCAATGAATTTGTATTACTCTTATTACTCTCTTCTACAGCCTCACAACACAAATTTTAAAATAAATAGCCATAATATTTAGTTGCATCTGTCTGCATGTTTATGTATGTATAATGTATATATGTATATATGTGTGGTTTTATCTTATGTATATGTGATAATTTCTTTTGGTAGTAATAACAAACAAATTTATAAAACCCCTTAAAGGAGTGCCATTCAAATGGCCTGAAGATAAATGAGCATGCTGGGTTTGGTGACTCATGCCTGTAATCTGGACACTCTGAGAGGCTGAGGCGAAAGGATCGTTTGAGCCCAGTAGTTCGAGACCAGCTTGGCACCATAGTGAGACCCCATCTCTATTTAAAAAAATAATAATTCCTGTTTCTTAAAAAAATAGATAAATGAACACTTACATAATTTAAGTACTCTTAAAATTCATGGAAAACAAAACTGCCTCAAAAGATGTTTTTAAGTTTCTGTGAACCTGAATAATCTATGGTAAATAAATTATAGTTTTGAACTTGTTGGTAAAATAAAAATATGACCATTGCCTGAATTGGCAGCATTAAATATAATACATACATACATTCTTGCCTGGATTTTCTGGCCAGAAAATTTTGTGTTGTCTCTGCTTGATGTTTATGACCATAAAACTATGAATTCCACCTATGAACAAAAGGCACAGTAAAAATAATTGCTCAATTGCTCAATGTGTGTCAGTCATGGAAGTAAGAGAGAGAGAGAGAGAGTAAAAGACCATGTTTAACTTTTTAGTTTCTTTGCTTTTTAGATTTTTTTTTATAATTACCTGATTTGTTAATGGGGAAAATGCTTTAAAACAGTGGCTAGATTTGTTTAATTTCTCATGGAATTTTTCACAAACAATTCAAACACAATTGTTGAAAATAAATTAGATGAATGCAAAAGGAATAAACTTTATAAGTAAACATTTCAGAAAAAATTCAACTTTAAAAGTTCTACTTAAAAATAATTTCAAAAACCTTTTATTTTTTAGATAGCTTGCAACCTTAAAGTTGTGTTAAGTTAAACTGAATAATAGGTATTCATTACAAATATAGACCCAGCTGGGTGCGGTGGCTCACACCTGGAATCCCAGCACTTGGCAATACTGAGGTGGGTGGATTTCTTGAGCTCAGCAGTTTGCGACCAGCCTGAGCAACACGGTGAAATCCTGTCTCTACAAAAAATACAAAAAATTAGCCAGGCATGGTGACACATACCTGTAGTTCCACATTCTTGGAAGGCTGAAGTGGGAGGATCACCCAAGCCCAGGAGGTCAAGACTGCGGTGAGCTGTGACCACACCACTGCACTCCAGCCTGGGCAATGGAGTGAGACCCTGTCTCAAAAAAAACTATATATCTATCATCTATATACATATATATAGATGATAGATATAGATATAGATACAGATAAAGATATAGATATGGATATAGATGGACCCAACCATGGAAAAGTAATCTTGCCTAGTATGGTCAAAGCTGGCTATAATTGGATGGATTTATTTATATGATTTTATTTAAATTAATTTTAATAGTATAGTTGACCCTTTAATAACATAGTTTTAAACTGTATGAGTCCATATATATGAAGAAGTTTTCCCAGTAAATATACTGGAAAATTTTTTTTGAGATTTGCCACAATCTGAAAAAACTCACAGATGAACCATGTAGCCTAAAACCATTGAAAATGTTAAGAAATTGATGTGTCATGAAGGCATAAATTATATGTATATTGTAGTCTATTTTTTATTTGCTACCATAAAATATATGCATCTATTATTAAAAGTTGAAATTAATCAAAATTTATTAACACAAACACAGACTGTACATGGTGCCATTTGCATTTGAGAAAAGAGTAAACAAATGTAATGATGCATTAAATTATGACTGCATACAATTAACTGTAGTACATACTGTACTGGTGTCATAATTTTATAGCCACCTCCTGTAGCTAGTGCCATGAGCTCAAGTGTTGTATCCACTTAAAAAGACATGTGACATTAATTATCTCTGCACGAGCTGTTCAACTCTCCAGTATATTGAATATCACAGTATAAGTAATCTCTTCTAGTTCTTGTGTATTTTTCATGATGCTAAGTGCAATACTGAAAACCCTGAATAACACTATAGGACCTATATTATTTCTCAAGAGATTCTTGAAGTGCCATTAGTGATGCTGAAAGTGCCCCCAGGAAGCAGAGAAAAGTCATGACATTTCAAGAAAAAGTTGAATTACTTGATATGTACCATAGACTGAGGTCTGCAGTTGTGGTTGCCCACCATTTTAGATAAACAATTTATCCTACAAACTGATGACATACACATATGTTATTAATAAATACAGTATAGTAGTGTGCATGTATTCTCTTTTTATTAAGATTTCCTTAGTAACATTTTGTTTTCTCTAGCTTCCCTTATTGTAATAATAAAGTATGTCATATCTATAACATACAAACTAAGAATTAATTGACAGATTAGACTATCAATGAGGCTTTTGTTCAACAGTAGGCTACTAATTGTTAAAGTTATCCACAGATTTTCAACTGTGCTTTGGCTCACTGCCTCTAAAATCCACATTTTGTTCAAGGGTCAACTGTATATTAATGCAAAAGTAAAATTCGGTCTTTGTTAAAATTACAAAGTTTTCATGGAGTATTGATCTGAGAATGTGAAGGGTTTTTTTTTTTTCCTTTTAAGTAATTGGCCTAGAAAATAGAGCTTTTGTGTTTTATCAGGATAATTTCTGTGTTTGTTGTTGTCTTTCATTAGGTTTTAGATTACTTAGGAAAATTGAGTCATAACTGTGTAATCTTCTGTATTTACCTTTAAGATATTTTATTGCCATTTTAAAATATTTTATTAAAAATATTTATTTTCATTTAGTAATTTTAATTAAATAGATAACCAAGATAATATTTAAGCAAATGTTTTAAACTTTTTCACATTTTGACAAACTTCTCAAAGTCAAATTTGAAATTAGTTCTTTTTGACCTCAGACTAACTTTGGGACAGTCCAGAGGGCTCCTGTAAGGTCTGAAAGGACCTATAAGAGAAAGATATTAAACTAATTAGGCTTATTTGATTTGTTAAATTCCATGGGAAGCATTGTCAAATAAGAAAATATGTTTAACCTTCCTTGGGTTAAATTTGTATATGTGCTTTATTATTGTATATGCTATGTGTTTCACATAACTATTCTTATTGTGTAGAATTCTTAGAAATATGATATGCTTTCAGTCATAATTTGATTATTTTGATAAAATGTTGTATATCACAAAAATAACTAAATTTCCTTGTCAGTTGTTTTATTATACTAAATTCTCATCAGATTTGTAACCATGCCATTCAAGGCTTTGTCATCCATAGACAATTATTCTGTTACTTTAATTCTTCTCTAAAAGTGTTGCTATCAGATAAATTTCAAGACGGCTTCTTCAAATAGATTCATGAAAGCACTCTGATAAGTACAAGTTTCTGACAACTTTAAGATCATGCCATTGATAAGGCATAAGTAAGAATTTTCAGAATTCTAATGTAACTGATGGGTTCCCAAAACTGCTACCCCAAGATCAAGCAAAACAAAAATAGATTAAATGTGGCTGAATGAACAAGTATGCATAATTTTTAATGGATTTTTCTTTGAAACATAGATGGTTCTTTAAGTGTTTTGTTTTCCTAATTAAAGGAAACCTTTTTTTTTTTTCTTTTAAGCTATTTATAACTTATAGCAATTTGGTAAAGTATAGTTTGTGAGCAAACATTGAAACATTTGCTTTTGCTCTTTACCTGATATTTTCATAATTCAAAAGCCTTTGTAAGTATTCTTATTTTTATGTCAATGTAGTTATTTGCACAAGTTTAATAAGAAGCCGTTCTCCTTGTAACAAGACAGAATTGGAAACACTGGTTATATTACCAAGGTTTTGACTGGAATGAAGTATTTTCAGGTATGACTAAACAGCTTTAAAAAACTAAGGTTGACTTTATGGGTGCAATTATGTCCCCCATGGAAAAACTTGCCTGAGGTTTCCCAGCTTCAGAGGTGAGTAAAGAATGTCACTTCCTCACAAGCCCGAGAAGCATAGGATATTTGGAGAACCTTGACAAGAAACAAATTCACCCAATTCTATAGGTGTTACAAATATAGACCAATGACAAGTCTTTGGTTTGACTTCCTGGCCTCAAGAGGTTTTATACAAGTCCAATCTGAGATTGCTTGTCAAAAGTTCCTGCAAAGCAAACTTAAAAGAGCCTATATAAACAGTCACTAGTCTTGCTGCACTTACATAAATAGTAGTTCAAGTTCATTGAGACTAAACTTATTTTAAAAACAAATTAGTCTTAATTTGATTCTCTTTGGTAGAAATGGCAGTAACTGCAGACAGAAATATTATGTTTCAGAAGAGAATTAGAGTGCACCAAATATTAGATTCTAGCCCTGTTCACTTTTGTTTTGGGGGTTTTATAATCTACCTGCAATCTGGATTCTGAATTCTTCTAGTTTTTCTCCAATATCCGGCTATGACTCTCCAAACCAATATTTCCAGTTTTTCTATTGCCCTTCTGGATTGGAATTACTGAAATTAAAATGCCTCTTTTCTGAAGTATGGCAAGCTGAAGCTGGATGATTTGATATAAACTTCAGATACATCACAGCAGCTTATGTATGGAAAATCTTTATGACATTTAAACGGCAAACCAGGAAAATCTGGGTGATCGCCACTGCCTTTCATCACTCCAACTGAAGATACTTAAAGCCCAGATCCTAGAAATCTTGATGGGCTGCTCTCTGGACCCACAAACTGAGTTTATAGTTTGCTCCAATTATTATTTTTTCGTTCTTCTTTTATTTTCATAGAAACCAAACTCCCCTCATTAAAGGCCTGATGGTTCACACCATCCCAGTGATATCTGTTACTACAAAGTTCCAACAGAAAATTCAACGGGTCCTTAATGAACAAAAAGTGACTGAACAAAAAAAAATGGACTTATATTGTTCAAAGAAAAGAATAATGCAAATAACAAAACAAATATTATAGGGGAAATGTGTATATTAACAAGGAGCTAAAGTGAAATAGGGAGCGTAGAAATGAGGCTGTTGAGGGGCTATAGATTAGAATTTATGGGGAGACAATGTACTTAGAACACTAAAATCAGGCAAGCAGCACAATGAGTCAATGGAGCCAGAGGCCACCAATATGTCTACAGGTGAGAGCACCAATGATCATTTCACTGATTTGAGAGGCAAATTGATGCAAGCAAATTTGCATGCTTTTTTTGAAACATAAGCATCCAGTCTCTTTAGTGGGACCTCTGAAATTATTTTTGTATGACAATTCTGAGGGCAGCATCTGATACTAATTACTGCAACACGTATCAGATAAATGATGATAATTATATAGAATATTAAACATATAACCATTTCTTCAGTGAAACATGGTGGAAAGTTTTTGCCCAAGGGAAATCAGACTTTTCACTGCCAAGGCAGAGCTGTTTGCCAAGCTATTTGGAGAGAGCTTGTACAACAAAACATCTATCTGCCCTTTGACTGATTTAAGGCTTTGTGAACATTCTATTTACCTAATATATGAGAAAAATGTGTAAAGGAAAACCTGTGTAAATTGAATTGGAGTTCAAACCAAGATGTAGTTGTCAATTATAATAAGACTGTGAGTGCTATATGACCTTAGCTTGCAGCAATGAGCAGCTCTTACAGTGACTCTAGAAGAAAGACGATAAAACAAATCATTATCTTTCACAAATATCAGGTTATAATATTAGTGCAGATCAAGATCTCTGAATAGCATAGGGAAAATGTGCATTTTAATGAATATTGCTCTATGATAATCTTTGTAGGCGTGGATGTTGATTGACAACTAAATAACAAGCACATTATATTGTATATTGCCTTATTTTACCATAACTGCAAAAGATAGAAAATGTGGTATTAAATTTGTTCAAACACAGAAACAACAAAGGAATAAAACACATTATTCAGAAAGAAATTGATGGTAATTTGAAGTTCATTTTCTTTCTTTCTTTCTTTTTAAAATCTCCCCTGAAGGAGGCCTTGCTAATCTTCTCAGATACAGAATAATTTGTCATCAGTTCCAATCCAAACATCAAATGAAGTACACCAAATTTAACCAGTCAGCAAGGCTACCAAGAAATGTAATGTAGTATTGGCAGAGCTGAGAGTGAGTTCTTAAATTGAGCAGAATGTAGGGAACTTCATTTGTTCCCATGGAAGAATTGAGATTTCAGGATAAAAAAAGTCTCTGGTTTGAATCATGGGGAACAGGCAGGTCAAAAAGCTTCTTTTTTAGAAGAAGGGTTTCAGTTAAATCTTAAATCTTCCCAAACAGAAGAAGGTTGATAAATTAATCTCAAATAATAATGTGTATTTTACCTGAAAGTTAAACATATAGCTTGTAGATTTTGATCCAACAGAGAATATATTATTTGTTGAGTTTTAGAAAGAATTCATCAGAAGCTAAATTGTATATATCCAGCAATAAAGTCAACATAAACGGCCTTTATTTAAAAATGATCTAAAATTAACTTTGAGCATAAAAATAAAAATGTAAGAATTTGATTTTCCAGAATGATTCAACAGTTTACAGGCGAAAAGAGAAAAAATAAGAAAAAATAAGGTAGGTATGTGATCAAATTTTACAAGTAGTTTTGCTATTTTGAAAGTTGGTTTTACAAAATATTTCTCCAACAGGATGATTGCTTAGATGAATTTATTAAGGTATGTGGCCACATGCATAGAGAGTTTAAGGGAATGGTTAGATATTTTGTAATACAATGTTTTCAGAATTATCATATTTGCATAAATTAATCACACTGCCAGAGCACAACCTGAATTGTGTGCAAATAAATAAATCTATTTTGCATAATTCTTTCAAATGAAGTACTTTTTTCCTTTGGGGAATTAATGACTCTGGATGAAAAATAGAGTTGATAACATCTATAAATGATACCAGAAAGATAAAACCATATTTATTTCCTACCTAATATCTGATTAAGTAAAAAACCCTTATTCTTGAAAATACAGTGTTATGTTTTGGAGTTTAGTTATTAAAGCTTAATTTACATACCAGAAATTCGAACGTTTATTATGAAAACAAAAATATTATAACTTAACTATATGAATGAAAGTATTTTGACTTGATTTCATTTTTGTTGTTGTTTTTTGTTTTTGAGACAGTGTTTTGCTGTGTCTCCCTGGCTGGAGTGCAGTGACGCCATCTCCGCTCACCACAACCTCTGCCTCCCGAGTTCAAGTGATTCTTGTGCCTCAGCCTCCAGAGTAGCTGGGACTACAGGATCCGGCCACCACGCCCAGCTTTTCTTTTTCTTTCTTTTTTTTTTTTTTTTCAAAGTTTTAGGAGAGACAGGGTTTCACTATGTTGGCCAGGCTGATCTTGAACTCCTGACCTTAAGTGATCTGCAAGCCTCAGCCTCCCAAAATGCTGGGATTTACAGGTATGAGTCCCCTCTCTGGGCCCAATGAAAGTATTTTTAAAAAAATAAATGAAATTTTCAGTGAAGTCTGTAAAGAATGATACTTTTAAACATCAGTTAAATAAAATCTATACTTTGAAAAAAACTTTATTTGAAGGCATTAAATTTATATTTAAAATGGGTTTCCTCATCCAGGCACATTTTGTAGACTATAGGATGTGTTTGAATGTTTTAAAAGGCTTTGATTGATAAATGCTGGCGTGAGGGAGTTTCCATCACAGGTGTTACACATCTGTCTCAGACAATAGCCTTTCTCTTTCTTATTTCAACTGTTTCTCGAATATTCTTTGATGCTGTATTGGTGATTTTAGCTTTGTTCTGAGATTTGTCGGTATGACTCCTAGTCATCTTTTCATTCACAGATCTGCTGTCAATTTTCTTGTTAGTATTGATGGAACCTAGTCTAATACCAATTCACTTGATGAGGCATGGACAATAATGTCACCATTAACTGCAAGAATCAAAACATTTAAATATGAGATAGGTCACTACTGTAGAGTTTACCATTACAGGAAAGCTTTGAACATTGAGAGTGGAACATTGTCATAGATTTTCTCTACTATGGAAATTAATTCAGAAAAGAATGTTTAAGATCATTCAGAATAGTCATATTACTCAGTACATTTTTTTAAATGAGATTTTGTTTACCTCTCTTTTTCATTTCCATTTACTTTGTCATATGAGAAAACAAGTAATTTATTTCTCTCAAAGAAATTTTATCTTTAAAATCTGGTACAACTCCATCCCTGCCCCCAGCAATCAGGCTTGATTAATAGGATGTTCTGCTAGAAAAGGCAAGACAGAGAAAATCAAACTGAATGTATTGATTTTTCCTAATTGTATACTATCTTCAAACTCTGGAACTACTTATGGTTTCTGAGTGGTCCATATCAAGCTAATTTATTATTTAATGGTAGAGGATATGCATACTTCCAAACTGAATGAGAGTGCTGTTTTTATTCACTATTCAAAATAGTTTTGATTCATATTATTTTAAAATTTTGCAATTTATAAAATACTTTCCTATATCATTTCACTTGATTAATACTACAATCAACCACCTTTCACCTCACTGTTGCTTCAGATAATGTGCCAAGGGAAAAAAATAAGACAAAATGATGAATCTGTATTAGGCATAATATGAGAAAAAACTTAGGGCAAAATTATTTTTTTCCTCCTAGATCTCTTTTGTTGTTTTTTAAATGTGTTTGGTTTTGCACTTTGATTTTGCCTTATGGCAATTCTTTGCTTTGGGAAATTACTTGGAACAAGAATGAGCATTAAGAAACAGCATTCATAGTATTTTCTGCCATCTGTCTCTTGACCTGAATTTAGGTGAGAAGAGGAGAGAGTAAAGGAGTCAAAGTGAACTATGTTAAATAATATGAGAAATATTTGGAGTTTGCTGCAGAAATCAATCCAGACTTCAGCATGTATTTGACTGAAGTACTCATGTGCTAATCTCTCAGGAATTTAGAGCAAAGTGGTTGGCTGGATGGTCAGTTGAAAGCAAAGAATCTCACTTCTGGCAAAGCCCTGAGGATGTGAATCTAGCATAAGGTAAATTTATAATATCTTTATCGTTGACAGCACAGATTCCCAAATCTGGCTATTATTATCATATTCAGTTTAGGGATAAAAAATAGTACAGTTGTAATAACATAAGTTAAAGAATATCTAGGGCTTTAACACAAAGTTTTTGTACTATACAGTGAGTTCTAGGAAGAGCGAAGCACATTTTGACAGATACACAAACACACACACACAAACACAAACATATACATACACAGTCAGAAGACAAGTACTGTATAATTTTTAAAAATATGTATGTTTTTCAAGTATTAATAGATCACATATCCATGTGTCTGACTGAGTAGTAAATATTTCAATGTCACATTTAATTAGGTGAGGGGAAAGGAATGTAGCAGGGGTTTCAATAGGCATGATTATATTTTCAGTGGATTAACAGTGATGGCTTAAAAATTATAAATGATATGTATAACTTTCAAAACAATACATTATTATTATCTCAGAGTAGCATATTTGTTAAACTTTAGTCAGCTAATTGCCATACAATGTGCATTTAAATGGTAATTTTGCAACGATATTATTATCTAAGGTAATGTTTATTTTTGAAGGTAAAGTGTTTCTTCACTCCTCATTCCCTTATGTCTTTCTCATAAATGTTAAAAAATGATATATATTGCACTCAATTACCTCACTGCCTTCTAAACTGAACCCAAACCACATTTACTTTACCTATGTAGTTTTAAATTTTTATAATTTACTATAGATTGGGGAAATTTTATGTCAGTCAACCATGAGAATATTTAAGAATAAGAACATTCCCATTACCTACTTACATTATTTTTAAAAAAGGAATCTAAGAATCTCACACTTTGAAATGGCATTTCACATTTGTGCCTCAAAATATTCCACTCACTCAGAACTTAAATAAATACAAATCACTTTATTAGGAAAGAAAATACTTTGTTGTCCAAGGGGAAATCTAATCTTTAAGTGCAGAAGCTAATGAAAATGTAATTTTTCACTCTTACAAAAGGTCTGTACAAATTACATAAAATGCCTTTATACTATATAGTCTTGTATATCTTTATATCATATATGTATGTCCATTGGACTATATAGGATAATCTACAAAGTGTAAATATGTTTTCTGTACATAAGCATAAACACAGAGACACACTCACCCTTAAAAATCTAAATGATCTATTTTATGAACCTCCAGCCTAGAATTCTTTTCTTTTCTGTTTTCTAATTTATTATTTTTCTTTAAATGTTAGTGCATACCAGTGGTATTGTCATTCTCAGTCTCATTTCACTCTATCTTATCTTCCTGAGGCATCTCTGTTACTTAGAACTACCAAGCTCTCTTCCAGGACTACTGTATCAGAATCTCTGGGTGAGATGTTCTTGAATTCTGCATGTTTAATAAGCACTGTAGGTGATTCTCATTCAGACCTCCTAGGAAGATACCTATAAAATTTCTGTTGTAGATGCTGATGACACTATGTCCCAAACTCCATTCTCAATGTATCTTAAAAAATTTGGACTCACACATAGAGGAGCTGACTGCAGTCCTTCAGGATTATCTCAGAGATACCACAAATCCTTAACAAGTACACATCATATCATTCCCTGCGTTAGGTTCGTTTTGTGGATTTTCTAAAGTAGGCGTCAATAAGAACACCTCTACTCTCCCCAGACTAGAAAACTAAAATTCATCCACGGTTTAGCACTCTTCTCTCACATTTTAACAATTTGTCATTGGTATGAAATGCTAAATACTTCCTGAATCAGTTTCCTCATACTATCTCGACCGCCACAGTCCCATTCAAGATGACTGTATTTCAACTGCTTTTACCCTGCATTCCCATCTACCGTCAGTTTTATTCCTTTCATATCCACCTTGTCAATAACTACCAAAGTACTCACCTTAAATCCAAAATAATATTATATTTTTGATGTTCATTAAAATTCTTTATTTTCCTTCTGTCTTTCCATTATATATTTGTATAATAAAATCCCTCATGATCTACCTCCACTGTTCTACATTGTCATTACATGCCATTCATCTCATTCTCCTGCTAGACAATATTGGTCTTAATTCTTTGCAAATAGCATGAAGGTAAAATTTGAAATTATTCATTTTTCCATGTTTTTGCTTAGGCTAGCTTGAAATGTCCCCATCTGTCAGCATTGCTTCTCCTTTGACCTCTGTAATTCTTATTCAGGCTTTCAAATTCTGTTCTAATGACAATGTCTTCAGTAAACTTTGAGCTCTTCCCCTAGGATTTTAAGTACTCGTGTTCTTTGTACTTTCAACATGCTGTTATCTCTGTGTCTTTACATGTACTTAGTTTTATATGCTTCATCTGTCTGTGCCACTCTCTATCCTGGTGTGTTCATGTTCTATGACTTTACTTATCTATCTATTTTTCTTGAATACCAGCAGAACATCTCCATATAAGAGATTCTCAATAAATAATGGAAGAATGAATGAATGAAAAGTGTTTGTGGGTTTAAACACTATGAGAAATAATATCGTTACTTGTTGATAAATTTTTGTTTAGAAGCTTGCTATGGAAATTTTAGTTTGTATTACCAAAAGGAGAAGAGTAATCAGAAACTGAGCCATGTGTAGTTTTTTTTTTTTTTTTTTTTTTTTTTCTGACAGAAAGCTAGTTACATCCATTTCTCCTGGAAATGATATTCTCTCTCTTAGTTTAGGTACATTTAGAGTATTCTGGTTTATTATAACCTGTATTTTCTTTCCTCTTTCTGTTGTAAGTCTTTTACATTTTCATAAAAGGGCAAATCTTTAGCATCTTCAGCATTAAATATTTATTTTATAGGACTTCCTACAATCACAAATAAATGTGTTTTTACATCTTATAAAATGAGTTGATTATTTAAAATTCTTTATATTGTTTATGCTCATAATCTGACAAAATGCTATTGAAACTGAATAACTGTGATTTTAAAAGGAACATATCTCTTTTTTACTTTAAGTGATCTTCTTTTTTATTTATTATTATTATATACTTTAAGTTTTAGGGTACATGTGCACAATGTGCAGGTTAGTTACATATGTATACATGTGACATGCTGGTGCGCTGCACCCACTAACTCGTCATCCAGCATTAGGTATATCTCCCAATGCTATCCCTCCCCCCTCCCCTCACCCCACAACAGTCCCCAGAGTGTGATGTTCCCCTTCCTGTGTCCATGTGTTCTCATTGTTCAATTCCCACCTATGAGTGAGAATATGCGGTGTTTGGTTTTTTGTTCTTGCGATAGTTTACTGAGAATGATGATTTCCAATTTCATCCATGTCCCTACAAAGGACATGAACTCATCATTTTTATGGCTGCATAGTGTATATGCGCCACATTTTCTTAATCCATTCTATCATTGTTGGACATTTGGGTTGGTTCGAAGTCTTTGCTATTGTGAATAGTGCCACAATAAACATACATGTGCATGTGTCTTTATAGCAGCATGATTTATAATCCTTTGGGTATGTACCCAGTAATGGGATGGCTGGGTCAAATGGTATTTCTAGTTCTAGATCCCTGAGGAATCACCACACTGACTTCCACAATGGTTGAACTAGTTTACAGTCCCACCAACAGTGTAAAAGTGTTCCTATTTCTCCACATCCTCTCCAGCACCTGTTGTTTCCTGACTTTTTAATGATTGCCATTCTAACTGGTGTGAGATGATATCTCATTGTGGTTTTGATTTGCATTTCTCTGATGGCCAGTGATGGTGAGCATTTTTTCATGTGTCTTTTGGCTGCATAAATGTCTTCTTTTGAGAAGTGTCTGTTCATGTCCTTCACCCACTTTTTGATCTTCTTTAAGGAAAATGTAATGTCCTTGGAAAATTATTAGTAAGAAATCTATCATGCAATCACTACATTGTTTTAATTCACTTTGTTCTCTAAAATATTGTTGTAATTTTGAGATCTTCTAAAACTAATAAGTTTTAAATTATTGGCATTATGTGGATCCATTTTTAAAATTAAAATAACCTAATTCTAGTATCTGTGATATCTAAAATGGACTAAGATTTTTAGAACAGCCATCAAGAAATGATGATTTTCATACGTGTGCATGTGTCTTTATAGCAGCAAGATTTATATTCCTTTGGGTATATACCCAGTAATGGGATGGCTGGGTCAAATGGTATTTCTAGTTCTAGATCCCTGAGGAATCGCCACACTGACTTCCACAATGGTTGAACTAGTTTACAGTCCCACCAGCAGTGTAAAAGTGTTCCTATTTCTCCACATCCTCGCCAGCACCTGTTGTTTCCTGACATTTTAATGATTGCCATTCTAACTGGTGTGAGATGGTATCTCATTGTGGTTTTGATTTGCATTTCTCTGATGGCCAGGGATGATGAGCTGGAACCAACCCAAATGTCCAACAATGATAGACTGGATTAAGAAAATGTGGCACATATACACCATGGAATACTATGCAGCCATAAAAAATGATGAGTTCATGTCCTTTGTAGGGACATGGATGAAATTGGAAATCATCATTCTCAGTAAACTATCGCAAGAACAAAAAACCAAACACCGCATATTCTCACTCATAGGTGGGAATTGAACAATGAGATCACATGGACACAGGAAGGGGAATATCACACTCTGGGGACCGTGGTGGGGTTGGGGGAGGGGGGAGGGATAGCATTGGGAGATATACCTAATGCTAGATGACGAGTTAGTGGGTGCAGTGCACCAGCATGGCACATGTATACATATGTAACTAACCTGCACAATGTGCACATGTACCCTAAAACTTAAAGTATAATAAGAAAAAAAGAAATGATGATTTTCAGTTTATCTTTAAGTGCTCTCTCTCTCAAATATCTCATATAGTTAATACTGAATTTGGTGGCAGTTTGGGTTCAAGACTTTGTTCTCCCACATGCTGGCTTTGTGAACTTAAACAAGTGAGGGCATCTTGTAAAATAAGATCCACATCCATTAAAAAGGGCTGAAAAACACTGTTCTTGTTATCTTGCAGGCTTATTTTTAAAACCAAATGAATGATGTTTTTAAAAGCACTTGGTAAATAATAAAGTATTAACTGGTGCAGTATATACTTTTTGTTATAACTTTTTATTTTAAAGGGCACACATTTTTATTGTAAATGAAATCTTGGTTAGCAAGCATATATAAAATCTGAGACTTAAAAAATCGACTCCAAGTAATTAAATTTCAACAAGGATCTTTAGAAAACAGAGACGGTGTGCTTCCAGCACAATAAACTTGGTGACAAGTAAAACTGCAAGTTATTGTATAAAATTACAGACTATCTGCTTCTGCAGTAATCCTCTTTATGGCTTCAAAGAAAAATGATAATATCAAGGTCTTGGGTGGCTCTAGGACATTGATTGCCAAACCAAACCATTCTTCCAAATATTAGTAAACTAAGGACAACCGGCTGCTGCAAGCTATTTTTCAGCCAAAAGGATTAGATTTGTCTCTTCGATGGGTCTGACATGTGATATGGATTTCCAATGGATTGAGATTTTCCCAGTCACAGGGTGACTTTCTCCGAGTTGCTGCTTTCTGAGGGTGGAGAATGGCCCCTATTGGGGAAATAAAATTTAATATTTTGCATAGGAATGCCTTTCTCAGTAAGAAATTCTCTGTTGAGCTCACTCTCTGACAATGACAGTCTCTCAGAGATTAAACTGTACGCTTAATACATGAGAACATTTGGGATATAATAAATAGGAACATTTCCATTTCTTCTGTACAGAACTGATGCTCCAAGATTCTTGTAATAACAATGATAACATTTCAACAGTGGCTGCTATGTGCCAAGCCCTGGTCTAAGCTCATTACATATATTAATGCTTCTAATTCTCACAGCAACCATATGAAGTAACTATTATTATCATTCTAATTACAGTAGAAGAGACTGAGACATAGAAACGTTAATTAATTTGTCCAAGTTCTCACAGCCAGCAAGTGACTGAGCAGGGATTCAAACCCAAGCAGGCTGTCTAATTCTGGAAACTGAGCCCAGAACTATCTTACACTCCCATACGGGGCCAGATATGATTTAAACAAAAAGAAAGAGGAAATGGTACCAGTTAAAAGCTGCACTTTCATATGTGTTTTTTTTTTCCACTTTAAGTTTTTTTTAACTAAGAGGAAGAAGAATCATATTAAATGCTCCCTACCCACATATAGTTGTGCTTTTTGGGGTACATGTAATCTAGAAAACCTTGGTGGCAAATACTTCTACATTCCCATGCTTTGCATATATGAGGAGACCATCCTCAATTCTTCCAGTAGAGGCCAGAGATGGGCATGTACACAGTCATGCTCCAAAGTCTCTTCCTTTTATAATTAGAGGGAAAGGATATAAGATTATTTCCTATTTCCTTCTCTATCTTTCAGACCCTGTGCAAAGAAAACAAGAGAAAATATTTATAATGAAGTAAAACTGATAAAACGTGTTCAATTCAGTTTCAAAAGTGAATTTCAACTTGTTTCTCTAAAGATATCACCATTATTTGTATAAATAACACAAAGTGTATTTGCTATTTAGCCTTGTGTGAGAATTTCCATATCACTGAGGTTTAGGGAATACCACTTAGGGGAAAAAAGCAATTTTAAGGTTATCATATAAGTAATAAAGACATTTATCTGACAAGATATGCTCAAGAGACCCAAGATACAGCTGTAGAATTCCTTTTGGCTCTCTCACCCATAATTTCACGGAGCTTGGCATAATTAGCACACTTCATGAGATTTAAGTAACATTTGTTGCTTCTCTATCAGAATGCAAATTTGAGAATGATATGGATCTGCACAGGAGACAGGAACAACTGTTCTCGAGGTAATAACTTGTGCACTACTTCCAAGTGCAGAAAGAGGTGACAGATACAGCATTACTCAGGTTTTATTAGGGGTGTAACATATGTTTTATTGAAGCTACAAATGCTAAAACCAGATATGTCATAAAATTAACTAAATGGTTTATTGTCTTTTGGAATTCTTAGTCTCCATTTTCTTAAAAACTATATGAAATAAGAGGATCTGCTATGGTTTGATGACTGTATATGTGTGTATATATGGGAATATAATCATCTAACCAATAAAATTTTTCACTAGGTCAGCAGCTTCTGTTTAGACAGGAAGAAATTATCTCAACAATAGGAAGTAATTACTGCTGGGAGTGTGTGTCTCTGTGTGTGTGTGGGTGCATGTGCATGTGTGTGTACACATTAAATGGCTATACTACAGTCAAGCTTTCTTACCATGGGACTCATTGTCTTCAATAATAGTTGGAAGCATTGGATATAAGAATCAATTATAGAACTGGTTTATTCCCTTGTTCTATATTCATGTAAAATGAAAGCAACATAACCCAAATATCCTATTATATAGAGATAGGATAGCCTGATTTATTTAGTTTCTTTTCCTAATTCTGAAATTTGTGTGAAAAAATCAGAAAAATTATGCAAATAATTCACTTCATGATAAATCTTTTGAAAGGATACTCTGATATAGGAACAAAATTGACTCTATATACAGTTTTTACTTACAAAAATTGAAAGCAAAATAATAAATACACAAATACATTTCTTATATCTGTACAATGCATTTCTGCATTTGTATACATGTAATATGTATAAATAAGGAGGAAATGCTGGATATATTATCTAGTGCTTCAAGTTTTGTTATTTTTTAAATTAATTTCTTTAGGCTCATTGTCCACAGTAATTCTAGTGACTAGGTTTGCTCACATCTATTGCTCCATCATCTATGACAAGAATAAATAATCATATAAAACCAGAAACATGCTACAAATCAAGTTTGCCTTCATGAGCTTGGTTTTGGCAGAACTCTGATCCAAGAGAATGCTCCTACGCTTTTATATGCATAAAACTGTATTGAAGGCTCATTTATCCCATATGTCTCTTATTTTTATTTAACCACAGACAAATTATTTTAAGCTTTCAAGATCATTTTAGGGTACTACAGCAGTAGTTCTTTATATCAATAGTAAATTTCAAAAATAAATTATGAGAAATGTAGTGGCTAAGCTAGTATGAACGGCATACTGAATAAAATCAAAGTCTCATTATCATACCACATGAAAAGAAGCTAAGAGCCCCTAAGAAGAAATGGTGCTTTTGAATTCCAAACTTTACTCTATAGACCATATATCAAAGCATACTGAAAAGGAGAAATCTACTAGAAATAATAAGAAATGAAGTCTATGTAGAAGTCAAGCTTTCTTGCAAGTCGTCAAAGGGAAGTACACCACTACTGAAGTAAGTGAAGTAGGGGGAAAAGTGAACAGAACACATGCGGTTCCACTGGAAGTGCAGAACTTACGAAGAGATAAGAAGTTAGAAGTAGTATGTAAATGGATGCACTGCTTCCTTCATCAAGAATATCTTGTTAAGTAAAGCGAAAGAAAGTTCTAATAAACTAAACAATGAGCTGAGTGACTATGTTGCTTTACATTTTACCATAAGTTCTTTAACGGGTCATAGACTGGTAACAAAATTTGGGATGAGTAACCAGTCCAACACCATACTTTGAGTAGCCTTGCAAATATATTTCAGGTTTTAAATGATTAAACTGTAACACTAAAACAAATATTCCTTGCAGTTATAGACTGGAATTAAGGTGGAAAATAAAATATTCAACTTTAAGGGTATAAGTAAATAAAATTTTAAATAATAAATGATAATTTTAATTAATATTTATTTTCTTTGGAGATAAATAGCCATCTCATCTAATCTTGAAGCAGAATTGTTTCAAATTTATTTATCACAGGTATCCACTAAAAACAAAAGCTGAACTCAGGTAAAGTATTTCTAATGTAATATGAAATGTATCTCTTCTATCATTTTTAAGCCAACATTTGCTTTATGTGCATATTTTAGCTATTAGTGCTAGGTCATTCCATATGAAACAACACAGTATCAAGCACTTAGTGACAATTCTAAGGAAATGTATTTTGTTACAGATATCTTAAATGGCATCTAAATTTTGAATGTGTGTAATTGTTATAACCTCTTAGAATCATTCTTGAAACATTATTGAAATCATTCTTGAAACACTTACCAGCTGCATTCTCATTTACACAATTTTGTGTAAATGAGATACTGGTTCTCAGATATTTTTCTCCCAGTTATCACCAATATTGTTCAGATATCTGAGGTTTTTTCTGTGATACAAAGCCAAGTTCTTCTCTACAAACTTCACGTGAAAAATCAGAGGAAGAAAATTGTCTTCATTCTTATTTGTGTACCAGTCTACAAAGAACCTCTGGATTTATCTAATGATATATAAGCTATTTCCAGACAATAGAGCTTTAATATTTAACAGGCTTTTAACTCCATATTTATGTATCACTTAAGTATCAAAAAGACAATGTTTTATTCCATATATGTAATCTTTACAATTTCATTAAAAAAGATTGATCCATCTCCAGATTAATACATGTTAGATCTTGGCTCAGGTTTTGTTTGTTTGTTTGTTTGTTTTTGTTTTTTTTTTTTTTGACAGTCTCACTCTGTTGCCAGGCTGGAGTGCGGTGGCGTGATCTGGGCTCACTGCAACCTCCACCTCTCACGTTCAAGTGATTCTCCTGCCTCAGACTCCTGAGTAGCTAGGACTACAGGCGTAAGCCACCACGCCCAGCTAATGTTTGTATTTTTAGTAGAGATGGAGTTTCACCATGTTAGCCAGGATGATCTTGATCTCTTGACCTCGTGATCCGCCTGCCTCAGCCTCCCAAAGTGCTGGGATTACAGGCATGAGCCACCATGCCTGGCCAGCTTAGGTCTTAAAGTTGACCTTAAACCATAACAAAAATTGCAGTTGCAGATGAATACTTAAGAATTACATCCAGATGGTCTGAAAAGTCTAGAATAGTGCATGTGTGACAGTTGGCCCTTCAAGTTTCAGTGTGGATTTCTGTGATCATATAATTCTCATCTAGTCGGCCTGATAACGCTCTTGAAAAGGTTCTACCTTGCAAATTAAATTTATGGAAATTACATTGCCATTTTTCAAGATAGATTAAATGTTTGATGTTTAAAATATCAAGTAAATGGTCTTGGAAAAGAAACTCATTGCAATGGCATGTCAGATTGATTCTAATCTACATATTTACCAGGGTTTAGTCATGTCTAGATACATATGGGGATTAGTGCCATGTCTTCCTGCCCAATCTTCAGCCTCATTATTTTTCCATAAAGGAATAAAGGATCTCTTGGGCTACATCACCTAAAGTAGACTGTAGATGCACAAGTGTAGTTGAAAAATCATGTCTAAAGAAACACACTTTTAGAAAGGTGTCAGTGCATCACAGGGCCTGTTAGATCTTCCTGTGTTAATCCCCTGAAGTCATGAATTAATCTTAAATCAAGAAGCCTGTAAACAACAAAAGTAAGGGGAAAAAATGGTTTTTACACATTGCAGTGTGCATTTTATGCAATTTTGAAAAAACAAAGTAGTGTCAGAATTTCTGACAATTTCTGAAGCAAAAAGGTTAGAACTTTCACCTTTGGCATCTCCAGAACACAACACCCCAGGTAGCTATTAGTGCCTTTCTCATTGTCCAGCACTGTTAATAAAGATATTAGTAGTCACTGTCAAGACTAATGATGATTTCAGTGGGCGCCAACTGGTCACTCTTTACTTCTGACATTGTCATTAATAGGTAGCAGAAAGAGTAGGGAATGGAAATATTTAGGGGGTTTCCAAAATTAGATAAGATATAGTAAGAGAAAGACATATTCCTGATTTCTGCTGTGACTTATTTAGCCTTACCATTCTCGAACTCCCACTTATTCCCCTTCCAGAGTCTGTGGCTGGGTAAAAAAGTGCTACATCATTACAACAATGGTAGAAACAGCAGATGAAATCAAAGTTTAATACTTTATTGCTTCAGTTTGATTCAACCTATATTTTTATTGACTCAAATTTAATGAAATTTTAATAATGTTATTATTCTAGGCTGGGCACAGTGGTTCACACTTGTAACCAAGATGTTTAAGGGACCAAGATGGGAGGATTACTGGAGACCAGGAGTTTGAGACCAGCCTGGACAACACAGCAAGACCCCATCTCTACCAAATAAATGAATAAATAAATAACCAGACATTGCAGTATACACCTGTAGTCTCAGCTACTTAAGAGGCTGAGGTGGGAGGTTCACTTGAGCCCAGTAGTATGAGGTTATAGTGAGCTATAATCCCTCTACTGAACACCAAACTGGGCAATAGAGTGAGACCATGTCTCAAAACTATATATATTATTACTCTAAAACAAAAATAATACAGATTTTATGATTTTGATTTTATATTATCTCAATGAAAATAATTATAAATATCATGCATGTTTAGAGTCTATTATTATGTAAATTTGGACGGTGACTTTCCATACTGGGGCATTAACTTTGAGTATCCTTAAGACATACATGTTGAATCACAGCCAGTATCAGAAAGTCCAAGACAGGGATAAACATGAAAAAAATAAGTTTTGCTGTATCTCATGAACAATGTCCAAATAATTAATATGCATAAGTAAATGTAACCTGTAATATAAAAATAAAAATTAAATTTAAAATTTTGACTAAAAAATGCTGATTCAATAGCAAGTCATTTAATACTTGGTAGGTAGACTTTCAATAACCTTTCTATAATGATATCGTATTAATAGAAAATACATAGGTATTCTAGTCAGAAATAAGCATAATTCACATGTTTGGCATTAATTTATTTTAATTAAGAATTTTTTCTGTTTTCCCTGTAAACTCAAATGACAGTTCTCTGATATATCATGTTATAGCAACAGGAATATTCTTCCATGTGTGGAGGTGAAAAAATTTATGTAATTCTCCTTCCCAATAGGCTTTTAATTTCTAACATTCCTACCAACCCTCCCATTAGAATTACTCTCCCTCAGAACTCAGTAATTATTGACCAACTAGTTTTTAATTATAAGGAACATGTCTTTGAATTCTACTAAGCACACTATTTATTCAGTAATCCTTAATCATAATTTCAGGACTCAGGGCATTAAAATTAATTTACTCTTTAGAGATGAGAACAGATTGCCCATCAGAAGAGGAAAAGTTTAAATGTACGTTTTATAAGAAGCTTAAAGGGCTCACAAGGCATTGATAAAGCCTTAGGGCGATAAAAAAAAAGTCACCTGATAAATTAAGTGTATTTTACTCTAATACAACGTATATTCTTCTAATTACTTTTTATTATATAAATTTAGAATTTTTTGAGTTTCTAGGGTATCCAGAATGATTGATGAATTATCTCTGCTGATTATGCAATCTTATGGAGATGAAAAAACAAATACTCCTCTTTGTTTTGATAGTTTAATCTTTTACCTAAGCAGCTATATTTCACCCACTTAGGTGTATTTAATTTTGAAACCCATAATCAAAAATCAAATTTTATTACTCTTTAATCTTTCTTTTTGATTCATTATTCCCTCTGGTATCTCAAAATATTTTGATAATGAAAATTCCCAACACACAATTATGAGATAAGGGCTCACCAAAACATAATCATGAAATATACTTATCTACTCCTTGATAACATGATAGTGATTTACATTCAATCCAAAACATGTTAATAAGTGGCATATTTCATTCTGTCTATTCATGTACAATATGCTATTATTATAATCCATTAGTTATTTTCACCTTTTTTGTTATGTATATCATATTTTCCCACTAACAACCTTTTTTTTTTCACACTTCTCCATCTGTTTTGGTTTCCCACATTGAAGTTCCTTTCAAATATCCCCTAGCCAATATCTAGTTAAGCCATGGGATCTCCTATGTTTCCTTACAAAGTGCCCTGATTATGGTAACTGTGCAATAAATGCATACTTTTGAGATATACTAATACAATTCCAATCAGTATGTCCCATGATAAAAGTCTTTATGTACTCTTAAGATGATGTAGTAAAAACTATCTTCTCTGTAACAATAAATAAAATAAGGCATTACATATAACAATTGTTGAAAAAATATAGTCAAGACAGAACTTTTTTTTAAAATTTCAAGTGGAGGCTTTGAAGAACATTAGGTTTATCCAGGCTTTTTTTAAGCAAGTGTATTGTGGATTATTACTTATATCCCTTGACTATTTCCAAATGAAGGAAGGGAGGCTACATGGTTTACCCTGAAAAACATTTTATGATGCCACAATCATCTTCAAAGCAACTCATCTTGACTATATCCACAATTATTTGTTTGGACTACTTTAAAACATTGTTACTTATTATAAAATTTGTTTTTATATTTTTTCATTTAAGTTGTTACAACATACATTCCTAAGTGTGAAAATGTTATCGTACGTTAAGCATAGCTACAAGATAAATAAAAAACCAAAATCACGATATTGTTTTGAAATAAGAAATTTAATTTTATCAAAATTAAAAACTTATCTGCAAAAGACACTTGAAATAAAGGAATGAAAAACAAGCCACAGAATTGAGAACATGTTTATATATATATATATGTATATATATACATATATGTATATATGTGTGTGTATCTATCTATCTATCTATCTATATCTGACAAAGAATGTGTACCTAGAATATATAAAGAGCTTTTAAAATGCAATAATAAGAAAATAAGTAACATCATTGTTTAAATGGGCAAATATTTGGACAATTCACCAAAGACAATATGCAGATGATAAATGAGCGCATGGAAAGATGCTCAGTATAGTTAGTCACTGGGACAAATGTACATGAAACTGTGATGAGATACAAGTGTATACCTATGGAATGGCTAAAATTGAAAAAGATTGATGACATGAAGTTATTTCACGGGTCAGAACAACTATAATTCTCATATGTTCCTGGTGAGAAGGCAATATGTTAAAGTCACTTTGGAAAATATTTAGGCAATTGCCTATAAAGTTAAACATATGTTTTCTAAATGACCCAGCAATCCCAACCAAAGAGCAATGAAAATTTATGTTGATGTAAAAACTGAACACAGATGTTTATAGCATCTTTATTCATAATTTCTCCAAACTGAAGACAATCTAAATATCCTTCATTGTTCAATAGATAAACAAATTCTGGTCCATAGGATGAAATACTACATAGCACTAAAAAGGAATAATGTAGTGATATATACAAAAGGGATGAATCTCAAATATGTTATGCTAAGTAGAAGAATCCATACTCAAAAGGCAGAATTATACACTATGTTATGTTATTTATATGACATTCTGAACAAGGTCATATTATAGAAACAGAAAACAAATTAGTATTTGCCATTAGGTGGGAAGAGGAGACACGGAGTACAATGCATTAGAAGGTGGGAGAACTCTTCTATATCATGTTGTGGTGGTTGTAACTCAGTTGTCTGTGTCAAAGTTTATAGAACTGAATACCAAAAAGAGTGAGTTTTATTCTATACAAATAAATAAAAGGAGAAATCATAATCATACTAGGTAGGATGGCAGTGACCACATGTAGAATATAAAGCCTGCCTTCACTATGGGTCGGCTTTAACTTGTGAAAACACTATGAATTCAGATGATATGTTATGTCTTTGCTTTTAAGTTAGAATATGTTGTTATGTTGAAATAACATAATAATTGGAGCTGATTTCTCAGCCTGTTCCATCATGTGTTTGGATTTTAATAACCTTATTATTTAATATAATATCTAACCATTATCTTTCTTTGGAGAAATGTGTACAAAAATCTATTTTGACACACCCTGAACTAATCATTGTACTGTTGGCAATAGTTCTCCATTAAGTGTCAGGGTCATAGACTTAGAAAAATAATACAAAATGTCAAAAATGTGTTAATATTCTTCATCTGTAGCTACACAAGTTAATTTTCCAAGTCAATTCAATTTCAAATATTTACAATCATGGAAATAAAGTGACTAAAGCAGATGACAGTAACTGATGAACCTAAGGTATGGAGGTGCTAGAGAGTAAGTTTGGAAATGGTAGAATCTTGAAACTGAGAGTCCCAAGAAAAGTGTGTGTGTGTGTGTGTGTGTGTGTGTGTGTGTGTGTGTGCATGTGTGTATGTATGTGTGTCTGTGTCTGTGTGTAGTGTGTTTTCAATGAAGCCATGTTAAGTTTGCTGAAAAGCAGCAGTCTACAAAATCATCACTACATCCCTCATAGATTATAGTCAATTTAGCAAAAGGGTTAAAAAGAAAAGGGAGCCTTTTGGGTTTATTCTATATCTACAAAGAGAATATTTCATCCCCTTTCAGGAATTAAGAGAGTGAGAGAGAGATCACAAAATTTAGAGATTTCTGCAAAGAGTGAAACTGACATTTTCTGATCTTCTCTTGTGAAATTAAAATGAGAAAAATGAGAATCAAGGACAAATGATGACAGCTCATGGCTGCTAGAAAATAAGGCACTTGGTTCCCAGTTCCATAGATTTACGAAGTTTTATTTATTCACAGGGAAACTCTACACTGACTGGGTGTAAGCTGTACGTGAGTTTGGGACCATTTTCTTTCCTGGGAATACTACAGATGGGACCAAAAGTGTATGCATAAGAGAAAAGTGGTGTTAATTTCCAGAAAACTCTAGCCAAGGATATGGTTTAGCACCCTTGGGGACGATATGTATCTAGATGAGCTTCATTTGTGGCAGCCCCACTTCACCGAGGCCCATTGAAGCCATTAACTATATACACTAAACCCATATACCATAATCAAAGATGGAAATGACAGCCAACTAAAAAGAAGACTGCAACTTGATCATGGTAGGTCAACTAACGAAGTGTCTCAGACCTTCTTCTTCATTCCAACCAATCCAGACCTAGAGGAACTAGTATAGGAAGTTGGAGAAAGAGAGTGAGAATACCTAGAACTTACGTTCACCAGAGCCACAAGTCTAGTCTGATATTAAGGGAGAGGAGATGGGCTTTAGATAAAGTATGAGAAAGGTTTTTGAAAATGAATAGGAATGAGCTTTTAAGAGCTAGAATGAGACTCCTCTAAAAAATCCAAGAATCACTGAAAAGTTATGCAAATAAAATCAGCTCTTATTAAGGGAAACTACTATCCAATGGTGAAACGGCAGGGTTAACTGCAATTACTGGAAACATTTGTTTAATGTTTGTAACCAACGAATTATAAAATCTCAAAAAATGGCTACATGTGTAATCCCATTTTCAAGTTAATGCTTATAATTGAAGAAATCTTGACTCAATATAGGTTTAATTGTGCTAATTTGGAAGAATGAAAGAAAAAGCTCACTTACATAAAATATTTGAGAATTCATAACAAAAAGGTCAAGTAAACATGGAGCATCAAAGTTATAATTTTATCTTATATCCTAGAAGAATTTTCATTGAATCCTTTTATTTAGATTGATTGTTCAGAGGCAAGAAATGTTCAGATTCTCAATCTGAATATTAAATAAAGAAGCAAACCTGAGAAGTAGATACATACAATGTAAATATTTCTGTAGCTCAGATATGTGCAAAAGGCAACGGGAACAGAAGAAGCAATTCTAAATATAATTGTTATCAAAGAAATGCTCTCAAATCTACAGTGTAATTATTGAATATTCTCTAATGCAGACAACTTTAAAAACATTATAAATACTAATAGTCCCACTGTATATTTCTTGATGAAATTTTAATAAGCTATTTATCTTTTATCTCAGGTTGAAAAGTGTCCCTACAAGAAATCAACCAGTTTGAACTTTGTTTAATGCACTCTTGCACATGGGTAATTGTCCATCCACCTTCAAGATTAGTTATATTTGGTAGAAAATAATGTCAACCAATGGATGCCAGTCACTTCCGTTTTAAGGACATGGGTATACTTTGTTGTTTACTTACAAAAATTTTTTGGATCAGAGTTATCAGAAATTTTCAGATTTTTGACTACACTGCTTGGATCACTGAACTGCTTTTAGTGACTACTTCACAAATTTCTAAGTGCAATATAAAAACTTTATCAAAGTGATAGATTCAACTAAATAAAAAAGTATTGAGTAGCTGTAATATGACGAGTCTTGTGTTGGATTCTGGGAAGTCAATGATAAAAAATATAGGCTCATTTGAGAAAACAGCAAAGCTAGCATGAAATACTGAACCTGGCAGGACCATGGCTACTGTCAAAGGCTAGTAAGTGCCAGATGACATGGGATTTTATATAAGAAATGAACCAAGTAATAAATAAAATAGTGTGTCAGAGGAACAATACATAAACCAATATTTAAAAATCCACAAATATTTAATTTTACCTCCAAACAATCCCTTTATGGAAGAGCCTTGATGTTTTATGAAAAATACCATCCCTGATCATTGCTTTACTACCTGATAATTCATAAAAATTTTCTTCAGAAAGATTGAATGTCTTATCCTTTATACCCTTTTCTGACCCTAAACCCTGATTTCAACAAAGTCTGATGCACAGAAAAGGTAGATCTTGTCTTCTTTTCATAAGATTTCTGTTCTGGATATTTGCCATAATTATATTCTCAAGTATATTTAATATTAAATACTTGATCTTATATTTAAGATTTTGGATCATTTGATCACCACAGATCCAAGAGAAAGTTATTAAATAATATGTATGATAAGTTCAGTATTAGATCAAAAGTATTAAAATTAAGTTTTAAATATATTTCGGTGTAAATATAGTCTATTGGGCCAAGCTTGTCCCTGGGTTGTAAATTTGAGCAGTACTATGCTCTGTGACTAGAATATGGGTGCAACCAAACATACTCCTCATTTGGCTCAGGTCCTGTAAAACATATACTTGATATATTCTTTTTATTTAAGGCTCATGACAGCACACTTCATATAATCTTCAGAACAATCTTTTCAACTAAAAGGGTATTTGCTTTGTTATTTTCTGTCTTCCTTTTTCTTGGTTTTCCTCCCTGTGATATTTATTCAAATAAATTAACTTGGAAAAAAATTAACTTGGAAACCTGGAAGCCTAAGTCTCTTTTTATAGATTTAGTTTAATTTATTTGACCTATTTGGCTGCCTTGCTTTCGGTTTTAGTTTCCTAGGGTAGACATGTGAAAAAACACTGCGGATTGTTGTTTAACCTCAAATCTATCACCTGATTTCCTGAAATAATCACACCTACTGTTTTAGTGTCCTGGGGAAAATGGGGCAGGGTTTCCCATTTCTAGGCAGCTACTCATAGAATTATAGAACAGTGAAAATCCTTAGAGGTCATTTGATTCCTTAGTTTGCTATAGAGATTTTTTCTTCCTTAGATATTTCAGGACACAAGAGCAACAAAACTCAGCCCTGAATCAATTCTGGACCACATAATCATAACAATCAATTGCCCTTCCTTCATCATGATATATAAAGGGTACAGTACAGCATCCAGGTGCTAAGAAAAAGTGTCAATATGCCTATGAAGGCTGAAAATCTTTGAAATAATTGAATGGTAGAGGATCTACAAATGGCACAGTGTGAAAACTAATTAATTGGGTACTCAGTTGACTGAATACATTTTCTGAAAAAGTGATATTACTACATAAAGTACGTTGGGTTTCCCACAATAACTAAGAATAAGACTTTTATTCCTCTAACCTTTAACAAACATGTGGCCTAGAAATTCCATTATTTCAGGTCTTTTTTCTTTCATTGAGTAGCTCTTGAGAATAGATCATGAGCAAATAACAGAAATTAAGTAATAGAAATCTAGGGCTGAAAGGGATACTGGGAATAGTCTTATTCATGTCTCTCTTACTAACTGATTTTAAAACTAAGATATAAAGTTGTTAGATACTTCAACCAAATTCCCTCAGATAACTAATGAGTATTACCATCACTCGGAAATCAAGAAGTAATCTTATATATTTCAAGGAATGTATTGAATTTAGTATGATAAGGAAGATGATTTAAAGTTCACAACAAATCTGCTCCAAAATTTGTTATGAAATAAATAAAATAGTAAAGGGAAATAATTATTTAATGAATCCTGGTTTGTAAAAACAATATTTGATCAATCAGAATCATTTCTGACTGATTCACATTCCTTATGGTTGGCTAAAAGAGGTTGTGGCTGCTCATCAAATTGGCAGGTCTGCATGGTTGGATGAAAAAGGAAGATAATCAGTTGAGTGTTTGAACTAGATTCAACAGCAATTGTTGAGTAGAGCTTCATGGACTTGAGCATAGTACAGTGATGTCTTGAAATAAATAGAGTGCACTCATTTATAAAATATTGAGAAACATGTACATTATTAATCATTTTATTTTTTACAATTTGATAAATGCATAACCAATATGTCTCTTGCCATGTTTGTATGAATGTCTTGATTTTAATTAGATCGTCTATTCTTTAGAGGTTAGACTTAAGGGTTTTCTTGTCATCTCTTTTTGCATGTGCTTTAGGATAATGCATTCAAGAATTTTAAAATATAAAGAGCTGAAGGTTTAGGAACACTTTTTTATGTGTATTTTATTTTAAAATATGGGTGTTAGCATTAAGAGATAACATAAATAATTTTTTTTGGCTAACCTTGTAATTTACAGATATTTAGCTTAAGCTTTTCATTAATTAAGCAGCTATCTAAATCATATGAAAATAGAGCTTTAGGAACAAATGTTTTATACATTATATCCTTTCTATTTATTTCAATGTTTTCACTATTTCCTTGGTTTTATTCTCTGTCATTTATTCAGAAGAATTGACAAGGCTTAAAAATATTACTTCTCTGAAATGTTTTTTCCCTCATGTAGAGATGGGCATCATTTATAAGATGCAGTAAATCACAATAAACCTTTACTTAAAAAGTTTGGGACTGGTAGAGACCTATGAATAATCTTAAGTTGTAGATATAAAAATTATGAATAATGATACACAGTGGCATTTTAGCTATCCTTTTTGTTGGAAAGAAAAAACAAGAAAGTCACTAGCCCTTCAGAGATTTGGAAAACCAAATTTATTAAGATAAGGAAATAGAAAATGATTGATGATTCCAAACTAGATGGGTTAGGGGAACCTTTTTAGATTCACAAACACTAACTTTTTAAACAAGAAAATCGAATAGTCAACAAATATTTGTTGAGCAGTTACTGTGAATGAGCCACTCTGCTATATGCTGCAAAGCATAGACAAAAAGTAAGACACGATCTCACTCTATAAATTGTATTGCAATCTAGGAGGCAGTGAGAAACCCATATAAATGAATAATTATTTATTTAAATGGCAAAACATGATGCACACCACAGAAAAGACATAAGTAAGGTACTATAGGTTTCAGACGCTACCTTCTTACCTCTCTGGGGATGACTTTAATAAATTTAAATCTTTGTTTCTGCTGTGTGACAGCTGCTGACCCTTGAGTGACTGTGGTCTGGTGTGGAGTGTCATAGGTGGAGGCGTTAAAGAGATGGTAGCTGAAAGTACAAGGAGGAGGAGGAACAAGGTGAGTGAGAGAGCTGAGTATTAGGAATGTGGAGGGGTGGAAATTAATGGGTCATGGACATAAATAGGGGACTGAGGAACCCAAGAAACAAAGAAGGAGGGATTGCATTAACAGCAGATTAGGAAAATGAAAGATATACATAGTAAGGTCATAGAATATGATGGTCAACATCTAGTTGGACAATTTTGCGCAAATCACTCTACCTCTTTAAGCTTTTGGTTTCATCAAAGGTAAAAAAAAATTCAGTAAATATTTATTGAACTCCTACTATGCACCAGGCTTTTTTTCCAGGACTCGAAGATCCAAATTTAATAAGTCATAGTCTCTGCCTTTAAGGAGGCTGAAATGACTGTATAATACAAAAATAAATGTTTTGTTTTAAAATTAAAAACACAAAATGAATAATATTAATAAAATCAATCAAAATTAGTTGAATTTCTATGGTACACTAGATTTACATGGTGAGGAAGTAGTAAGGTGCAAGAGCTTTCAAGTCACCATAGATCTTGATTCAAATGGTTTCAGTCACTAATTCCCTGGAACACACTTAATCCCTGTCAGCCTGTTGTTTCTTGCTCTGGAGAATGTGAATAATCACATTCCCATGTAACAAATAAACTATATGAGTTATTTATTATTTTTTGTTTGATTGTTTATCCATCATTGCACACCCTAGTGCCCAGGACAGTACCTTGTCTAGTAGTCAAATAAAGAATATTTGTTGAATAGAGCTTTTGGAAAGATTAAATAATGATTTGCTTAAAGTGCTTATGCACAGGAAACAGCAAATATAAATGCCAACACGTTTATTAATTTAAAAATATTATTGGCTTTCAGCTATAATATCTGTGATTTGTTGAGGAAGAAATAAATGTTTGAAGGACATATAGATGGGGGCATCATTCAGTGAGAAAGTCTTAAAATTAATTTTACTCTTTAAATATTTAAATTACTAATTGGAAAATATAACTTACCCATATATTGGGAATGATTCTTTCTACCAGTTTAGAAAGGCTGGCCACATATAAGTTCTTAGGGAATAATAACAAAATTTACTTTAAAAGAACATTTTAACGGCCTCTGAATAAATAAAACACCTACCTTTTTCATTATGCCTTTCCCCTTAGAATCAATAGACCTGGGGCAACATTTATTATTCTAGGGACCAATACATTTTTCAGATACTTGAGGATTCCTTTCTTGGTACCCTTTCCTTTTCAGGGAAATTGTCTAACCAATCCAAAGAATGGAGAACTCACATAAAGCCCATAAACTTTGCATGTTGCACTGTCACATATAAAGGAGAAAGACCAAACGTGAAATAAGGCAGACTGTCTTCCTCAGAAGCAGCAACAGTAAGCATATTTCTTTTAAGCAGATAGAGAAGGTTGAATCAAAAATAGTATCAGGTGCTGGATGTGGTGGCTCACACCAGTAATCCCAGCACTCTGGGAGGCCGAGGTGGGTGGATCACCCTGAGATCAGGAGTTTGAGACCAGCCTGGCCAAGATGATGAAACCTCGTCTCTACTAAAAATACAAAAATTAGCTGGGCATGGTGGCGGGCACCTGTGATCCCAGCTACTCGGGAGGCTGAGGGAGGAAAATCGCTTGAACCCGGAAGGTGGAAGTTGTAGTGAGCAGAGTGCATGGAGTGCCACTGCAATCCAGCCTGGGAGACAGAGTGAGACTCCGTCTCAAATAATAATAATAATAATAACAATATCAGGCATTTTAATGGATGTACTATTTTTTAAATACTATGTAGTGTTTATACTTGCATTTAATAAGTGATGAGATTGAATCTTTGAGATTTGAAATGACTGGGTAAATTCATAGAGCTTGTTAGTGGCAGTAATCATCATATTAAAACAAGTCTTAACACTGCTATTCCTTCTGTACTATAACTTCTTAAGGTTATCATTACATTTACCTCATTTGTAGACAATGTTTCCTCCACCCTGAAATTCGGAAAGCTTTCTACTAAAAGAAGAGATTCTTGTCTATTCTGAGATATCCAATTATTTTCCAAGGAAAAATTTATATCAAAAATAGCCTTTTAATAGGAAGCATTTTTTCTTTGTGCATTATATGTAGAAAATAACTAGCACATGTATTACACTTTCTTAGTAATCAATAATCAATACCTATCCTCAGCTTATCATTATCAATGTGATTACTTGTTATTAATATACACACTGAAGGTTACCAAATGCTATTACTTTACAAAAAAGAAAAAACAAAGCAAGAGGTAGAAAAAAACCCTCAAATTCCTTTGTTGGTACTTAGTTCATTTATTTTGACAAGTGCAATTTAATTTTAACAACTGGCTTAATCAGCCTTAATGCTGACTCACTCCAGGGAACACAAAAGAGAAAGCCAGAATCAACTTAAGGGCAGGAAAGGTCTTCTCTGCCTTGTGGTAGAACACAAAATGTTTACTACTTCCATTTATTTTTTGATAGATTTTTTTAGACTAACAATTAAAACATTTACTGAGCATCTTTTATATCTGTAACGCTATGAGAATTGATACTAGAAATACCTTTAAGATTTGTTTCCATGACCCAAATAAAATTCTATGAAAATTTATAATTTTGTTTTCATTTCCTTCCAAGTTTGGACAATTCCCTAGTTCATTTCTGAAATTTACCTTACTATTCTGGTTTTGGTGAGGGCTCCAAATCCTTACTGATTCTGAGATATTTACACAATGTCTTCTTTGAATGACAGAATAGCATGCAATGTAATACTAAGGCAACCACCATTCAAAGTAATAGACAAGCTCTCCTGCATTGCCTCAAAGTACAGACTGTCAATAGAGATGGAAAATTAAATTTAGAGGAAGCACTATTATATATTGTTACAAAGGGTTAAATCATGTCCCTAGGAATATAAAGACAGAAGAGCAGGTTGAGTCTATATGTATATAAATAAATAAATAAGCAAATAAAGTTAAGAGATGTTTTTTTCACCCAACCTGGGGATAGAACATATTCAGAAGTGAATTTACCATGTATCATAAAATATCATTAAGCATAGAATAGTGCTTAAATTTAAAGGAATCCATTACATATATCCTGTCCAAGACCCTGGTAGAGGTGGTGATGAGGGATCTAACACTGTATTCCCATCATCACATATTTTTGTGACATTTTAAATTTTATTAAGTGAAATTAACTGTAATATTTCACTTCAACTTCACCTCCATCTTAATCTTCCTTGTATTAGTGGCCTTGGAGTGACTGTTGGCAATTTGGAGTTTGTCTAAGGGAAGTTGAGTTGGAAATGCACTTGGTTTGACTTAAAGGGAGAGATATTTATATGGTTCACTGTTGTTTTCTTATTATGAAGTTACCTTAAGGCATGAAAGTTTTCCAGCAAAATTTCTACTATCTATTGTTTTAACTTGCGTGGCACGTCTACAAACTCAGAACTTCTGGCAAAAGCCAGAAATCAAAAAATAAGGTGGACATATTTTTTCTCCCCAGCACTACGTGTAGAGCTATATGGGAATATTGAAGTAAAATGTAGATTTGACAAGGATGGAATAAGAAGCTAGCGTGTGGGAAATTCTTCCAATAATCACACTTAACTTACAATTAAGCAGGGGATTTTAAAATCTAGTAGAAACATCAACTCTCTTCTGTCACAAATATACTTAACAACGTGGCATGTACAATCATAATTCACCATATAAGAAACTTACTTTATTTCTGCGTGAAATTGATATAAATTATTCTGACACCAAGAAGAAAATTGTAACACAAATTTTCAAAGCATAACAAAATCACTTATTCAAATATTTGGGAAAAAAGTCATGAATAGGCTCTTGAATTGTTTAATAATACAGCTAGTAAAAATGGATATGTTCTAGAGATCTGCTATACAACAAAACGCCTATAGTTAACAATAGTAGATTGTTTACTTTAAATTTTGTTGATAGGATAGATCTCATGTTAAATGTCCCTAAAATAAAAAAATTAAAATTAAAATAAAAACAGAACACAAAGAGGTATAAGAAAACTCTTAGAGGGAATGGCTATGTCTGTTACTTTGATAGTCCTGATAGTTTCATGGGTATGTCCAAAGACACTAGCTTGTATCAAGTTAAATATATGAGGTTTTTTGCGTATCAATTATACCTCAAAAAAGCTGCTTAAAAAAACTAGTAAAAACTGTAGCATATAAACATACTGGAAAACTTCTAAAAATTTGAATATTTCAATTCCTTCCTATGTAATGAAGTTAAATGAATATAACATACCACTCATAATATACTACTAAATGCAAATAACAATAACTTGATTAATGAGTTACCTAAACGAGAAACCTATCATTTATCATTGCACAAGAAAATTTTAAAAGCCTTAGAGTTTTATATAAAAACTTGATATGCATATAATACACTATTAATAGTACTATTAACATGATATGGTTTGGATCTGTGTCCCTGTCCAAATCTCATGTTGAATTATAATCCCCAGTGTTGGAGGTGGAGCCTGGTGGGAGGTGATTGGATTATTGGGGTGGATCCTTCATGAATGCTTTAGCACCATCCCCTTAGTGGTGTTCCTGAGATAGTGAATGAGTGAGTAATTGTGAGATCTGGTTGTTTAAAAGTGTGTGGCACCTCCCCTCTCTTGCTGCTGGTCTGTTCACGTAAGACATGCCTGCTTTCCCTTTGACTTCTGTCATGATTGTAAGTTTTCTGAGGCTCCCCCAGAAACAAGCTACTATGCTTCCTTTACAGCCTGAAGAACCATGAGCCAATTAACCTCTTTTTATTATAAATTACTAAGTCTCAGATATTTCTTAATAGCAATGCAAGACTGGATTCATACAGAAAATTGGTAATGAGAGTGGGGTATTATTATAAAGATACCTGAAAATGTGGCAGCAGCTTTGGAACTGAGTAACAGGCAGAGGTTGTAAGAGTGTGGAGTGCTCAGAAAAGACAGGAAGATGAGGAAAAATTTGGAAATTCCTAGAGACTTGCTAAGTTGTTATGACCAAAGTACTGATAGTGATATGGACAACAAAGTCCAGGCTGAGAAGGTATCAGATGGAAATGAGGTATTTATTGGGAACTGGAACAAAGGTCACTTTTGTTACACCTTGGCAAAGAGCTCGGATTGTGCCTCTGCCGTAGGGGTCTGTGAAACTTTAAACTTGAGAGAAATGATATAGGGTATACGGTGGAAGAAATGTCTAAGCAACAAAGCTTTTAGCAGGTGGACTGGCTGCTTCTAACAACTTATGCTCGTGTGTGAGCAAAAAAACTAGAACTTACATTTAAAAGGGAAGCAGAGCATAAAAGCTTGGAAAATTTGCAGTCTTACCATGTGGTAGAAAGGAAAAGCTCATTTTGGGGGAAGAATTCCAGCAGGCTGCAGAAATTTGCATAGGTAAAGAGGAGCCAATTGCCGATAGCCAAGACAATGGTTAAAAGGCTTCTAAGGCATTTCATGGACTTTCTTTGCAACCCCTCCCATCATGGGCTTAGAGGCCTACAAGGACAGAATGGTTTCGTGTCGTGGCCAGGGCCTTGCTACCCTGCACAGCCTCAGCATCCTCATGGCCCTGCTCCCTGCATCCCAACTGCTCCAGCTCCAGTTGTAGCTCAAAACGGCCCAGGTACAGCTTGGGCTGCTGCTTCAGAAGGTGCAAGCTGTAAGCCTTGGCACCTTCCACATAGGGTTAAGCCTGCTGGTGCCCAGAGTGCAAGAGTTGAGGCTTCGGAGCCTCCACCTAGATTTCAGAGGATGTATGGAAAAGTCTTGATGTCAAAGAAGAAGTCTGCTGCAGGGGCAGAGCCCTCATAGAGAATCTCTACTAGGGCAGTGCAAAGGGGGAAAAGTGGGTCTGAAGCCCCCACACGGAGTCCTTACTGGAGCACTGCCTCCTAATGCAGCTGTGAGAAGAGGGTCACTGTCCTGCAGACCCCAGAGTGGTAGATACACCAACAGCTTGCACCTGTCACCTGGAAAAGCCACAGGCGTTAAACGTCAGCCCTTGAGAGCAGCCACAGGACTAAACTCTGCAAAACCACAGGAGCAGAGTTTGGGAGCCCACTCCTTACACCAATGTGCCCTGGATATGAGATATGGAGTCAAAGATCATTTTGGAGCTTTAAGATTTAATGATAGCCCTGTTGAGTTTCAGATTTGAGTGGGGCCTGTAGCCCCACTCATTCTCTTGGATGATTTCTTCCTTTTGGAGCAGGAGTATTTACCCAACGCTTATACCCCCATAATATCTTGAAAGTAACTAACATGTTTTTATTTGACAGGCTCATAGATTGAAGGGACTTGTCTTGTCTTAGATGAGATTTTTGACTGTGGACTTTTGAGTTAATGCTGGGATGAGTTAAAATTTTGGAGGACTGTTGAGAAAAGATGATTGTATTTTGCAATGTGAGAAGAATATGAAATTTGGGAAGGGCCAGGGGCAGAATAATACGATTTAGATCTGTGTTCATACCCAAATCTCTTGTCAAATTGTAATCCCCAGTGTTGGAGGTGCGGACTAGTGGGAGCTAATTGGATCATGAGGGTGGATTCTTCATGAATGGCTTAGCACCGTCTCCTTGTTACAGTTCTTGTGATAGTGAATGAGTAAGTAATTGCAAGATCTGGTAGTTTAAAAGTATGTGGCACCTGCCCTCTCTCTCTTGCTCCTGCTCCAGCCATGTAAGACATGCCTGCTTTCCCTTTGCCTTCTGCCATGATTTTAAGTTTCCTGAGGCCTCCCAGAAGTAGAAGCTCCAATGCTTCCTTTAGAGCTTGCAGAATCATGACCCAATTAAATATCTCTTCTTTATAAATGACCCAGTCTCAGGTATTTTTTATAGTAATGTGAGAACATTACTATAGAAGGTCAAAATTGGTTCTGAAGGGGAAGAAATTTGGCTGAAGGAGACAAATTGTGTGTGAGACACATGATATTAAGTAATTTGGTCTTAAATAATTTATATTATATTGTTTAGGCAGTGTGGAGCCATTAAATATTATTGTGAAAGACAGTCACTTAAGCAGTACTAATTATACTATCCTTTTTTTGTTCCTACTGAAGACAGTATACATGGATGAATGACAGTCTGATACGAATATGTGGGAAAAAATTCATGTATTGGATGACTGAGTATACTAGATTAATTTCAAGGTCATTTTTCTCCTTTGGATTTTATGATTGAAATTTACTTATGTAAATTACTTATGAAAGTAAATAAGATGTTTTAATTTTTATTGTTATCCTATTGAAGGGAAAATACTGCTTCGATAATTTATTTTTAAAAAATTAAAATTTCTCCTCTGGTTGTTTAAATATCAGGTACCTAGAAATAATATTCATAAGAACTGAAGTTAAACTTCATTTGCCAACTAATTATCATTCATATATTGGATGATTGGCTGGATAACATACTATGTTTATTTTTACCCTGATAGTTCAGTCAATCTATATTCAAAGGGAAGGGAAGAGCAAAGAGCTTCAGTTAGCCATCAAATATAAACCTTAAATTACTAAACAAACTAGAAAACACATAGTATTGATCCATTATGAAACTTCATTTTCAAGAAATGAAGGAAAGGTTGGTGTTTCAGAAATAAGACTCTATGTTGAACTGCTTGAAGATGTAATTTCCAGTGAATTGTTAAAAAGAAATTTGACCAAGAATGATCCAATAATCAAGTAGTTTAATTTCTATCCCAGTAATGTTTCATCTGTTCCATTAAATAAAGCACCATTTTATGAGCTCTATTTGAACATTCTCCAACAGTCTTTTATTCTAATTTCTTTATCTTACTGGTAAAAGTATCTAATAATGCCTATGAATTGGAATAACATCTTGCTTTCTTAATATATAATTATGGTTGTTTTATGTATGTCTAAACCATATTAAAAATATATGCTTAATGAAACCCCTAGGTCTAGTGAAGCAGGATGATACTCTCACAGGCCTGTCATTATTTACGCCTTTATATATCTGCTTTTTTGTTGTTGTTGTTTTCTTCTCACAGTTACTCAAAGCCAGAAATCACCATCTTTACTTAGCTGAAGCCAAGATGTCTGTGTACCCCTTGCTTCGTTCTCATGGCTGTTTATACCTTTTAACTTTACATAATACAGAATTAATATTGTGCTTTTCTAATAAACACCATTATTCTACACTTATTTCTACCTAACACTAACTTAACCAGTTTAAAAATTAAAATATCAGGAATCATGTATGAAAAACTACCATTTTGACTGTCCATATTTTTATACAGTATTATCTGGGTAAGAAAATGCAAATAAAATGTCAAACACATTGTATGTGTGCTTATTTAGGCTATGGACAATCTTTTTAAATGAAAGTCACAGATAAATCCAGAAGAAGTCAACCTATTCAGTAAAAGGGAAAAACTCCTTATTTCTTCCAGTAAGCATGCAGCTAGTTTTAGACAACACACTAAAGGAAAGTGACTATTATATAAATCCAATTCTAAAAATAAAAAAAAATTATCAAATATCCAGTAATAAAGAGCTACCCAACCTAACTTGTAATAGTAAACACGCAATAGAATTTCTGTAATTTAGTTGTTATCCTTACAAAATGGCAAAATATTGTTCCTTTATTGATCATTATTTTGGGGGCCATTTGTACTAACTTACTTATTACCCATTTATTCCTTCTTAAGAAATATTAGTCAACATAATATTTAATAATATTTTAAAATCCTGTCTCTGCTATATTTAATGTTTAATATCAATTGAAATTTTAAACCATACATAATAAATACCATTTATTTCCTTTTTGGAATCTCTCACACTGACAAATATTTCATTCTTTTCTAAGTCATCTGTATTCCCAGATGAACATAAGGGCATAAATTCCCAGTTACATGAACTTAAGGGTATAAAACAATGCAATGACATGAAAATTCATCTGATACATACCTCTACAAACTGTCTCCACTATATACTTATCCAGATGTTAGTGTTCTGGTTAATATATGTCATCAAACACTGAATCTGCTTGACAAGGATTTCTAATCCAGATCTTACTTACTATTAATACATTCGAAGTGCTAGCATTTTTACATTTACTATAAAACTCACATGAATCATCAATAAATTTAATTTTCTATTTATGACAAAATTAGCGCGTTGATTTCTCCAAAAGTAAGACAGAGATATTCATATGGCAAAAAATACTGAAAGCCAATAATAGTGAACTCAGTCAAAAGACAGATTGATAAAATTTGCTATGCCTGATCCTACATATCAGAACTGTTTTGGGTAAACTCCCAGTAAGTTTAATCATTTGGAAAGACACCAAATAAATTAGAACATACATATGGAAAATATGATCTTGTAAACAATCCATATTTACAACAGTGTGCATTGCTTGATTGCCAATCTGCTGGTGGGATTTACGTATCCTCTTTGCACTTATCTGTTATTTGTGAGTATATGGATTTCTAAACTAATCTTTCTTTCCTTTCTTCCAATCAAATAAAGAGAACAGTAATTGTGCAGTGTCACATGAATAAATATTACTTTCCTAAAGGTGAATCAAGAGTCTTAATTTTGAGTCTATGAAGTAAGTGAAAATGAGGAAAATACACTTTATAATCAGTTTCATAAATAATTCTGCTGTGCTCTCATCTTAAAAGCTTTAGTATCAAGTTAATTTTATTTTTATTAAATTAGAAACAAATATATAAATATACAATTCTGAAAAGTATCTTTTAACAGTATTGGTGTTATTGGTTATTTTCTTGCAAAATGTGCTTATTTAGGCCTAAATCATATGACAGATTGCTGTAACTCTCTACCCATGTCATGTAGGTAAAGAATGCTATGAAACTATTGCTCCTTTATGTAGTAAGGAATTTGATCTCGCCCAAAGAGAGGTCTGGCCTTGTCCTTGGCTAACCTCCAAACTCTTGTAATTTTCCAAGGGACAGGACCATCTCTTGTTATTAACGCTGGGTACCTGAAAGTTTATGCTCAGAAGGTCACTCAGGTAGGCCCATGAGGCTATATAATATGTCACACCTTTTGGGGGTGGTGGTTAAGGTTCAACCGAATGAGTCATGCATCAACCAATCATGCCTAGGTAATGAAGCCTCAATAAAAATTCTGAAGGTCAGGTGAGCTTCCCCGGCTGGCAAAACTCTGTACATACTATCACATGTAATAGTGAAGAGGAGGTGAGACAGTCTGTGTCTCCACAGTGAGTGAATAAGCAGAAGCTTCCTGTTTGGGCCCCTCCCGCACCCTGCCCTATGTGTTTTTTCTTTTGGTTAGTTTTAATTTGTATCTTTTTCCTTATAATAAACATACTGTGAGTATACCATTTCAGTTGGTCCTGTGAGTCTTGCTAGTGAATTATCATATCTGAATGTGGTCTCAGAAAAATCCTGAACTTATGTTTGGTGTTAGAAGTCTTGGGTAGACTTGGCAGCCTGGAGAACTGCCCGGTAACCTTGCAGTTTGGTTAACTCTGGAGACACATAAGGTCAAACTGTTGTAGAGCATTTCTTTTTTATTTAAAATAGATTATAAGCAAAGACTATGTAATCAAGGCATAAATCTAATTATGAATTTCTATTTCTATAATGAATGGTAGCCCCTATAAAGTAATAGTTCAGTATCCTCAATTAATTGATTTCTGAAATAATGTATTTGATTTTATTAATTGAAAATATTTTTACATGTTAAAAACTTTTCAGCTTTAAAAATAATGTGTAAGCACATAATTTACAATATATTTGTTTAAAATAATATGGGGTGAGTTTTGATTAAGAAAACTTTTAAAAATAAAAAATTGTATCTATATAGTCAATGCATTTTTGGTTTTCTTTTATATTTGGACCACTAGTTGTCCACTAGTTATTGTTCATTGTGATCCACTAGTTTATTTTACTGAGACTATATAACTTATTCTTACAAGAGCTCTAACAATGACTAAGAGCAAACAAATTCTGATAATATCAAAACAATTGTATTTACTTCTAAAAGATGCCATAAGCAAACATAAAAAGAATTTTCAAATAAAATATAAAATATTTCATAGATATGAATTGGTATTCTAACAACATTAGTGAAATACCTGCTAGGACCTAGCACGAAGACAATGTGTCCTAAAAGCTGCCTGAAAGACTAGCAATAATGCTGTGCTCTCCTGGCCATTATTTTAAGAGATTTAGGAGACAATTTCAAAACACTAGAAAGCCAGATAATCTTTCATTCTTTTTTTATTTTACTTTTAAACTCAAAGCTGGCATACTTTCCCAATAGGTGAAGCAAAATACTCATTTTTATTTTTGAATGATCAAATTTTCCATTCCCTAGTGGCTTTTTCCATTTGGATAATGATCTTCAGATCTTTGTAGTGAGAAAGAGACAAATTGCATCGATGGGAAGTGTTCCAGAAAGTGAGCTGCAATACTTGACCCAGTGTCAAGCTGGAGTCTGGCTGCTTTTTTTTCCACTTTAATGATGCTAACCTACAGTTATGATGGAGAAATAGAATATATTTCTTCATGGAGACCTGTTGTTCAGTATCACAAAACCTAGATGCTATGCAAGAGGATTAATGACTTAGTAGAAAAAAAGAGTTGAACTCTTCTGGCTACTAGCTACAGAGCTCATCAATCTATTAAGTTAACATCAGCAATGTGTAAGGTTTTGATTTCTAAAACGAGGAAAAAATACTTAGCAGAAATACTTTTAAGAATCAACCAACAAAATCCTTTTCTAAAGTCACAAAAAAATTACTAAAAGGCAAAGTAAGTTTTCTGTTTAATATGTGAAATAAAACATTTCCTTTTAAAGTTAGGTTACCCAAATATCAATAGTATGGTGAAGTATTAATGATTTTCTGTTAGTTAAACTTAGTGCTTAAAAATTTTGCCAAACATGGCAGGAACAAGAGCAGATGGAGTTAAGATGATGAAGAAACTTCTGCCTAAGCTCTTGGATACATTAGCAAATAATCAAACACTTTTAAAAATTGAAATATGTTCTCGTAAAAGATGTGGAAGGATGCCAGTTTGTAGAGAATTACATTCTTTTAAGAGAAAATACATATTATGGGAAAATTATTATGGTGTTATCTTTGGAACCGTATTTTAAAAATGTATTTCCACATACTATGAAAAAACACAATATATTAAAATAGTATAAAATAGTTGACTAATTAAAATAAAATACAAGACCAATATTTCATTAAGAATTATTTCCAATATCCTGAAATTCAAGAATATACCTTTTCTGACCCAAGATTTCATGGTGAATTAAAGATAATTTGTAAAGCTGTCTCCACAAAGTCGTTTGTATGTTTGGTGTTACCAACTGTCCTTTTCTTATTAAATATAGCAGTTTTCTTCTCAATAATGATGGTAGCATTTTTAATGTGATTATTTCTGTTTGTATTTTGATTGTAATCTAGTTATTTTTAATTTGATGTTTTGTTTCCCTGTTCATTTTTTAAGTTGATGGCATGTCATCAATTATTTCTTATTTTCCTTTCTAAACAAAAAAGCAGTTATTTCCCATCCTCAAAAATTATTCTCAAACACAGGACAAAATATCTTTATTCCATAAGACTTTATGCCAGAGTAACGTGATAAATAAGCATTCCTGTAAGCACTAATAACAGATCATCTTTTCTCACAAAAAATATAAAACATATGAAGAAATGACTATACTTAATATTGAAATATTTTTAAAGCATCTGAATTTTTCAGTAGACAAGACTAATAGTGATATAAATGAAGCCCTTCCCTGATTTATTCATTAATGTTTCATATATCAATTGTCTTCAACAACCTTAAAATCTTTTTGTGTCATTAAGAAAAAAATAGCAACCTTACTTGATAAACACATGACTTGAGGAATCAAACATAGTTTTGTTTGTTAAAAGATTTGAAAAGCAGCCCTAAGAACAGATTTGAAAACAGGAAGCCAAAGTAGTGGGGACTTGTTTTTTTTTCCAAATCCTCAAAATGTTTGCAAAATGGCACTAACAACTTCCAAGTAAGATTTCTGGAACTTTATTTTTCATTGGGAAAAGGCTTAGAGTTTAGAAAAAACCAAGTCATCTCATGGAAAAAGTAACTTTTATTATTATTAAATTCAATAACTTATAAAGCTTCGATTTTTAACCTCTTCTAAATAATGTCTTTTATCTATTTAAATATGGATTTGCATTTAAAAACTTAATTCTAGAACATTCACTTTAATCCCTCTGATACCAAACATTCCTGAGTCATTTCTCCTGAAAAACTGTCCCTGTTAGTATTTTACTTAATCAGCATTTTAGGCATTATTTACATTTTTTGGATAGTTTCTATAATAATCAGAGTTAGTGTAATGAAATGTAACTTGGCATTTTTCAATCAACCATAATTGACCCTATATCTATGTCCAGCTTTACTCAACAACAAAAAAGGAAAATTGTTAACTTTTATATTTAGAAAGTTACTTTTCTAACTGCCCAAAATATCAGGAATTAAAGCTATTCTCATGACAAAAAAAATAAGAGAAAATAACACTCATGATTTTGAAATCAATAGAGAATATTTAATGTGATTAGATTTTCAGGAAGTTGAATATGGGTACTGAGATAGCGTTCTTTAGAAAACGAAATAAATTTCCAAAGTTTCTCACACATTTTCCCCAAACTGCTTTAAGTTGATAAGCAGTAGTCAAGCTCTTCATCTTTTAGATGAGAAAATGTTTTGTCTTTATTCTGAATAATAAATTATAGTAGCTTAGAGGGGGAAGAAACAAAACAAAAAGTACAAGAATCTGAAAGCCCTCACAATTAGAATACTGGCACAGAATTTTTATTAATGACTTTCCAGTTTATAAATTCCATTACATAGAAATTTTATTCCCATGACATACCAGGGAAAATAGTGACTGTCTAAAGGGGACCATCATTAGTCTTGGGTCTCTAGGCACTATTATTTTCTAATAGCACCTGATATTTTCGAAGGGAATTGATTCTCTTCCACAGAGTGTAGTCTTGCTAGAAAAGTACCGTCTAGTTCTCTAATTCTACTTCCCACTTTTTTCATTAGATGCCTGGTGGGCCAGATCCTTTATCCATCCATACTTGAGACAGCCTGTAGCTGGTGTGTGACCAACTGATAATGAGATCCTTATCATAATGAAGTGATTATCACTGGTGGGAGCTGAAGGCATGGAGATGATCACAGCAACAGAGATGTACTTTTCAAGGTAAACTGACTAGTCATTCCTGCTATAGATGGTGGTTTTCTTCCTGCTTTCTGCTTCGTAGCTCTCAGGAGCTTTCATAATCTCAGCAGTCCCCAAGACTGCCCTCCCAGACTTTGTTTGATTCTGCAAGTTCCCCAATTTACCTCCCATTTCTTATGAAAATCCTCATTTGCCTTAAGTTACCTGGAATTAATACTTGTCACTAAGAGCACTAACTGTTGATACTACCTTCCTACTAAAAATATATACACTGGAAATTGAATTCATCCTACGTATTTCTTATTTTATAATTTTTTAAAATTATTAATATCAATCTACTTTATGAGACCTGTACTATTTGACCTATAATTCTATATCTTTCTTACATTCAAGTCAATGATACAAGATACTAGTGATTATGAAAAATATTAATAACATTGCATTACATTTTGGACAAAAATTTTTAATTATAAACATACTTCCATATAAATTGTTTCATATGATCATCACAAAAGCTCAACTTAAAGAGAATAAATTCTTATTCTCTGTTTTACAAAAGAACTACCATTTAGTGAGGGTAAGCAGTTTTCTAGTATAGGACATAATAAGTGCCAGAACTTTAAACCACATTTTAAACTTCATATTTAGTGCTATTTACCATACAACCACTGCATCCCAGCCCTGTGCATGGGACAATCAAAGAACAAGTCAGTGGGATATGTTACTATCAAATAAAAAATACAAAAAGAGGAAAGTTTGTAGGCATTGTTCTTAGAACAATGTATTAGATCATATAGAACAGTGTCAAGGGTTGATTGTAATGTCAGATTTCATTGACACAGTCAGAAGAAATCTATAACACTATCAGATTATTTCTCTTACATTTTAAGGGGCCTTGTAGAAATGTCACTGGTCTCCAGGAATCTCCTTCTGCCAGTGTCTTCTACCAGGACACTTTCTCTGGATAAATATGGGAAACTCAAAGGCTTTGGCTACATGAATTTTAAATTTCTTTCTCTCCATAGGCACCCTTTTAGGCCAAGGACTCTATTTATTGTGTCAAGGGTAGAATATCTGAGTATTGAAGAGAGTGGCTGACACAAAGAAGTATGTAACTTCATTTGTCAATTTTAATAATTGGCATGTATTCGTAGGCTTTTAAATAATATTCAAATTTTAAAATCCTGTAACTTGGGTCTTCAAAGGAGCCTCCTTCCAAAACAATTTCCAATAGACATAAGGAGAAATGATGGATGTGACAATATATATGTGAACCAGAATTATATTTGGATTTAACAGGTCAATTATTCAGCTGATATTTCTATTTGAATACGCTTACACAGGAAAATGTAGGGATAAGTTGAATTTATGGTGATGAGGAGTGGAGCACGTAAGGTCAGGGGTAGCACCATGATCCATGGTGCTGAAGGGCCAACAGGTCCCAAAGGCTAATGGATCAAAAGCAGATGATAACATTATGTATCCAGCACCATGCTCCTAAGACCTTGCACACTGTGTGAAAGGTGACCACACTGCTGGATGAAATTCCAAGTGAAGCGGCATACACAGATTCTCTTAAGGGAACGTTTGAACTTTTGATCAAAATACAGCCCAGTGAATTCTGGAGAAAGAGTCTGAAAAACATCAGAATATTTTTGTTCTAAAGAATGTACAGTCTAGTCATATTGTATTGTGTCTTGTCATATTGTATTTTTCATAATATTTATTCTGATGTGATTTGCTATTTGAATGCTGTTTCACTCTCTGAAATATGAAAAACTTGGATCCTTCTTGACCAAATTACTGTAAACAATGACAGACTTATTGGACCTTACATAATGACATTCAAACAGAACAAAATTCAGTCCTGTGTGAGGAAGATGAATACTTCCAACAGACCAAACAGAAAAACTTAATTTTTCCTCCTGCCTGAGTCATACATCCCCAGAAGACTCACACTACGTATTTCCTCTCTTCTGGGCTGGAATTGGTCTTACTCTGTGCTTACTTGCTGCTATTATGATGTTTAAACAGCAAGTCATTGAAGGAGATAGAAAAATGGTCAAATAGTATCCACATCACATCTACTTACAGTAGTGCTGGAGTAACATAATGCAATTCTGTAGAGTTGTATAATTTTTCTATTATTTATTTATTAGAAACAGGGTCTTGCTCTGTTGCTCAGGCTGGGAGTTCAGTAGCACCATCACAGCCCACTGCGCCCTCAAACTACTTAGCTTAGGCGATCCTCCCACCTCAGCCTCCCAAAATACTTTCTTAAATACTACATGATGTTGATTTCTTTGCTTTTACTTTGTGGTGAGCTCTAGTGCTGAAAAGGGTCTTCTCCCTCCATTTCTTTCCTGTTTCTAAATTCTGTTTATCTAAATAACATAGGGATAAACCTGAAAAGCAGGATATTACTAGAGACAAGGTTTTGAGCATTTGTTATTTATGCTTTCATAGCCATGTCTACAGAGAATTAAGGGACAATGCCTTTTATATGTTTAATTTTATTTATTACCATAAGATCCAGCTACAGGTCCAAACTCGACTATAATTCAATTAGCAGAAAAAATATCTGTCCAAAGGAAACTACTAGAATGGCAATACTGTTTTAGGACACTTGCTGTTATCTTGTAACTGTTAAAATAAGATTTCTCTGTTTTACATCAATCAAAGGATACAAGTTTCAGATTTTGCCATTGCAGTATGGACTATATTAACTGGTGTTTTCTTGATTTGTGACACTGTTAGATGTTATTTTCATCACTGTGCCAAGGGGTAACTGAATAATCATTTGGTCTAGCCACTACTTGTAGGTTAGCGAACTTCTGAAAGAAACATGCACTTAATAGACCATGCTGAAAGATATAAATACTCCTTAATTATTAGCAAAGCTTGTGTTCCAATCCTGGCAGAAAGGTCTCTGTTAATAAACTCAGTGTGTGTTTTAACTCCAGAATGCTGAAAAAAATAGACATTTTTGGTCAGTCTGAACTCAAACCAAATATCTTGCCACCTGTAGGCAGACCCAAGAAAAAAGAAATCTCATTGCTGAGAAAATAAAATTTTACATTAAAGATTTTTTAATGAATATAAATGTTTAAATATTATTACATTTGAAGATTACATAGCACAAAAAAGTTGTGAAACTTTACATATAAACAGGAAAGCGTGAGGAAGAAAGAAGGGCAGGGGAAAAACACCGTAACACACCATGACCAACCCTACAAAAGTGTGGTCAGATCAAGGTCATAGAATGAGATCAATCTGATTAGCCATTCCTCCTCCAAGGATTTAGTCAACTAAGCAGATGCTGCATTACCGTTTCATTTATTGAGCCAGTATTGATTTTAAAATCTAATAATTCCAGCCCAAAATCTTTTGTTAGTTTCTTTTCAAAGTTATTTTTTATTGAAGGGTGACATAAGTGAAGAAAATGTATTACTCATAAGTGTGTAGTCTGATAGATTCATATAACTATATAGATTGAGAAAAGGGGATGTCATCTAGACTCAAGAAGCCTCCCATGTGCTTCTGTACTGTCAAAACATTTTCTAGACCGGGTGAAGTGGCTCACGCCTGTAATCCCACCACTTTGGGAGGCTAAGCCAGGTGGATCATCTGAGGTCAGAAGTTCAAGACCAGCCTGGCCAACATGGTGAAACCCCGTCTCTACTAAAAATACAAAAAATAGTCCAGTGTGGTGCACGTGCCTGTAATCCCAGCTACTAGAGGGTGCTGAGGCAGGAGAATTGCTTGAACCTGGGAGGCAGAGGTTGCAATGAGCTGAGATCATGCCACTGCACTCCAGCCTGAGTGACAAAGTGAGACTCTGACCCTTCCCACAAAAAAAAAAAAATTCTAGCATAGGTAACCACTATTTTGACTTTTAATGTCATAAATTAATTTTACCTGTTTTGATCGTTATAAATTGAATTACAAATACCGTGGGATTTTTTCTTTGCTGTTTTCCAGTAATCATTAGTATGTGATATTTCTTACACAAGAAGAATTGGTTGCACAACAGGTTGTGGTTGCACAACAAAACTTCATTCATTTTCATTGCTATGTAATATTCCTCTTTGTGAATATACCACAGTTGCATTGCTTATTTTACAGTTGATGAACATGTAAACAGAATTCAGATTGGGCTGATTGCAAATGCTGCTGTACGTGATGATATGGTTTGGCTGTGTCCCCATCCAAATCTCATCTCAAATTGTAGTTCCCATAATCCCCATGTGTTGTGGGAGGGACCAGGTGGAGATAATTGAATTGTGGGGGCAGTTTTCCCATCTTGTTTTCATAATAGCATAATAGTGAGTTAGTTCTCATGAGATCTGATAGCTTTATAAGGAGTTTTCTCCTTCACTGGGCACTTATTCTTCTTCTCACAGCTGCCATGTGAAGGACATGTTTGCTTCCACTTCCGCCATGATTGTAAGTTTCCTGAGGACTCCCAATCCATGCTGAATTGTGAGTCAATTAAAACTCTTTTTTAATAAATTACCCACTCTCGGGTTTATTAGCAGCATGAGACAGACTAATACATGTGAATACATTCATATTAATACATGTCTTTGGAGGTTCGGCTGTATTAGTTTATTTTATGTAAATAGAAAGAAATGAAATTCCTATAAGTGAGATTATACGTATGTTTAACTTTATTAAGTATTTACTATCAAAGGGTTTTCCACAATGGTTGGTCCAAGCTTTATACCCATTGGCAAGGTATGAGAGTTCCATTTACTTTATGTTAACACCACTTCTTATTGTCTTCTTTAGTTTCTTCTTTTGTAGGTGTGTATTGGTTATTTGTGATTTTAATATTAAAATATCTTTGCCTAGCCTAAATCATAAAAACACTTTTCTGTAATATTTTCTCAGAGTTATTGTTTTACATTTGAAGCTTAGTTTCTTATTGATGTGAAATCGGTACTTGTGTAGTTGAGGAGATGAGGGTCAAGATTATTTGTTTTCCACATTGATACCCACTTGGTCCAGCATCTTTAATTTGAAATGTCACCCTTTATTCATTGTACTGCATTATTGAATATTTTCATAAATTTTGCATTAAAATATTTTTTCTTGACTCTATTTTGCTACATTAGTCTATTTTTCTTCCCTGTGATATTACCCTATTATCGTAATTTCATTTGCATCATAATAATTCATGATATATGATAGACCAAATTCTCCAACTTCATTGCTCTCCTTCAAGATCTGTTTGCCTATTCTTGCCTATTTGCAATTACATAAATTTAAGAGTTATTTCATCAATTTTAGAAACACTGATTATATTTTGATTGGTTTTACATTAAATCCAATAAATTTGTGGGAATTTAACATATTTATAATATTGGGGACACTGACAAATAGATGTCTTGAAAGCTTTTGTTACATTAATACGTAGGTTGTTCATGTTTGTTAGATTAATTACTATGCATTAAATGCATATTATTTTTAAGTGTTCTAATCATTTGTTGTTAGTATGTAGAAATAAAATTGCTATTTGTATATTGGTCATCTTTGAGTAAAATTCTCAAATTCAGTTGTTTATTTTATAATTTATCTGTAGATTATTTTGAATTTTCTTCTTAAACAATCATATCATCATCACATAATATTATTTTCTTCCTCTCTAATCCTTGGGACATTTATTATTCTTTCCTTGATGCATCAGCAAGGTTCTCTCTAATCCTTGGGACATTTATTATTCTTTCCTTGATGCATCAGCAAGGTTCTCCCAGGATAGTGATGAACAAAAGCATTAATAGTGGTCACTCCAGTCTTATTCCTAAAGTCAGGGGAAGTTTTCATTACTTCACTATTAAAACATGATGCTTTACATATTTTTTTGTAGCTAACTCTTATCAAATCAAGAAAATTATTTTAACTTTTTGAAACATTGGTTCATAAGTCAAGTCAACCTAGTATTCTTCAAATAAATCTAAGCTATTGTGATATACCATCTTTTTCATGTATTTCAATACTACATCTGCTAATATTTTATTAGTTTTTTGCATCTTTGTTCATAGGAGAAGGTGGCCTGATTTTTGCCTTTATTGTAATGTCCTTGCCAAGCTTTATATAAAGAGTATGGATGTCTCATAAACAGGTTTATAGATTATTCTTTGTTTTTCTGTTTTCTGAAATAATTGTATAATAATTATAATATTCTTTCCTAAATATTTGGAACAATCTTCTGGTAAACCTATATGGAGTTCACTTTAAGGGAATGCTTGAATTATTGACTACATCTCTTTAAGAAACATAGGACTTTTTGAATTTTATATTTCTTCTTGAGTCAGTTTTGCTGAGTGTTTTGCAAGAAATTTTCTCATTTCCTTTAACTTTTCAATTTTTTCAGCAGAGTTGCATATATTTTATTTTGATTTTAATATCTTTATTTAGTCTCTTTTTTTATCCCCCTTACTGATATTGAGTTTTCTCTCCCTCTGTCTGTTTTAATGTTCTTTTCTAAGCATTTATACAATTTTATGAATATTTTAAAGGAACTAAATTTGTCTTGGTTAACTTAGTTTGCTGTGTTTATTTTCTTAATTTTTTATTATTAATCATAATGGAAAAGGCCAGGTGGAAGTGACCAACGTTTAATAAAATAAAAGCAACATAATTTCCTGCAAGCTACGATGGAGATAAAAAATCATCCTTAAGTATTTATATAGAGATAGTGGACTCATCATATCTTGGTTTAATTTACCAACTTTGCCCCTGCAGAAATGGATGGATGCTGGGTGACTAAAGACTAACTCAAGCTCATCCAGTAGTAGCCCCAATCACAATGACTGTGACAGTGACAGATGTGTTAGGTGAGTGTTATATGTAGTAAGGTCGCAGATAAATGATATGCAACAATTGATTTTGAAAATGTGCTCTTTTTTATCCTAATTAGAGTCAGAATTTTTTTAATTAACATAAAAAGGACAAATTATACACTTATAGTTTTGTTCCAGGCCTATGTACATTCTCCCACTTTCTTTTATAATATAGTTCAAAAAAATCTGGACTGTTCAGATGGTCTTAGCATATCATATTGAATCATTATATCAATACCATTATATCAGTTGGGCAGAATGAGAAAGCAGTGACTTAGAACTTGAAAAGATACATGCATTTCTAAAGGTTAAAAACATAAATCTGGTGAAGATTCAGAAGCCTGCCACACTCATAAAATGTAGGGGTTCTGGTGGTCAGAGTGTGCCAAAACATCCCCTTATAGTAAAGATAATGATTAAATCTTGCAGTTTCTAAACCAAAGAACAAATCACAGTCCCAGGTGTGCTTCTTTATGATGAGAGTCAGTCTGTTCTATGCATGGGGACACTTACCTGCTCCATTTTTTGAATGACACAAAAATCTGCCAGCTTTGTTTGAATGGGACTCAGAGCAAGAAAGACTTTGTTCTGGGTCCAAAATAAGGTGGAGGCAGCTTTGTCGTACAATCTCACTGACCCTATGATTTTAGAAGTATCAGTGGTGATAAAAGATGCTTGTGGCAAGATCTAGTGGGAAAAATCCCATTGCAGGGGTTCTCGAGCAAGTCCATGTCATCTGTAAGCCATTGTCACTTTTTGAAAAACAATACCTCGTGCTATTGAACTCTGGAAGAGAAAGACTCTCTAACCACAGGACACTGAGTAACCATGCAGCAAAAATCACCTGTCATGAACTGGATTCTGCAAAACTCACAAAGATCTAAGGCAGGGGAAGTCCACATACAATCCATTGTATGATGGAGTGGTATATGCAGGATCAAGCACTAGCAGGGACAGGGAACATGAGCAAGCTGCATAAGCAGGCAGCCTAGACCACTGCAGCACTGGCACACTTCAAGCTGTTCATGGCTATGACCAGGAGAAAGAAGAGGAAAGTGCCCAATCTTGGTTTACAAATCTGTCACCTCAGTGTGTGAGTTCAGACCATAACAATGTATGGTCATTGCATTACGGTTCAACTAAAGAGTACAGTTTTAGACATTTGTGAGATAAAATCCTCAGAATCATCAGAAATTCAGGTAGTGGATCTGGTCATTAACTTGGTTTGGAAGAATAAATAGAAAAATAAGTGGCCTGAAATTATAATATATAGATTCATGAGCAGTGGGAAAATGGCTTGGCAGGCTGGTCAGGGATCCAAAAGTTTTAACGAAAAAAGGAGAGTCAGGATAGTCAAGGAGATGGAAACCTAAAGGAAAGGTTTATGGATAAACCCATGAAATTGGACTAGAAATGTGATGATCTTTGCATTTCATATCAATGCCCATCAGAGATCATTTACTGTGGAAGAGGCATTAAACAGCCATGTACAGAAAATGACCATGCCAGTTGGTATCAGCCTATGTTTATCTTTGTCCACCAGTGCTGGCATGATGGGCCCATAAATAGAGTGGAAATTCTGGCAGAATTGGAGCCTAAGTACACGCACAAAAGCATAAACTTTAAGTGACCAAACCTGATCTAGCTGCTACATCACAAAATGTCAAACCTACCAGCAATAGAGAGTGTTTGATCCTCCAGCGTGAGCTCCCACATAATATCATGTTAGACTAGGGAATCAACTTCTTAATGAAAGAATATGCAAGAGTTAACCCTGAATTTGGTGTCTATGCCCTGGTAAGATTCTACCTTCACATCACAAAAAGTTGCTGGCTTGATAAAATGTTGAGATAGCTTTGCTGAAAGCACAAATGAGGAGCCCAACTGAAGGCAATACTCTCTCAGGATGTGGTATCATCCTCCAGGATATTACATATATTGAGTCAAAAGTTATTGTATGGCCTTGTTGCCAATAAAAAGAATACATGGGTCAGGAACCAAGCAGTGGAAAGAGAAATGGTCATACTCAGCATCTCTCCCAGTGAGCCACTTTGGACTCTGCAATGTTGCAAGTCCAGGAGATATAAATGAATCATGAACTCCCACTGCCACTGAGTACTTCGGGCTCCTTGTGTTCATGGACCAGAAGCCAACAAGTGAATCACTTTCCTAGCAGTGGCAACTAACCGTGATCATCAGAAGGAGGGAAGGACCAAGAAGGAATATGTATGCAAAAAAGATGATCCACTTGGGTGCCTCTTGGTATCACCTTGCTCAATTGTGTTGATACCATATTCAGGAAAGGATATCCTGAACAGGATATGGTAACCAGGAGGAGGTAAGCCCTCTCCAAGATGTGTGTCTGGGTCACAGTTAAGCCAGTAAGGAAAAATTGAGACTGGATAGTGGAGTTGGGACATAATGAGTGTCAATTGAGGATCCCAGATCTACCTAAGGGGTAGGAACCGTGGTTCTTCTGCCTAAACTCACCTTTCTAAGTTTCTGCTCAGGAAAACAGGTCCTCGAGAGGAGCTGCTTCGTCACTGTATATGGAGAAGTGGATTCAGGCTGCACAAAAGTTGAAATGTGAAAGAAGAGGGAGTGCAGTACCAAGATCCCCTTGAAAGAAGGACGAGTGCCCAGACTTGGGAAGGGGATTGTTGGCAGTTATCTTCTAGCTAGCAGCTCCCTCGGTGTCTACCTTTCCTTCAGAAAAGCAGCAAATCACCTCCTTGCCAAAGCAGCCCATTTTGGGGACTAAGCAATGCAATGGGTAGAGATCTAGCCATTTCGACTAGAGCCAGAAAACAAATAACAGTCTTTTCTTACTCCAGAACTTTCTACTGGGTTGACTCATGCTTTTTTTAGACTGCATTGTACTTTGACCATTTTCTCTGACATATCTTGCTTCCACCACCTTACTTTCACAGGCATCAAGTCTTATAAGTATCTTGCCCCCAAACTCTGAGTGTATGTCTCTAAAGAACACAAGCTGTAATGCTCTGAACCCGTGAGACTGACAAAATCTCCAAGCCCCTGCCTCTTCTTGACTTTCCTCTTTGCTCCTTATATATTAGCAAGTACACTGAAGAAAAAAAAAGCAGAAAATGTCAGCTTCACCACAACAAATTTTACCTCTTTCTAATATCTTGGTTCCTCAAATCTGACCACCTTAACTGCCTTCCAATACCTATTTTTGTATTTTATCTAGCTTTATTGGCTATTTTTGGTGGGGAGCTTGAATTAGAATGTTGTTACCATGTTGTTTCAGTCAGTTCAGGCTGCCATAACAAAATTCCATAAGTTGAGTGGCTTAAACAACAGAAATTTATTTTCTCAGAGTTCTGGAAGCTAGAAGTCCAAGATCAGGATGCCAGCATGTTTGATTCCGCTAAGGACTCTCTTCCTCTGTTATATAGACTGACACTTTCTTCCTTGGTTCTCCTCACTTAGTGGAGTAAGATAGCAAGCTCAAGCTCTCTCTGGGGTCTCTCTCTCTCTCTTTTTTTTTTTTTTTTTTGAGACATGGTCTTGATTTGTCATCCAGCCTGAAGTGCAGGTGGCACAACCATGGCTCACTGCAGCCTCACCCTCCTCTTAGGCTCAATCAGTCCTTTCACTGCAGCCTCCCAAGTAGCTGAGGTTACAGATGTGTGCCACTATGCCTGGCTGAGTTTTTGTTTTGTGGTGTTTTGTTTGTTTTAGTTTTAATAGAAATGCTATCTCACTATATTGCCAGGGCTGGTCTCAAACTACTGGGCTCAAGCGATCCTTCTGCCTTAGTCTCCTTAAGTGCTGGGTTTACAGGCATGAGCCACCGCACCTGGCCTGATGTATCTTCTTGTAAGGACACTAATTCCATCATGAGGGTCCCACTCTCATGACCTCGGCTAAACCTAATCACCTCTCCAAAGCCCCATCACCAAGTACCATCACATAGGATTCACAATGGGGCTTCAACATAAGAATTTAGGGATGAATTCAATTACAGCATGATTGCTACAATTCAATCCACAGCATATGCTATAAGTAGATAATTACAATTTTATTTTATTTTATAGTATCATAGGAAAATAACTTTAAAAATTAAAGTAATGTTTAAAAGTTCCCCAAGCTTTCCCATTTTATCTCCTTTCCAAGAGGAAATCAGTATTTTAGTCATTTCACCTAAACTTTGGAGTTAATGTCAGGCTACTATAAATTATCATAAGCATTTACATGTAGATTCAATTTTGACATTGTGTGTTGACTCTCTGTGATGGTAAACAAGAACACTAGTTTACTTATACATAAAATCCTTCATCCTACCAATGTAATTATCTCTCAAATTTTATTAAATTTATATTTCATATTTTAATTACTGTGTCTATGTGAATATCATTACGGCTGGGTCAAGTGATACACTATCCATTTCTTAAATTTCTCACACAAATTTTCCCAAAAAAATGTTTAATTGTAATTTAATTATATACCACCTCTCTTTTATTAATTATAATTTCACATCTAAATAGTCTCCCTATACTTTTAAAAACTCACCCAAATTATCTCCATTTAAATTGATATATGGAGAAATCTGTTGTGATAACTTATCATTTCCATTTATTTACTTTTTTTCCTGGAGGTGGCCCTCTGGAGCCTTCTGACTTCCTACTGTAGTCTTACCTATTTGCTCACTAGGTCCTTTGCACTGCTCTCATCCTGGGCTTACTTTTCTGTCATCCTGAAAATTCTCTTCCCCTCTCTTTGGTGTGTGATCTCTTGTTTCATACTTTGATTTATATTTTTCTCACCACTTCTCCAGCCTTTGTCTGCTACCAAGTCACAAAGCCAATGTTACATATTCCAGGTTTTTGTTATGGTATTACCCTGCTAGGCATCAGTTCCTGAATCAATTAGCCTCTATCTAAAATCACCACAAATCACAATCACTTAGCTCATGTTCTGTGGGAGATTTGGAAGGATCAGGAGGTTTTTCTGTTCAGAGGTAGCTGGAGTAATACCTGCTGTGCTCGAGCGAGACTCCACCTGAAAAAAAAAATACCTGCTGTGCTCATTTGTTTTTGGCTAGCCAACTGGTCAGCCTACAGATAGGTGGTATAAGATCACCTAATCACGGCGGGCGCGGTAGCTCACGCCTGTAATCCCAGCACTTTGGGAGGCAGAGGAGGGTGGATCACGAGGTCAGGAGATCAAGACCATCTTGGCGAAACCCCGTCTCTATTAAAAATACAAAAAAAATTAGCCGGGCGTGGTGGTGGGTGCCTGTAGTCCCAGCTACTCGGGAGGCTGAGGCAGGAGAATGGCGTGAACCCGGGAGGCGGAGCTTGCAGTGAGCCGAGATGGCACCACTGCACTCCAGCCTGGGCGACTGAGCAAGACACCGTCTCAAAAACAAACAAACAAACAAAAAATCATCTAATCACATGCTTGTTTTCTGACAGATTGACAACTAAGCTGTGTTTGTTCTGCTCCCATGCAGTTTTGCGTACTCTAGTAGAATGGCTCAGGTTTGTTTACATTACGGTCCAATGCTTACAAAGTGATATAGTTTGGATCTGTGTCCCTCACCCAAATCTCATGTTGAATTGTAAACCCCAATGTTGGAGGTAGGCCCTGGTGGGAGGTGATTGGATCATGGGGGCAGTTTGTCATGGTTTAACACAACCCCGCCTTGGCACTGTTGTGGTAATAGTGAGTTTTCATGAGATCTGGTTGTTTAAAAGTGTGTAGCACCTCCCCCCTCTCTGTTCCTCCTGCTACAGCCACTTAAAGTGCTAGCTCCCACTTTGCTTTCCAACATGAGTAAAAGCTCCCTGAGGCCTCCCCAGAAGCAGATGCTGCTATGCTTCCTATACAGCCTGCAGAACCATGAGCCAATTAATCCTGTTTCCTTTATAAATTACCCAGTCTCAGGCGTTTCTTTATAGCAGTGCGAGAAGGAATGCATGAACACACCACAAGAGCAAGCTCTAGTGCACATGAACGTTTGATGCTTGAGCTCTCTCTAGCTTGAGAGAAGCTAGAGCTTCTCTCATTTTTTTCCAAATCAAATGGGTCAAAATCAGTCTCAGAGTTATCACAGAATTAACGGGTCATGGGAATGGAAGGGAAGAACCTTGAGCCCTATTTGCAGTCTATCACTTTATCTTCCATAGCAGTACATTTTCCTATCTAATACGAAATTTAGGCTGAAAACTTTTGAATCATTTGTGATACTTTCTATGTATCATCAACCTATGTATTTACCTGCCTATTTTTATGTATTTGTTGATTATATATTTACAAATACTTCTAAATAGCTTAAAATTTGCCACATATTGTTCTAAGTCTTATTTGATAATTTACCCTCTAATCTGAACGTATCTATAAGGTACCACTATTAATATTCTTAAATAACACATAAGGAACCTATGGCCAAAGAAGTTAAGTGCATGCCCAATATCACAAGTGGAATTTGAAGCCAGAAAGTCTAGGTCTCAAGTTTGTGTTCCTCATTGTGGCTCTCACATTTGGCTTTTGGCCATGTCACAGCTGCCCGCCATCACTGTATTTAGAATTTTCCTACCTATGATAGCACTTATCACTTCTTTCTTTTATGCACCACCTTCCTAATTTTTCTTAAAAAATACTTAAAAACTCACCATGAACTACTTAACTATCCACCAGTAAGCTAGTATTTTCCCTTCCTCTAAAACAGCATGACTTTTTTCAATTTCCTTACATGTTATACTCACCCATAATACTAACCTTTCCCTCAGGGTCTTAACAGCTAAAATATATCATAATATCTTCCCTTCCTCTCCCAATCCTTTCCATGTTCAAACCTCATGCCCCCTTTTTTTAAATAGCCTCTGTGATGTTTCAGTTTCTTTATGTTTCCATCTCCAGGTATGTGCCGAAACTATATTAATCAATACTCCTTTTGACAGATCATTGGTACTTCTAATAATCATGTTCTGTTTAGAAGTATAGTTTTTTCAAATACAATCTAAATTTACTTCATCATTAAAATTATTTCTTTGTTTATTATTTCTTTTTTATTGAGCATTGCAAAAAGAAATTACAGAGAAATTATGCTTTAGGGCCTCATGTTCAAAGATAATGAAACAGATTATTTTTAATACATATGTATTATACATACAGATATACAGTACATAAAATTGTTGAATAACAGTGTAAACCAGAAGCACAGCCTTTTGAACACAATTTCCCACTAGTAGTTGGCATAGAAAGAGTTGATTTTAAAGGATGAGTCCTTTGGAGAACTACTCAAAATAATTTTAGGGAATTATTAAGATTTCTAAATTTATCTGAAGATGAATAAAAATGTGTGATTAATTGAGAGGATAATACTATTCTAGGATTAGGGGAACACAGTGAGAAAATCTTCAGAGCTTGGTTTTTGCAAATTGTAAGCAGAGTGGTGAATAGTAAAATAGGTAATAATAAGAGAAGAAAAAGGTCACATAGTGAAACATATAGTAAGAAGCCCTAGGTCTAAAAGAGAGCTCAAATTAAAAGTATAGTTACAGCTATTTGTTGATCTGTAATTATTTCTGACTGGCCAACTGAATGCCTTCTGCTACAAGTAGGAGAAATAGTTTTAAAGGCATCAAAAACTGATCTAATAGAATAAACCTCATTTAAACTTCATGAGAAATGTGTTACCCTAATTTTCAGGTCTATGTCTTTGAGAAATAAAGAAACCTCCAATCTACTTTTAGATATTCTTTTATTGTGAGCCTGTCTTAGAAAACACTGGTTAACTTCTAATTTGCCAGTTTTATAATACCATAGCTTTCTTTCTTACTCTAGCTTTGATGGATAAATCATCACAAAATGTAGTGTAATAGCAATAGAACCCAGCCAATAGTAAAAAAAAAACAACAAAACTCACCCTCTGGGAGACATGACTGAATAAGATCTGATGCTACAACATAGCCTTCCTAATTTCTCAAATCTTACAGATAGATTATAGCAGACTTAGACTGTATCTGACTACATAATATAGTAGAATAAATATTGGGAATGCAGTTATAGTTTTGGATAAAAAAGATCCAAATGTATGTTCATCCTTTTACTTAGCTAAAACAGCTCAAACAAGTAAAAATTAATTCTCTAAATGTAAATATTCTTGTGTATAAAATTTGAAAATGATGATACCTGACATTGTTAAGAGTTATAAATATGAAAATAGCTAATGCATATTAAGTGTGGTGGACACTGTGTTATGTGCCCAAATTCTCTTTCAGGATTAAAGATGTATTTGTCCAGCCACTGAAGGTGTCACTATATGACAGCCCTCAGATGTTAGACTTGACCAATAATTTTCCTGAACTGAAAGAACGGTCTCTGCCTTATCTAAGATGATACACTTCCTAGGGCAGCCATCATCTAATAACTCGAAATACGGGACGTACTTACTAGAAGAATGGAAATTTTTGTTATCCAGTGGCAAATATTTGATTAATGTTTGTCCCAGAGCAATTTTGGAAGTAGATGATTTATCACATGAATCTGTATCTCTAAGGGAAGAGGATCTAAAAGAGATTGTTAGTTACAGCCATCAATTGTTGTTGGCAAGATATTACGGAAAGCTTTGTTACCAAAATTGTTGGAATATATATCTTTTTCAACTCTTCTCCTACTGCCATAGTTCCATTCATTTATTCTAAGCCAAAGTGAGAGATTTCAAGTCATCTTTAACTTTCCAGTGTTTGAGTTCCCTCATCTAATTCATCACCATATTCTACTTTACTTCTTCCAAAATGTCTTAGATGTTCCTTTTCCACTGAGAAATTGGTTATCATGTTAAGAAGCAGAAAGTGTGATATAAAAAGCCTGCATTTTAAACTAAGCAGATGGGATTAAAATCTAAGACCTAACCCTGTGTAGTCTCGGAAAAATCTTAAAACCTTTCTAATTTTCAGTGTTCTCATCTTATAAATGAAGATAATGACCTCTACATTTCCAATTTTAGAAAAAATTAAAAAAAAATAATTAACATGCATGTGTTCAGTCACTGCATAACACATTATAAGTACTAAATTAATAGGAGCTATGTGTAATGGCACAATTGATGTATTCATTCTGCTGTCTAGTGAGACAGAAGCTCCTACCTAGCCGGCTTGTCTCCATTTCCTTACCACGTACTTCATATAATCATTTTACATGAAATATTCACCATTATGATAAAGAGCTTAATATATTATTTTCATTATTATATTCCTTTGAATTCAATGAATTTTATTGGCTAACCATCTTTTCTATGCTAACTTTCCCCTAAATCAATTTTTCCTGAATCTCCAATATTACCCTCGATTCCAGTAAGAAATTCCTCCTCATTATTTCCCAATAAATTTGCTAGCTTTTTATGCGCTGTGCCTTTTCTCTTTTTCTGCCTAAATCACATCAATACTTTAAAATTCAGTTCATATCTACTCTATAAGATTGCACTTGATTAAATCATGCTTTACTAATCTTTTTTCTCTCATAGTATAATGCATCTATTCAATTGCTCTCAAACAGTTTGATATAGTTAGTTAGATATTAATCTACTTGAGGAGAGAATACTTGAATTCAATTATTTTATATTCTCCCCAGAACATGAAACAAAGCTCCATAAACATTAAATTCTAAAACAGTTCTATTGGTAGGTAGTTCATTTTTTCCTTGATGTTAAATTCGCTAAGATATTTTATTTTATGTAATATTATACGTTTACTGTATTCAAAATTGACAGGTATACATAGAAATACTAGTTGACTTTTGCTTTATTTCATTTTCACATTAAAATTAAAAAGATGTATGTGTAAAACTAGAGAGAAAATAATTCTGTTTAGGACATTTTCAATTTAATTTATCACAAATTATATTTTGATACTTATGCAATATTTAGGTAAAAGATAACGTAAACTTTCCATTTAACTTATGTGATTTAAGCTGATACTTAAGATCGGTAAGGAGGAAAATTAGAATTTTTTTCTCATAAAATCTGAATGGATTTTTTTCCCAACTTTTAAAAACTCAACATTTTGGAGGACAATAACTTGATTATTTGAATAATTAGGATACAAATCTATAGCAACTTTCTGGCATGTAAATTATTCATACAATTGTAGAAATTTTTCTATCTCTATTTAGAAAATATAAAATCTCATACAACTTTGTTCATGCAACTAATTCTGTTTCTCTATTAGCAGAGTTGCTCTTGTTGACAGATCAAATAGAAAATAAAAAATAATGAACAATATGTATTTTATTTAATCTTTAACTTCCCTAAATAGCAAACATATAGGAAATTTCTATTGAGCTACAGTAATATTAAAACCTACAAAAATATTCCAGTTTATTTTCATTTCTCAACACACAATTTTACTGAAAAAATACTCATAATTATTGTGTATACTGGTAAGTGCTTTACGCTTTCCAAGTGTTCTCATCTCCAGTATATTTTTCAACCTTCAGAGTTACACTGGGAGAAAAATCAATAGAAAAATAACTGACCCCCAAAAGGTTAAATGATTGGCAGAGTACGCAACTAGTAATTGAACCTCAAAATTAAAATCAGGTAATCTGACTATTGAGTTTGTGGTGCATTTTACAATAGGCAGTTGCTATTCAATTCAAAGACATTGTCGTATGTGAAAAACTTACTCTTTTGTCTTTTATATTTCAAAACCACTCACAAGAAATTGAGCAAACTGTCTCACTCTGCCGAAACATTTGTGATAATTGACTATTTTTATCTATCATGCTTTTTAAATAAAAAATACATATTGGATATTGTAAATCAGAATAGAAAAATCTAAGTGACAGATATATCGTCCTCTTAATTTCAGCCTTTTTGAATCCTGTTATATATAAGAAGAGAATTACATATTGAAAAAGTAAAGAGATTAAGGAAAGCAGATAATCATGGTAAAATTTCTGCTTCTCTGAGTTCTCCCTATAGCTCGTAAGTTTTTCTTAAGTCCTAAATCAGTTTGACTCTTAGATTAGCCAGAATTCCTGACAGTGTTTTTGTATATCATTGCTAATAAGTTATTTACTATTTTTGACGAAACCCTTGAAGAAATTCTTAGGAAATTTTTTTATTGAGATGTCATTGACATATAAAAATTGTATGTATTTAAAATATACAATTTGACGTTTGGATATACATATACCTTGTGAAATGATCACCATAATCAACCTAATTAACATATCTATTTTCTCTACATACTTACCAGTGTGCATGTGTGTGTGTGTAAAGTGTGTGTTGAGATTTAAGATCTATCCTCTTAGCAAATTATAAGTAAGCAAGACAAAGAAAGAGAAATACTGAATGATATTACTTGTATGTGGAAAGTAGAAGAGTCAAATTTGTAGAAGCAGAAAGAGGAATGGTGGTTGTCAGGGTATGGGGGAAGAAAAGGGAAAAGGAGTGATGTTAGCCAAAGGGTGCAAATTTCCACTTATGCAAGCTGGATAATTTCTGGAGATCTAATGCATAGTATGATGATGATAGTTAACAATGCTCTATTGTGTACTTGGAAAGAAGTCTTGCGGTGCAAGCTTTCTGCTTATTGTGTTTGCTATATTGATAGCCTGTTTTTATCCTCTGCAGATTGTGAAAGATTAATAGGATGACATCACTGTTATTATCTCAATTTCTATGCAAATTTCTCTCTCTCAAAAACAAAATTTTGAGTTGTCCACTCTGCCTTCTTTATAAGGTCTTCTTTATCTCTATATACTCTGTTTAATATTTATATACCTACATGCTATCCACTACAGAAAAATTAAGTTCTGTTTATGTTTTATGTTTTTTTCTAAACCTACATATTAATTCTTGCATTCATATAACCAACTTACCCAGTTTATTGAAGATTTTTTTTTGCCACTTCAAATATTTTTTCATGAGCTGGATTTCAGATTCTGCATAACAATGCAATATCTGAAGGTAGTAAAAAGTTACTTACAAAATTCTGAAGGGGGAGAGCATGATCCCTGTCTATGTATCCTTTTACAAACCAGAAACCAACAAAAAATATATTGAGCCATTTTTGAAAATAAAATAATGATGAAATCTAGCCAGTCAAAGGGTAAATCAAAGAAACAAATTCTGAAATATAGAATCCAGGTAGAAGTATGGATGACCAATATCTATCAATGCATTCATCAATCCTTTTCACCCATTCATCTACCTATTTATCCATTCATGGGTGAGCAACTGACAATCATATAGAAACAGAGACAAGCAATTATGGACATCAGAGTTTTTCAAAGAAGAAAAAGTTATTGAGTATTTGAAAACTAGGAAATAGTTAATTTCTATATTTCGCATCATTATTCTTATTGAAAAATAGATATTCTCTAATGTAGGACATGCAGTTTGCAAAGATTAGTGGCTCTAGAGTTATTTTTCTATGCCTTGCAGACAAGATTGAGGAATTAATACTTCGTTGCAATGAAATAATTATACTTCCACAATATACTCCATTTTGTTTTGTTAATTGGTGCTTGTTTACATGCAAGCAAAATTAAATTCAATAATTTTCACTAAAATTAAAATATGATTAATGTTTTCTAAAATATACTTTGTATAGATCAATTTCTCCTTTCTTTCATTTGCTTATTTTTTCTATTTAAAAATGTCATCTGCATATCACATAAGTTGATGATCTTTAAATATTAATAAAGATAATTTCTTAGTGGTGGGCTTTTTGATGTTGTATACAAATTATTTTGAGGCTGGGCATGGTGGCTCATGCCTTTAATCCCTGCACTTTGGGAGGCCGAGCAGGATCACTTGAGCTCAGGAGTTCGAGATCAGCCTGGGCAGCATAGTGAGACCCCGTCTCCATGTTTATTTTAAAAAACAGAAAAGACAAAGAAAAAAATTTATTTTGTGTTTTTATATAAATAATTTTTAATTTGCATATACTTTATCTTATATTCAATTTAATAATGTTAAATTTGTATTTGGAAGATAAATTATAAATTCCAATAAAAATTGACAAGAGAAAGTGATTCTTAAGGGCTATATTGTAAGAAAGTATTATGGTTTATTTAAAATTTCAGTTTTTTCTTGTAGATTTCTTTGGATTTTTACATATAACAGATATTGGGAAGCCATTCTAATCAAAAGAAACAAAATGACAAAAATAATTTCTTACAAAATACTGACTCTGGTTTGATATAAATACAGTGAAGATATTAGTTCAAGGTGTAGAATGCATTGTAGAGTTGCAAGACAGAATGTTAGGAAATTATTTTATTCATTTCTTATTTATTCATCTGTTCATTCCTTTGACAAATTTGTATTTAGTCTCTATTGTAAGCCAGGCATGATTTTAGCACCTTGGTATTCATTAGTGAACAAAACACAAAGATCTCTGGTATGTTGGATCTTGCATTCCATTCCCGGGGTAGTGGAGACTGAGTGTTGTATGAGGATGCTAAGTGGGCCTCTGCTACGGTAATGACATAAGCAATGGATATAAATGAAAATATAGAAAAGACAAATTAGCAACATTGCATATGACTAATCAGTTATTCAGGAAATGTGTTACTCCCAGTAAGCATGTCTGGCAGAGTTGTGCTATCATTTGTGTATGAATTATCATGAATTCCACCTAAACGTAGTAATTCCCCATTGTGATTGTGTGCTTGTTTACTTACTACAGAGTTCAAAAAAGGATTTAAAGAACCTTACACAAATACGTATATTAAAACAGGATAAATCTCTGTACTCTTTTGTTTTTTTTCTAAATTCCCTGGGTATCGAGTTTTTCTAACAAAAGTAATCCCCTTATCAGGATCACATAACTATTCATAAAACAGAGGGGCCACTAGAAAATTGTGGTTTTTGGATCACTAAATAATTATTTTGAGGATTACATGCGTCTATAATTCTTATTCCATTGGAATTTAAGGATTGATGAGCTCAGAATCTGTTAAGGATTTAAGAGCTTTTCAAGGAATGATCTATATAAATACAGGGTTTTACATTACAATATCTTCCCTTTCTACTGCCATGTCAAGGTGGGGCTCACTCAGAGAGCAGCTTATGGGGCATTTACTCCATAAGCTGCTGATTATGTTCTTTAAAGTCTGCGAGGCTCAGTTTCTCACAGATGGTACCTGCTGTACTCACAACTTCTGAGCATGATTTGTCAGTCATCACCAGATCTCTTCATGGCCACAATTCTTTTTAGGTTCTGGGGTGACATTTGAAGTACATAATATTTGACAGCTGTTACACTTACTGGATAAACAGTGTTGATGACAAAGTTTTTGTAATTTTCATTTCACTGACTCCATTTACAACTTAAAGCAGAGTTAATTTCTGTTTACATGAAGAAAATAAATGAATTGGCAAATTACAACAATTTTCTAATTAACTAAAACAAAATTAAAAACAAGAATTACCCTCAATTACCAGTAAATTTCAGAAAAAAAAGAAACAAACAAACCTGTGGATTTCTTCATTTACTTGGCTACTGTAATTTTCATATTTTTCTTTTGTTCTTTTTTACTTTGACTTTGAGAAAATTATTCACATATTTTCCTTTTTCCCCATAACTTCATTATGTGAAATTACTTAAGATTTGCACCAATATCCTATCACAGTAATAATGATCAATTATATACCCATGCTATGTGCTATATGTGTGTTCTGACCTCTACGGTGCAAACTAAGTAGAGAGAATACAGTGAAAAATCTAGAGGAAATGAAGTGTGGTACAATGAACTCTATGTAGGGGGCAGGCATGGGATAATGTAAAGTAAATTCCATAAGACAATAAATAAAAACATTTATCTTCTGTGGAAGGTTTAAGGTTGGCTTTTTAATGCTCCATTTGTTTTAGCCTTCTCTAGGTATTACCTAGGTTATGGCTAGAGATTAGTATCTTTATTCACATGATGGTTACCTAGAGGGTCTTAAAGTTCTCCTCAGCTTGACTATACTTCAGACAGCTTTCTTCCTGAGTATAGGTCCCGATTTTCTTTGTTAGGGCATTTAATTTAGAAAACATACCATTATAAATTCTTTCTCTGCCTCTTTGAGATGTCCACCTTCTCCCAACCTCTTGTCAGTTTTACAACCCAGTGATGTCTTTCTCAAGGACCTGAGAGCCAACCCGTTGAAAGTAATCATCAGAAAGATAGTGTCTCTATCTCAGTCTCTGTGGGAAGGTAGATGCCTAACTTCAATAAGTGCCAGGTCACAAATACAGATGACTCAATCACACTAACCACCCTCCATTCTTACATCTTCCAGTGCTTTTCCACTGGAGGATTTGCCTGCAACAGTTGATTACATTCAGTGCTTAAAAACTCTCCTGCCTTTTTTTCCGTTAGTGGAGTTGAGTTCAGTATCTCTTTTCTATTGCAATAGTCTTAACCCCTATTGCAATAATTTAAAATAAAATCTTCTTGCCTGTTTAACTTGTCCAGTGCATTTTTTATTTTATACCAGTTTTGAGAGAAATGACTTAACTCCTGTTGTATCTGAATCTGTATGATTATGGGCTGTATTTCAATTGAGGGTGACTGTATTGTAGTCACTAGTGTGGTGAATTGCTTTTTAAAATGAAATAGTAATGACCACATTAAGAAACAATGAAGAAAGCTCTGCTACGTTAACCAGCACACATATTCATGAGAAGCCTAATTCTCTTCGCTTCTGAGAGTAGAAAGACACTGCCGTGGTTGCAGAGAGTTGGCCCATGATTTAATGGAGGATGGTAGAAATTCTTCATCTTTTATTGTAACTGGCTCTATGTTGGGTCATTGTACTTTGGAATCAGCATGACTAGAGAAATCTTTAGAAAAAGAGATCCATTAAGAGCTGGAGGGCTGGGGCAGTCGTTCTAGTGCCATCTCCAGAGGGCACTTATGATATCATCTTAAAATCTCAATCCTGCTCTGTTTATATCATTCCAGTAGCATATAGTAGCACACACACAGAAAGCAGAAAATAGACCATTTTTTCTTGTGTTTACTGTCTTTTTATTAATTTTCCCCCAAATTTTGAAAAGATTTTTGTAAGCTTTCTTAGAAATTTAAATGCAGAAAATATATTTTCACAATATTTTCTACTTTAGTTCAAATGAAATAAAACATTATTGAAAATACTCAAATTATATTCTTTTGGTTGAAACTTAGATCATGTATATGTGTGTTGTATAAGCACATATATCATATATTCCTCAGCATTTGCAGAGCTGTCATGTACTAACAGTAAACATTAATATTTGTCTATAGTATGGACACAAATGTATGTTGTATTTAGAGCTAGATGCCATGCTATATATGTGTTTTGACCTCCGCAGTGCAAACTTTCCTGAGTAGAGAAGACACAGAGAGTAAAGATATATGCCATGTCTTTATATATTATATAAATTATATGTATGTGTGTATATATACATACACACATATATATTTAAATGCATTATATATAAATATGCATGAATTACAGCTGATTTGTAAAACAAACACAATTTGTGCATACCGTAATATCACATTGACAAAAAAATACTAGAAATGCAAAAAGCAGTTTCTTAAATAATTATGCTTATATTTAAATTTCTTGAATATAAGATAATCTTTTATAAATTTATATTTTACTTTTACTTGAATTTTGATCTACTTCTCTGATAGCCAGGATCAAAGTATCCAACTGGGAGCTCTGATGGACGTTAAGCCTCCAAGCCCTTTCTAGAATCAATGGAAACACTATAAAGATTTCCTTTATTTGACTCCCACTTTGTCATTGACTTTTCAGAATGTCTGTTTGAGTATAATCTAAAGAAAGATTGTAGAACTGCTTAATCAATATACCATTACTCTTCATGAATTTGGTTGATTATCCACTTACTTTATTGGATATTGGGTAGTAGTTCAACAGCACAGTTCCTGAATTGTAACACTTTGTTAAAGCCAAAAATCGGGCTAATCTTGAGTCTGAGCAAACATTAAACTTAATGGTGACTTTCTTTCACATGACTCCAGTTCTCTCAGAGATTCTACTGCTGCAATTTAAGTTTAATTAACTTGAAAATACTTGGCCTTAGAAAAACTTAGCCTTCCTCCTTGAGTAAATATGATTCAAAGAACCATCAAGTGAAGTGGCAACTCAATTTAATAGGGATTAAATTTTCTGTGACTATGTAATGAAAGGTAACTAGAATTACATTTTGCTACTACAGAAATATTTAGTTTTAAATAGATAAGGAGGATAATAATTTGAGGGTCAATGGCTGAGGTAATGAAGGGCACCTGAAAACAAGAACAGTTTTTTTGAATCATTTTGTAAAGGATAGTATTAGGCTGGTTTTTCATGTGTGGGGACCAGGAATTTGCCTGCAACAGTTGATCACATTCTGTCAGTTAAAAAGTTGTACATTGATTTTAGCTGATAGAGTTCTATTAGCTCAAAAACTTATAAAATAACAAAAATAAATTGTTGCCAATATGTGATTTGACACTGTGAGATAAATCATAAGTATACATTAATATATAGTTTATGTTCAGCAATTAGAATTAATATTCAGAAATTAATGGCATTAGCACACTTTCTATAAGAGGAAACAGAGGTTTAGAATAGTTAAACAACTTGACAAAGTTTACAGAACAAATATAGAATTCAAAAACAGAAAGAGCTGACCTATAGGCTATGCTTTTTATCTTTATGCTAACCACTTGATATACCTTTTGACAGAAAGTTTTCAGAGAATTATTTCAGTATTGATTCTGGTTAGGGTCTTTCTGTGTGGAAGCTGTTTATTTGTTTCCAAAGCAGACAGATCACTTCCTTCCAACACACATTTTATGACTCTGCAAAGTTGCTATTCCCGTAAATGGACCTATCAATCATCGCAAAACCCCAGTGGAGTGAAATGACCCACTCTCTGCATCATTCACCCACAATGATTCCTGTTTTTGTGACCTGATCAGCTGATTCTTATTCTCATGCCTCATGATTCTCAAACTCTCCTCTGGCTTTGCATTTTGCTTCTCAAAACTTGCTTCAGGTTTGCTTGCCTTTGGGATCCCTTTGACATGCCTCTCAATGTGATCCCTCAGTAATTGCTCTCAGATGATCTTAAATTCACCTTTACAGGCCTACGCAATTTCACTAAAAGAGAAAGACCCTTCTTTATGACATCATGAAAAAGAAGACCAGTTTGGGCCAACCCCACTCAATAGCTCTTGCCTGAGAATTAAATGAAATACTATCTGTATGTATGCAGTTAGGATCTCTGAGGCCTAGACTGTCCATTGGAGGTAAGCCTGTTACAATTAGTTCCTTTACAAATTTGCTGTTTCACACACCTCTGAATATGCTGGAGTTGCGGCTCTTATCCGCTTTTCACAATATGTCTGTCATTGTTTCCTGTGGTTGCCCATAAATACCATCTGTGGCTTCAGTGGGAGAGGACTTGAAAACCTCACTGGAGATTGGCAGAAAATCACCTTTCCCCATCTGAATGACTCCCTACTAGCTATGACTTTAATAGTTTGCATACCGTGGTTACTTTCTATTTTCAAAACAACTCCCTCTCCTACCCCATAATACCTACAGAACCCTAGCCATCTGACCTAACTGGAATTAGAAATGGGTTCTGATTAGAAAGATTTTTTTTTCTTTCAACTCTTTAATTTCTAATTCTAGGTAAATCACTGAGATATCTAAGTAAGATAGAATAATAATGTAGTAAGTAAATAACAGGGAAGTAAAATATAGTAAACTTTTTTAAATGTTAAAAACAATCATATGAATACCATTTAAAACTAATAAAGTTAAAAATTGTATCTTCTCAGGTACTCAAAGGAAAAAAAATAAATATAGAGTTATTACTATGTGCCAGGACATGTGCTAGATATTGAGAGATACAAAGCTAATAATGCACAGATTTTCTTCTCAAGAAATTTGAAATGTAATATAGGGAAAAAATTTGAACAAATAATGACAGCATAAGCTATATATGTGCTATATGAGTGTGTAAAAATAGCCATAAGGACATCAAAGTACAAATAGCAACTCTGCAGGAAAGACTTCACCAAAGAATTTTTTGTTTAAAAGCGAGAATATAATTTACAGATGGTAAAGAGGAATACTGAGGCAGTTGTAAAAATATGTGCTAAAACTTGAGCCATGAAACAATATTGTGTCTTTGGAAAAGGCCAAAACTTGAAGAATCAGACAGTGTAGGTAAAGACAGACTTGAATTCAGAAATGAAGAGATGAAATTAGTGCAAGAAACTTATCAACTCTTGGCATTTAAGGGGGAGGGATCTAATAAAAGAAATTAAGAGTTTACAGGTTCATTGAGATGGCTAGAGAAGTATATATCATGAAACTGCCCCAGGAGGTATAGACAGCCAGGGCAAACTATTTTATTGAAGCCGTGCTTCAGAAGTAAAGGAGCCACTGCTCATGTGTTGACTTTTCAATATCCACAAAGCAGTCACCAGATACTGGAACGCTGAATCCAACCAATGAAGTTTTCCACTTACTATTCACCTTGCTGTGACTTCTACTGCCCACTGAAAGGGCAGCAAAAAGATGGATTTTACCTTTTCCATCAAATATCATAAAAAATCATTTAATTAATAGAACCTAATTTTAAGACAATTACCTTTCAATATAAGAAGTTATCCATGACAAACAATTGAACAAACTCACAATATTCTCCACTGATCATCTTTTTCAGTATTCAGTATCCATATATACACTTCCACATGTACTTTTACTTCTCAAATTTAGCAATAGTACCAATGTAATATCTTCAGCATTATAAAACCACCCATTTTATAAAGAAAGGTTCACTTACCCTCTCCACAATAACAAAGATTCACAGTCCTATCAGTCACCTTTATAAACTCCAGATGAAGATTATTCATCTTTTAGTTTGGTCAAAATCTACTTGGGGTGCTATAACAAAATTATGAAGCAAATCTTTAAAGTACGTCTTTGCTTAAATAATGAAGGATAGTAGAGTAAAATTACTGAAGTGTTTATGTATCTGCATATCTATGGAGCAACTGCATTCATTATTTCCACAAATGATTATGAGATCACAGATGGTGTTGATAACTTCTAGTTCTCCTAAATAAAAGGCACATCAAACACTAGAGCTCTGCAATCTAGATGAGCTGGCCTTCTCTTGTTCTGACTTTTGTTTGTCATTCAGTGAATGAGTCAGAGCAACAAATCAAATGCATGACACTACCTTCAACATCCAGAATCTTATAAGCCACTTTATCTTTAAGTGCTAGGAAGAGCCAGGCACTGAAACTTTGTGCTCCTTGAAGGGGTTATTTGCACCAGAACACAATATACCCAGAAAATTCATATAAATACAAAGTCTCCAAATATTTGTTTCCATATTTTTTGCTCTAATTTGCAATTGACCTATTTTTTCAAAGTTGGTTTTTTAGATACCTTATTCCAGGTGACCACAGTGGATTGATTACAGAACAATTTTGCTAACATGTTCTTAGACTACCAGTTTCTCATTTTCAGGTGGCATCAGGATTGTTCTTCAGCTCCCACATACTCAACCAGGTCAAATAATCAATGCCTGAACTTCTGATATGACAGTGATGCAGTAAATAAAACTTTTCTAAGGTGTTTTAAAGAAAAATTGATTTATTGCACAAAATTATGTGCAAGCAAAAATCGTGAAGAGATGAGGAAAGTAAATTCTGAAGTCTATTTTTAAGTGGGTTTAATATAAAAACAACCAATTTAATGTAGCTGCAATTCAAATCTTGAGATGCCGTAACTGCTCTAACCATTGCATAACCACCACCTGATACCCATTGATTGACAGTTCCCATGAAAATGATCTCTGGCTGAAACAATAGCTGCCATTGACATACTCATGAAGCTAATTATTAGATCCTGAGAGGTTGAGTCCAGGCATTGCCACATCAGCCACTTGATCATCTGTTCTCTAAGACTTCTAATGCTAGCAGAAATAGCAGTAAGGAAATGCTACCTACCTCACTTCTACCTTCCAACTCTCAAATGGATACATATGAATGAAAAAAAAAAAACTTAACTACCATTCAGAATCCAGATTCTCAGGATCTTTTTTTAATATTGCCAACTTCTTCTATAAAGAACAATATCCCAGAAGTATGGAATGCAGGCTAAGTAAATCAATCCATAATATCCTCTTTCAGACAAAGCTTTTCAGACAAAGCAAAGAGAAAGAATGCTATGTCATGACACTTAAATTTTAAGCTTCAGAATTTAGGCAATTTGGGATGGGCATAGAAGTTTTTAGGTGGAAGGGTAATATTAGATTTGATTTTTACATTTCTGTTGGAAAGTTGGAGCTTGGTTTGGTAATATTTGAGGTTTGGTCGGTTAAATACATGATTGGAAATAAAAAGATACCAGCTAATATGCCAGTTAAGAAAGAATGGTGACATAGTGACATAATGACAGTTTTCCCTATGGATGTGTTTGGCTATATAAAAATAAAGTCCACAAGAAACAAAAAGATAATAAAATTTTGGATTTATTCTCTTCCTTTAGTATTCACAATTTTAAAGCTTAAAATTTAAATATAGTACAAAGTATAGAAGAAGTTGTACAATGAAAGTAGATTATGAATTTTCACCATGTATATAAGTGAAAATATAACACCAAAAGTAAAAACCTTAAACATAAACAAGTGAATAAATTGGTTTTCATTAAAAAATAAGAGCTATTATTCTTTAAAATATATTAACGGGATGAAAAGACAAACTAAATTACCTTGTGATCCAGTAATCCCACCTCTAAGTAAATGGCCAAAGGAACTGAAATTGATATATTGAAGAGATATCTGCACTCCAGTGTTCACTGCAACATTATTCACAATAGCCAAGCTACCAAATCAACCTGTGTCCATCAATGGATGAATGGATTAAGAAAAGTGATACTGTCTATATAGTACTATATGGCCTTTAAAATAAAAGAAAATTCTACCATTTGCAACAGTATGAATAAACCCAAAGGACATTACGCTAAGTGAAGTAATCAAAGCACAGAAAGACCAATACTGCATTATTACACTTATATATGACATCTTTCAAAGTTTAACATGTAGGCTGGGTGGGTGGCTGATACCTGTAATCCCAGGACTTTGGGAGGCCAAGGCGGGCTGATCACCTGAGGTCGGGAGTTTAAGACCAGCCTGACCAACACAGAGAAACCGCGTCCCTACTAAAAATATCAAATTAGCAGAACATGGTGGTGCATGCCTGTAATCCTAACTACTCAGGAGGCTGAGGCAGGCGAATCACTTGAACCCAGGACGCGGAGGCTGCGGTGAGCCGAGATCGCACCATTGTACTCCAGCCTGGGCAACAAGAGCAAAACTCCACCTCAAAAAAAAAAAGTTTAACATGTAGAAGAAGCAGAGAATTATATTCGTGGTTACCAGAGGCTGGGAGGTGGGGAAGATGGGAAAATAGCACATGCTAGTCATGGGGTACAAAGTTCCAAATTGACGCCAGGAATAAGTTTAAGAGAATCTATTGAACAGCCTGGTGACCATAGTTAATAATGCATTATATATTTAAATTTTTTTTAAATAGTAGATTTTAAACATTCTAATCATAAAACATATAAATGGGAGAGGTAATGTTAAATTTGTATACACATATCAAAACATCACATTGTACCCCACACATATATACAATTATTTTTGTCAAATCAAAATAAAACTTCACTAAAATAAAGAAAAACTACAGACTCAGAGAAGTCATCTGAAAAATCACATATTTGATAAAGGCCTCATATCCAAGCTAGATAATGAAATCTCAAAACTCAATAATAATAAAGAAAGAAAAACCTAAAACAAGTAGAAAGATTTGAATAGATACCTCACAAAAAATATGGGTAACAAATAAGCACATAAAAATAGGCAAAGCGCACTTACTTCCCACATCATTTTACTAATCATTAGGAAAATTTTAAGTAAATCAAAACATAATATAATGAAAATCCAATTTGGATGTTTAAAATTAATAATACTGATCACACTAAATGTTCCTGAGAACATGGCATGACTCAAACTCTCACACACTGCTGTAGGAATGTAAGATGGTACAATCACTTTGGAAACCATTTTGGAAATTACATAAAACTTTAAAAATACTTCTAGCATATGACCCAGTTATTTCACTCTTAATGTTTATCTTAGAAATATAAATTCTTATATCCAAGCAAAGGCTTACGTAAGAATATTCATAGCAGTTTATTGCTAATACTCAAAACCCGGGCACAACATAATGTCTATCAGCAGGCATGAAAAAGCAAACTGTGTTATATACACATAATGGAATTCTATTCAGCAATAAAAATGAATGAATTAGAATACAACAGCATAAACCTCCAAATGACTATATTGAGTAGGAGTCATAAGAAATATATACTGTATAATTCTGTTAGTGTACATGTTAGAAAATGTAAATGAATCTATAGTGATAGAAAGAAAATCAGTGGTTGTCTGGAAATGTGGGAGTATGGAAATATGGTGTAGAGGGACTAACAGATTATAAGTGGGCACAAAAAACTTTAGGAGTTACGGGTATCCTCACAATTTTTAACAGCTCTACTGAAGCTCATGCTTCACACACCAAGGTAATAAACATAGTCCATCACCTTTAAAAGTTTATTTGTGTCCCTTTGTGTGTGTGTGTGTGTGTGTGTGTGTGTGTGTGTGTGTGTGTGTGTGGTAAGAACACTTAATATGAGATCTACCTTAGACAATCTATACAGCAGATTTCTAGAATTTATTCAGCCTACAAATTAAAATTTTTATCCATTGAGCAACATCACAATCTTCCCACATCCCTGACAACCATCAATCTATTCTCTGCTTTTATGAGTTTGACTATTTTTTGTATCTCATGTCAGGTTAATCACACAAAATTTGGGTTTCTGAGACTGGGTTATTTCACTTAGTATGATGTCTTCCAGGTTCATCCACGTTGTCACAAATGGTATAAATTCTTTATTTTTTAAGGCTGAACAGTATTCCATTGTGTATGTGTGTGTGCATGTGTTTGTGTGTGTGTTTATATACACATACCCCCACACCCACCCACTCACCACCATGCACACTCACAGATACATACCACATTTTCTTTATTCATTCATCAGTGGGCATTTGTGTAATTTACATATCTTAACTATTGTAAATAATACTGCAGTAAACATGGAAGTGCAGATATCAAAACCACAACAAGCTATCACTTCACACTTATTAGGACAAGTCAAAAAAACTAAAGATACATTTTGTATCTCTTGTACATTGTGGGAATGTAAAATGGCATAGCTACTATGGAAAATAGTATGAAAGTTCCTCAGAACACTAAAAATAGAACTACTATATGATCCAACAATTCCACTTCTGGATATATATTTTCAAAAGTATTGAAACCAGAATCTTGAAGAGATCATTGTTCACTGCAGATAAGCTCATTATTTTATCTGTGGTGATCATTACACAGGTGTATACATATATGAAAATGTATAAAATTGTACACATTAAATGTGCAGTTTATTGTGTATAAATTATATCTCAAGAAAGTGGATCTAAAAATAACCGGATTCAGAAGTTATTGCTTTTTATCTTTGATCTCATCTTCATTATTTTCTTCCTTCTACTTGCTTTGAGTATACTTTGCTCTTATTTATCTAGGTTCTTAAGGTAAAAAATTAGGTTACTGACTCAGGGCCTTTTACTTATGTAAGTATTTAATGCTATAAATTTATCTTTAAGTATTTCTTCAGCTGCTCCTCAAACATTTTGTCATATTGCATTTTAATTTTCTTACAATTCAAGATATTTTCTCAATTATTGCATAATTTTTTTCTTCGGGTCATGATTTTTAGAAGCGTAGTTTAATTTCTAAGTATTTGGAATATTTTGCAGTTATCTCAGTTATTGACTTCTGTTGAGTAGATTGTATTATTTTATGCTGCCCATACTTTGGCCATTAATTAAAGAGGATTTTTTTTCTGCTTACTTCTATATTGCTCAGTGTCTACTCCTTATATACTCTGCTAGGGGTAAGCCATTGTTCACATCATATCTCTACTTGGAGATACCCATTTCTCTTTGGATTTCAGACTATTTGGTTGTCTTTATTTAGAGGATTTACATCCCTAGCAAAGAAATTAATGTACGGTCCTACTGTCAAGAAAGAAGGAAATTACAGAAATATAGAGACAGCGTTTGGTTCTTGTCACTCCCAATTATTTCACTAACACATTTGAAAAGGGGATCTTTAGAATATTCATTTTGAGATAAAAATCCTTTCAGAACATTCAGACATTGTAAAATGTAAAGATATATCTTTTTCTTATTTATAAGAATGCTTTCGTATGTGACGTTTTATATGAATCTATTTAAGTGCATGTTATGTGAGGTTTTTAGATATGTGTAGGTTAACACATTTACTATGTTTATAATGCTGGCGCTAGAGTCTGATAATAACAACAAATATTACCCCAATTAGGTAATTCATTTTTCCTATTCTGCTTTTTCATACTGAAGCCATTACTCATTTTTAATGGAAACTGTCATTATTTTCTTCAATATACAAATATGAAATAATCAACATTTTAATAACTCCAATGGAGGTTAGCATTTTGTCATTGTAGCTCCAAAGATTTTTTTGGTTGTAAACACAGAGATTATACTATTATATAAATGTGTTATTCTGCAGAGTTTGTTTCTAATGACACACTTTTAAAAATTTACTTTCTACAGTTATTTGGAGGAGAGGAGGCATCTAAATTTAAAAAAAAATAGAAGTAGAAGGAGATGATGAAGAACTGACCTATGGCATCAAGTGATCTATGTGGTCTATGCAACATAAAACACTAAAAGTAAAACCAGTTATTATTTTTGGCAACAAAGGTTATTCTTGTTGGTCATTCATAGGGACCAGACATCTATCTTGTTTTATTGCTAATTCAGAAAGTGTTATGTTTAGACATCTGATATATTACAAAAAAGGTTTGTAAAACAAAAGTAATTCATTGTAATGTAAGTAGGTCATTCAGTCTATGCTGTTACAATGAGTTAAAACCTAACTGATTTATTCAGCTAGACAGCTACAATAATAAACACTTCACAAAATTATATATGGTGAATTGTTATTTCATTTAGATACTGACTGATCTTCAAAAATTCATGTAGCTTAAAAATATACATATGATCATCATAGTAGAATTGTATCTCAAGATCGAATCTTGAAAGTATTTGACAAATATGACAGAAATATAAATGACAAAGAAGAATTAAGAATATAAGCATGGATGATTTATTTAAATATGTAAGCACGTTTCAACTTAATGAATAAACTTATATATCAAACATTTTGAATGCAAACCCATTTAGATAATGTTTTCACTTTTGTAATCTTTTACTTCTCTTTATTGTTAAGTCAAAAGCACTACAATTGAATTCTAAAACCAAATGAAATGAATTGAAAAGGACAAAAGAAATTAAATGATCAAAAGCAAAATGATTATACCAATGCCTGATATACCCAGTAATAAAGAAAATATTCAAAAATACATATGAATGCCCAACCCCCAAATTTAGACAGGTTATATTATATTTCCCAGTTATTTTAAAGATAGTAGAGATTTCCAAATATTTTTGTGTTGCTGATATTACTGAGATTGACATTTCAGGCATGTGTTAAGCTTTGTGCATTCATTATCTCATTTAATTATCAAAAAAGCCTACCGTATTTCATCAATTTAAATACAGTAATCATTTCTTATTCTTTTTTCTATTAACATCTCTGAAATCAGGATTCATGTTAAAATTGATGGAATACCATAGTGTAATTATTGGCCTTTTGTTTTTTATTAATGATGTGTAAAACAATGATGTGGCCTACATTCTATGGCATCTTAGAGTACTAGAAATGCAGCAGTGTGAATTTTGTACATACAAAAAAAAGAATATCAGAGAGGCTAATAAGCCTGATTGAAGTGAAATAACTAACAAGTTTTAGAACGAAGATTCCAACAGAGGACTCTGTGATATCTTTACACTGATACAAGTTAACGAGTTATCCTATAATACTTTCCCACATATTATTTGTATGTAATATTTTCAACATTACAACTTATGTAATGATTACAATAATCATTTTATCATTGTTTTACCTGCAGTTAAATAGTTAATTTTAACAACAGATACTATTAAAGGAAAACGTATTTTCATTTTTATTTTCTCATTTGAATCAATAATATATCTTGTTATTAGTTCTATTCTTAGAACTTGAAAGAATGCCAGCAATTACCTTTGATAACAATATTAAAAATCAAAATGATTGCTGCCACTATAATGTTCATCAACATAATGATAATCTTTGAATGCTTGTGTGAGAAGACTTTTTTTCATAAGACATCAAGAAGTACTATGTAATTATCAGAATTTACCTGTAAACAAATCATACGTAGTCATGCCTTAACTGTGTACCAAATTCACCTGATATTGTACATGAAGTGAAGCTAAATAGGCAATTTATTTTATATAAACATATTTTATACATATTTTTTATTTTCTTTATGAAGATTAAGGTAAAGGTATAATTATTATAAATATAATTAGCTTATTAATTTAACAAATATTCATTAATCATCTGTTAAATTCCAAACATTTATTGCTATGGTGGCTATATTGTTAAATAAAAATGATGTCTTCCCTCAAGGATCTTCCAACTGAAGAATGAGATTTATATTGAGTAAAGATTTTTACAAATGCACACATCAAAACAAATTCTGATATTTGCTAGATAGAGGAGAGGACATAAAGGTCTGATAAGAAAGCTGTTAAGGCTCCCAAACAGGAAGAGGGGAAAGTCATGGGAGACTTCTTTAAGAAAGTAACCTTTGAGATGAATCCCAAAGCATGAGTAGAAATTGGCCAGTATGAGAGGAAGTGTTTTCCAGGCTGAGTGAACCACCTACATCAGGGCTCCACGACAAAAGAGTGCCTCTTACACACCACTTCAAATTCTCTTGGCTCATCTGTTTCTTGTTCTACCTGACCCTGTAAGGAGCAGGTCTATGTGGGTTCTGACTGCCCTTATGCAAGCACAACCTGATGGTCACTCACATCATGTTAATACCACCTGTCTTGCTTCCAATTCTCCATCCCTTTGCTTCTCTTTTTATGCTCTCGGACAATACCTGAACCTTATACATGCAAAATCTTAAGTGCAGAGAATTTAACATTTTCTGGGGCAAAGCTTTCACCATTAGGAACAAGGAGATTATGATTCAATTTCTACCCCCTTTATCTCCCACCATACATGGTCTTAAAACACAGTTTAAATTGCTCCTTAATGTTTGCCCCATAGGATCCAGAAATTACTCACAATTGATGGAGTCTAGCTCAATAACAAACCCTGATACTCTCTCCCTTTCTACCTCCTTCCGTCTTTTTGTGCTGCTCCTGAGGCCTTTACTCCCTAATGAAGCAATTCCACAGATTCCTCTGACTTAGTTTCTGGATAGCCCATGATATAGCAGTCCTGTTCCAGGGACTGCTACTGAAGTAATGAGTGGTCTGATGGAAGAAACAGTAGAATCCAATCCTGCTAGTTTTATAGGAAAGAGTTTTATTACATGTAATTAGGTGGTTTACATCTGGTCTTCATAAACTTACGTCACATGGGATGTTTAGGCTTCTCATGTCCAAGCAGGGCCATCTCAAGGATTCTGACCTGCTATGCAGAGGCCCAAACAGGTCGTTCAATGGATGGGAAGAATTGATATTTAGGCATCCATACACTATTTGTAGTAACTGGCATGCATGACCCATCACTTAGAAAGCTATAGCTGACATGGTTGGGCTTTGTTTTCCCCACCCAAATCTTATCTTGAATTATAGTTCCCATAATCCCCACATGTCCTGAGAGGGACCCGGTGGGAGGTAATTTAATCATGGGGGTGGTTACCCTCAGGCTGTTCTCATGAGATCTGATGGTTTCATAAGGGGCTTTTCCCCTTTTGCTGGGCACTTCTTGCTGCTTCCATGTGAAGAAGGATGTATTTGCTTACCCTTCCACCATGATTGTAAGTTTCTTGAGGCCTCTTCAGCCATGCTGAAGTGTAAGTCAATTAAACCCTTTTCTTTTATAAATTACCCAGTCTTGGGTATGTCTTTATTAGCATTGTGAGAATGGACAAATACACATGCCAACAATGAAAGCTAAAGAAACTATCTTTTCTCAGTCAGGCAGTTGCTGCTGTGGTTACCAGCTCAAGAATCATTTCATTTTTTATGGCTGCATAGTAGTCCATGGTGTATATATGCCATATTTTCTTAATCCAGTCTATCATTGATGGACATTTGGGTTGGTTCGAAGTTGGAGTTCATGTCCTTTGTAGGGACATGGATGAAGCTGGAAACCATCATTCTCAGCAAACTATCGCAAGGACAGAAAACCAAATGCCACATGTTCTCACTCATAGGTGGGAGTTGAACAATGAGAACACTTGGACACAGGGTGGGGAACAGCACACACCGGGGCCTGTTGTGGGGTCGCGGGAGTGGGGAGGGATAGCATTAAGAGATATATCTAATGTAAATGACGAGTTAATGGGTGCAGCACACCAACATGGCACATATATACATATGTAACAAACCTGCACGTTGTACACATGTACCCTAGAACTTAAAGTATAATGAAAAATAAATAAATAAATAAATAAATAATAAAATTTAAAAAAAGAATCATTTCATTTATGACCATCTGTAAGAGAATGAAATGTACTTGCTGCCTTTCCCTTTCCTAGTTCCCTCAGTTTCAGTAACAGGTGTTGACCAAGTATTACATATGATTGACAGAAAGCAAATTATTTCTGAAACCTGAGGACTAAGGATTTCTAAAATATATAAATATATACTGGTATGCACATATGTATATTCACTTTTAGTTGGTTAGTTAGTTTGGTTAGTTAATTTGTTAGTTATATAGGTGGCAGGAATGTCTTGTAGAAAATTGCCATTCTTTTCCAAGGCATCTCCCTAAGACAAGGTCATTATAAGCTGTTTAGATAAGCCCCCATCAGGTAAGGGAGAAGGTTTTCTTCCATTATTGGCTGCCAGTTTGAGGACTGATTATTCTCATCATTATGGGTTACATTTTCCTGCCTTTTTGAGTGCCTGACAATCCTTGATTGAAAACAAGACACTGTAAATTTTACCTTGTCGGCTTGTGGATATTTTCATATTCTTATAAATCTTGATCTTTCTCCTGGAATGTAGTTAGTTTTTTGGAAAGAATTTCATCTATGTGAGTGTTGCTTTAATGACTTCTTATGTGGGTCTGGAGCAGTGCTCTATCTCGAGTTAATTACTCCCCAGTACTGAACCCAAGTCCTATGAATCATGAGTATTTTTTGTCTGACCAGTGGAAACAGGCACTGTGCCAGCACTGGGCATTACTTCTTTTAATCATTTTAGATGGTTCTATTCCTGGCTTCAAGCAGTTTCCTCCTATGCATGTACTGATTAGAACATTGTGGAGCTCTTTCTTCTTTAGAACTCTGTCCTTTGAAATCTAACTCTCTTGGTCTCCCTGTCTCCTCAATCCAGGGAGTCTGCTGAGCTCCCACTCAACTCTCCTGTTCTGCATGAATCCTGAATGCTTTCTCAAGGCACTGAGCTGGAGCAATTAGAGGTCTTCCTTTGCCATTTTCCAGGGATTACTGTCCTTCAGTAGACGTCTAATGTCTTGAAAGCCATTGTTTTATATATTTTGTGGGTGGTTTTGTTGTTGTTGTTTTGTGAGTGTTCTCCCAAGAAGATGAGTAAGTCTCTTTCATGTTACCCCATTTTTTGTGGTAATGAAAGTTCTCATGGAAATAATTTTTAATTTCTAAAAGCTCAGCCTACTTATAAAGAGTGGATTAATATGCTAGAAGAGAGGAAGCAGATCAGTTTGAAGCCTATTCTAGAAGAAAAGGAAAAAGCTGATGCTAAACAGAACTAGATAGTTGGCTGAGTAAATAGAGTCAGATATAACACACACTTTAAAGGTAGATCATTGCAAAAACCATGCAAAGTAATTTTAATCTATTACATGGTCTATGACTTATAGAAGTTATTATAAATATGATTTTATTAACACACATAGGCCAAGCTTTATATACTAAAACTAGTAGTGAGATCTAATAAATAAAGGATGGAACAAAAGACTTTTTCATTAAATAGTAAGATTCAGCATTATTAAGTGTATTTATTATAAAGGAATATTTGTCCTGTTTTTGGAGATATGTGGAAAAATAAGAAAAAATGTAACTTTAAAATTTGTCTTAGAATCTTTTAAGCAAATATACCAAATTCAGAAACATACTTAAATGAGTTATAATCCAGGTAATTATTATCAAATAATAATGTATGCATTTGTAATTATGCTGGCATCCCAGTTAGTTTAGTAGATTTAATTTTCATGATTCTTTTTTACCTCAAGAGAGAACTTCACTTAGATTTAGACCATGATGCGCATGACACTAATTTATTTGATTGCATGGCTTGCCAGGTAATACCACAAATAATAGATGGAATATGTGAAAAAGTTTACAATTTGGCAATATATAGAGTATGTACAATATTTTATATCAATCCAAGAAAAGTAATTTCAATATAACTGAAAAAAGCCTAGATATAAGAAACAAAAGATAGATAGATAGATAGATTTACAGATAAAAGAATGTGTACTTTTCTAATAAATATGTTATAAGTATACAATTGTCCTTTGATATTACTTATTTATAACTTAACAACTGATTTTTAACATACTTATATAACCTTTTTAAAAATAACTTATTCAAAAAAATTTTCTGGGCTTCTCATAACTCAAGCTGAGCAATACAAATTCTATCACTTCTTCTATTTTCTGCTACAAGTTCTTTTCCAAGAGTTCTTTGCCTTCTTTAGATGTTTTTACGCAAATATTATCTTTGCCTTATAGTTATTCCATGTCCCACTTATCTTTTCCCAAAGAAGTTACAGGGTCACACTACTATAAACATTTCCTTGAGTTCTTATCTTATTTTGAAAAAAACATGTAATAGTAGATTATTTATTATGATTGTTTTCTGTAATTATTGGACCTATCAATATATTGGTGAATAAAAATACATGTATATATTTTAAATTAAAACATAATATTTAAAAACAATTATTTTTAATCCTTGCTTTAACCTACTCATTTTCATTAACTAAACAATGAATGATCCCAATCTTATTTTAGAAGTGAATTTCCACCGAGAAAAAAATGAAATATAAAATAAAAATTTAATGTACACCTGATACAGAGTAGGAATATTAATAATTATTTTCAATATGATGTACTCAATTATCAATGACATATATATGGCACCCAGAACTCACTGCCTCTTTCACTTCTACTTCCACTAATGTCTTTGGATATTAAGAAGTAAATTACTTAAATAATCCTTGATTATTGAAAATGATAAATTGAAAGTTTAATATATACTTCGTAATGTACATGTCCTGTCTGCTAGTGATAATTTATAATAATTATCTCTGATTCTGAAATAATGATATTAAATATTCTCCCTTTTAAATTGAATTAACATGAATAGAATTTAGATTCTGTAGGAAAAAAGTCCCTATAAAAATCAATATGCATAAAGTTTATATGTCTTCATAGTGTATATATCAGATCTTTCATTGAACCTCAGCCATTAACTTGGCTCATGCACATTTGTTCTGCACAAATATGTACATTTCACCTTTGCAATATGAAGGGCCACTAGTTCTACTGAAATGTATATGACAAGCCATTTCCATCAATATTATTTTCTGCATCATCCACAACTTCTGAATATTCTGCTAAGAACTGACAAGGTGAACATTTGTGTATATGATCTGAATTTAGAACCAGATGCCATTTTAACATGTAAACAATAGTATTTACAAGGCTACTAATGACTTTATTTTACTAAAATGTAACTAACTATTCTCTCCATTGAAGAAACACTGTGTTTAATTTGAACTTTTCCAAGTTTTGTGCTGCATTTTGTAAGTGCATATCACTGACAGCAGCACTGTTCATGGTACTCAAATTGTTGATAAATACACCTAAATGAAATCCCATTAGTAGCTGTCATATTCATGGTTACTAAAACTACACATTCCAGTATCTGATTATCTCATTCTGTCTTTTTTTGTAGTAATTCATGATCATTTATATATCAAAATACATTTTTTACCTGGTGGCATGTGCCTGTAGTCCCAACTACAAAGAAAGGTGAGGTGGGAGGATCACTTAAGCCTGCGAGGCAGAGGTTGCAGTGAGCTGATATCACACCACTGCACTCCAGCATGGGCACCAGAGTAAGACCCTATCTCCAAAAAATAAATAAATAAATTGTTTTTCTTTTATTTCTTCTTTATACCATGGTTAGGATACTATATTAACATTTTAAACTGTATTTATAGGCAGGTTATACTGCTGTATTATGAATTGTATTTCAGAACAATAAGGGGTATTGCAACATGTTTTCTATGAATATAGGATGTTGTTACCAATCAGTTACAAACCATTGCACTAGGTGATCTTATGCAATCTTATATCTTTTTACACTGTCCATATTCTCAGTGTCCAAATATTGTAGCTGCTAACCACCTATGCCTATTTAAATGTCAATTAATTATTTAATGCAAAGTTAAAATTAACTTCCTCAGTTGTAGTGCTCACTTTCAAGTGATCAATAGCCACATATGCCTATTAAGTACCATACTGAAAAACGCAGAGTAGAACATTGCCACCATCACATATCATTGTATTAATAAATAATTGTATTAATGCTTAATTTTACACAAATATTTTTTCAACCAGACATCCTTCTCTGCATTCTAACTAATATATCTATTGGCCTATTTTATTATATATATATATATTTTTTTCATTTCAACTTTTATTTTAGATTTAAGGGTAGCATGTTCAGGTTTATTACATGGGTTTACAGTGTGATGTTGAGGTTTGGGATGAGTGATCCCATCATAGCAATGAGAATAGTGCCCAATTGGTAGTTTTTCAGGCCCTGAGCCTCTTCTCTCTCCCCTTTCTAGTACTCACTGGTGTTTATTATTACCATCTTTATTTCCAAGTGTACCCTATATTTAGCTTTCACTTGTAAGCAAGAACATGCAGTGTTTGGTTTTCTATTCCTACATTAATTCATTTAGGGTGGTGGCCTCTAGCTGCATCCACATTGCTGCAAAGGACATGATCTCATTTTGGTATGGCTGTGTAGTATTCCATGGTGACTATGAGTGACATTTTCTTTATTCAGTCCACTGTCGATGGGTACCTAGGTGATTCCATGTTGTTGCTATTGTGAACCGTGCTGTGATGAACCTGCAAGTGCGTGTGTCTTTTTGGTAGAATAGCTTATTTTCCTTTGGGTATATAACCAGTAATGGAATTGCTGGGTTGAATGGTAGTTCTGTTTTAAATTCTTTGAGAATTCTCCAAATTGCTTTCCATAGTGGCTGAACTAATTTACATTCCCATGAACAGTGTATAAGTGTTTCCTTTACTCTGGAGCCTTACCAGCATCTGTTATTTTTTAATTTTTTTGATAATAGCCCTTCTGACAGGTGTGAGATGGTATCTCACTGTGGTTTAGATTTTCATATTTCTGATTATTAGTGATGCTAAGCATTTTTTTCATATATTTGTTGGCAACTTGTATGTCTTCTTTTGATAATTGTTGGTTCATGTCTTTTGCCCACTTTTTAATGGGGTTATTTGTTTTTTGGTTATTGAATTGTTAAAGTTCCTTATAGATTCTGAATATTAAACTTTTGTTGGATGAATAATTTGCAAATATTTCCTTCTGTTGCTTAGGTTGTCTACTTACTCTGTTGATTGTTTTGCTGTGCAGCAGCTCTTTAGTTTAATTAAGTCCCATGGGTCAATTTTTGTCTTTGTTGCAATTGGTTTTGAGGAGTTAGCCATAATTTATTTTGTCAAAGCTGATGTTGAGAAGGGTATTTTCTGTATTTTTCTTATAAGATTTATATGGTTTGAGGACTTACATTTAAATCTTTAATCCATCTTGAGTTAATCTTTGTATATGATAAAGGGTAGGAGTCTAATTTCATTCTTCTGCATATGGCTAACCAGTTATCCCAGAACCATTTATTGAATAGGGAGTCGTTTCCCCAATGTTTACTTACGTCCACTTTGTTAAAAACTGGATGGTTGTGGGTCTGCAACTTTATTTCTGGGTTCTCTATTCTGTTCCATTGGTCTCTGTGTCTGTTTTTATATCAGAACCATGCTTTTTTGGTTACTGTGTAGCCTTATAGTATAGTTTGAGCTCAGGTGATGTGATCCTTCCTACTTTGTTCTTTTGGCCTATAATTTCTTTGGCTATTTGGATTCTTTTTTGGCTCCATATGGATGTTAGGATAGTTTTATTCTTTAAAAAATGACATTGGTACTTTGATAGGAATAGCACTGAATCTGTAGACTGCTTTGGGCCATATGGCCATTTTAATGAGAAGGTTTCTTCTGATCCATGAACTTGGAATGTTTTTACATTTGTCTGTGTCATCTATAATTTTTTTCATCAGTGCTTTTTATTTTTCCTTGCAGATATTCTACCTCCTTGGTTAGATATATTCCTAGGTATTTTATTATTTTGTGGCTATTGTAAATGGGATAGCATTCTTGATTTGAATATCAGCTTGAACACTGTTGGTCTATAGAAATGCCACTGATTTTTGCACACAGATTTTTGTGTCTAGAAACTTTACTAAACTGGTTGATCAGTTTTAGGAGCCTTTCAGCAGAATCTCTTGAATTTTCTAGGTATAGAATTATATCACCAGCAAAGAGAGATAATTTGACTTCTTCTTTTTCTATTTGGATGCCTTTTATCTCTTTCTCTTGCCTGATTGCTCTTGGTAAATTTTCCAACAATATGTTGAATAGGAGTGGTAAGAGTAGGCATCCTTTTCTTATTCTTGTTCTTAAGGGAAATGCTACCAGCTTTTGCCTGTTCAGTATGACGGTGGCTGTGGGTTTGTCATAGATTGCTCTTATTATTTTAAGGTATGTTCTTTCACTGCCTAGTTTCTTGAGGGTTTTTATAATTCAGGGATATTGAATGTTATAGAAAGCTTTTTGTCTTGCTGTTGAGATGATCATATGTTTTTTGTTTTTAATTCTGTTTATGTGGTGAATCACATTTATTGATTTGCGTATATTGAACCAACATTTCGTTTCAGGAATAAAGCCTACTTCAGTGTGGTTAGTTTTTTATGTGCTACTGGATTCATTTTCCTAGTGTTATGTTGTGGATTTTTGTATCTATGTTTATCTATGAGTTATGCTACTGTTATGCTGAGGATTTTTGCATCTATGTTTATATTAGCCTGTAGCTTTCTTTTTTGTTGTTGTGTTTATCAGGTTTGGGTATTAGGGTGATGCTGCCTTAGTAGAATGCATTGGGGAATGAAAGTTCTCTATTTTTTGGAATACTTTTGGTGGGATTCATACAAGCTCTGTATACATCTTGCAGAATTCAGCTGTGAATCCATCAGATCCAGGGCCCTTTTTGGTTGGTAAGTATCATTATTACTGATTTAATTTCAAAACTTGATCTGTTCAGCATTTTAATTTCTTATTTATTAAATATTGGGAGGTTGTATGTTTCCAGGATGTTACTCATTTCCTCTATATTTTCTACTTTGTGTGCATAGGTGTTATAATAGTCTTGAGAATCTTTTGTATTTCTGTGGGATTTGTTGTGTTATCACATTTTGTCATTTCCAGTTGTGGTTATTTGGATCTTCTCTCTCTCTCTGTTAATCTAGCTAGCAGTCTACTGATCTTCTATATCTTTTTAAATAGCCAACTTTTTATCTTATTGATTCTTTGTATGGATTTTTGGGTCCCACTTTTATGTGGTTGTATCCTGATTGTATTTATTGTTTTCCTGCTAGATTTAGGTTTAGTTTGTTGTTGTTTTCTTAGTTCCTCTAGGTGTAATGTTAGATTGTTAATTTGAGATCTTTCTAACCTCTTGAGGTAGATAGGCATTTAGTGTTATGAACCTTCCTTTTAACACTGCTTTTGCTGCATCCCAGATATTTTCATATATTGTGCCTCTGTTTTTATTTATTCCAAAGGATTTTTTTATTTCTCCCTTAATTTCATTGCTTACCCAAAAGTCATGCAGGAGCAAGCTGTTTAATTTCCATGTAATTGTGTGGTTTTGAGTGATCTTTTTGGTAATTTGTATTATTATTCCATTGTCTTCTGGAAGTATGATTAACTTGATTTCAAATTTTTTTCAATATTTTGAGATTTGCTTTATGGCTGAGTATGTGGTTGATCTTAGAGTATGTTCTGTGTGCAGATAAGACAAACGTATATTCTGTGGTTGTTGGGGGCAGTATTCTGTGGATGACTATGAGGGCTAATTGGTCAGGAGTTGAGTTTAAGTTCAGAATTTCTTTGTTGGTTTTCTTCCTCAATGACCTGTCTAATGCTGTTAGTAGGGTGCAGAAGTCCCTCACTATTATTGCATGGCTATCTAACTCTTTTTGTAGGTCTGGAAGTACTTGTTTTATGAATACGGGTGCTCCAATGTTGGTTGCCTATATATTTAAGATAGTTAAGTCTTCTTGCTGAATTGAACCCTTTATCATGTCATGTCCTTCTTGGTCCTTTTTTTTACTGTTGTTGGTTTAAAGCCTGCTTTATCTGAAATAAGAATTGGAATTTCTGTTCTTTTTTTGTTTTTCATTTGTGTGATGGATCTTTCTCCAACCATTTACTTTGAGCCTGTAGGTGTTGTGATATGTGAGATGGATCTGTTGAAGACAGCAGATGGATGGGTCTCGGTTTTTAATCCAACTTGCCACTCTGTGCCTTGTAGGGGGGCATTTAGGCCATTTACATTCGAGGTTACTACTGATATGTGAGGTTTTGATACTATCATGAAGTTTTCAGATGAATGCTTTGTAGTTTCTTTCATGTAGTTGCTTGCAGGTTCTGTAGACTATATACTTAAGTGTGTTTTTGGGTGACAGATATTGTTCTTTTGTTTTCGCGTTTATAACTCCCTTAAGGAGCTCTCGTAAGACTGATCTAGTGATAATGGATTGTCCTAGTGATTGCTTGTCTGGAAAATATTTTATTTCTTCTCCACTTATGAAGCTTAATTTGGTGTACATGAAATTCTTTGAAATTTCTTTTACTTGAGAATGCTAAAAATAGATCCCCAATGTCTTCTGGCTTGTAAGGTTTCTGCTGAGAATCCACTGTTAGCCTAACGGGGTGATCTCCTTGTATGTGATCTGACCTTTTTACTCTAGCTGCATTTGACAGTTTTTCTTTAGCACTGACCTCAGATAGTCTTGTGACTATATGTCTTGGTGATGTTTATTTTGTATATTATCTTGCAGGTGTTCTCCAGATTTCTTCTATGGATATCTATCTCTCTAGCAAAATTAGGGAAACTTTCTTGAATTGCCAAGACCAGCTCGGTCATGGAGACCCTAATGCAGCGGCACTAGAGGAATTTAAGACACACACACAGAAATATCGAGTGTGGAGTCAGAATCAGGGGGCTGACAGCCTTCAGAGCTGAGAACCACGAACAGAGTTTTACCCACATATTTATTGACAGCAAGTCAGTGATAAGCATTGTTTCTACAGATTATAGAATAACTAAAAGGAGAAACAAAGGGATGGGCTCTGGCTAGTTATCCGCAGGAATAACATGTCATTAAGGCACAAATCGCTCATGCTATTGTTTGTGGTTCAGTAACGCCTTAAGCGGTTTTGCGCCCTGGGTGGGCCAAGTGTTCCTTGCCCTCATTCCAGTAAACCAACAACCTTCAGCATAGGCATCATAGCCATCATGAGTATGTCACAGTGCGGCAGAGATTTTGTTTATGGCCAGTTTTGGGGCCTGTTTACGGCCAGATCTGGGGGCCTTTTCCCAACATTGAATTCTTCCCTCAAATATATTTTCCAGGTTAATTTTTTTCACCCTCTCTTAGGAATTCCAATAGTTTGTAGATTTGATCACTTTACATAATCTCATATTCCTTGATGACTTTGTTCATTTTTCTTAATTCTTTTTTCATTATTTTTTCTTACTTGGTTAGTTCAAAAGGCTAGTCTTCAAGCTCTGAAATTCTTTCTTTGGTTTGGTATAATCTATTAATAAAACTTTCTATTATATTTTGAAATTCCTTAAGTGAATTTTTTTACTCCAGAAGCTCTGATTTCTTTTTAAGATGTTTGTCTATTCCTTTATTTCCTGAATTGATTTAAAAGTTTCATTGGGTTGATTTTCATCCTAGACTTGGGTCTCATTGAGCTTTATTGAAATTCATGCTTTAAATTTTTTATCTGTCATTTCTGAATTTCCTTTTTTGTTAGGAGCTATTGCTGGATAGCTAGTGTGATCCTTCGCAGTGTTACACCATTCATATTTTTCATGGTACCAGAATTCCTGCACTGGTTAATTTTCTTTGGGAGACACTGGCACTTCTAATTTTGGTACTAATTTTCATGTGAATCACATTTTATTGTTTCTCTTTCTCCTTTTCTTAGGGGATATGACTTTAAAGAATGTTGTGTAGCATCTTTTGGCTTTGCTTCTATAGACCTATGCACTTCTGTTGGCATGTTTTATATTGGCCTGTGCATTTCGACCTACTAGTCATTAGATGGCACTTATGGGTAAGAGCTGATGGTGGCCAATGTGGATGGGTATAGACTTGATCCTTATTAACTTGAAGAAGTTCTTTACTGCCTCAGGCAATGGGCTGATCCATAGAGCGCACAGTGGTCTGAGCTTCCTCCTCAGCCCTGGATTGAGGAACAAAAATGGGCAAGTGGACCACACAGAGCCACCTGTAAATACCCCAGTGGCAAAACAAGCACAAGTACTGAGGTGGTATTTTGTGGGCAGCCATCAATTACCCAGACATGTGCCTAGGTGTGTATATGGGAAAAGTCCTTGGTCCCAATTCTCTCCACAGGGGGTAGGGAGTGGAAGAGCAGCCTGAACTTCTGCTACTCCAAGAGAGTGAGTACCCCAAGATGCCTGGAGATCTGCCTGGGCATGGAGCAGAGAGGCCACTTACCCCTGCCCTATGCCAAGATCTCTGCACAGGAATGGTGAGATGACTCAGTTTGCCAATCTGGGTGCACAGTTGTTCTGAATGCCCAGAGATCTGCCTGGGTATGGTGTGGAGAGGGCCCCACTGCACTATGATCTATGCACAACAAGGGAGGGGTGACACAGGTTATCAAGCTAGGCAAGCAGGTGCTCCAGATATCTAGAGATCTGCCTGAGTATGGGGCAAAGTGAGCCCCCTTGCATCAGAATTTTTGCACAGGAAGGGTGAAGTAACTCAGGCTGATAATCCATGGGAGTGAGTGCTTCAAATGCCTGGAGATCTGCCTAGTTGTGGTGTGAAGAGGGCCTTGCTGTACCACAATTTATGAACCAGAAGAACAAAGTGGCTCAGGCTGCTGATCCAGGCAAGTGGGAGATCTGAATGTCGGGAGATCTGCCTGCCTGCCTGCCTACTTTAAATATCTCCCTGAATGACTAAAAGATCATTCCCACTCATGAGTTCTATTAGAGAAGGAATTAATAATTAGCATATATAAGGAGATAAAAGAACTCAATAGGAAATATAAATTAAATTTTAAAAAATCAAAATATCTGAATATATATTGCTGAAAAGAAGACATAAAGTGGAAAACAGATACATGAAAAATGCTCAACATCACTAATCATCAGAGAAATGAAAATCAAAACTACAATGATACTGTCACACTGGTATTTAAAGAAAATAAAAACCAAAATGATATATCTCACTCCAGTTAAAATTGCTTACATCAAAAACATAAGGAATAATAGATGTTGAAGAAGATGTGGAAAAGGGGAAACTTTTTTTGCACTGTTGGTGGGAATGTAAATTAGTGCAGCAACTATGGAAAAAAATAGAGATTCCTTGGAAAACTAATAATGAAACTACCAACTGATTCAGCTAATCCACTACTGAGTATATATTTAAAAGAAAGGAGATCAATATGTCAAAGAGATATCTGCACTCTCATGTTTATTGCAGCATTATTCAGAATAGCCAAAATAGCCAAAATGTTCATCAGTAGATTAATGGAAAAAGAAAATTGAGTATATATACCCAATGAAATACGATTCAGCCATAAAAAGAATAAAATCTGTCATTTGAAGGAACATGGATAGAACTGAAGGTGATTATGTTAAATGAAATAAACCAAGTATAGTGTTCCATAGATCAGTAGGGTAAGTATAGTTAACATTAATCAATTGTATATTTCAAAGTAGCTAAAAGAGAATAATTCAAATGTTCCTAGGATAAACAAAAGATAAATATTTAAGGTAATGGATATCCCAATTACCCTGCTTTGATTATATGAATGTATCAAATTACCATATGTAACATGAAAATATGTACAACTATTGTTTATCAATAAAAAATTAATTTGACTAAAAGGTCAGTCATTACGAATAAAATTCAAGGTAAATTGGAATAAAAATAAACTATAATGAAGTATTAAAATAATTTCTGTTAAAACCAAGATCTGGACAGAATTTTTCTTTATCACTATCATCACTTGTTTACTCAAATGTTCTTGTAAATACAATGAAATTGTGTAAAATGGCATAATCACCAAAAAGAGGAAACATGTTTTGTTTTGTTGCTAATGTTTGTTTAGTTAAATAACAACTGAAATTAAAATTGAAGTATGGTAACTTGATTTTATATTTATTTTGTACTCTAATAAATGATTTTCCCCATTTTAGTAATAAATTCTTAAAGAAAGGAAATAATATATGTCACACAACAGTAATATATTTTAAACTTAGAACATTTTGCTAGAAAAAATGCCACTTATATAAAATCTAGTTGAAGAATGTAAAATTATATCTGAACTATCTGAACTATGTGAATGAAATCCATCTACTTATATACAAAACTGTATTATTAAAATTTTTAATTATTATAAAAATAAAATATTCACTTAAACAATTTTAATTAGAATACCATCATAGTTGTTATTGGTTTTAATTGGATAAAATTATTTTAATGTTTTTATAAAAGATAAAATGTCCCTAGGATAGTCAGATAAAATTAGTGGCAGATGTTTTTGTTTTAAGGTGTTAGAAAACATATTAAATCTATTAATTGTATTGGCTGAGGTATCAAAAAAAAAAAAAGGAACAGGAGAAGGAATCTGAAAAGAGACCTCAATATATATTTTAATTTAATATGTGGCAAAGATGATTTGAAGTCAGTTAGGAAAGGTTATAGTCTTAATAACAAGTGAAAGTACAAATTTACATTCACTGAAAAAAATTAAAATTATATAAATAATTTCATCATAGGTGAAAATGTTACATATATATTAGATGATTAAATGTGAAAAAATATAATAAGAAAACTACATGAATGGCAAAGGTGTTGGCGAGAACTTCTTAACCAAGACAAAAAAATCAGAAGCTAAAAAAAGAAAAGACAGTCATATTTTATTAAGAAAATGTGAACATGGAAAAAAAAATGAACAGAATACATGGGTAGATAATAAATTATAAAAAATATTTGCAATGCTAAAGATAGAGTTATTACCTGTAATTTATAATAGTACTTGATAAATGACAAGAAGAGTGCTAAATGTTAGAAAATGTGCAAATTACTTGAAGAGGCAATTAATAGAAGAACAAATTCTAATGAAAAGATGCTCAAACTCATTAGTTTTCAGGGTAATGCAAAGAAAAGGAACAATGAGCTAGATCACATTTTAGGAACCAGATGTCAAAATTGAAAAATTCTTTTAACATCTTTCTGCTAGAAAATTATGTTCAAGAGTACTGTAATATATTGTCCATGCACATATAAATTGTTACAGCCTGTTAGCAAAGTATTTGGGAAATATATACAGATATATAAATTTGTGTTGTTCAACCCATCAACCTCATTGATATGAAAGCATCAATCTATAAGGACTGGGGACAATTATATTAATATTGTTTAGAGTTGCAAAGAATCATGAAATGAAATGGATTTCTACTTGTAAGAGAATAATTGTGTAAATTGTGATATTATGGTATATCCACACTTTATCTTATTATGCATGCATTAAAACAGTGAATTGGAGATGTACTAAGTCATTTGATATAACAAGATAAATTATAATTGAATTAAAAATGAAGACAAATATGTTGACATAAATTTTCAGCTTCACACAATTATAAAATCCCTTTATATACAAATTTAATAAAAAGAAAACAAATTACATATAAATATAATATTTGTGTTTACATATGTACAAAATTATACAACTTAGAGAAAGATATGGAAGAAAAGATGCCTACATGGGTTGTCCAGCATGTCTTTGTGTGCATGTGTTGGTTGTGGGTCTAAGAGTTATCTGTGGGAAAAGGAGTAAAAAAGGAGAGCAATAAAAGCCAAATAAAATGAAAATAATACAATTAATGAAAAATATTTTTTAACCTATGATATTATGAGATGTATGAATTTACAGAAATAAATGATTAAATGATTGTCAAATTAAGGTTTTTAAAGAGGAGATGATCATCAATGAGCATTTTACCAAGCTGATGAATTAAAGATGGTAGACTAAATATAGTTACCTTCAAGCAATCTATTAAATGCCATTCATAATACTACAACTCCGTAAAGAATGAGAGAAACATATAAACAAACTAGAAGTTTGACCACACTTCTAGAATACAGGTAGCAGATTGCTATTTGTGGATAAAGAAGAGTAGTGGAAGCTACAAGCCTCTGAAGAAATAAACTAAGCTTTGCAGCCACTACAAATGATGGTGAGAAGGTATGAGTACATCTCTTATGAGGACTGTTTGAAGGAACCAAGGTGCTTATCCGGGAAAATAGTTCCTTAGAAATTACAGTTCTGTCTATCTAGCTGAATAGTTGCCCTGTGGGTTATTTTTTACTTCCAGCTTCCAAATATGGATTCTCCAAAAATAGCTTACAACCAAATGGAACAAGACTGGTCCAGAAAATATGCATCAGAGCCATTAACTCCACAAAGGTAGAAAGTTATGTGAGAATTTGCCTTTGGAACTAGGATGCATTTGATTTCTCATAACTTTACCACTGGCATCCTACGACGATGATAATTCCAAACTTTTCTTTTAGGCAAAGTAAGAGACCAAATCAACCGCTTAGATATTCTCAAAATAGTCACATAGGTTCTTTGAAGATATTAAATAAACTTTTTTATTGTAAAGATGTTTCACATAATTACAACAACTTTAAAATTTTTATTCACAGCAGTCATGCATTATATTTTTAAATCTTGGATATATAATATGTAATTATAATAACAGCATCTTTACAATTTTTTGAGAGCAATCATGTATTTTATTTTTAAATTGTGGACAGTCTTGAATAACTGAGGTAACAAAAGGTAAGGAAGAGGTTAATAGATAACATTGCCACAAGGAGAAAGTGAGAGTTAAGGCAGTTTTCTTCAATACGTCTTAGCTTTTTAGGATCTGGCTGGAAACTTCACTATAATTAAAAAAGATTATTTTTCAGTAAGGTGGAGAGAAGGGATGAAAAAATAAATAAAAATGCTAGAAGTCAACATGCATACCTTCACCTCTGCATCTCATAATTAATGATGCATAAATCATAACACTTAAAATAGGCAAGTTTTAATTGCTACATCATGACAAATCCCATTTAAAACAGTAATTTCATATTTCCAAAAAAGTTCAAATATAGGTCAATTTAGGAAAAGATAGGTTTTTAAAGATTCTTTCTTGCATACAAAGCAACAATTTTAAAAACGGAAAATCTGATTTCTTAAGCTATTTGCAAAGTGGTTACTAGCACATGGCCTAGCCCAAGTTGATACTTAATTTATAAATAATAAATGAATTAATAAAGAAACTGTAATAATGGTTTGCCCAATAACATGGTGCAAATCATCATTGAAATCCATGATCAGTGTTATGTGATGTATACCAGTATTATTGGAATCCTAATAAATTTGATTATGTGGTTATTTTTGTATTTAATCAGATAGCCACATAAAGAGTAAGACATCATGTATCTCAACTAAAAAAGTTATTTTTAAATTGAATATAGCGATACATAGTAGTCTAAAAACACATTTTAAGGAGGAATGGAGTTTCTGAAGATGTTGAGGTCAACTTTTGAAATTTGCAGATTTGTGATAATATAGTAAAATAACAAACAGAAAGCTCAAGTAAAAAGGTACGAAATTGAGATCGATAACTCATTATAAAATGATTGGGCTACATTAAATCAGGGTGATTTATTAGAATATAAGCTATGTAAGCTGAGAGAAATTTTCTATCTTGATTTTCATTTCTGCAGAAACTAAAAGAAATTCAGGCATGTATTAGGTGCAGAATACATATTTGTTGATTCGCTGAACTAAATTGCACAGACTTGCACATGTGTTAGTTGGATTTCCTCAATTTCAAAAAGAAGCTAACATATATAAATATATACACATATATATATTTCATATATTTCATATAAGTATATAAATATACATATATTTATTTAAATATGTGGCTTAAAATTACAGCATACTAATATGACACATTTTCTTAATATAATTAAATTTTAATACATTTAAATTTTTATCTAATTCTTATTATACTAATCGCATGCCTTTAATGTTACTGATTTTGTTTATGGATAAATTGTATAATATGAGTCAGTTAATTTGTTTTCCTACATGTATTTTTACTCCCTTGGGCAGTGAAAGGGGTAAATGAAGTATACTAATAAGATTTCAAGTGATGAATTCTAATATGCATTACACATTAAAAAACAAATATGAAATGCATATACCATAAAATATCATGTTTTATCTCATGTATATTTCCATAATATAAACACTTCTCTAAGTAAATCAACAATTACTTTTTTTTCTTTGCAGCTACAGTGTTCCTGTAGTAGACTCATCTCATTATTTGCGATAGTATCAACCTTGATTTTCTACAGGTGAAGAATGTCATGACCTTAATGAATTCGGGAAGTAAGCAAAGAATGTCTAAAATTAAGAATTTGTTTTTTAAGACTTCTATTTCTAAGAATATTATTAAATTTTATAAACATTTGAGATAGTCTTAAAAAGTCACCGTTCTCTTAAGAAGTTTTCATTTTCTGAAACAACATTGATTAAGAATAATCTATACCTAAAGAATGTATTATTTTTCTGTCTCTATTTTTTTTTTTATCCTTCTTCTTTTAAACATTTCTTGCTTGAGGTACTTTTATGGAGGACGACTGAGTGGTGAGATTATATTCTTAGGAGGTTCCAGGAGCTCTCCATAGCTACTGGGTGTTCAACAACTTTTGCTGAGGTGCCTGCAGTGACAATTTGGGCTGCCAACAGGTGCTTGAGCTTCACTCTCTAAACTCTGGCTGCTATATTCAAATCAATGGATGCTTTCTTCTTGCTTCACTTTGTTTTAGCAAATTCTTCACCTCTAGGTACTTTCATTAATTAAATACATTTTTCTGACAACATCTAGATATTGCAGATACTGTGTTCAGTGTTAACTCACCACGATGGGAAAGAAAAAAGAAAAAAATGTTCTAAAGACAAGAAGCATAAGTACTGGCAGAAGGCAAACAAGAAAATAGACAGCTATAAAACTCTGTATAAGTTAATGTAGAGTCATTCATAGTTGTTTTTTGGTGGTTTTTCCTTGCTTTTTAAAAAAAGAATCTAATGGAAAATTATGCACCAAGTTGGCAGAGAGAAGGAAAACAGAGGGCCACAAGGGTGAATTTGAAAGCCTGAAACCAAAATTGAGTCTGAGACTTAAGGAATGTGTAGAGAATGAAACTGGATAAAGAGGAAGTAGAAACTTGGATTTATATGAGGGTGAGGGGAGTAGATAGCATGAAAAGAAAGAAAAAACTAGCATGGTATGACTATATGTTGGTGAGGGATGTTAGAAAATATGCAGTTAGGCAACGTCAGAGAATAAAGCACAGGGATATGGCAACTTGTGAGGCTGGAGAGGCAAGTAGTAAATAAATATTAAAATGGCACAATTAATTGTTTAATGTGATGTTACCTGAGTTTACATATTTAGCTATTTGTGTTACTTTTTAAATTGTCTACTTTAGCTAAATATGTATAATTTTTCCTTATTTAATCTAAATTTATTGACTAGGTGTTTTACTATCGTATATGTTTCCACATTATTTCATTTAATTTATTTCATATATGTTACCTTCTTTCCAATATGTTGCATTACATGATTTAAATAACTTCCTGTATGTTAATTAGATTAATCAAGTTACTCTATCTTTAGATGAAATACTTTATGCAAATATAAAAAGTCAGTCTTGAAGTGGTTTTTCTCATCCTTTGGCATGGTTGTTAATCCTCTCTGCTCTTTCCATCTCTCACATAGGCCTGCTCCCTATACATTCATTCCAAAGACGAGTCCTTAAACTCAAAAACCAGTAACTAAGCAGTGTACCATAGTTACAGACAAAAAATAAAATAATACTTATTTTTAAAAATAATCTCTCCTTTTCTTAAGCTAACAATTATTCTGCTGTTAGTAATAAGATAAATGGATACCTTAGCCATTTCCCAACCTGGATACCAATGTCTGGGAAACCTTATCTGTGTTCTTATGCATTGTTAAAGAGCAATGTTTAGCAGAAAATTCACGATATAAAATAGAGCATTTCCATAACTAATGACAACAGGGCTAACTTATGAAGAGAGCAGGACAAAAGAAAGAAGTCGGTGGAAATTTCATGAAGGAAAAATTTCAAAACATCTCAAGTTTATACTTTACATTTTTTTAATTAGGTAAAGTTAGATAGTATACAATTTATCAATTATGAGTATACATTTTGGTGCATTTTAACAAATGTATACAACCACATAATCATTATCATACATTTCCATATTCCTAAAATGTTTCTTCATATCCCTTTGCAATTAGTGCACCTCTCCCTCCTCCTACCACCCACCTTCAGTGCCTGGAAGCCACAGAGCTGCCTTCTGTCATTACAATTTTGCCTGTTTTTAAGGATGTTATATAAATGGAAACATGTACCATTTGTTACTGACATTTCATTTACCACAGACTTTTAAGGTTTGTTGGTTTTAGTCGGCTGAATGAGGGCACTCCAATATGTTCACGTCCTAATGCCAGGACCTGAAAATAGTGCCCTACATGTCAAAAGAATACAAATAATGACTAAGAGACATGTGTCCGCAAATCAATGCATGCTAACAGTCAGCAGAGCTAGAAGAGGCAAGGAATAGATTATCCTCTAAAGCATCCAGACAGTGAGACTACTAACACCTTGATTTTGGACTTCTGGCCTCCCAAACTGTGAAAGAATACATTCTCTCGTTTTAAGCCACGAAATTCGTGGTAATTAATTGCAGCAGCCTTAGGAAACAAATACAGCTATGGTACATATAAGTCTGTTCTTTTGTATTGTTGAACAAAGTAACCTTATGTAAATATACCAAAATTTCAGTAGATGTTTGGGTGTTTTCCCATTTTTTGCTATTAATCAAACTTGCATGAGTATAATATGCCTTTCATGGACATAAGTTTTGCTACCTCTTGGAAAAGACAGTGGAATTGATATGTCATATAAGCATATGTTTAACTTTAAAAGAAACTGCTAAACTATTTTCCAAAGTGTCTATATTGTGCAATCTATTAGAAATGTGTGAGAATTTGCTCTGCACCCCTGCTAGCGCTTGGTATTTTCAGGGATTTTATTAGTTTTCACATTTATTTTATTTTACTTTCTTTGAAACGTTATTGGGTGTGTTACAGTATCAGTATCTCACGTTGGTTTTAATTGCATTTTCTAATAACAAATTATATGGAGCATCATCTCATGTACCGATTTATCATCTATCTTCTTTGACAAAGTATGTGTTCCCATCATTTGTCCATATATTTATTGGATTTGGTGATTCTTTTATTTTGTTTGGGCTGCAATAACAAAGTATAACAAACTGAGTGGCTTAAGCAGGAGAAATTGATTGCCCCACAGTTCTGGAGATTAGCGTTTGAGATCCAGCTGTCAGCAGGGCTTGTTCTCTCTGGGCTATAAGGAAGAATCTACCCCATGCCTCCCCACTAGATGCTGGTGTTTTGCTGGAAATCTTTGGGGTTTCTTGGCTTGTCACTCTATTTGTCTTATGTTATGTTCTTTGTGTGTGTGTGTGTGTGTGTATCTACCTTTAAATTTTCTCTTTTTGTTTTGTTTGTTTGTTTGTTTTTGAGACAGAGTCTCTCTCTCTGTCGCCCAGGCTGGAGTGCAGTGGCACGATCCCGGCTCACTGCAAGCTCCGCCTCCCGGGTTCACGCCACTCTCCTGCCTCAGCCTCCGGAGTAGCTGGGACTACAGGCGCCCACCACCACGCCCGGCTAATTTTTTGTATTTTTAGTAGAGACGGGGTTTCACCGTGTTAGCCAGGATGGTCTCCATCTCCTGACCTCGTGATCCGCCCGCTTCGGCCCCGCGAAGTGCTGGGATTACAGGCGTGAACCACTGCGCCCGGCCAAATTTTCTCTTTTTATAAGGACACCAGTAACATTGGATTAAGTCTTAATGACACTAAAGACCTCATTTCAACTTAATTACCTCTATAAAGAGCTTATTTTCACATGGAGTCACATTCTGAAATACTGGAGGTTAGGAATCCAACACAGGAATGTGGGGAGTTCACACAAACAGTGGTGAGTTAAAGGAGTTCCGTATCATATTAGACATGCTGAATCGGTGGTTCCTTGTGTCCCGTGGATATGCCCAGCTGATTGTATATTGGTGTATTCCTGAGTAATGAAGGCTATGGTAGACAAATACTTTAAAGAGTTATCAAAGTCTATATTAAAATAGAATCTGTGAAAGTAGATAAAATTGCCAAGGGTAATGGCAAAAGGGGACAGGAGCCTGGGCCAGAAACTTGAGGTGAAATTATTTAAAGAATAATTAAATAATTATCACAAATAAAAACATAACTCTATAAAGAAAACTGATAAGGGGAAGTAAATGATATATAACAAAAAAATATATAAGATTGTTGTAGGGCTATAGTTAATTATGCCAAACACTGCTAAGAGGTTAAATGAAATTAAAACAAAAGGTGTCCCTGGTTTTGGTAAGATGGAGCTGGTTGGTCAAGATAATGGAAGCACTTTCAACAAAATGGTGGGGATAGGATCCTAATTATGATGTGGTGGTAGAGTCTTTTTGCTGGAAAACTTATGGCATCATCAACTTACTGCTTAGAGATTGAGATATTATTATATCAAGGAACCTGGGGACTCTGGGTAAGTCCAAAATTACAGAAAACATTTCCATTTTTTTATTTTAAGAAATACATTTCTTTTTAAGCATGTTTTCATTAATTAGGCAAGTGTCAGGATTGGATTTGGGGAAACACATAATCTTACTCGACAAATCTGATGTTAAAAGTAATAACAATAACAATAACAAATCATAGACATGATAGAATTTATGTGATTATTTTATGCCTTGAGTTTCCAATCTGTTTGGCCACCATGCGGCAGGAGGATAGACTTAACTGCTGGCTTCACCTACAACCTGTTTTCTCACTGTCAGCTCAACACATCAGGAACATCTAATATAATACTTACATAAAGTTTCTATTGTTCCTGATTAGAATCTACACTATGATATCATCTTTAGGTTTCTTTCTCTATGGAGCTTTTCTTTCATCTGAAGGTCAATTTGTTTGTATTGTCAAACTTGCATTCATTCTATGCTACCCTCAATTAATGAATATATTTTTTGTGTTATAATATGAAATACTTTTTCTGCTTATGTCTCCTCTCAGATCAGAATTTTTTTTTTTTTTTTGGAGATGGAGTCTCGCTCTGTCACCCAGGCTGGAGTGCAGTGGTGCAATCTCGGCTGACTGCAACCTCCACCTCCCAGGTTCAAGTGATTCTCCTTCCTCAGCCTCCCACATAGCTTGAACTACAGGTGCATGCCACCACAGCCGGCTAATTTTTTGTATTTTAGTAGAGATGAGGTTTCACTGTTTTGCCCAGGCTGGTCTTGAGCTCCTGAGCTCAGACAATCTGCCCAGCTCAGCCTCCCAATCACATCAGATTTTATTGAGATAGTCCAAACCAGATTTTTCTCCTTCAGCTTCAATCTACACACACAATTCATTCTAAATAAGTTACCATTGGCCCTATATTTTGCCCAGTCCAATTCGTAAATATTCTGTGAATCATAGCCAGATGAAAGTAGCACACATTTATTTTTTTTCTAAGTTATTATATACTGAAATTTTAAATTATCCCAAGCCAAAGTGATTACAACTTTTTAAAAAATCAGTAATATATATTACATTTGTGATTTATATCATGTAGGTAACATGAATATCTTTCTGTTACAACAAATTTGACATATTAAATTGAAAATGGCTTCATAGTTTTATAATCCATAACATATAGCTCATTGCTAGACAGTAAATACCAAATATAAACTTGTTGATTAATTTTATAATTGAGGAAATGGATAGCATAAAATCTTTCATTAAAACACATTTCATATACATTAATGAATTTTATCTTTTGTCATTCTGAGGGGAAATGGAAGATTTTTCTTTTCAATCAAATGGTAAATGTCAGATAAATCATTAGAGTTTGTAAAATTACCCACTAATCAAATTATTATTTATAGATTTTCACAGTGGATACATTCACCTTACACACATTTATGGAGTGCTTACCCTGAGTCAGACATTGCACAAGAAGTATGATTAAAGTATTGAACAAGACTGACAAGTTCCTGCCATGTTGGAGCTTGCATTTTAGAGAGAGTGACAGACAATACAGTAAACAAGTGATTCAATCATGTTTAATGGGAGTTGAAGCTTCTTGAGATTCAGCAACTCATGCTGGACCTCGAGGAACCTGCCAAACTAAGAGACAGAGAGGAATAGTCTACTTATGGTTAAGGACAAAGCCCCCAAGGCATCAATATTATGTATTAGCAATGGTGCTCAGATTTCAGCATAATCAAAATCACATGGAGCTCTCATTAAAATCCAGTTGCTTAGTCCCACACCAAGAGTTTCTGAATCAATAGATCTTGAGTGGTACTCGAGAATTTTCATTTCTATTATTTCCCAGGTGGTGTTTATGCTACTGGTTCAGGGACCACACTTTGAGAAACACTGGGTTAAAGATATTAATAGATACCAATGAGGCTAATGTATGGAGGACAATTGTATCATACAAAAAGGATGACAGCAATTTAAAAAATGGAAACAGTACACCGGAGTGAGGTCACAGGCTCACATTGATCACAATAAGAAGTTTGAATTTATTCTAAGTGCAATGAGAAGACATTGAAGGGTTTTCAGCAGGGGAGTATTATGATCTGATTTACATTTTAAAAGTATTGCTCTGGTTGCTATTAATAAAATGTACTGTATTAGTGAAAGAGGAAATAGAGAGACTTGTATAAGGTCATTGTAGTAGTCTGATAAGAGAGAATAATGTTTTGTACAAGGAATATGTCAGCAGAAATGGATTTGCTGAAAGAACAAATGTGGGGATTGAGCAAAGGGATAAATCAAGAATGACTTTTAAGATTTTGGATTGAGTACCTGAATGCCTTTATTAAGAGGGGGATGAATAACAACAGAGAAGATCCAGAGAAGTTGCTATTACTTTGTTAATGTTGCTGGACCTTGAACCACATTTTGAATAGCACTGATGTAGAGGTTGTGTAAAAGAATATAAAGATGATTGATATCCTTGACAGGAAAAGCTTTAGTTCAAAAATGTGGATAGAAGCCTGGTTTTAATGGTCTAAAGTAAAAAAAAAAAAAAGGAGAAATGTAAGTAATTGGAGGTGACATGTGATGGCAAAACTTTTCAGATGATTTTTAGGACAAAAAAATGGGCTATTAACTAGAGAAGATTTTAAGTTCATAGATATTTAAGTTAAGAAATATTAGAATTAATTTATGTATTTGTAGAAATCATCAGCAGAGCAAGAAAAACTGGTAAGATAAAATAAAGAGGTCAGGCGCAGTGGCTCACGCCTGTAATCCCAGCACTTTGGGAGGCCGAGGCGAGCGGATCATGAGGTCAGGAGATCGAGACCATCCTGGGTAACATGGTGAAACCCCATCTCTACTAAAAATACAAAAAAAATTAACCAGGCATGGTGGCGGGTGCCTGTAGTCCCAGCTACACGGGAGGCTGAGGCAGGAGAATGGCATGAACCCGGGAGGCAGAGGTAGCAGTGAGCCGAGATTGCGCCACTGCACTCCAGCCTGGGAAACAGAGCAAGACTCCATCTCACAAAACAAACAAACAAACAAAAAAGAATGAAATCCCTGGAGTAATTTAGAAAAAAAGGGAGCCAAACATAAGAAGAGGACTGTTCTTAGATAGGACAAAGGTCATTATTTTTCTTGTAACTAGATGCCAGATGGAGACTATGGTAGAGTATAATACTAGGTTTGTTGGTGGAATTGAGATAAAGTTATTCTATAGGGTTTCTATTTTCTCAGTGGAATACGATGCAAGGCAATCAGCTGAGAGGGGGTGAAAAGAGAGGAAGTCTTAAATCATTATCTTGGACATTAGGCATGTGAAATTATTTTAGAGTCTTCTCCATATTTCTTGGCAGTATTGACCATTTGGTGTATGGGATCGTGAATTTAAATTGAACACATGTAGCCAGCAGTCAGTGTACCCAACAATTTCAAATATTAAGATGAACGCCCAGAGAGGAGGATAACTGGCTTCAACCAGAATAAGGATTTTGCTAGTAGTAGAAGGGGAGAAATAAAAGGAAGAGTTGAAATGTTTGGAAGGGAATAATTACATTATTATACCAGGGAATATAATCAGGCAAGGTGAAAAGTGATGGCTAGAATAAATAATGAATTGTAAAAGATAACTCAATGAATGAGTGATCTACAGACAATTCAAGAATTATGAGGATAGGCATAGAGTTAGTGATCTGGAAGGATAGGCCTTTCATACAAATAATTTGCTGCCCAAATAATAATGCTGTTTGTTTTAACATACATTGCATCTTTTCTCAAAGTTACACTAAAATGTGCCAGCCTGCACATTTTGCTACATTCCTGCGCATTCCTTACTACATTCTCACGTAGTAAGGAAACCATGATGGAGGGAGAATGGATATCAGAAACAAGTTAGCCCTAAAGAGAGCAGAAAAAAGAAAAGAAAGAAACAACAGAGAAAATCAAGGGAAAACTCATTTCTTCCCTTGATTTTCCATAGAATTTACCATACCATATAAATTAAAAGCAATAAATATATGTGAATATTCCTTTTGTAAGGAGATAAATTGTTTCTTATGGGAGACAGTCTTTTACAGAAAATTATTTGGTTCTGTATTTCTTGTTCAGCTACTGGAATTATCTCTTCTGTTACTTTTCTTGAAAGATAAGAAGAAGTAACAATCACTGAGGAAAAATAATGGGTAACCTGAAAAGATTCTCTTATCTATAAAAATAAAACCAAACAAAACACTCCATTACTCGTGAAAAATAAACACACAGCATCTTGGTAAACTCTACTATATAAATAAAGCTTCCTTTTACTCGTTGATGTTTTTCTTTTCCTTTTTCTTTACTGAGTATTTTCTGTTCTTTTTCTTTTCTAATTGTATCTCATTGTCATTCAATTTTCTCACTTAACTGGTGCCTTATATATACTTACTCCCTAAAGATGTATGATGATCCCATATCTTCTTAATTGCTTAGTACCAAACTAAACATATATGACTTGTTTTATACACATAATTTCCACGTCCACTTTCAGTCGTTGACTCTCCTACCTTGGTGAGCCAGAAAGTTTTGATTCCCAAAAACGATTCAAGTTAGTGTTTGTAATTCTCATTATAGAAATCTTTCACCTCCTTCACAAGCTGGGTTCCTAGGTATTTTATTCTTTCTGCAGCTATTGTGAATGGGGTTGTGTTCTTGATTTGGCTCTAAGCATGGACATTATTGGTGTATAGAAATGCTGCTGATTTATGTACATTGATTTTGTATCATGAAAATTTACTGAAGTCATTTATCAGATATAGACACCTTCTGGGAGAGTCTATGGAGTTTTCTAGGTATAGAATCATATTATCTGTGAAGAGAGATAGTTTGACTCCCTTTCTTCCTACTTGCATGTCTTTTATTTCTTTCTCTTCCCAATTGTTCAGGCTGGGACTTCCAGTACTATGTTGAATAGAAGTTGTGAGAGTGGTCATCCAGTTCTCAGAGGGAATGCTTCTAGCTTTTGCCCATACAGTATGATGTTGGCTAAAAAGACACATGCACTCATATGTTCACTGCAGCACTGTTCACAATAGCAAAGGCATGGAATCAACCAAGATGTCCATCAATGGTGGATTAAAGCAAATGTGATATATGTACACCATGGAATATTACATAGCCATTAAAAGAACAAAATTACATTCTTTGTAGCTAAATGGATACAGCTTGAGGCCATTATTCTAAACAAACTAATGTAGGAACATGAAACCAAGTACCACATGCTCTCACTTATAAGCAGGAGCTAAACATTGAATACACATGGACACAATGATGGAAACAACAGACACTGGAGATCTCTTGAGAAGAGAGGGTGGAATGGGGGCTTGGGTTGAAAGGATATCTATTTGTACTATGCTCACTACCTGGGCGATGGGATAATTGGTAGACCAAGCTTCAGTGGCATGCAATTTACCCATGTAACAAACCCACATATGTACCTCTGGAACCTATAATACAAGTAGAAGAAGAAAAAAAGAAGAAAGAAAAAGGATCTCAAAGTAGTCATGGAAGTTCCTAACTCAATAAATTAGAAAAAGAAGAGCAAAATAAAACTAAGCAAATAGAAGAAAGGATACCATAAAGGTAAAAGCAAAAATCAATGAAATTTAAAACAGACAATAAATAGAAAAAACTAATAAAACCAAAAGCTCGTTCTTTCAAAATACATGTTTTAAAAAAATTATAAAACTCTAACAAAACTGACAAAAATAAAGAGGACACAAGTAATCAATATCAGAAATCACAATGCAGCCTGCAGCCTTTGAAAGCATAATAAGGTATTAATAACAAAGAATTTGACATGCATAACTTCAGCAACTTAGATAAAATATAACAATTATAGAAACATCATGAGTTACCAAAACTAAGAAAAGATGAGATAAATAAACTGAATAGTCTGTAATCATTAAAGAAATGTGTTTTTAAAAGACACTAAAATTAGTATGTAAAGGTCTGTATGGTTTCTCTATAGAATTTCACTGAATGTTAAAAAAAATTAACACAAAATCTATACAATTTTATCTAGAAAATAGTAGAGAATAAAACACTTCTGAACTTATTTTATGAGGAAAGTATTATCTTGGTAACAAAACATTCAGGAACCACCCCACGAAAGAAAGTTATAAGTCAATATATCTAATAAACTTACATAAAAATCCTCAAAATATTAGCAAATCTAATCTACCAATTCATAAAATAATAATAGATTTACAAATGAAATATATTTCTGTATGCAAACTAAGCTTAATATTTTAAAAGTGTTCAATGTAGCCTACCATATCAAAAGGCTAAAGAAAAAAATTATATGATCATATCAATGAAGTCAAAAAACAATTTGACAAAATGAAACTGATTTATGACAAAAATTTGCACACTGGAAATAGAGAACATCTCAGCTTAATAAAGATCATTTATACAATAATTAAACAAAAATCATGTATCTATTATCATACTTGATGATAAAATTCTGAGAGCTTTCTGTCTAAAAATACAGAACAAGACAAAGATGTCCACTAACTATTCTTATTCAATGTGTAACTGAAAATTCTAGCCAGTGCAATAAGGCAATCAAAAGGAATAATGATCATACTTATTTGAAAAAAGAAATAAAGTTACTTCCATTTTCATATGGCATGACTCTATATGAAGAAATTTCCAAAGAATATACAAAAACTTCTAAAGATAAGAAGTTATTTCAGTGAGGTTACATGATATAATATCAACATATAAAAATCAATTATGATCCCTTATTCTATCAACAAATAAGTGAAAACTGAAAATAAAAATACAACCCTATTAACCATTACTCCAAGTAAATAAAATCTTTCATTTTCATACAAAATAAAATCTTGTATCTAGAATGACAGAGCACTTGTATCTAAGAAAGTATGTATAGGATATAATGATAAAGGTTACAAATGCTGATGAAAGACATTGAAGAAGGAGATCATTGGAAAGATATATATGCTCATAGAATAGAAGATTCAACATAGTAAAGGATGGATTCTCTTCAGATCGCTTTCAAAATCTCAGCAATAATTTTTGCAGACATATACAAACTTATTCTAAATTTTATGCCGAAAGATAAAGGTCCTTGAATAACCAAAACAATTTTGAAAAATAGTAAGTGGAAGTAATCACTCTTCTCAAGGTTAAGGTACACTATATAGAGATAGCATTTAGGACTGTGTGGTATCAGTAGAGGAACAGACACAGAAGTTAATGTAACAGAACAGAAAACCCAGAAATAACCAACATAATTGTGCGCAATTAATTTTTGACAAAAGAGCAAAAACAATTCAACTGAAAAGGCCCATCCTCTTCAACTTTCTAGGCAAAATATCCAATTGGATATTTTATATGAGTAATTGGACATTCATAAATTCAAATTGGACATTTAACCTTAACAAAAGTGTCACAACTTATACAGAAACTAATTCAAAGAGGATTGTGGGCTTAAATGTAAACATAAAGTTATAAAACCTCTAGAAAAAAAATGAGAAAATCTTTGATAACTGGGACTAGGAAAAGAGTTCTGAGATTTGACACCAACATATACTCCATAAAAGGAAAAAAATTGATAAATTGGTTTTCTTCAAAATTAAAAAGTCTGTTTCCATGAAACAAGCTGTTGATATAATTACAAATGATATATTGAAATAAAATATTTGCAAATTTATATCTGATAGAGTACTTGTATCTAGAATTTTTTAAAACTCTCAAACCTCAACAGTATAAAAAATCCAATTAGGAATATGCAAATGACATGAGCAAACATTTTACCAGAAGATACACAGATACCGAATAAGTACATTAAAAGATAATTAAAATTATCCATTAATAAAATATAAATTAAAACCTCAATGAGATATCACTATATGTCTATAAGAATGACTAAAATAAATACTAGTGACAACATGAAATCCTGGCAAGGATACAGAGAAAGTCCACCACTCATACATTGCTGGTGGGTAGCATTGTAAAAATGGTACAGCTGCTCTCAAAAACACTTTGGCAGTTTCTTTAAAAACTACACATGAAACCACCATATGACCTAGCCCCTTTGAGCACTGATCTCAGGGAAATGAAATTTATGTTTACATAAAAACCTTTTATGAATGTTTATACTGGCTTTATTCCTTTATAAAATTATTTTAGTATGCATTATGATATGTGAATTCTATCACTAATTATGAGAATCGAGGGACATGTTTCTATTATCATTTTGATAAATTATCATTTTGATATGTAAGCCAAGGATCAGACTGAGTCACTTAAAGTGTCACAGACAATAAGTTGAATTATGGAGACCAGGAGAACTTTCAATGCTCTTTCCATTATATCTTACCCCTCTTCATAGAATCTACTATAATAAAAACGAGAAGAGAAATAGCAGCAAATTATATCACTTCTTTAAAGCTTCAGTCGCAACAGTTAATACGTTGCAACAACGTAGCAAATTTTGCAAATTCAAAGGCATTATTTGTTTATTACAATTACATATGGATAGAAAAGACTGAATCATCATATGACTGAAAATGTTCAATAAAATATAGTAGCTCTGCTGCTGTGAGGAAATCTGGCATGCCAGAAAAAACAGGAAAGCCTAATTAAAAATCACACCAAAATGTCATCCAGCTGACCTCAACTCAGCCTATTTAATGTATCCCTGTATTGACACATATGTAATTTCCTAGTGTTGCTGATGATTGTCTTATGTTTATGTAACTCTCTTTCAAAGGAGGCCAGAGCTCTTTAGACCTAAGTTACTCATAAGAGTCAGCACATATTTATGCATGCTCTAATAGAACAGGTGTCTTATTTTAAAAATATTGATTATTATAACCCTCACTCTTCTGCCATCTTTGATAAATCTGACAAACACAATATGATTCCCAGAAAAGATATCAGTACAGTTTTCTTGTCCAATACTTCTCTTTTTATAAATTGTGGTAAAACCACTCTCGAACGGGAAAAGATGAGTCTCACAAAATTGGTTGACTTGTGAAAAAGTTTGAAAAAATGATCAGAAATGCATTTATCAATGTTTACAATGCACCTATCATTTAGCCTGACAAACTTAACAGTTAATTAATATAACTGAACCAAAGAAGCCAGTAAATAAGTTCAGATTTCCCAGTTTCTTTAGATAATAGATCTCAATAAATATATACTGTTCCACAGGGATTTTTTTTTTTAAGAATAGATTAACTGTGGCCACAGAGTATACTACGAGCTCTTAAGAAAAAGTGTGGTAAAAATTTAATAGCGACATGTATTATTGTGATTATTATACTTATTCTGAAGTTCTTGAGTAGAAGATTGAAGAAAGCATATATGATGGAACATTTACCGCTCTAGCAATTTTACTGGAACACGGAGGTCTCTTTTTAAAGGGCCTTAAAAATGGAACTTACGAAAAGATGAGTTCAAGGAATGTCATTCTTTCGAAATACATTTCCTCAAGTTGCCATTTCATAAGTAAATTAGTTTTACTCACTTGCTCCTTCCCCCTCCATTTTACATTGAAGTACTGTAAACCTGTGAGCTAATGGTCACCAGTTACATAAATGATAAAATGAGAGACCATTATGTGACAAACAAGGAGCAGGAGTAGCAGCAGGTAAATAATGTCAGCCATTATACTCTATTTGCTGTTCCCAAAGTGTAACCTCCTAAGAGGACTTTGGAAATAGGTTACCGTTTGGGAGGTTAATCACATACTAAAAGCAATCCTTGGCAGAAAACATGATTTTGGCACTACAGCTTTTTATGTTTCAAAAATCTCGAAAGTATTATAAATTCAAGCTGAAATTACACAGAGCTATGGTTTACCATTATCATTGGATCTGTTCAGTTCTAAGCTGGTCCATTTTCAATGTGACAGACAGCAATCCTTGCATTTTTCAAACATTTCCTTGTCTATCAATTTGCCATTAATGGCTAATTCTTAGTTACCGTGGTTTACCCAGGAAACATGGCTTCATATTTTTCTGACCATGCCTTCATTGACTTTTTAAATTTTATTTACTTTTATTTTAAGTTCCAGGATACATGTGCAGGATGTGCTGTTTGGTTACATAGGTAAACGTGTGCTGTGGTGGTTTGCTGCACATGACAACCCATCACCTAGATATTAAGCCCCCATGCTTTAGCTATTTATTCTGATGCTCTCCCTCCCCTTGACAGGCCCCCTTGACAGGCTTTGACAGGCCCCAGTGTGCGCTGTTCCCCCACCTGTGTCCACGCGTTCTCATTGTTCAGCTCCCGCTGTAAGTGAGAACACGCAGTGTATAGTTTTCTGTTCCTGTGTTAGTTTCCTGAGGATAATGCCTTCCAGCTCCGTCCGTGTTCCTGCAAAGGACATGATCTCGTTCTTTTTTGTGGTTGCATAGTACTCCATGATGTATATGTACCACATTTTCTTTATCCAGTCCATCAGTGATAGGCACTGGGATTGATTCCATCTCTGCTGTTTTGAATAGTGCCACAATGAACATATGTGGGTATATATCTTTATAACAGAATGATTTATATTACTTTTGGTATATACCACTAATGGGATCACTGAATCAAATGGTATTTCTGCCTCTAGGTTTTGAAGAATCTCCACACTGTCTTCCACAATGGTTGAACTAATTTACATTCCCACCAACAGTGTGAAAGCATTCCTATTTCTCCATAGCCTCACCAGGATCTGTTGTTTCTTGACAATTTAATAATTGCCACTATGACTGGTATGTGATGGTATCTCATTGTGGTTTTGATTTTAATTTCTGTAATGATCAGTGATGTTGAGCTCTTTTTCATATGTTTATTGGCCGCATAAATGTCTTCTTTTGAGAAGTGTCTCTTCATGTCTTTTGCCCAGTTTTTAATGGGGTTGTTTGTATTTTTCTTGTAAAATTGCTTAAGTTCCTTGTAGATTCTGGGTATTAGACCTTTGTCAGATGGATAGATTGCAAAATTTTTCTCCCATTTTGTAGGTTGTCTGTTCAATCTGATGATAGTTTCTTTTGCTGTGCAGAAGCTCTATAGTTTAATTAGATCCCATTTGTCAATTTTTGCTTTTGTTGCAACTGCTTTTGACGTTTTCATCATGAAATCTTTGCCATGTCTATGTCCTGAATGGTATTGCCTAAATTCTGTTCTAGGGCTTTTATAGTTTTGGGTTTTACTTTAAATCTTTAATCTTTCTTGAGTGCATTTTTGTATAAGGTGTAAGGAAGGGGTCTAATTTCAATTTTCTGCATATGGCTAGCCAGTTTTCCCAGCACCATTTATTAAATAAGAAATCCCTTCCCCATTGCTTGTTTTTGTCAGGTTTGTAGAAGACCAGATATGCAGTCTTATTTCTGATATATTTATCCTGGTCTATATGTCTGTTTTTGTACCAGTACCATAATGTTTTGGTTACTGCAGCCTTGTAGTATAGTTTGAAGTTGGGTAACATGATGCCTCCAGCTTTGTTCTTTTTGTTTAGGATTGTCTTGGCTATACAGACTCCTTTTTGCTTCTATATGAAATTTAAAGTAGTTTCTTCTAGTTCTTTGAGGAATGTCAATGGTAGTTTGATGGAAATAGCATTGAATCTATAAATTACTTTGGGCAGTATGGACATTTTCACAATATTGATTCTACCTATCCATGAAGATGGAATGTTTTTCCATTTGTTTGTGTCCTCTCTTATTTCCTTGAGCAGTGGTTTGTAGTTCTTGAAGAGGTCCTTCACTTCCCTTGTTAGCTGTATTCCTAGGTATTTTATTCTCTTTGTAGTAATTGTGAATGGGAGTTAATTCATGATTTGGCTCTCTGCTTGTCTGTTGTTGGTGTAGAAATGCTTGTGATTTTTACACAGTAATTTTGTATCCTGAGATTTGGCTGAAATTGCTTATCAGCTTAAGGAGCTTTTAGTTTGAGAAGACAGGGTTTTCTAGATACAGGATCATGTTATCTACACAGAGATATTTTGACTTCTCTTTTCTTATTTGAACATCCTATATATCTTTCTCTTGTCTGATTGCCCTGGCCAGAACTTCCAATGCTAGGTTGAATAGGAGTAGTGAGAGAGGGCATCCTTGTCTTGTGCCAGTTTTCAAGGGGAATGCTTCCAGCTTTTGCCCATTCAGTATGATATTGGCTGTAGGTTTGTCATAAATGACTCTTATTATTTTGAGATATGTTCCATCAATACCTTGTTTACTGAGAGTTTTTAACATGAAGGGATGTTGAATTTTATTGAAGATCTTTTGTGCATCTATTGAGATAATCATATGGCTTTTGTCTTTAGTTCTGTTTATGTGATGAATCATGTTTATTGACTTGCATACGCTGATCCAGTCTTGCATCCCAGGGGTGAAGCCAACTTGACCTTGGTGGATAAGCTTTTTGATCTGCTGCTGGATTCAGTTTGCCAGTATTTTATTGAGGATATTGAGGAACACTGCATGTTCCTCATGCAATAGATTTCTCTTTTTTTGGTATATCTCTTCCAGAGTTTGGTATTGTGATGATACTGGCCTCATAAAATGAGTTAGGGAAAAGGTCCACCTTTCAATTATTTGGAATAGTTTGAGAAGAAATGGCACCAGCTTCTCTTTGTACTTCTGGTAGAATTCAGCTGTAAATCTGTCTGATCATGGGCTTTTTTTTTTTTTTTTTTTGCTTGGCGGGCTGTTTATTATTGCCTCAATTTCAGAACTTTTTATTGGTCTATTCAGGGATTTAGCTTCTTCCTGGTTAATATTGGGAGGGTGTATGTGTCCAGGAATTTATCCATTTTTTTTCTATATTTTCTAGCTTATTTGCATAGATGTGTTTATAGTATTCTCAGATGGTTGTTTATATGTCTGTGGGGTCAGTGGTGATATCCCCTCTATCATTTTATTGTGTCCGTTTGATCCTTCTCTCTTTTCTTCTTTATTAGTCTAGCTAGTGGTCTATTTTATTAATTTTTTCCAAAAGAACATTTTTCCAAAAAAGCTCCTGGATTCATTGATTATTTTTGAGCAGGTTTTCAGGTTTCTGTCTTCTTCAGTTCTGCTCTGATCTTGGTTATTTATTGTTTTCTGATAGCTCTTGTGTTTGTTTGCTCTTGATTCTCTAGTTCTTTTAATTGTTATGTTACAGTTTTGATTTGAGATCTTTCCAGCTTTTTGATGTGGGCATTTAGTGCTATAAATTTCCCTCTTAACACTGCTTTAGCTGCATCCCAGAGATTCTGATACATTGTCTCTTTGTTCTCGTTGGTTTATAAGAAGTTCTTGATTCCTGCCTTACTTTCATTATGTACTCAGGAGTCATTTAGAAGCAGATTGTTCAGTTTTCATGTAGTTGTGTGGTTTGAGTTAATTTCTTAATGTTGAGTTCTAATTTGATTGAACTGTGGTCTGAGCAACTGTTTGTTATGATTTCAATTCTTTTTGCATTTGCTGAGGACTGTTTTACTTCCAAATATGTAAACAACTTTAGAGTAAGTGCCATGTGGTGTTAGGAAGAACGTATATTCTGTTGTTTTGGGGTGGAGAGTTCTGCAGTTACCTATCAGGTCCACTTGATCCAGAGCTGAGTTCAAGTTCTGAATATCCTTGTTAACTTTCTGTCTCTATGATCTTTCTAAAACTGACAGTGGGCTGTTAAAGTTTCCCACTATTATTGTGTGGGAGTCTAAGTCTCTTTGTAGATAAATAAAAATATGTTTTATGAATCTGGGTACTTCTGTATTGGGTGCAAATATATTTAGGATAGTTAGCTCTTCTTGTTGAATTAATCCCTCCACCATTATGTAATGCCCTTCTTTTTCTTTTTTAATCTTTTTTGGTTTAAAGTCTGTTCTGTCAGAAACTAGCATTGTAACACCCTTTTTTCTGCTTTTTATTTGCTTGGTAAATTTTCCCCCATCCCCTTATTTTGAGTCTTTGTGTTTTTGCACATGAGATGGGTCTCTTGAATACAGCACAGTGATGGGTCTTGACTATTTATCCAGCTTGCCATTCTGTGTCTTTTAATTGGGGCATTTAGCCCATTTACATTTAAGTTTAATATTTTTAGGTGTGAATTTGATCCTGTCAACATGATGCTAGATGGTTATTTTGCGGACTTGTTGATGTAGTTGCTTCATAGTGTCATTTGATCTGTGTAATTCAGTGTTTTTGCAGTGGCTGATAACAGCTTTTCCTTCCCAAATTTAATGCTTCTTTCAAGAGCTCTTGCAAGGCAGACCTGGTGGTGACAGATTTTGTCAACATTTGCTTGTCTGAAATGGATTTTATTTCTCCTTTGCTCATGAAATTTAGTTTGATTGGATATGAAATTCTGGGTTGGAAATTTTTTTTAAAGAATATTGAATATTGGCACCCAATCTCTTCTGGCATGTAGGGTATCTGCTGAGAGGCCCACTGTTAATCTAATGGGCTTCCTTTTGTGGGTGACCTGGCCTTTATCTCTGGCTACCCTTAACACTATTTTTTTTTTTTTTTTTTTTACATTTTGATCTTGGAGAATCTGATGATTATGTGTCTTGGGGTTGATCTTCTCATAGAGTATCTTAAAGGGTTCTCTCCATTTCCTGAATTTGAATGTTGCCCTGTCTTCTTAGGTTGGGGAACTTCTTCTGGATGATATCCTAAGTCTGTTTTCCAATTTGGTTCCATTCTCCCTGTCTCTTTCAGGTACCTCAGTCAGTCATAGTTGTGGTCTTTTTACATAATCCCATAGTTCTCAGAGGTTTTGTTTGTTCCTTTTCATTATTTTTTCTCTAATCTTGTCTGCCTGTCTTATTTCAGCAAGATAGTATTCAAGCTCTTAATTTCCTTCCTCTGCTTGGTCAATACAGTTATCGATACATGTAGTTGCATTGTGAAGTTATTATGTTGTGTTTTTCAGCTTCATGAGGTCATTTATATTCCTCTCTAAACTGGTTATTCTGGTTAACAGCAATCATAATGTTTCATCATAATTCTTAGCTTCTTTCCATTGAGTTAGAACATGCTCCTTTAGCTCGGCAAAATTTGTTATTACCTTCTGAATCCTACGTTTGTCAATTCATCCATCCCAGCCTCAGTCCAGTTCCGTGCCCCTGCTGGAGAAGTGGTGCAATCATTTGGAGGAGAAAGGCACTGTGGCTTTTTGAATTTTCAGTGTTTTTTTGTCAATTCTTTTTCATCTTTGTGAGTTTATATACCTTTGATCTTTGAGTCTGCTGGCCTTTGGATGGGGTTTTTGTGGGGACTCTTTTGCTGACACTCATATTAGTTCATTTTCACACTGCTGATAAAAACATATTTGAGACTGGGAAGAAAAAGAGGTTTAATTGGACTTATAGTTCCACATGGCTGGGGAGGCCTCAGAATCATGGCAGGAGGCAAACGCCACTTCTTACATGGTGGTGACAAGAGAAAAATGAGGAAGAAGCAAAAGCAGAAACCCCTGATAAACCCATCAGATCTCATGAGAGTTATTCACTATCACGAGAATAGAGTGGGAAAGACTGGCCCCCATGATTCAATTACCTCCTCCTGGGTCCCTGCCACAACACCTGGGAATTCTGGGAGATACAATTCAAGTTGAGATTTGGGTGAGGACACAACCAAACCATATCATTACTGTTGTTGTTGTTGCTTTCTGTTTGCTTGTTTTGTTTTTAACAGTCAGGTCCCTATTCCACAGGGCTGTAGCAGTTTGCTGGGGGTCTACTCCAGGCCTAGTTGCCTCAGTTTTTCCCATACCTCAAGGTGTCTCCTGTGGTGGTTGCAAAACAGCAAGGATGATTGTCTCCTTGCTGTCCTGAAGATGATGCTCCATCTTCAGGGATCTCTGTCCCTGAGGGGCACCGACCTTATACCAGCAGGAATATTCCTGTATAAGGTGGTCTGGCAACCCCTATTGTGGGGTTTTACCCTGTCAGGATGCATGAGATCTGGTACTTGCTTAATGAAGCACTCTGGCTGCTCCTTGGCAGAGAAGGTGTGCTGGACTGGGGGGAATCCCACTCACCTGGGCTACCCGGATTCCTCAGAGACAGCAGGAGTAAAAAGTAAGTTTACTGCTCCTCAGAGACCATGGCTGCCCCTCCCATCAGGGGCTCAGTCCCAAGGAGCTCAGAGTTCTCTCCTTAATCCCCTGGCTAGAGTTGCTGAAATTCCTGCAGGGAGGCCCTGCACAGTGAGGAGGGATGGGTCAGGGCCTGGCCTAAAGAGGCAGTCTGGCCATTATCTGCTACAGCCGCTGTGATGTGATTTGAGGAATTCCTCTCGGGTCCAAATCATCCAGTCACCCTGGCACCAGCAGGGGAAAAACAGCAGACTGTAGCTCCAGAAATGGCAGCTGTCCCTCCACCCTGGAGCTCAGTTGTCTTAGACAGCAGTCAGGTGCAACGACTGCGGCCAACCCTCCCTCTGGGAACTCCGTAGTCTTGGGCAGTCTCCATCTGAGTAGCTGCTGAGAATCAGCACTGCTCTGTGCTTGGGACCCAAGGTCCTGTTGGTGTGGGCTCAAAAAGGGGATTTCCTGATCTGCAGGTTGCACAGATCTATGGGAAAAGCATGGTTTCCCAGGCAGGGTAGCATGATCACTCACTGCTTCCCTTGGCTTGGGGTGGATACCCAGTGTGGCTCCCAGGTGGGCCGTCACACCATCCTGCATTTCCTCACTTTCCATAGGTCATGCCAACTACCTAGTCAGTCCCAATGAGAGACCTGGACATCTCAGTTGCCGGTGCCGGATTCACTCGCCACTTCGGTTCTTGGTGAGAGGCTCCTACTGCAGCTGTTTCTAGTCAGCCAACTTGGCCCCTGATATATCCATATACTTCTTTAAAAAACAAGGACCATATTTGCCCTATCATACATACCACAACTCACTGCACCATCACAAAGTAGTATTAAGTTTAGCAAACTCCAATCTGTAGAAAAAGAGAACACATTTATTGTTATTGACATCAATAATTAATAGAAATAAAGAAAAGAATGTTACATTTTGAAGCAGAAATAAAAATAAAGATGACCTAAGTCAAGCTATTGCTAATACTACTAGGGAGAGAAATTTGAACCTTTCAAATGAGAACAAAGGTTCAAGATAAGGAAATGAGGAGATGATGACTTAAAAAAATTTACTTCAATTTATTCTCTGCTTTCAGGTCAAGATTAGTGGAAATAAATAACTCTAACAACATTTCTAATATAGGATAATATTACTTAAGATGTTTTGGGAAAAGAGAGTGTATATCCTTAAAAAAAAAAACTAGTTGGGTCCTATCACTTACTGAGAAGTATCTATATCCAAGATCTTTGCTACTCTGCAGGATTTATCAATTCAAATGTACATATTTCATACTTACAACATAAAACATAGAGGTTTAAATGACTAATATTTGACAGGTTTAAAACATATAAAATTAAGGAAACCGAAGTAGTTATCGTTTCTGCATTTCCTATGGAGTAACTTGTTACTACCATGTTGTGCTTAAAGACACATAGAAGAATGAGAATCCCACACTCCCTAAATATTCAGCTCTCAATTTTCAAGGGACAGCAGAAATTACAGTAGTATCTTACCATATCTGGAAATAATTTCCATGGCTTAAAGTCTTACAATAGTCAGATGAAGTGCAAGCCTCTTTTACATAGATCACAAGACCACATATTAGTTTAATCATATTTAGTAATCTCAGGATTGAAATTCAACCACTTTGGGAAGACAGAATGAAAGGAAGAAACGCACGCTTAACAAGAAAATATAGACATTCAGTTTGCCTTTACTTTCCAGGATATCTAGCTGAAAAGCTAATGGATATGTGTGTGTGTATATATTTATATATACATCCTAAAAATAAAATAAAAATACCAGGACTAAATTGATCCAGAAACTCTAATTCTAAGCTGATACACAGATCTCTATATGATCAGACATATTTTGTCAATCTTTGACTTGTATTTATTAAAATAAGCTATAAAGGAGATATAACTAAGTAATCTTAGAATTCTGAGAAGCCAAGCTGGATATGAAGTGAAAAGGCCATGAAAATGTGACCTATTAGGACTATTTTATCCAAAATTACATTTAAAATGAGTTTTCCCTTTCTTTGTTCCTTTCTTTCAGTAAACATATGTAGTACCTTCCATGTGTAGAACACTGTGCTGGCCACTGATTATAAAATATCTTCCCTCATTGAGTTTATACAGTAATGATTGATATAGAAGAGTTAAGACAAGGTTAAAACACAGGGTGATAGGTGTTAAAATAAAGATAGTACAGAATTAAGGTATTATGGCTGGACACCGAAGGTAACATCTGAGCTCCAATCTGAAAGATGAGCAGGTGTTAAATAGGTGATAAGAATGCTTTCACGTTTTTGTTAGAAGGAAGATAATATATAATGGGCTGTTAGAAATGTGGCGAATTCCTGGCTGGGCGTGGTGTTTCACGCCTGTAATCCCAGCACTTTGGGAGGCCGAGGTGGGCGGTTCACAAGGTCAGGAGATCAAGACTATCCTGGCCAACATGGTGAAACCCCGTCTCTACTAAAATACAAAAAATTAGCTTGGCATGGTGGCATGCACCTGTAGTCTCAGCTACTTGGGAGGCTGAGGCAGGGGATTCGCTTGAACCCGGGAGACGGAGGTTGCAGTGAGCCGAGATTGCGCCAGTGCACTCCAGCCTGGTGACAGAGCAAAACTCCGTCTCAAAAAAAAAAAAAAACCAAAATATGGAGAATTCCTAACTTAAAAAGTTCATAATAGGAAGGAGCATGGAGAAGTGGTAAGCAGAGGGCTAACCATACCACGCCTTGTAACCATGATAGGTGCTTTAGATATTTTCCTAAAAATAATATGGGCCTGTGAAAGTTTTTTAAGCAGTGAAGTAATATAATGACATTTGTTGTTGTTGTTGAAAGATAATTCCTTTTACAGTGGAAGAAATTTGGAAGAGTAAAAAACACAACCATTTACATATTAGTAATATTAAAGTAATGTAGGAGAGAGATAATGTTTGCCTCAGGAAAAGGACAGTGGGTGATAGGAAAAAAAGAATATAATTGATTTATATTTTGGAGGTATATTTGGAATGAGCCTGTGATGAACTGGATGTAGGATATGAGAGTGGAGAGAGAAAAGGGTGATGCCCAGGTTTCTGGTCTCAGATATTACTGATATAAGATTTATATAAAACATTATTGATATTGACATAAAATGACCACTGTGAGTTAGTCATAATAACTATAAGCATATTTTGAAGATTTAATAAGTGTACAGAATATTAGCATTTTATATCAGATTCAGAATATTCTTCTGATGTGTCCAGTTATAGAAATAATAGTCATCTTTATTTAACACAATACAAATTGGCTATCAACTACACATACATACACACACAAATTACTTACAATAGAACAACAGGAAATTATTTTCTTGAGTGCCATAAATAAAAGAAATTTCTTTTCTCTTCAAACAATTTTTAAAGTCAACCAAATTGTTCAGAAGAGATAAACCTATATTTATAAATATAGTTAGACTTTTATTTTGACTTTAAACTCACTCTTGGAATTTTTTTCTGAGAGGGTTTTCAAAGAATAAATAAATATAATTTGTTTATTATTCTTAAGAATAAATTCAATACCAACTACTCTTTTTTATTTTTACGTGACATCTCATTGCACTTATCATATAATGTAGCAAATAAATGACCAGATTATGTGTCTGTGTCCCCCATTACACTGTAAGCTCCACTAGGGCAGAGCTGGCCTCATTCACCTTTACATTTTCAATATCAAGCACCGCTCCGGGTACTAATAGATTTTCAATGTACAAGTATTGAAAGAAACTTAAATGGATAAAATGTACTATATTCTTTCTGTTTTAAATTCACCTATCATATTAATAATTATCAGACCAACATTTCTACTTAGAAATCCCAAGTAATACAATAACGACTCAGATTCTAATAATGAATTATTATATAAAATCATAATAGAATCTTAGAAGGAACAAAACTCAGAAGCCATCTAGTCCAACCACCACTCAGTACACAAATTGCTTTTCTAGTGATAGACAGAATAATAGGTAACTTCACACATTGCTGAGTAAGATCCACTACTTAATTTTGTTTTCTAATATTTAGCCAAAAATCTTCACCCATATAAATTTTACTCAGAAGTATGATCAAGTTTTCTGCTCTCTTTCATACAGAGCTCTTTTCCTCCCTACAAATCTTCACATTTTATTGGCATATTGACATTTAATCAACTAAAACTCTTATTTTTTTCATATTTGGTACAGTCAATGCAAGTATAGTATATTCAAAACATAAACAAGTGTGTGCGTGTATCTGTCTGTGTGTCTTTTCAAAGAAATCACATATAGGTCTATTAAACATTTCTGTTTTCTGTCATGCAACATTAACTGTGCCTCTCTCTTTAATAGAATTTTAAAAGTTGCTACGCACTTCTAATTTTTTAGATTTTACAGTGTCTGGATTCTAATTACTGATAAAGGTGATATACAAAACAGAACAAAATCAGAGCTCCCCCCAGGTTAATGATAATCTATCATGTTTGGGTACAAGTTATATACCCAACTATATTATCCTAGTTTGTGTCTTTTATCTTTGGAAATAGAGCAATAGATGTTGTCACCATGCCAAATTGAGAAACATTTACATTTGTGATTTTTCTTTACTTTCTCATTTGAAAAAGCAAATAATTCAGATATGTCAAATGAGAGGTGAATGTAAGATCACTGTAAAATCTCTTTCTTTGCAGGGTATCGTAAGTGGATAGTTGTAAAAGTTGTAATCTGTTATGTTTAGATTATAAGGATCTTCACATTAATTTGCCTTGGAATATTTTTCTGTATTTGAATATTTTCGTGTTCATTTAGGTGGGAAATTACTCCCAGCTGGATGTCTCTCAGTATGTATTGGACTGTCTGCCATTCTCCCCACAGTAAATGTGATGTGTATCTTCATCTTACACCCCTCATCCATATGCTTTGCAAATTTTTGACAATCCCCCATAGTATTTCCAAGATAGCAAACTAAATCTCTATAATTAATTGTGAAACTTTTCCAAAACTGTTGCATAAATTCTGGAACCAACGTTTTCCCTCTGTCTCATGGTAGAAAGGGAAAATTGATGCATTTCAATTACCAAGGGTAGCCAACACAAAATGTCATTGAATTTATCTATCTCTGATTATAAATGGGAATTTCCCTGGTTTTTATTTTGAATTCTGTAGACCCACAGAGCAATGTTCCCTCTGTGCAAGTCAACACACACCCTTAAACAAACGCATACACACATACACATTCACACACTTATGTACCCTTACACATACATACCACCTCTGTATCATTTATACTATTCACAGTTACTCACTGGGCATATACACGTGTCAGTGGAACAAGAAAGAGTCTTTCTTTCTAGAAAATTACTTAGGAAAAGTATTTTAGGTACTGTTGAAATCAGCTATTTTGCTTTACAGTTGTATGTACTGTTTCCTTAATGATCTGTTACTTCTCATTCCCTCTCAATATAAAGCTTTAGGACAACTTGCTGGGAAAACACAGATGGGTAGCCAATGTTCTAAAGGTATACAATACCTTTGGCATCACTGGATACATTCAATCAGCTTACCCATCATCTAACGTTAGGTTAATATAAAATGTCTTTGATAGAAATACCAGAAATTGCTGGAAATGTATTATCTCTTCTGTGTATGAGTAAGACTTAGAAAAAGAGACAATGAAAAGATTAAAGAAAAAGATGAAGATGCATGATGTCTAGTTCTCAAAGACTGTGAAAGACAAGCACAAACAACTCCCTAATACTATAAAAATAAGTCTTGGTGGGGCTAAGAGATCAAAATTCCAAAGTTCTCACATTACAGAGTAGAAACTGATGATCATAGGGATTCAATATGACAGAAACTATCAGTGGCAATTTCTTGACTTTAAACAAGCTTTATTATATGAAGATTGCTCATTTTATTTTTGTGAGTAGTCCACATGTTATGTGAAGTTAGAGCATGCTGAAAAGCACGTGAACAAATAAGCACTGATGTCTAACTAGTGGTTGATAAAACCTTAACACCTCCAGACTTATAGATAGATACTTTTCCTTTTATATAAACCCTAAGTGGTAATACTGTCCAGAAAAGGATTTATTCTAGTCCATCAGCATTAAAGAAGGCTTGATGTAGCATAAATAATGGTGGATAAATATCAAACATATTATTGCTGCTACCAGCTATGCTTCACAGTGTAAGCAAAAGCTTTCTTCTACTTTTTAAGTGCCTATATTTAATGTATTTGCTGTTTGATTTTATATTTAGACATTTTACAACTGAAATTTACGGCTTAAAATGTTTTGTAGATTAAAATTCTACTTGTCATTATGAAGAGTAGCAAATGACCAACTGAAGTAATGTTAGAATAGAAGAAAACAAGAAAAAATGCAAGTCTCACCTGCTGAAAAAAAATGTTATCTTAATGTGAGTTCTGATGCTAGACAGGTGCACAAATGTAAAAAAAATTGCATATATGAAAATTATGTGCCAATTCTCATCTGATATGGTTTGGCTATGTCCCAACCCAAATCTCATCTTGAATTGTTGCTGACACAATCCCTGTATGTCATGGGAGGGACCTAGTGGGAGGTAATTGAATTATGGGAATGGGTTTTTCCTGTACTGTTCTTATGATAGTGAATAAGTCTTATGAGATCTGATGGTTTTATAAAGGGCAGTTCCCCTACACATGCTTTCTTGCCTGCCACCATGTAAGACACACCTTTGTGCCTCCTTCCTTTCTGCCATGATTGTGATTCCTCCCCAGCCATGTGAGTCCATTAAACCTCTTTTTCTTTATAAATTAGCCAGCAGCAGGTATTTCCTCACAGCAGTATGAAAATGAATTAATACAGTAAATTGCTACCAGTAGAGTGGGGTACTGCTATTAAGATAACCAAACATGTGGAAGTGACTCTGGAACTGCATAATAGGCAGAGATTGGAACAGTTTGGAGGGCTCAAAAGAAGATAGGAAGATATGGGAAACTTTAGAGTTTCCCAGAGACTTAATGAATGGTTTTGACTAAAAAGTCCAGGCTGAGTTCATCTCACATGGAGATGAGAAACTTATTAGGAACTGGAGCAAAGGCAATTCTTGCTATGCTTTGGAAAAGAGAATGGCAGCATTGTGCCCCTGCCCTAGAGATCTGTGGAAATTTGAACCTGAGAGAGATGATTTAGGGCATCTGGTGGAAGAAATTTCTAAGCAGCAAAGCATTCAAGGTGTGACTTGAGTGCTCTTAAAAGCATTCAGTTTTATTCATTCACAAACATACAGTTTGGAAATGGGAACTTATGTTTAAAAGGGAAGCAGAGCATAAAAGTTTGAAAAATTTGCAGCCTGACAATGTGATAGAAAAGAAGAACCAATTTCCTGAGGAGAAATGCAAGTCTGCTGCAGAAATTTGCATAAGTAACAAAGAGCCAAATGTTAATCACCAAGACAATGGGGGAAAATGTCTTCAGGGCATGTCAGGGTCTTCAAGGCAGCCCCTCCCATCACAGGCCCAGAAGCATAGGAGGAAAAAACAGTTTCATGGGCTGGGCCAGGCCCAGGGTCTTGCTGGTTCGTGCAGTCTTGGGACTTGGTGCCCTGTGTCCCAGCCATGGCTAAAAGAGGCCAATATACAGCTCAGGCCATTCCTTCAGAAGGTGCAAGCCCCAAGCCTTGGTGGCTTAGATGTGGTGTTGGGCCTGTGGGTGCACAGATGTCAAGAATTGAGGTTTGGAAACCTCCCCCTAGATTTGAGAGGATGTATGGAAACTCCTGAATGTCCAGGAGAGGTGTGATGCAAGGGCAGAGCCCTCATGGGAAAACTCTGCTAGGACACAGCAGAAGGGAAATGTGTGGTGGGAGCCCCTACACAGAGTCCCCACGGGGGTACTGCCTAGTGAAGCTGTGAGAAGAGGACCACTGTCCTCCAGACCCCAGCCCTAGAATGGTAGATTCATCAACAGCTTGCACCATGCACCTGGAAAAGCTGCAACTACTTAACGCCAGCCCATGAAAGCAGCCAGGAGGGAGGCTGTGCCCTACAAAACCACAGGGGCGGAGCTGCCCAAGACCATGGGAACCCATCTCTTGCATCAGTGTGACCTGGATGTGAGACATGAAGTCAAAGGAGATCATTTTGGAGCTTTAAGATTTGACTGCCCAGCTGGATTTTGGATTTGCGTGGGGCCTGCAGTTCGTTGGTTTTGGCCAATTTCTCCCATTTCCAATGGGAGTATTTACCCAATGCCTGTAACCCCATTGTATCTAGGAAGTAACAAACTTGCTTTTGATTTTACAGGCTCATAAGCAGAAGGGACTTGCCTCGCCTCAGAAGAGATTTTGGACTGTGGACTTTTGAGTTAATGCTGAAATGAATTCACTTTGGGGGATTTTTGGGAAAGCATGATTGGTTTTGAAATGTGAGGATATGAGATTTGGAAGGGGCCGGGGCTGAATGATATGGTTTGGCTGTGTCCCCAACCCAAATCTCATCTTGAATTATAGTTCCCATAATCTCCACATGTCATGGGAGGGACCTGGTAAGAGGTAATCAAGTCACGTGGTGGGTTTTTCCCATGCTGTTCTCATGATAGTGAATATGAGATCTATGGTTTTATAAAGGGCAGTTCTCCTCCACATGCTCTCTTGCCTGCTGCCATGTAAGACGTGCATTTGCTCCTCCTTTTCCTTCCACCATGATTGTGAGGCCTCACCAGACATGTGGAACTGTGAGTCTATTAAACCTCTTTCTCCTTATAGATTACCCAGTCTCAGGTATTTATTTATAGCAGTATGAAAATACGTTAATACATCATCCCATGGGTTTTTCCAGCTAGTGTATATGAGAAGAGTCTAGCTTAAATAGAACATGTGTTATTCAAGAAATAAGAGGCAAAGACAGATCATGAATGCTTACTGTATTCCTTCATTAGCAATTATATATTCTGCATATTAGCTGAAGACAGTTAGATCATGATGATTATCAAACATCCTGAGAATATCAAGGTGATACATAATATGCTGACTAACAATATTCACAAAGGTTATAATAATAAAAAAATAATGGCTGGTGACTTCAGCATTTTTAGTTTCCTATTGTAATCTATTCAAAAGCTTTTATTTGATAATTAGATGTGCTTCTGTGATGAAAAATTAAGGTACGTAAGTGACAGAGAGTCCATTAAGAGAAAATTCTCTGAGAGAAAGAAACACTGACAACTATTGAAGAACCAGAAATTACCGTCTGAAAAAAAAAATGCTTGATAACATTTGAGTTACTTAGTCTTGAATGGAAACAATAAGATAACTTAATAACTTCCTTTGGGGACAGAAAATATTTTTATAAAGATAACTTTCATGCTTGCTACAAGTAAATACTAATCTTCTGCTTGAATGAATTTTTGATGGTCAGAGATGTGTGAAAATGGACAGTAGCAAAGACATTATCAGAACAGAATAAATGTAAAAAGTGCTTACTCAAGAGCAATTGAGAACAGAGTTGTTTGTGATCTCAGTTATTCCGAATACATGAACATGGGAATCATTTAACATCTTAGAGATTCCTTACCAATAAATTCAGGGTATTGATGAGATGCTGCTTAAGATAACTTTTGATTTTAAAAATATATTCCTCTGATCCAGTTGATATGGCTTGGCTGTGTCCCCACCCAAATCTTGTCTTGAATTCCCATGTGTTGTGGGAGGGGCCCGGTGGGAGGTAATTGAATCATGGGGGCAGGTCTTTCCTGTGCTGTTCTCATGATAGTGAATAAGTCTTATGAGATCTGATGGTTTTAAAAAGGGGAATTTCCCTGCACAAGCTCTCTTTTCTTGTCTGTCACCATGTGAGACATGCCTTTGACCTTCTGCCATGATTGTGAGGCCTCCCCACCCACGTGGAACTGTAAGTCCATTAAACTTCTTTCTTTTGTAAATTCCCCAGTCTCCAGTATGTCTTTATCAGCAGTGTGAAAACAGACTAATACAGTAAATTGGTACCAGCAGAGTAGGGCACTGATGAAAAGATACCTGAAAATGTGGAAGTGACTTTGGAACTGGGTAACAAGCAGAGGTTGGAACAGTTTGGAGGGCTCAGAAGAAGATGGGAAAATGTGGGAAATTTTGAAACTTCCTAGAGACTTGTTGAATGGCTTTGACCAAAATGCTGCTAACAATATGGACAACAAAATCCAGGCCGAGGTGGTCTCAGATGGAGATGAGAAACTTGTTGGGACCCAGAGTAAAGGTGACTCTTGTTATGTTTTAGCAAGGAGACTGGCAGCATTTTGCCCCTGTCCTAGTGATTTGTGGAACTTTGAACTTGAGAGAGATAGTTTAGGGTATCTTGCGGAAGAAATTTCTAAGCAGCAGAGCATTCGAGGGGTGACTTGTATGCTGCTAAAGGCATGAAAAGAAAATCCCATTTTCTGAGGAGAAATTCAAGCTGGCTGCATAAATTTGCTTAAGTAACGAGGAGCCGAATGTTAATCACCGAGACAATGGGGAAAATGGCTCCAGAGTATGACAGAGACGTTTGTGGCAGCCCCTCCCATCACAGGCTTGGAGGTTTAGGAAGAAAATGTGGTTTTGTGGGCCGGGCCCAGGGTCTCTCTGCTGTGCGCAGTCTAAAGACTTGGCGCCCTGCATCCTAGCCGCACTAGCCGTGGCTGAAAGGGGCCAATGGAGAGCTCGGGCTGTGGCTTCAGAGTGTGCCAGTCCCAAGCCTTGGCAGCTTCCAAGTGACATTGAGCCTGCGAGTCCACAAACGTCAAGAATTGAGATTTGGGGCCAGGCGCAGTGGCTCATGCCTGTTATCCCAGCACTTTGGGAGGCTGAGGCAGGCGAATCACCTGAGGTTGGGAGTTTGAGACCAGCCTGATCAACATGGAGAATCCCCGTCTCTATTAAAAATACAAAAATTAGACAGATGTGGTGGTGCATGCCTGTAATACCAGCTACTCAGGAGGCTGAGGCAGGAGAATCACTTGAACCCGGGAGGCGGAAGTTGCGGTGAGCTGAGGACATGCCATTGCACTTCCAGCCTGAGCAACGAGAGCGAAACTCAGTCTCAAAAAAAAAAAAAAAAAAAAAAAAAAAAAAAAAAAAAAAAAAACGACGCTTGGGGACCTCCTCCTGGATTTCAGAGGATGTATGGAAACACCTGATGCCCAGGCAGATGTTTGCTGCAGGTGGGACTCTCATGGAGCAATTCTACTAGGGCAGTGCAGAAGGGAAATGTGGGGTTGGAGACCCCAAACAGATTCCCTACTCTGTCATCACCAGGCAGAGCTGTGAGAAGAGGGCCACTGTCCTCCAGAACCCGGAATGGTAGATCCACCGACGGCTTGCACCGTGCACCTGGAAAAGCTGCAGACACTCAACACCAGCCCATGAAAGCAGTCAGGAGGGGAGGCAGTACCCTGCAAAACCACAGGGGCAGAGCTGCCCAAGACAGTGAATAGGAACCCATCTCTTGCATCAGCGTGACCTGGATGTGAGACATGGAGTCAAAGGAGACATTTTGGAGCTTTAAGATTTGACTGCCTTGATGGATTTTGGACTTGCATGGGGCATGTAGCTCCTTGGTTTTGGCCAATTTCTCTCATTTGGAATGGTTGTATTTACCAAATGCTTGTATCCCCGTTGTATCTAGGAAGTAACTAACTTACTTTTGATTTTACACGCTCATAGGTGGAAGAGACTTGCCTTGTCTCAGATGAGACTTTGGACTGTGGACTTTTGAGTTAGTGCTGAAATGAGTTAAGACTTTGAGGGACTGTTGGGAAGGCTTGATTGGTTTTGAAATCTGAGGACATGAGATTTGGAAGGGGCTAGGGGCTGAATGATATGGTTTGGCTTTGTTTCCACCCAAATCTCATCTTGAATTCCTACCTATTGTAGGAGGGACCCGGTGGGAGGTAATTGAATCACGGGGGCAGGTGTTTCCTGTGCTGTTCTTGTGGTAGTGAATAAGTCTCTCTAGATTTGATGGTTTTAAAAAGGAGAATTTCCCTGCACGAACTCTCTTCTCTTGTCTGCTGCCATGTGAGACATGCTTTTGACCTTCCGCCATGATTGTGAGGACTCCCCAGGCACGTGGAAGTGTAAATCCATTAAATCTCTTTCTTTCTTAAATTCCCCAGTTGCGGGTATTTCTTTATCAGCAGTGTGAAAACAGACGAATACACCAATGGACCCTAGTATGCATGCAATCAAGATGCTGTAAGTTCTATAGTCACTGTGAAAAGAGCTAAATATGAGATGACCTAAACTTTGTATAATCATTTTTCTGCAAATATTTACTAAATATTAAGCATATAATAGTCCCAATGCAAAACCAAAGACGAATAAATTGATCAAATAGAACTCTTACACTCCGTAATCTAGGAATAACTAATGACCTCGTATTCCTTACACATCTATATATATTCCAGAGTAGGCATGTATAGTTTGCTATGTAGAATTATACATAGGTCCATTGACAAGTTACATCAGTTTTAACAAAACACTTTTAAAATATTTGGTAAGTTAATTTTTATGTGTAGACAAATAAAATGTATTGTTATGCACACACACATACCCAGGAACATTTTAAAAATCGTGATTTCTCTGAAATTATTATTGCGAATGATAGGACAAAACTGAGGGATGTGCCATATTCTGGAAGAAGTGAAGTCTGCATTTGAATCAATTTTATGTTGTCCCTGTTATACAGGGTTAGGAATGTTTATATACTTCTGCCACTCTATATTTCTTTAGCTATTTAAAAATAAATGACCTGTAATAATTTTGTCTTCAAATTTATCTTTACCTTCCCTTAATTTATGTGAAGGATTTATGTTGTGATAAACATCTACTGCCAAGATGTCATATAAAATTTGAATCCATCTGGATTATTTCACTATTCTGGGTACAAATCACAAGTCCATAGAATTATGATCTCTCAGGCCTAATGGAGCTAACCGCCACTCTTTCCAACCCTCAGGAAAAGTATCTGTTTTGCCATACAATTGAGTTATGATATAAGAAGGAATTTGCTACTATATTTTCAATTAACTAAAAAACATCTTATTCAATGTGTATAGTTTTTAGCAAACATTCAGAAGATACCATAATATCAAAGTAATCTCATTATATTCTGTCTGCCAGATCAGTCTCTGTTTCATTACACCAGGAACACAATATTGTAGGTCTTAGCTTTTAAGGAATATTCTGGCATTGACTTAAATGGCTGCAACATTAAGCATAATACTAACAGCAGTGATAACAGCAATGAAGAGGAAAAACGTGATCACCAAGCAACTGGTGGCATAAGTGGCATAGAAATAACCACTATGAGTGCAGCAGAAGGTTTTAAGAACTCAGCATCAATTCAGTATGCTATGATGGGCTGGGTAATTCAGTCTAAGAAAATAGATTATCTATTTAGTAGATGATACTTATAATAACATCAGTGTTTTCAACCTACTTTTTATTGTTTGAGTAAAGTGGCAAGAGGCAGAAGACACAAGAAAGTAGAAAACAGAAAACAAAACAAAAAAGTTGAAATTTAAAAAGCTGAAAATCCTCAGAAACTAAACTAAACAGAAGAACAAATGGTAAAAGTCTGGAGAAGACAGTGCTGGAAGCATCTGTGGGAAAAGATTTGAGTGGTATCTTTAAATCTGCACGGATATCTGTGATAAATGGACATTATAGATAAAAGCAAATGTTGTGAGCTACAGCAGATAAGAAAATCGCCAGTAATGACACAAAAGAGAGGAAAAATTTACATTCTGTAGAGGAATAAAAGTTCACATCCACTCCTCAATATGTGATAGGACTTGGGTGTTACTCAGAACACATGACCAGAGAAGGTCAACTGCATGTGGAGGTATATCCTGCTGTTCACATGAGGATTATTCATGGACTACAGTCATTTCTAACCTGGCCCAAATTTAGAATCACCTGAAAAACATTTAAAAAATGTGAATGCTTGTTTCTCAACTCCAGAGATTCAAATACAATTGGACAACTGTGTTCTCCATGTAATTCCAACATATAGCCAGATTGGGAACCAGTAGGGTAAACCATCTCATCCTATGTACTAAAGATTTGGATGCATCTCTATAGCCACAAACACAGCATGCCATGATAAATTAAGAAGATACAAAATGTAGGAGTGTGTGGTACATTTTTAAAAAGGCATCCATTTAAAACATTTAAATGTATGCAGGGTGTTTCCCTCTTCCAATTTTCTTTCAACAACAGATTTTGGATGACTAGCTTAATTGTAATTTAAATACTATTTGCATGCATTATTTATATTCATCTAGCTATTTTGCCTTTGGAATTATCATTTTACTTGCGGATTGAAAAAGTTTGAAAAATTGAGTTCATATTTAAAAGTAAATATTAAGAGCAAAGCAAAGTTTAAACTTGGTTGTAAAGTTTATCTTCCATTTGTTAAACTTTGTTAGATATTTTTATCTTATATGAATTAATGGTAATTAATTATCTTAATATTATTCTCTTTTCAATAACCTTGTTTATTTTAGAATAGTTTCATATTTATAAAATGTCCTGGAAATGAGATATATACCGCAAGCCCAGTTTCCCTTATTATTAATATATTTGTCACAATTAAAATAAAAATATTGATTCACTATTATTATTCATTGAAGTCCATAAGTTACTCTGTTTTCCTTAATTTTTACTTGTCATCACTTCTCTGTTTCAGGATCCTATCCAGGATGCCCTATTACATTTAGTTTTAGTATCTCTGTTGGCCTCTCTGCAGTCATTGTTCACAGACTTCCTGCTTTTGATGATCTCAACAGTTTTGAGGATTATTGATCAATTATTTTGAGGAATGTCTTCACTAGGGTTTGATTGCTATCATGATTAGATTTGTGTTACGGATTTTGGGGAGGAGGAGCAGATAGGTAAAGCACCATTCTCATCACATCATATCAAGGGTAACTAGTATAAACATGACTTATCACTGTTGAAGTTAACCTAACTTGAGGTAGTGTTTGTCACTTTTCACCATCGTAAGTTACTCTTCTCCCCTCTTCTCTTTCTGTACTGTACTATTTCAAAGAAATTTGCTATGGGCAAGCAAACCCAAATAAACAAAGAAAAAATAGAAAAACATAATGGTAGGAGAATGCCAAAGGGACATCAAACCCCCTTGCAAGAACTCCTAATGACCAATGCAAGAAACACTCGAATAAGAAAATTAATGAAGTAGTATTGGATTATAACCTAGAATACAAAACAAATATCAGTCTGTCCATACTGACACAAATAGGTAATTGAATAAATAAGTAAATAGGAATGACAGAAAAATCTGTTGAACAGAAGAATTCCAAAGAATTTATGCAGCTGCACTATTCTCAGGAGTTGGGGCATAAGTTCCTCTCCATTTAATTGTGAGCTGCACATCATTTTGTTATTTTTAAAAACTTCTTATTAAGGCACAATTTTCTAGTTTAGCAGTCTATAAATACAGTTCTATCACTAAAATCTAACTTTAAATGCATTAGTAGTTCAAATGCTCATAGATGTTTGCTTTTAAAAAGCATATGAATATGTCTGGAGGCACTGGTTAAATACTCATAAAACACATCTTAGTTTCTATAACATTTTCACCCATCTAAAAATAGACTTAGGAATCTTAGGGAGTTTAAAATATGTAGCAAACATAACAAGAAAATGTCTATTTATCAATATATTTCTACCTTGTATGTAAAATATTGAACAGACATCAAAAGTAATAAAAATTTTTATTTGGAGAGGTATTTTTTTATTACAGAAGTCTATTTGTAATAGAAACATTTAAATAAAATGTCATTTAATTAAATAAATTGAATTTCTCATCTAGATTATTTGACTAGCTAACGTTAATTCCTATAACTAAACTCTTTCGATACTAGGTAAGCAGCCATATTCCTTGGAAAATTGCATAATTTTAGAACTAGGATTTAGAGCCAATTCTGTCTTCTCTTGATCTAATACCAATGTGTTTTCCTTTTTATTAGGCTTTATTTTAACATTCAGCTTACATAATAAAATGTTTGCATCATTTTTTATGTAGAAAATGTAAGAAACAATATTTTTATTGTATTTTTAAAAGTTTTTGGCCAGGCACAGTGGCTCATGCCTGTAATCCCAGCACTTTGGGAGGCCAAGGCAGGCGGATCACGAGGTCAGGAGTTCAAGACCAGCCTGACCAACATGGTGAAACCCTGTCTCTGCTAAAAATACAAAAATTAGCCGGGCGTGGTGGTGTGTGCCTGTAATCCCAGCTACTTCAGAGGCTGAGGCAGGAGAATCGCTTAAACCTGGGAGGCAGAGGTTGCAGTGAGCTGAGATTGCGCCGCTGCAGTCCAGCCTAGGCAACAGAGTGAGACTCCGTCTCAAAAAAAAAGAAAGTTTTTAATTATGTGTAACACTTTATTGAATGTATTGCACTGAAGGATGGAAGCAAAAAGCAATTTTATTATTTCTCAGTAACTAATACTTCATTAAACGTATTCCTTGGGCTAAATTTTGCTACTGTGAAATAAAATCTTAGAAACATTTCAGAGTTGTTTTAGTCATTTTCAGATAATAAAAGACTATTTTTGCACATATAAAAAATTCAAGCCAGTATAATATCAAAGTTCCAAAATTTCATATTTAATGTAGTTTATTTTTCTCCTCCTTCTAATTTGAAGGAGCTTAATTTAGCTGAGAAACTTACACTGGAGAAGTAGCACGTGGTCAGTTTCTACTCCCATTTTCATTCATTGACTCCTTAAACTTTCTAGATCCTGTTTCAGGCAACCATAATTTTGAAAGAGAAAACATTCAGAAAGGAAAATAAAAGTAAGAGTTTATGTTAGTAATATGGATTTAATCTGGTCATATTATGCATTATGGGGAGTTCACTGCACACACAGATTCTGTCTTTCATGGATATTTATGTGGGTTCTTAGGAGATCCTTATTCCTTGAACTTCAAGAACAAGTGAAAACCCCTGGGATTTAAAGATGTCCCTCTTAGCCTTAATTTCTGATCCCAGTATCTCTGTTAAGATCTTCTAAACTTTCAGGGGAGCCTTTTAGATATTGTCCCTCTCAAAGTAATGCAGTCGCAATAAACATATGTGTGCATGTTTATTGTGACTGTATTACTTTGAGAGGGACAATATCTAAAAGGCTGCCCTGAAAGTGTACATATGTAACAAACCTGCACGTTGTGCACATGTACCCTAGAACTTAAAGTATAATACAAAAAAAAAAGTGGAAAAAAAAAAGTAATGCAGTCCAGCTTCCTTCCGTGAGGCCCAGAACTGGCCTAGAGAGCTTTACACATCCTTTGGCCATGAAACTCTGCCTGTTCTGGCCATTCCAAAAGTAGTCACTTCCCATTCTGCTGTTGGAACTGACCAGCCATAACCTCTTTCATTTAGACTCTTCCAGCATGAATCAGGCTACTCTGCATATCCCTCCAGAGTAGAGGTTTGAAGCTAAGCTCTTGGAGTATTTGTTTTCAATCTCTCCTCATGTGATCAGATGAGCCGTTAATAATCCCTCCCTTCTTGTTTTGGGGTGAGAAATGCAGAATTCACGGCACATCAGCTCTCTCTTAAGGAGATAAATGATGGGCTAGTACTGGCAGAACACATTTTGGCTTGTTTTTGTGTAAATGCTGCAGAAGTGGTCTGGGACTTTGCTTTGAGAAATGAAAGTATTGCCTAATGTCCTCAGCCACAGTAACATCTTGTTCTTGTACAAATAGTAAAATATATAAATATATATTATTATATGACATTACAGAGCAGTTCTATAAGGTTTGCATATATATCTTATACAATGGTACTACACATATACAATGGTATATTAAATAAGAAAATGTTCCAGCAGCAACTAATGGTGTATTTTTTTTCAACAAATTCAACTTTACAAATAAATAAGTCTAGAGATAAAAGCAATAGAATTCACTAAAGATATGTCTCTAATGTAGGTCAGTAAAACAGTATTAGCAGTGACGTATGTATTTTGGCCAACGTTAAGGTTTATATGAATCACTACACTGTACTTGATCAGTTATATTTGCTAATTTATAATAAATTTAGGGTATACATATATGTTTCTGAGTGTGGGAGCTTGTGGAAAGAAAGATATTAATATAGGGATGTGCACAAAAGCTCTTCCTCAGTCTGTTATTGAAAACCTGGTTTTTACTAAATTCCTGGGTCTTTGTAGTATATAATCAGGGTAACTGCAGTAAGCAGAAGGATTGAGAGGTTTCAGACCACCTTGATCTTCAATGGGGCATACAGTCATTGGTGGAAGCAATCTTACAAGTCAGAGAGAAAGAGGGAAATACAAGAAAGTGCCAGCCCTGAGTTGGCACCTGCAGAAAATTTCAGAATGCTTGAGTTGGCCTTAAAAACTCGGGAACATCTATTGTGGATGTGAGGTGTTATGAGAAAGAAATGAGGTAGGAGCCGGGGCGGGGTGCGAGGGGCGGGAATTATAAGCTCTGCCTATGTTGTCAAGGGAATTACATGGTGCATTTTTAGAAGTCTTAAATAAGACAAATTAATTTTACATTACAGAAATATACTATTTTTTAAATGTCAGATTTTTTATGTGATCCTTGTGCCAGGCTAGCCACATAAAAGCTAAGTTTCAGATGGATTATATTTTATACCTACTTCTTCCTTTTTTTCTCTATTTCTATAACTTTTCTATAATGAAGAATATTATAAACTCAGACCTATATAAAATAAATAAGCAAATGTGTAAATAAATCGCTGTTTTTTCCTATAAAACATTGGATATTAATTTCTTTCAAAGCATAATTTTACAAATATATAACCAGTTTTTCAAGATTAAAAACTGATCTTCTTTCCTTTGTCAGTGGGTGACAATTTTAAAAGAAAGCTTGGTGAAATCAACTGTCACTTAAAGTTAGTTTTCTGAGCCTATGAAGAGCTTCCACATATCAGATTTTAGATTGCTTTAACTACTGCCCAGTGTAATCAATTGAAGAGGGAACTGATTCAACCTCCTTTTTCAAGAAAAAGAAAAAAAAATAGAGCTAAGGCTCCTACTCCCTAGATTTTGAAAGGTAAATGGTGAAATAGAGTTATAAAAGTTTCCAATTTTCTTTCTTTGCCTAAATGTGTTGAATCAGACCCCTCTTCAATTGATTGTACAGCAGCTCTGAAAAGGTGTGCCAATTGTAAGGGATTTTTTTTTTTCTTTTAAAGATGCTCTGCAAGGCAGTCTGCTCCTTATCTTCAAACCACAATCAAGAGTTAAGGAAACTATTATCTCAGCCCAATTCTTCTTACATTATCTTTTCATTCCTCATTTTCAATAGTTCCTTTTTGGCTTATTTTTTTGACCTCGAACACCACAACGATTACCCTGTTTATAATGTATAAGATACATAATAAATATAATTCCTAACATAATTCTTTGTACATGTCTAAATATAAATAAATGCATTTTCAGACTATCAACCCAGGTATTAAATCTTTTAATATTTTATATTTAAATTTATATATTTAAAGTGCATATTATTGAGTTGCATCTATCAATTATTAAGTTGCATATATCATTGCTATTTTCTCATGTTTCTTAATGTACACTGCTTTTAATCACTTGAATTTCTATACAATTTATATTTCATTAGAAATATATTAATGATATTTTTGTAATCAAAATATAGGAACTTTATTATCTTTCTATTAAGAAAATAAATGATAAGGCGTACATTTTCTCAGCCTTCTTCATGTGAAATGCTATACAATGATCTCTTTAATTTTCTTGCATGCATTATCATCATTCAACGCTTACACAGCATGTATTTTCTAACCAACCACTGCTTTAATAACTAACTTTTCGGGAAATCTCCCAGATACACAGGGACTTATGAAATTACTAATAGAAGTTGTACAGTTTTGACTTTGCTTATTTAGATCTGTTCTGTATCATCATTTATATCTTTTCATCTTTGCTGTACTTTACGCATTAGTTTGAGCAATAAAGGTCCATGTATCCTTTTCATTGTACCTGACTGTTGAAGTTTAGATACTTTCAAGCACACAGTTTTTTCAGTCATCCCATTTAAAAGATACAACTAAGCATTCACATATATTTTTTAAAAAATATTTATTACTAAGAATGATGTAAATGAGAATAAGAAAGTTAACCATTTATGATCATTGTAGGACTTGGTATATAGTTTACACAAAAGTTGATGTAAAAGCTTATGTGATAGTGAAATGGCAGACATATTCCTATGTAATTACTAAAAGCAACAGTTTTAGAAAGGGGTCAGAAATCTAGCAATTTTTAATACTAAATGAAGCTCTCTCTATAAAAAAATTTACAAACATTTTTATTAATCCAAAGACATAATGATGGTACCAAGCAAATTTGCATTCTTAGTTTTTATTAGGTTAAACTATTTTTGAGTAATAAAGTCCGGTTTCCAAGAATCCAATACACAGGCTAATAATGTGTATAACTTCAACAAAAACATGCTCTATTTATACCTCTATTTTAGTAAAATGCTGAATATTATTAGTCAATATTATCTCTCCATATATGCTTGTGTTTCATTAATTCTAACCTATGTGATTTCTGTCTGATCACAATGGTTAAGAAATGAACTTTATAACAATATATTATATTCACAACAATTTCTAAGATAGTAGATTTTGTGTCTTCATCACAAAGAAAAGTATATGAGGTAACGCATTTGTTAATCAGTTCTATTTAGCATTCCACAATGTGTGTGTATTTCACAAATGTTGTACCTAATAAATATATACAATTTTTATTTGCAAAGTGAAAAAAATAGAAAATAAATAATAAATTTAAACCTGTTATGATAGAATGATTCAGAAAGTAAGCTCAATTTAATTAAGCACATGGCAAAAATGAAGAAATTCCTGAAAAGCCTTATATGTACAATTTCAGAATGAAAATTAGACCTTCTAAGAAGAAATGAAAGAAATTGGAGTTGGAATGGGTTAGTATGGAGAAGATAAGCATAAAAAGAGAAAATTAAAACAGCAATACTGCTTTAAATTAAAAGGAAGGGTGATTAAGGTGTATATTTTATTACAAAGTACTTCATGTTTGTTATAGAAAACAAAAGGTATATATAAAGAAAAAAGACAAAAATACAAACAATCCAACTTTCACATAACAAGCCACTTTGCCTCAACTGATTATCTCACTGCAAATACAGGTTTAACAACTTCAGTAACAGTAGATATTTTCATTTTAAAATATTTACCAATTTTATAGCTGAAATGGTATCTCACTGCTATTTTGATTAAAATTATTTGAATAATAAATTACTTTTTTCTCATTAAAAAACAAATCCATTTTCTATAGTAATATCTAGAATGTACATCCAAATCTCCAAATGTTGGAATAGAGCTGATCTTGGCAGACAATAGCAATTTTTCCGGCCTTATGGGAATCTAACATTGTTTACCAGTATAAATAATAATAACACTAACAAAATAATAGAATTTAAGTAGAACTAGATACATATTAAAATGTGTCTTATTTGGATTTCTGAATTTGGTTATGTCCTCAAAACCCCCTGCTTTCTTTCTATGTCCTGACCAAGAAACACAGAATGCTTTGACCGCTCTGTGACTTAGACAGCTGCATGTTTCACCCAAAGGGCTGAACCCAAGCTGGAGGCTTAAACATATCTAGGCCCTGATAAAGGTGTCTAAGCTGTTGCTCTAAACACTGAAGGAGATTGGCCCCACTGGTTCTGAGTCAAATTCCTCAAACCCTCATATAAATTCTTGTCCCCAACCACTTCACTATGGGCATACCTAGGTAGAACATCCATCATGAAGATGCTACATCTAGCTGTATAAGTTAGTTATCTTAATACATGCTTTGGACTTATGACACTAGTATTTAGTCTTTCTTTCTTTGTAATCCCAACTGGCCCCATCTCAGGAGAGTTTGGGGCACTCTTATGTGGGAACTCCCTTGCTACAGCCTTTGGAGCAACTCCAGCAGTGGGTTCAGGGAGAGAAAGCAGGGTAGCATAAGGTGGTGCTGTAAATAGTTTGGATGGAAAGGATCCATTAGCTAAGATTTAAAAAACATTCTCAATGTAAGAATTTCTTGTTAATGTTTGAATACAGCCATAAATGAAAGGTCATATAGGAGAAGACAAAAACAAAATAAGGTATATTATTTGTGTATTAAATTCAAGTGATATCAGAATAGCCGATTTAGTAGAATACATTTGAATTAAAAGAAAGTTGCAGGTCAAATTCGTGATCCCCTTGAAAGATTAATTCGGTAAGTAGTATTTGGTTAGTTGCAATCAGGGCTGCTAATAATGTTTTGTAGGCTGCTTTCTTATGACTTTCCACCAGATAAAGGTGAGAGTGAATGAATTTTCATTCCATATATTTAAGATTCACTTGCAAGAGAGAAAGTTTGCTACATTTTGCATATAGCAATAAAAATAGCAATAATTCCTGGTGCTGACAGTGTTTCACTGATTTAATATTTATGCTCTTCCTACTTAATTTAATTTTATACTCTAAGAGTCATTGTAAATTAATTCATATTCTCACCTCGTGAACTCTGGCATATTAGAATGAGCCCTTAGTAGTTTTATTTGCATACAGAGAAACGATTAAGATGACTTTCGTCTTATAGTTGGATACCAGGATGCCCGACTAAAGAATCTAAAACAAAATAATGACTTAAAAAGTACCTTCATATCCATTTATGGACTACTTTATATGGAGTATGCTATTACTTTACGAATTTGTTGGAGAGAATTGTGTTGTCTGTGACACATTCAGAATTAAGAGTTGGGGATATTTTAATACTATAATTTGAAGTACTATAGTCATATTTCTCTGTCTTGCCCTTGAGAGAACTTGTCTCAAGTTCCTCATAAGAAAAGTCTTTAAGAAAACTGAATTGATAAAGAACATTCCTTGCACGTACAGTAGACATTTTAGAATCGGCGGGGAAGGGTCAGCCATTTTCTCACTTTGCTTGCTAAAGGGATGAGATGTGAGCATTAGAGAGAAATGATGCTGCTGAATAAAGCTATGTTTGGTTAGAATTCAGAAAACAACACCAACGACAGAGCAGAAAATCAAAACTGGCTACCAAGCAAATGTCTCCCAATAAGATTCTGGCTGATGAAGGAGGGGCTGAAAGGTCTTAGAAAACAGCCTCTCCAGGATGGAGACTCAATTAAAAAACTATGTTTCTCAGCTTAACAGTCACTCTTGCTCTTTGGTTCCCTTCCTTAAACTACTGAGAGGTAGGTAATCAAGAGTTATATATAAACGCATTTATTAAGCGCTGACTGTGTGACACTGGAGATATATAAAAATAAATATGTACAATAAATATACTTGTAAAAATAAAATATAATTACCAAATTTGAGGATAATCAGAGATAAATGCTACAAACACAATACAAATATACAATGTGCTTGCATGATAGTAATTAGAGGTATCAGAGTAATATAGAAAAACTTATTCTAATGAAGTAATCATAACAGATTAATAATAATAATATAATCATAACAGATTATGTTATTATTCATGGCTATCCCCTAATGACTCAAATATCAGCACCCATAGGGGTGATGATATTTGAGTCATTAGAAAATAGTAGTGAATAATAACAATTGCTTATGTATATATTAGTGCCATATGCTGGTTTTTGTTCCAAATGTTTCACATGTATAACTAATAAGATCTTCATAACTACTGTATGAAATGGATTCAACCATTAAACGCATCTATGAGTGAAGACATTGAGGCCCATACAAGGCTTTAAAATATTCAGAGATGTTTAAGAAAGAGAGCTCTGGATTTTCAGTGAAATTTAGCCTCTTATTAACAGTATGGCTTACTTAATATGGTTGCTGTAAATATTAAATTAAATTTTAGATATAAAGGCCTTAAAGCAAGTCCTGATATATTGTAAAATGTTAAAAAATTAGATATTTTTATTATTCTTATTATTAATTTTATGTTCTTATTTTTTTGTTTGTTTGGACTTGAACAATGTATAGCCATTTGTCAGACAGCGAGGTCAGTAATTGCTACACAGAATTGCATGGCATGAGAAAGGGAAAGTTGTATGATGGAGCACGGAAAGAATGGGAAGAGAGGCAGGTTAGTAAAAATGTGCAAAGCATCTGAAAAGCTGTGGAAACGTTTGTATTTATTCCAGTAGGAAAGGGAGAGGAAAGTAAGAGGCTTAAATAGAATTGGCATAATTATTTCTCTGTTTTAAAGCTTAATTACAATAACATGTTAAAGAGTGAATGAAGTGGTGATAGAGATTAAAGAAAGATAAGTTATTTAAGAGATTGTTGAAATGATTTATGTGGAGATGGAGTGCCTGGACTACAAAAATTTCATGAATATAGATTAGTAACAGCCCAGAAAAGCCTCAAAGGTGAAGTCCAAAGTTTTTTGTTTAAATGATGGGCTTAAATGGTGATGATACCTATAAATTTGAGAAAAAAATAATGGAAGCCACTTTTCAAGGGAGAAAATTTGTATTTTAGATACATTGAGATATCATCATAAGATTAGCAAGTGAAGATTCCAAGCAGAATTAGAATTGGTGGTCATAGATTTGGAAGGCATACACAAGTACAACAGAGTTGAAGACACTGTAGTAAATAGCAATGAAATAAAAGCAGAAAAAAAAATACTGTGAACAAAAAAGAAGCTTAAAAATAGGAGAAGGGAAAGTAAAGAAAGATGAACTATTTATGGTTACAGCAAAGCCATTTACATACACGTAAGAAAAATTTAATTAAAACAGAGAGTTCCTAATGATTTGGAAAATGTTTCCCAAACATGGAATTGGATAGTTATTGCAAATGGCCATTAAATTTTCTCTCAGTTTCTTGACAGCTAAAACATAAAAGAATAAGATTGGCTATATTTATTTCATGGCTTGAAATCATGGCAGTAAATTCGAAGACTGGTATTATCATATGAGTGCTTATGCAAACATAATTTAATACTATGCCAGACAATGTATATAATAGGTTTTTTTCCAAAAACAATGACCATGTCTTATATAAACATGTGATAAAAGCCAAATTATTATGTGTACAACAGAAATGAACATGTTCCTAGTCCAATAATGTCTTCAAATAGAGAGGCTGATTATGAAAGAATAAAAAGAATAAGAAAAAAATATCTCAGAGCAAATATAAAATAGGTAAATATGCAAACACCTTTTAGGCATTGAAATTTTGGGGAGAATTAGAAAAATGATATTTTGAAATAATAAATGTTCTACATGAATAAAATCAAAATTAAATAATTTATAGGCATCTTTTTATCCCCTGACATTATTTTTTATAATTTAGATCATTTAGATTTTTGGATAATTATTATTATATTTGAAAATCCTGCAAAACAAAACCAAGAGTGTATGCAACTTTTAGAGAACTTAATTCTAATAGCTTTAAACAATCAATGGCTGGGCGGGGTGGCTAACCCTGTAATCCCAGCACTTTGGGAAGCCGAGGCGGGCAAATCATGAGGTCGGGAGACTGAGACCATCCTGACCAACATGGTGAAACCCCCTCTCTACTAAAAATACAAAAATTAGCTGGACATGGGGGCGCGTGCCTGTAATTCCAGCTACTCGGGAGGCTGAGGTAGGAGAATCGCTTGAACCAGAGAGTCGGAGGTTGCAGTGAGCCGAGATGGTGCCACTGCACTCCAGTCTGGCAACAGAGCAAGACTCCATCTCAAAATAAATAAATAAATAAATAGTGCCACACGTAATCACTAAATTGATTTAAGTTTTAAATATCCTTCTTGCAAATTATTAACTTTATTTAGAATGTAAAAGTTAGACTATTAAGTATCCCACTAAGCATTTTTTACTTTCTCAAAAGCCTAAAAAGATGAGGCAGATAAATTGCTTTTTTTTCCCCATAAGAGTCTTCCTGTTGTTGTGGGTTTTGGGGAAATAAATAGTATTAAAAAATGAAGAAATTTTGACTATTTGGGAGTTTCCAAATAGTATGTTGATAAATAAAAGGGTACATTTTCATTTGTCAGAGTATTTTTTTTTCTTTTTTTTTTTTTTTGAGATGGAGCCTCACTCTGTCGCCCAGGCTGGAGTGCAGTAGCGTAATCTTGGCTCACTGCAACTTCTGCCTCCTGGGTTCAAGCAATTATTCTGCCTCAGCCTCCCGAATAGCTGGGACTACAGGTGCACACCACCATGCCAGCTAATTTTTGTATTATTAGTAGAGACGGGGTTTCACCATATAGGCCAGGCTGGTCTCAAACTTCTGACCTTATGATCTGCCTGCCTCGGCCTCCCAAAGTGCTGAGATTACAGGCATGAGCCACTGCACCCGGCCCCAGAGTATTTTTTTTTAATAAAAATACTTATTTTAAAATCTAAAAACGTAAACAAAGATGGACACAGAGAGGGGGTTTGAGACAGTATTTTCAGAAACTGGTACAGAACTGCAAAGCTTCTCTGATTTGAGCTTGCACTATTCAAGTAGTTAATAGTTTTATAAAAGCTTCATTTTTCCTTTTGTGTTTTATTTTACATTTAATATCTATAAAATGACAAATGATCATTAAAACTAGTGAGGCTGTCAATATGTTATCATCCTAATCTTTAGGAAATTCTCAAATAGAGTCTGAAATTCTTGATATTCCATGATGTAATAATGTTTCCTTCTTATGCGTGACTAATACATTTTGACATTTTATCAAAGGATGGTGGGCCAGTATTACTTCAATATTCTGTGTAAGATGGGTTCCAAGTACTGTGAGAAATGAAAAATTACCTAACACATTGCTTGGTGAAAATTATTTTATGAATAGATATGCTTTTGTCTATTACTTGTAATTTTTTCATATATAGATTATAAAGTTTATTATACTTTTATCTCAAAGCCAGAGTTGTAGTTTAAATTTTCAAGGCCTACCATTTTTATACAAGGAAGGCAAGAAACAGAAAATTCCAGGTAAAAGGGGGCAATAAATTCACCAATCTTTCTTTCTTTCTCTCCCTTTCTTTCTTTCTTTCCTTCTTTCTTTTTTTCTTTCTTTCTCTTTTTCTTTCCTCCCTTCTTTCTTTCTTTTCCTTCCTTCCTTCTTTCCTTTCTTCTTTCTTCTTTCCTTTCCTTCCCTCCTTTCTTTTTTTCTTTCTCTCTCTCTTCTTCTCTTTCTTTGTCTCTTTTTTCCTTCCTTATTTCTTTCATTTTTTTATTTCTTTCTCTCTCCCTATTACCTCTCTCCCTCCTTTGCTTCCTACATTCCTCCCTCCCTTCCTTCCTTCTCTCTTACTCTCTCTCTCCTTTTTTCCTGAAATGGAAAGCTGGTAGAGTTTGTAGAAGCTCAGCTCTAAATCCTAATCTGAATGTATATATTTATCAGTCCGAAGCCAAAGGCAATTTGGATGACTGAAAACAACCACTTTGAGGGAGAAGTTGAATATTGTTTGGCAACTGCATTGGACAGGAAATGGAGAGCATATTAATCCCTATGTCAGGGTCTCTTTCCTGGTATTAGAATCATTGGAGGCCTGACTCAGAGAGGAAAGATGTCCAAGTGGTTCCTTAAGTGCCAATTGCATGTGTGAAATAAAAGTTATCAATGTTCTTTCAGCACCTCTCCATTCCGTTCCCTGAGGTAGTCACTGGGGTAGTAAATGTTAATAGCCTAGTCTTTTTCTTTCTACACATTTTCCAAAATAATAAAATATGTGTGTGTATGTATGTATGTGATAAATATTATGTATTTATAATACTCTTTTTTATATTTATAATACTTTTTGTTTACTTTAACAAAAAGAATACTATAAAGATTATGCTGCAATTTGCAATTCTTAGAAACCTTTTCTAAGAACAATTTTAGAGCTATTGCAAAGAAAGTACAGAGAGTTCCCAAACATCTCACACCTAGTTTCCCCTATTAACATCTTCCGGTAGTATGGTACATTTGTCACAACTAATGAATCATAATTGATATATTAATATTAACTAAAGTCCACACTTTATTCAAATGTCTTCAGTTTTTCTCCAACGTCTCTTTTCTTTTGCATGACCCCATCAAGCATAAATACAAGACATTTAGTACTCACACCTCCTCAATCTCCTATTGCCTGTGAAAGTTTCAGATTTTCTTTCTTTTCAATGACATTGCCAGTTTTGAGCATTACTTGTCAAGCATTTTGTAGAATGTCCCTCGAATGAGATTGTATTATTTGTTTCTCATGATTACAGATTTCTGGTATGCTAGGGAAGTGTTACAGAGCAGGGTGTGTAAGACCAAACAACCTGAACTTGAATTCTGGGTCTGCTAATACGTAATTATTCAAGCATTAATAAGTTACTTAACCTCTCTTGCCTCAATTTCTATAATGGGGATGACAATATTTCATATATGGTAAGTTTAGTTTGGGGATTAAATGACTTAGTGTTATATAAGAGTTAGCTAAATAAATAAATGATACTTAAATATAAAAATGAAGAACTTGACATTACTTGAGAGTTGTTCAAGATATGAGTTTTTGCCTGTAGATATTACAATAAAATAAAATATTAAAAACCAGAATATATGAAAATATCAGGAAATGCAATAAAATATTAAGTAAAAAAGACTTCAAAACTGAATACATGTATTATGTGTGTGTGTGTTTTGTACGTTATACAATTATTTCAGGAAAGGGAGTTTTGTAAATCATAAGCTTATAGTTGAATAAACATGCATATTATATAAATATAAATATGACAGAAAATAAAAATAATTGTAGGTACATTCTGTCAAAGATACAAATAAAATAGATGTAGATCTCTCATACAGTATTGGTTGGAAGATGAAGTAGTTTACTTGTTCTGGAAAATAGTTTGCCAGTTTCTTAAGAAACCAAACCTACACTTACCATACATCCAGGACCGCACTAAGAAGCATTTATCCCAGGAACATGAAAACATATTCACACAAAAATCTGTACATGAATGCTCATAGCAGCTTTATTTGTAGTACTCCAAACGGAAAATAACCAAAATGTCCTTCACTGGGTGAATGACGAAATCAACTATAGCATATTCATAACATGAAATACAACTCAGCAATAAGAAGGGATAAACTATGGATACATATAATGATTTAAATGTATGCCAAAGGCCTTCTGCTTGTCAGGTGCAGTGGTTCACGCATGTAATCCCAGCACATTTGGAGGCCAAGATGGGGAGATCTCTTAAGCCCAGGAGTTCAAAACCAGCCTCAGCAACACAGTGAGACCCCATATGTACAAAAAAAAAATTTTTTAAATACCTGGGTGTGGAGACAGGAGCCTGTAGTTCCAGCTATTCAAGAGGCTGAAGTGGGAGAATCCCTTGAGCCCAAGAGTTCTAAATGGCAGTGCACTAAGTTCATGCCACTACACTCCAGCCTGAGCAACAAAGAGATCCCATCTCTAAAAAAGTAATTTTTTAAAGAGGCATTGTATTGAATAGTGAAAGGTGGGACCAATCTTAAAGGGTTACGCACTATATACTTCCATTTTTATAGCCTTCTAAAAATGACATTATAAAGATGGAGAAAGATTAGTGGTTGCCAAGCTTTAGGCATGAGTGGGGAGAGGGAGGGGCATGAGACTGTAAAGGAGCAGCATGCAGATCTGTGTGATGATTGAACTGTTCTACATCTTTGCTGTGGCAGTAGTTATACATATTTACACATGTGAGAAGATGTCATAGATCATTACACACACAAGTTAGTGTATGAAAAACGAGTAAAATCTGAATGAAGTTTATGGATTTTTACCAGTGTTCATTTCCTTATTTGATGTGGTACTGTAGCTGTTTAAAGTGTTACCTTTAAGTACATTAGACTTCTTTATTATTTTTGCAACTTCCTTTGAATGTAAAATTACTTTTTACTTCAAAACAAAAAGCTTTAGAAGATGTAAAAAATAGACAAGGTAATACGTAGTTATATAAGCATTTCAATCAGATTATGAATGTTTTCCTATTTTTACAGTCGACATATAACTATTTTATAACCTGAAAAAATGTACATCTCTGTATATAAATGTATGTGTATGCAATATATATATAGATATTATAGATATACAAATAACATATATGTACTGATACATACATGTGTGTATGTGTATGTGTATGTCATTGTCCCTTTACTTATTATAAACTCTTTCCAGAGTTCAAGTAACTTTTTAAATCATCTCTGAGTCCCTGCCCATTTATTAGCATGGTTCCTGATCCATAGAAAATTCTGTTGCCATTGAAAAATATCTATATTTGATGAATTCTTGAGACTGAAAGAATAAATTTAGAACCAAATGATAAAAGCTTCTGGTAAACAGGTAAATATTATAAGGTGTTTCCAAAAATACGATCTTTAGTGAAGAATGGACAACCTAAAGAGTTTGTATGAAGTCCCGAATGCAATTGTCCCAGGAATTTATGGCAGGCAAACTGAATGGGAGTTTGGACCCAAAGAGCTAAGATGTCTTCCAATCCAGTGATTCTTGTGAAACAAAGAGCTTTGAACTCAGACCAAATGCACTATTTTCAAAGCTCTATTTCTCATGAATCATGAACTAGTCAGAACTATTTTAAGCTAGTTTCCATTGAATTTAGCTAATATGCATTCAGTGCCTATGATGTGCTCATCAATACCCTAAACACCATAGAGGAATACAATAAACAAAGAAAAAGACTGTCCTCAAGTTGATTGGAGAAATAAAGAGAGACATAGTAAATGTGTAATAATATGTAATATTGTAAGAATAGAATCTCAATGAGCAGTATAAAAAATAAAACCGCCCACTCCCAGAGTGATACCTCAAAACCATTATTGTTCCTAAGCTGAGTCATTGCAGGGTCAGCATTTCCAATACTCATCCAATGAGTACTCACTCCACAGAAATTTTAAGATGTTCAACATGTTGACAATTGGAAATTTTCAGATAATTTAACAAACTGGGTGTTGCGTACTTAATATTCTATTCATATGTTACTTTTTTCTTATGTAACCCAAAACTAAAATAAGATAAATGTGTTTTAGTCTTATTTTATATTTTCCAAACAAGCACATATTAATTTTTCTTTTTTCTAACATGTAGTTGCAAAACTCTCTTATTTTCTCATACAGAATGGAATATAATTTAAAATATATAAATGTAAATAATGTCACATGAAATTCTAATTCATGTCTGTGAATATGACAAAATAATAATTGTTGAGCAATGTTTCTGATTTTTTTATATAGTAAAACTGGCATTTATTAAAAAGTTGCCCAAGGTATGTTTAATTTGACAGGTTTTTATATTTCATATTTATTTTTCTGAATTCTGATCAAAAATGAGAAGTGGTATACCATCAATTAAGTTATCAAGTATAAATTTAAAGTTTATATATGTACATTTGAGCATTTGTTTTGAACTTGTAATTAAGTAGGTACATTTGACTACACAAAATTTTGGAATGCATTTGCATACAAATAAATTGACATACTTCAATTGCATTTCCATACCATGATTCATTATGTTGTTTTCTGTGAAATTTACTCTAATCTCCCAACTACAGTATTTATAAGCAGTGTGTCAGCCTCTCACCAGCAGTGAGTGTCGCCAAGGCAGCGCTTTTGTTGTCATGGCAGTGATGGATCATCAATGTTCGGTAGCAGACCTGTAATTTGCAAATTGAATGACAGGCAGCATTGAAAATGCACTGCAGTGGCCTTTTCTAGGTAAGTTGGAAGCTTGTGGTATGAGAGTTCTCTCTCTTTAAGTCGTGTTTTATTTTAGTCTTCACACCAGTTTGACATTTAGATTCAGAGAGTATAAATGAGATATTTAGGTTTTGAACTTAAAATAAATTCTTTGTGTAATAGAGCAGTAAATATTTTACTTTTTCAAAGGATGCTAAAACTCATTTAATCAGGTTACAGTTTTGTGCTCATCTTTCCCCAGTGCAAGCCTTGGTCTCTTCCAGTTGAAATCTGTATCGTTATCTTTCTGTGTTTGATATATATGAAGGATTGAACAAAAGAAGAGAAAGAAAAAAAAAACAGCATCTCTTAAGAAGTAGCATCTATTTTTGTCATTACCGTTCTTTTTCATAGGCAAAGTCAATTATTCTCTAGCCTGGAATTCAGCTTTGCTCTATTCTGTGACTATTCAGCTGTCAAGATAACAGCATTCAAGGTACAATGTCCTCATGAATCTTCTACTGACCAAATAGCCTAACTAAATCTCTCTTCTCTAAACTTCTGCAATGTTTCTAATATTAAACTATAGGTTAATAAAGTGTAGGATCCATAACTGTTTTTCCCAGTGGGGAAATTTCGTAGCAAATACATAGTTACCATTCATTAAATGTGTGTTGTATCATTAATTAAATAAAATCCAAATTACCATTATTGTTACATTATCAAACTACTGGTTGAACTTAATCATGCATATTTAGCTATTTAATTTTCTCATGCATGTGCCTTCCTCAAATAGATGGTGAGTCACCACGAGTGAGGAGAACTTTTCTATACATATATGCATTATGTATAGCAAATTAAATATCCTATATTTAGTATATTTCCTAGAGTCTCCACAGTGCTACAAATACATAGCAGAATAGATACTACATAGCTGATGCATGGTAAATACTTAATAATAAAAATAGTTGCTTACACTGTTATAAAACATTAACAAACAAAAGAAATCATGTAATAAAAGAAAACATTAATTCTAAACTGCTACATTAATTTGCATTGGCAAAACATGATATACCCCCAAGCAGCTTCTCTGATTTGACAGATTTGTCCCTGATTTGAGTGGAACATTTCTGTAAAGTAGGACGTGTGAGTCCTATTTTAAGTTGCTTTGTCATAGACCCTGGAGCAGTCATAATTTTTAGTTACTCTAGTTTCTCCAGCTCTAAATGCAAGTAGCAATTCCTGTCATCTGTACAACTTATAGCCATGCAATGATCTTAATATACTGAATCTTGTTAGCTAAGACCTTAGGTGTTGCCAGAAGTCATTCAGCATTTACAGGACAACAGCTTTGTGTCATTTTCTGTTAGGGTCCTTGACTGAGAAGTTAGCATAAGCTAACCTACCACTCATTTACTCGTTCAACTAATAAATATTGAGTACCATTGCTTGACCTGCTGTGGAAACAAATGACTCTAACATAATTCTAGTAGGTAATATATTGTAGGTACATAAAACATGCAATAAATGCACAGAGGAAGGAGCTACACAATTCTTTTGGGGGAAATTACTGGGGATACTGTAACCATGGTATATTCCTGTTTCAGAAAAGCATTATAACTGTATTCATGATGGGTTGGTTGTAATCTTGTGGAACGTAAATTGGATAATAACAGAGAAAGGGAAATTGAGACCTGGTTTAACACCCTCATGTAAAGAAGTAGCCAGTGTCAATCTCCAGCAGGTTACTACAGGGATCTATGCTTGTCTCTGGTTTATTATTTTTTATTTTTTAATTAGTGGGAAAAAAGTGTGCTTATTAAATTTGTAGGTGACACAAACCTAGGGAATATTACAAATATTGTTGGGACAGAATCAACACTAAACATCCCCCTAAAAGCCTAAAACAATAGGCCAAAATCAACAAAATGAAATTTAACAGAGATAAATATGATGCCCTGCAGTGCCAAAAAAGGAAAAAAAAAAAAAAAAGAAAAAGAAAAACCTCAACTCAAATAAATATAGGATTGAAAATATCTGACTGAAATATTTGCAGCTAAATCACTATGGGTGAGTTAGATGAAGAAAAGCTTAATTTGGCTCTAAGCTTTGATATGTCCCTGAAAATATTACAGACACGTTATTATCTGTACAGATGGATATATAATGCCCTGGACAAGGGATAGAGTATTTATTCTCTATCCTATATTTGCATATTGTATATCTATCAAATTTACATTTGGTAAGCTACATTCTAAAAACTTCTCTGACAAATTATAGGAAGGCACTAAAGAAAGTTAAAAAGGATGAGGGAGTAATTTAGAAATCACGGTGCCTCAGTTGGTGATATGTTTCAAAACTGTGTCAATCAGAATACAATGAAAGGACCTGGGTATTTCTAACAGGAAGAAGAGAGGATTAAAGTAGAACATGACAACTTCAAAAATTTGAAAGGCTATTATGTTGCAGAGGTGATTTGTTAAGTACCATTACAAAAGACAGGATGGACGGAAGATGGAAAGAGAATTGGTTAAGATGTTGACTCAATATAAAATGCCTGAAAGATAGATTTTTATCTGTTTTATTCACTGCAGTCCCTTGGCTTTTACAACAAATCTTAGCAGGTTTAAGGAACACAACAAATATTTTTGAATACATTAATGAATGAATAGGTAGTAAAGTATAAAGTCTAATCTGTTGAAATACAGAATAAAGTTTCTCAACAGGTAGCAGATGAGATGCCTGCTAAGCATAACTAGTGTCAGAAAAAGGCAATTGAAATGATTCTACTCTACAAAAAGAAATAAAATTCCATAGAAAGGTTTGAAAATTGTTTTTATAAACTTGTCTTAAAACTAGTATTTTCAAAGTGGAAAGTCTATATGATAGTCAACAAATTTTGAATTGTAGAAAATATGAGTTAACTTAGAATGCATCAAGTTTTGACAGATTTTGGGTGTGTATGCAATTTTTTAACAAAGTTTTATAATAGCATAACATGATATTTTTCAATTCCTGTTCGACAATATTATTATAAAGAAAATCATTCTTGAGATAGTAGTACACTCCATCAATTACTACAGGTTCCTCTTTTATTTCTTTGATATTCAAGTTGTTCTCTTTGGAAATGTTCAGCATGTCATAAATATTTTATGATTTAACTTCAAAATTGATTGGCTTAAATAGCCAGATGCTCATTTGTAAAGATTTTGCATGCAATTCAAACATTCTTCATCACATCATTGTTTTTGTATAAAATCCTACCTCTTTTGAAATATTTGAATTGAATTTTGCGTCAATTTCCACTGTATTCCACACTATGATCTATGCATATACCATTTGACAACAAGAAACTTAGTTTGATACAGAGGTTACATTATGCTGAAAACGTTTGGTTGGTTGGAGAAAATTTTATATGTGTAAGTGATGTAAAAAGTGATTAGTTATATATAATATGCAAATATTATATGCAATATATATTATTTGCATATATATGCAATTATATATTATTTGCAATATATATGCAAATAATGTATTTTATGGTGCTATGATCAATTTTACTTCCCTGCACAACTTTAGATTGAAGGAACACAAAAAATATTTGCAAAGGGAGAATGTGATTCCCTCTCTTAAGATTAAAGCTAGTTAATCATTAATCAGGAGGAAATATTTGTATTCAGTGGGATTTTTAACTTAATTATATATAATATTCTTTCAAACTTTAAGTTTGACCTTAAAATATACACATACATGCCATTTTTAAGGCAGTCTTACCACTTGATCCTAGTATAGTTTGTTGTATGACATGAACATCTATTAATTTACAGTTATCCAGTTACTTCCATTATGTTAGAGTTAATCTACCATGTTTAAATAGTTTTATATTCTGATTCTGATACAGAACTTATTAGCTACACCTATCAAATTTATGCCATTAAAATTCTGGGCAAGTAAGACTAAAGACAAAATTTATTAAACCCATTTGGAAATGTTCCTGCTAACTTATATCAATCTACATTTAAAACCAGAAAGTTTTACAATGACTTCTTGATACATCTCTGCATTCTTCTTGAAAACCATGAAGAGAGATTTTGGTATACAACTTAATCCAATTGTGATGCACTGTTTAACTTAGGATTTTTTAAAGGGTGAATTGGCTTCTCTTCTGTGTAAATATATGCCACTTGCTAATGGTCAATGTTTTTATTTCTAAGATGTACAAATTATCTATTGAACCGTCTATGCTAGAAACTTTAGTTTCTTACATGGAGAAACATTTGCTAGTCTTTCATTTTTCACTGATTGTCTTATTCTTCCTAGTTTCACAAATGTTGTCAACACTGGTTTTGCAGCACTTTTGCAAATTCTCCCAACTCCTTCTACGTACTTCAACTGGGCTCAGTGATTTGAATTTATACAGATAAGCTAAATTACCCTTGCTATATCTTCATTTATATTATGTTTCTATTCTCTTTCAACAATCTTCTCTATGCTCTCCACATCATTTTTTGATGGATAAAAGTGAAATATAAATTAGAAGCTTTGTTTTAGCTCATGAATTCCAGTTATCTATCACAAGTGAAGGATCATGTGTTTACATACAATATATGATATGTTAGCATATGTGTTAGGATATGTGCTAATATATCCAGAAAAAAAATACTTTAAAAATTTTCTTTATTGTTTTACAGAAGTCTAAACAGCTCTGGACCAGTAACTGCTTTTTTTCTCTTGTTTTAAATACTAAGTTTTTGGCTTCTTAAAGTCAAAATCCAAATCTATATACATCGTATCATCTGGCATGTAAACTACATTTGGTTATGTCAGTTGAAGAAAAAATGAAAAATGAATTAATTAATGTTACAGGGTAATTTGTTAAAAATAAAAGCTAATAAGTATAGTCAGGTAGTAATCTTTATCCCAGTTTAAAATTAGGACTGGTAAAGCAGTTGTCATTCTCCTCTGTTATAAACACTTTGGCTGCTTAATGGGATGAATACTAATAGGCAATTATCTCAAAGAACTGGAAATTAGAAGTAGCTAGGAGAAAAGTATTGAACTCTTTCCAGAGTTTTTATTCATCTCCCATTTGGGTGGTTTTTTTGTGGTTATTTGTTTTCTTATTTTAATTTTTGTATTGGGGAGATGATTCCTCTAGAATGAACGACTGAGGACCAGAGGAGAGAAGGTGACTTGACTCTTTTCAACTCGAAGGAAATTTCTAATGAGGTCCTGCAGTCTTTGTTTCCTTTACATAGGATACGATTCAGAATGTTGATGCCTTTTGCCATTATTCACATACAGGGATAATAATAATAGAATTAGCTATTGTTTGTGGGACACCTATGTTTCAGACATAATGACTATCTTTAACAGCTACTATGTATATACAAAAAAGGTTAATATTTTCTTCATTTTATAAATTAAAAAAAGAAATATTAGAGAAATTAAGTAACATGAAACCATCTTCCAATTATGAAATGCCAGAATCAGTATTTTTATCAGGTCAGGTTTCAAAACCTGTTTTTTCCGCTACAGCACATTGTCCTTCTAAGCCTCCAGTGCTAAGATTTAAATAAAAATTGAACTACCCCTGGGTAAATTTTGGAAGCAAAGGCAGTTCTCCTCTTACACCGTGACTTTCCACATATTTTCTAGGACTTACTATTTAAGAACTGAATTGAATTGATCGCCTCTATCAGGAAACTTGCTGCTACTTTATATGAATTCGCTGTATGTTAGGACTAATATGTTTATTTTTGTGGAGTATCAAGACATTCCCGTTTGAAAAAGACATAACTTTAAACATTTTATTTATTACTGTTGGCAGTCAGACCTGTAGCCAACTGCCTGTGCTGTCTTTTTGTTTCATTTATAATACGACAGAAAGGACAATGGGGCGCCTGGGCAGGCTCCCACATTTCAGGCTTCTGTTCTGTGCACAGCTTTTCTATTGCCATTTTGGAGAAAGAAAGGGACCTATGAAAATAGTTGTGACAGCAGATGTGATTTTCATGTGGTGCCAGCATTTTTTTTTCCTTCGTAGAGTTAAGTAATATCCGAAGTTGGTACTAAAAATACAAAGAGTATTGTGCCAATATAGAATGCACCATTCCTAAAATTCCTTCACTTCTATTGCAAAAGGAGCTTTTTAGAATTAGAATTAAAAAACAAAACACATTTGAGTAGAAAACAATATTTGCATCTATAGCAAACTGAGTGAAAATTTCATTCCAAAAGAGAATGCTGTAAACAGAGCACAGCAGTTCCCCTGTTATATGTGGTTTTACTTTTCCTGATTTCATTTACCCATGATCAACCAGAGTCTGAAAATATTACAAACAATAAGATATTTTGAGAGGGACCACATTCATATTTTTATTACAGTTATTGTTATACATGTTCTATTTTATTATAAGTTATTGTTAATCTCTTAATGTGCCTAATTTATAAATTAAACTTAACCATAGGTAGCTATGTAGAGAAAAATCATAGTATTTATAGGTTTTGGTACTATTTGTGATTTGGTATTAACTTGGGGGTCTTGGGACATATCCTTTGTAGATATGGAAACTATTGTAATCATTTATGACTTCATTCTCAGTGTATCTTTTTCTTCTTGGCCACAAGGAAAATTTCTACCAGGTTGGTTTTGGTTTCTTTCGATTCAGAATCATTTATTGGACATATTATATAAAAGTCACTCTGCTGAAAGTGGTGAGGATTAAGACTCAGATGGTAACACACCCACCTCTCAAAGAAGGACACAGTTTATGTTGTAAAATAGAACTTGAATATCCATATTATACGGCAGTACGTACAATGCATTATAATACAAGTTCATCTCTCAAGGAGCACCTTGGATAGAGAATTGAGAGGACTTTGTTTTTAAAATGTATTCTTTGAAGTATGGGTGAAATTTAACCAGCATAAGAATATAGAGCTGGGAAAAGTTACAAATACATTTATATATAGGGGATGGGGCGAGAAAACTAGTTGAATACTTTGGCGGCTAAGAAAAAACGTGAGAGAGGAGTGAACAGAAGATGAAATTGGAAGAATGAGTTTGTACTACTGCAGACAAGTTTGAATGTCAGGCTGAATTGTTTCTTATTTAATAATTAATAGATATTAAATATTTCGCAACAGGTTACATAATTATGCTGTATTTGAGGAAATACCAATAATAACTAACCCGGCAGTCGAGCAATCCAATTAAGAAGGTAAACCTTTAGGCCATTTTACCTCTGTTCATATATTCACTCTCCTACCTGGTAGCTGTGTAATCTGGGGAAATTGCTATTTCTTTTCATTTCCTTTTCTGTGTTTTATAAAATTAAGAGGATAATAATTATATACCTATCTCACAGTACTGTTGTGAGAACCAAATGTGATAATATATGAAAAGAATTAACACAGGATTAGACACAGACAAAGTACTCCAAAAAAGTTGGCTGCAATTGCTACCTTGTATGTAATGCTTTACTAGGGTTTCTAAATATATTTAAGTAATGTGAATGGGAGCTATTTAGGAAGGAGTTGAGGCATGGGAGGAGTTAACTGAAAAGGTCTAAGGTAACTCAAAAGGAAGACATACACAGTGAAATCAGATCAGAGGGGTTATGGCCAAGGTAGCTGAGGCTGCCCTGAAAGACCACCCAGTTCAGTAGATGTGATGCAGTCAAGGCTGAATCCAATGAATTGATGCCTCTTAGAATGCACAGAAGATCAGTTAGTGGGATGTGTGTTGAGTGCAAGATAGTGAGTTCATTTTCACTATCAGTGACAAATTTACAATGTCCACATTACACTGTAGTTTCTGGTTTCAAAGTTTTCATACAACAAAATGTTTTATATAAGCTGTCTTAGAAAAATAATTTCCAATTTGAATTTCATCTATCTCTCTTCATGTAGTACTGTCACTATTTTATTTGGAAGTAACAATAAATGAGTAAGATGTGTTAGATTGTATGGCAGAGAATAAAATGGAAAGAAAGAATAGATACCCTTGCAACTGGAAAATGTGAATTAAAAGCAATAATTAATAGAAAAACAAAAGGAAAGGACAGAAATAGTAATTTTAAATTGGCAATAGTATTTGGTACTATTGATTTTGAACATTTGTGCATTGCTATGAAAATTTTGATATCAACTTATGTACTTTATTCAATACGATCCTTACCAAAATACTATGAGATAGGCCATATACATTTCGGGGACAGAAGGTATCCAATAAACTACATTCTTGATCCCTGCCAATATTTGGGAAAAAGTGAGAGATGGACACAGAAATGAGACAGATTTCATTCATTCATTCAACAAATATTTATTTAGCTCCTACTCATACTTGACTTTCTTGAAGACACATGTCATAAGCCAGTGAATAAAACAAAAATCTCTATGTAATGAAACTTATAGCCAAAAGATGGGAGAATAATGTCACATGTGACAGACATGGACATGTACCATTCAAAACCTACTGTAAGACAAAACAAGCAGGGTGCAGTGGCTCACGCCTATGATCCCAACACTTTGGGAGGCTGAGGCTGGCAGATCACTTGAGGCTAGGAGTTTGAGACCAGCCTGGCCAACGTGAAAAAACTCCATCTCTACTAAAAATACAAAAATTAGCCAGGGGTGGTGGCACAGGCCTGTAATCCCAGCTACTGGGGAGGCTGAGGTAGGAGAATCACTTGAACCCAGGAGGAGGAGGTTGCCGTGAGCTGAGATCATGCCACTGCACTCCAGCCTGGGTGAATGAGTGAGACCGTCTCAAAAAAAACAAACAAACAAAAAAAGGAACATTCTGCATACACATTGCCCAACTATTAGAACTATGGTTATATGGCAATACCTGGCTTTAACTTATTCAGGCCTGGGTATGCTTCAGCTTTGAAGCCAAGTTCACACTCTGCAGAGCAGACCTCGGTCATTGCCTAAGAAAAGACCTAGCCATTTCTGCCCAATGTATGACTTCTCTAATGGACTCACTTTGGGTTTTCAGAGACTGTCTCTTCGATATACTGGTTTCCTTTCTTTGAGAATACACCTAGGAATAGGATTGCTGGATCATGTAGTAGTTCTATTTTTAGTTTTTTGAGGAGCCTCCCAACTGTTCTTCAGAGTGGTTGTACTAATTTGCATTCCCACCAACAGTGTTCAAGGATTCCCTTTTCTCCACAGCCTCTCCAGCATTTGTCATTGCATGTCTCTTGGATAAAAGCAATTTTAACTGGGGTGAGATGATATCTCATAGTTTTGATTTTCACTTTGATGGTTAATATTGTTGAGTACCTTTTCATATACCTGTTTTCCATTTGTATGTCTTTTGATAAATATCTATTAAGATATTTTGCCCATTTTTAAATTGGATTATTAAATTTTTTTTTCTTGTAGAGTTGTTTGAGCTCCTTATATATTCTGGTTATTATTCCCTTGTCAGACAGGTAGTTTGCAAATATTTTCTCCCATTTTGTGGGTTGTCTTTTCTCTCTGTTGATTGTTTCCACTGTTGTGCAGAAGCTTCTTAATTTGATATGATCCCATTTGCCCACTTTTGCTTTGATTGCCTGTGTTTTTGGGGTATTATTCAAGAACTCTTTGCCCTCCAATGTCCTGGAGAGCTTCTCCAATGCTTTCTTTTAGTAGTTGCATAGTTTGGGGTCTTAGATTTAAGTTGTGAATCCATTTTTACTTGATTTTTGTATGTGGTGAGAGATAGAAGTCTAGTTTCATTCTTCTGCATATGGATATCTTGTTTTCTCAACACCGTTTATTGAAGAGACTCTCCTTTCTCCAATGTATGTTCTTGACACTCTTGTTGAAAATGAATTCACTGTGCATGTATAGATTTATTCTACTCCATTGGTCTATGTTTCTGTTTTTATGCCAGTACCATGCTGTTTTGGTTACTGTAGCTCTGTAATTTGAAATCAAGTAATGTGATTCCTCCAGTTTTGTTCTTTTTGCTCAGGATAGCTTTGGCTCCTCTGAGTATTTTATCATTCTACATAAATTTTAAGATTATTTTCCTATTTTTGTGAAGAATGTCATTGGTATTTCAATAACAATTGCACTGAATCTGTAGATTGCTTTAGGTAATATGGACACTTTAACAATATTGATCCAATTCATGAATATGGAATATCTTTCCATTTTCTGTGTGTCCTCATCAGCTTCTTTTATCGAGTATTTTACTGTTTTCATTGTAGAGATCTTTCATTTCTTTGGTTAAGTTTATTCCTACATATTTTATTTTATTTGTAGTGATTATAGATGGGATTATTTTCTTGACTTCTTTTTCAGATTGTTCACTGTCGACATGTAAAATTGCTACTGTTTTTTGTAATTTGAGTTTGTGTCCTGCAAGTTTACTGAATTTGTTTAACAGTTCTAACAGCTTTTTGGTGGTGTCTTTAGTTTTTTCAAATATAAGGTCATGTCATCTGCAAACAAGGATAATGTGACTTTTCTTTTCCAGTTTGGATGTCCTTTATTCTTTTCACTTGCCTGATTGCTCCAGCTAGCACTTCTAGTACTATGTTGAATAACAGTGGAAAGTGGGCATCCTTGTGTTCCAGATCATAGAGGAAATGCTTTCCATCTTTGTCATTCAATGTAATATTAGCTGTGGGTCTGTTGTATATGGCTTTTATTTGCTGAGGTATGTTCTTTCTGTACCAGATTTTCTGAGGTTTTCATCATGAGGGGATGCTGAATTATATCAAATGTTGTCTTAGAATCAATTAAAATGATAATACAGTTATTGTCTTTCATTCTGTTGATATGATGTATCACGTTGATGGATTTGCATATGTTGACTCATCTTTGAATGCCTGGGATAAATCCTGCTTGGTCATAATGAATGATGTTTTTAATGTGTTCTTGAACTCGGTTTGCTAGTATTTTGATGAGAATTTTTGCATCAATGTTCATCAGGGATTCTGCACAGTAGAATCTTTCTTTCTTTCTTTCTTTCTTTCTTTCTTTCTTTCTTTCTTTCTTTCCTTTCTTTCTCTCTCTCTCTCTCTCTCTCTCTCTCTTTCTTTCTTTCTTTCTTTCTTTCTTTCTTTCTTTCTTTCTTTCTTTCTTTCTTTCTGACTTTGTTTGGTTTTTGTGTCAGGGTGATACTGGCCTCATAGAATGGATTTGGAAATATTCCCTCATCCTCTATTTTTCAGACTAGTTTGAGTAAGATTGGTATTACTTCTTGAAAAGTTTGGTAAATTTTGCTAAATAAGCCTTCAGGTACTGGGATTTTCTTTGCTAGGAGACTTTATTTTCTGGCTTCAATCTCAGTTCTTGCTGTTGATCTGTTCAGGTTTTAGATGTCTTCATTGTTCAATTCTAAGAGGTTGCATTGTCTAGGAATGTATCCCTTTTTTCTACAGTTTCCACTTTATTGGCATATAGTTGCTCGTAGTAGCCTCTAATAATCCTTTGAATTTCTGCAGTATTGGTTGTAATGTCTCCTTTTTCATCTCTGATTTTATTTATTTGGGACTTCTCTCTTTCTGTGTTTCTAAAGGTTTGATGATTTTATTTATCTTTTCAAAAAAAGCCACTTTTCCTTTTGTTGATTGTTTATATTTTTATTTCAGTTTCCTTTATTCATGCTCTGAGCTTTTTTATTTCTTTTCTTCTACTAATTCTGAGTTAGTTTTGCTCCTGCTTTTCTAGTTTATTAATATTCTTTGTTATGTTGTTTACTTGAAGTTTTTTTCTACTTTTTTGATGTAAGTGCTTACTGCCATTAACTTTCTCCTTAGAACAGCTTTTGCTATATCCCATATGTTTTGGTATGTTACCTTTCCATTATCATTTGTTTCAAGAAATTTTTTAATTTCCTTCTTATTTTCTTCATTAACCCACTACCTATTCAGTACATATTGTTTAATTTTCATGTGTTTGCATTTTCCAAAATTCCTCTTATTGATTTCTAGTTTTATTCCGTTGTGGTAAGAGGAATTACTTGAAATACTTTTAATTTTTTGAATACAGTAAGGCCTGTTTTGTGGTCTTACATATGGGCTATCCTTGAGAATGATCCATGTTGTGAGGAGAAGAATGTGTATTCTGCAGCTGTTGGATGACACGTTCTGTAAATATCTACTAGGTCTATTTGGTCTATTGTACAGATTAAATCCAATGTTTCTTTGTTGATTTTCTGTCTGGAAGCTCTGTCCAATGCTGAAAGTGGGATGTTGAAGTCTCCAGCTATTATTGTATTAGAGTCTATCTCTCTCTTTAGCTCTAATAATATTTGATATATATCTGGGTGCTCCAGTGTTGGGTGCACATATATTTGCAAATTGTTATATCCTCTTGCTGAATTGACCCCTTTATCAGTATATCATGACCTTGTCTCTTTTTATAATTTTTTTCTTGAAATATATTTTGTCTGATTTAAGTATAGCTTTCCTGTTCTTTTCTAGTTTCCATTTGCATGAAATATATTTTTCCATCCCTTTATTTTCAGGCTATGTGTGTCTTTATAGGTGAGGTATGTTTCTTATAGGCAACAGATTATTGGATTATTTAAAAAAATATTCAACCACTCTATGTCTTCTGCTTGGGGGATTTAGTTCATTTACATTCCATATTACTATTAAGGACTTACTTCTGCCATTTTCTTATTTGTTTTCTGGTTGTTTTGTGGTTTTCCTTCTTTCATTCCTTCCTGTTCCTGTTACTGAGGGTGATTTTCTCGGGTTCTGTGTTTTAATTTATTGTTTTTAATTTTTTGTATATCTGTTGTGGTTTTGGATTTGAATTTACCATGAGGCTTGCAAATAACGTCTTATAATCTATTGTTTTAAACCGAAGACAACACTGATTGCATAAACAAAGAGAAAACTATTAAAAACTCTCTACACTTTAAGTTTATTCCCCTGCTTTTTAACTTTTTGTTGTTTCTATTTATCTTATTATATATACTATGTCTTGAAAAGTTATAGTTATTATTTTTGATATGTTCATTTTTTAGTCTTTCTACTCAAAGTATGAGTAGTTTATACACTATCATTACAGTGTTCTAATATTGTGTTTTTCCATGTACTTACTATCACCAGAAAGTTGTATAACTTCAGATAATTTCTTATTGCTCATTAATGTCCTTTTTCTTCAGGTTGAAGAACTCCCTGTAACATTTCTTGTAGGACAGGTCTGGTGTTAACAATATCCCTCAGCTTTGGTTTGTCTTGGAAAGTCTTTATTTCTCTTTCATGTTTGAGGGAATTTTTGGCTGGTTATACTATCCCAGGATAAAAGCTTTTTTGTTTGTTTGTTTCCCTTCAGCACTTTAAATGTCTCATGCCACTCTCTCCTGGCCTGTAAGGTTTCCACTGAGAAGTCGGCTGCCAAACATATTGAAGCCTCTTCGTATGTTATTTCTTTCATTCGTCTTTCTGCTTTTAGTATCCTTTCTTTATTCTTTACTTTTAGAAGTTTGATTATTACATGTCTTGAGATAGTCTTATTTGGGTTAAATTAACTAGGTGTTCTATACCCTTCTTGTACTTGAATATTGATATCTTTCTCTAGGTTTGGAAATTTCTGTTATTTTCTTTTTGAATAAACCTTCCACCCCTATCTCTGTACTTTCTCTTTAAGGCCAATTACTCAGATTTGTTCTTTTGAGGGTATTTTCTAGACCTTGAAGGCATGTTTCATTCTTCTTTGTTCTCTTTTCTTCTGTGTCCTCTGACTGTACGTTTTCAAATAGCCTGTCTTTAAGCTCTCTAATTATTTCTTTTGCTTGTCAATTCTGCTGTTAAGAGACTCTGATGCATTCTTCGGTATGTCAGTTGCATTTTCAGCTCCAGAATTTCTGCTTTATTCTTTTCAATTATTTTGATCTCTGTTAAATTTATCTTACAGGGTTCTGAATATCTTCTCTATGTTATCTTGAATTTTATTGAGCTTCCTTAACACAGCTATTTTGAATTCTTTCTGTGAAAGGTCACATATCTCTGTCTTTGTAGGACTGGTCACTAGTGCCTTATTTACTTCATTTGTTAAGGTAATATTTTCCTGCATGGTTTTGCCTTTGTGGGTATTTGTTAATGTCTTGAGATTGAAAAGTTTGGTGTTTATTGTAGTGTTTGGAATCTGGGCTTATTTGTAGCCATCCTTCTTGGGAAGGCTTTCCAAATATTCAAAGGCACATAGGTGTTATAATCTAAGTCTTTGGTCATTGCAGCCATATCTGCATTAGGGGACACCCCAAGCTCCGTAATATTGTGACTCTTGCAGACTAGAAGAGATGTTCTTGGTTTTCCTAGGTTAGATCTGGGAGAATTCCCTTGACTACTAGGAAGAGATTCTTTTTCTTCTCCCTTACTTTTCCCCAAACAAACAGAGTCTCTCTGTCTGTATTGAGCTGCTTGGAGCTGGGCATGTGTTACATAAGCATTCCTGTGCTCACCACCACTGGGATTGTGCTGGGTCAGACCTAAGCCAACACAGCCCTGGATCTCAGAGCCTATGGTGACCACTGCCTGGCTACTGCCTATGTTCACTCAAGGCCTACAGGCTCTACAATCAGCAGGTGGTGAATCTAGCCAGGCTTCTCTCCTTCCCTTCAGGGTGGCAACTTCACGAAAATTTCAGGAAAGTCCATAGATGCCATCAAGGAGCCAGGATCTGGAGTTGGGTATTCAGGAATCTACCTGTGCTCCATTCTGCTGCAGATGAGTTGGCACCCAAGCCATAAGACAAAGATCTTCCCACACTTCCCTCCCCTTCCCACAAGCAGAGGAGTCTCTCCCCGTTGGCCACCACTGTCCCAGACACTCAGTGAGTATGGCTGCTGGCAGCTGCCAGTATTCATTCAAGGCCCAGGGGCTCTTCAGCCTGTGGTGAATGATGTTAGTCCTGAGTCTCTCCATACAGGGCAGTGAGCTCATTGAGAGCAGGTCCATAAATGCCATCCAAGAGCCAAGGCCTGGAATGGTGGACCCCAGGAGCCCACTTGGTGCTCTACTACACTGGGGCTGAGATGGCACCCAAGACTCAATACAAAATCCCCTCTACTCTTCCCTCTCCTTTCCTCTAACAGGTTCTCTCCTCATAGCCACCACAGCTGTGGATGTGCTGGCTCACACCTGAAGCCAGCATGGCTCTGAGTCTCACCTAAGGCCTGTGCTAAGTACTGCCTGGCCCCTACTGCTGATTATTCAGGGCCCAAGCTCCCTTTAGTCAGCAGGTAATGAATCCTACTAGGACTAGATTTCTATTTCAAGTCTGCCAGTTACCTTCTGGCCCAGGGTGTGTCTAGAAATGTCATTCATGACTAGGGCTTGGAATAGGGGCCTCAGGTCTCTGTCTGGTGCCCTATTTTATTGTGGCTCAGCTCATATCCAAATTGCAAAAAAAAGTCCTCTTTACTCTCTCTCTTCTCTCTTCAAACGGAGGGAAGGAACCTCGCCCGGAGCTGCAAGTTGTGCTGCCTGGGGTTTGGGGAAGGGTGATGCAAACATACCCTTGGCTGCCCCAGCTGGTGTAAGTCCCATGCACTCCAATCTGGCTCCAAGCTCAGGGCAGTACCAGGGCTTGCCCAGGAATTGCAATCCTTGTGGACTTTCAAGTCCTTTCAAGTTTATTTAGAACCCCAGAGCACTTTAATCCATGGTGGTGTAGCTTGCAAGAACTCAGGTTCCAACCACTGGGATAAGCTATTGGCTTCTGGTTAAGACTGGTCTAAATGCTTCCTCCTTGGGTGCTGGCTCAGTTCTGCCCTGTGCTGCTTTCTGCCGTGACAGGACAGCACTGAGTTCCAATGTGAAGTCGCACAATGACCATGCTCTCCCTCCCCCAAGCACACTAATCGTCTCTCTGTGCCATGGAGCCACTGCTAGGGGATGGGGCAGGGGTGTTGTAGGTGAGTCAAGACTATCTTCCCTTCCCTCTTCATTGCCTCTTTCCTTAACATGATGTTAAAACCAGGTGCTGTGATCACTCATCTGATTTTTGGTGCTTTTTCGTGTGGATAGTTGTTCAATTTGGTGTTCCTGCATGGAGAATGATCAGTGGAAGGTTCGATTTGGTCATCTTGCCCTACCTCCTAACTCCTTGTTATACTCTTAATTCTGTGATAACATCCTTTCCCTGGAGTGTTATTACAACTGTTGATAAACAGATAAAGAGCTTACTATTATTATAAGAGGAAAAGTCTATTAGTGAACGTAGCTTCAGATCTGAGGCAAAAGAGGCCTGTTCACTCTTAATCTGTGAAATATAAAGTCTTTTTTGTTGTTGCTGTTGTTGTTGTTCCTCTTTTTTTATGATTATTATACTTTAAGTTTTAGGGTACATGTGCACAACGTGCAGGTTTGTTACATATGTATACAGGTGCCATGTTGGTGTGCTGCACCCATTAACTTGTCATTTAGCATTAGGTACATCTCCTAATGCTATCCCTCCCCCCTCCGCCCACCCCACAACAGGCCCTGGGGTGTGATGTTCCCCTTCCTGTGTCCATGTGTTCTCATTGTTCAATTCCCATCTATGAGTGAGAACATGCGGTGTTTGGTTTTTTGTCCTTGCGATAGTTTGCTAAGAATGATGGTTGCCAGCTTCATCCATGTCCCTACAAGGGATATGAACTCATCATTTTTTATGGCTGCATAGTATTCCATGGTGTACATGTGCCACATTTTCTTAATCCAGTCTATCATTGATGGACACTTGGGTTGGTTCCAAATCTTTGCTATTGTGAATAGTGCCACGATAAACATACGTGTGCATGTGTCTTTATAGCAGCAAGATTTATATTCCTTTGGGTATATACCCAGTAATGGGATGGCTGGGTCAAATGGTATTTCTAGTTCTAGATCCCTGAGGAATCGCCTCACTGACTTCCACAATGGTTGAAATAGTTTACAGTCCCACCAACAGTGTAAAAGTGTTCCTATTTCTCCACATCCTCTCCAGCACCTGCTGTTTCCTGACTTTTTAATGATTGCCATTCTAACTGGTGTGAGATGGTATCTCATTGTGGTTTTGATTTGCATTTCTCTGATGACCAGTGATGATGAGCATTTTTTCATGTGTTTTTTGGCTGCATAAATGTCTTCTTTTGAGAAGTGTCTGTTCATATCCTTTGCCCACTTTTTGATGGGATTGTTTTTTTCTTGTAAATTTGTTTGAGTTCATTGTAGATTCTGGATATTAGCCCTTTGTCAGATGAGTAGGTTGCGAAAATTTTCTCCCATTTTGTAGGTTTCCTGTTCACTCTGATGGTGGTTTCTTTTGCTGTGCAGAAGCTCTTTAGTTTAATTAGACCCCATTTGTCAATTTTGGCTTTTGTTTCCATTGCTTTTGGTGTTTTAGACATGAAGTCCTTTGCCCATGCCTATGTCCTGAATGGTATCACCTGGGTTTTCTTCTAGGGTTTTTATGGTTTTAGGTCTAACATGTAAGTCTTTAATCCATCTTGAATTAATTTTTGTATAAGGTGTAAGGAAGGGCAGTTTCAGCTTTCTACATATGGCTAGCCAGTTTTCCCAGCACCATTTATTAAATAGGGAATCCTTTCCCCATTGCTTGTTTTTGTCAGGTTTGTCAAAGATCAGATAGTTGTAGATATGCGGCATTATTTCTGAGGGCTCTGTTCTGTTCCATTGGTCTATATCTCTGTTTTGGTACCAGTACCATGCTGTTTTGGTTACTGTAGACTTGTAGTATAGTTTGAAGTCAGGTAGCATGATGCCTCCAGCTTTGTTCTTTTGGGTTAGGATTGACTTGGTGACACGGGCTCTTTTTTGCTTCTATATGAACTTTAAAGTAGTTTTTTCCAATTCTGTGAAGAAAGTCATTGGTAGCTTGATGGGGATGACATTGAATCTATAAATTACCTTGGGCAGTATGGCCATTTTCACGATATTTATTCTTCCTACCCATGAGCATGGAAGGTTCTTCCATTTGTTTGTATCCTCTTTTACTTCATTGAGCAGTGGTTTGTAGTTCTCCTTGAAGAGGTCTTTCACATCCCTTGTAAGTTGGATTCCTAGGTATTTTATTCTCTTTGAAGCAATTGTGAATGGGATTTCACTCATGATTTGGCTCTCTGTTTGTCTGTTATTGGTGTATAAGAATGCTTGTGATTTTTGCACATTGATTTTGTATCCTGAGACTTTGCTGAAGTTGCTTATCAGCTTAAGGAGATTTTGGGCTGAGATGATGGGGTTTTCTAGATATACAATCATGTCATCTGCAAACAGGGACAATTTGACCTCCTCTTTTCCTAATTGAATGCCCTTTATTTCCTTCTCCTGACTGATTGCCCTGGCCAGAACTTCCAACACTATGTTGAATAGGAATGGTGAGAGAGGGCCTCCCTGTCTTGTGCCAGTTTTCAAAGGGAATGCTTTCAGTTTTTATCCATTCAGTACGATATTGGCTGTGGGTTTGTCATAGGTAGCTCTTATTATTTTGAGATACATCCCATCAATACCTAATTTATTGAGAGTTTTTAGCATGAAGGGTTGTTGAATTTTGTCAAAGGCCTTTTCTGCATCTATTGAGATAATAATGTGGTTTTTGTCTTTGGTTCTGTTTATATGCTGGATTACATTTATTGATTTTCATATGTTGAACCAGCCTTGCATCCCGGGGATGAAGCCCACTTGATGATGGTGGATAAGCTTTTTGATGTGTTGCTGGATTCGGTTTGCCAGTATTTTATTGAGGATTTTTGCATCAATGTTCATCAAGGATATTGGTCTAAAATTCCCTTTTTTTGTTGTGTCTCTGCCAGGCTTTGGTATCAGGATGATGCTGGCCTCATAAAATGAGTTAGGGAGGATTCCCTCTTTTCCTATTGATTGGACTAGTTTCAGAAGGAAGGGTACCAGTTCCTCCTTGTACCTCTGGTAGAATTCGGCTGTGAATCCATCTGATCCTGGACTTTTTTTGGTTGGTAAGATATTAATTATTGCCTCAATTTCAGAGCCTGTTATTGGTCTATACAGAGATTCAACTTCTTCCTGGTTTAGTCTTGGGAGAGTGTATGTGTGGAGGAATTAATCCATTTCTTCTAGATTTCCTAGTTTATTTGCGTAGAGGTGTTTATAGTATTCACTGATGGTAGTTTGTATTTCTATGGGATTGGTGGTGATATCCCCTTCGTCATTTTTTATTGTCTATTTGATTCTTCTCTCTTTTCTTCTTTATTAGTCTTGCTAGCGGTCTATCAATTTTGTTGATCTTTTCAAAAAACCAGCTCCTGAACTCATTGATTTTTTGAAGGGTTTTTTGTGTCTCTATTTCCTTCACTTCTGCTCTGATCTTAGTTATTTCTTGTCTTCTGCTAGCTTTTGAATGTGTTTGCTCTTGCTTCTCTAGTTCTTTTAATTGTGATGTTAGGGTGTCAATTTTTTATCTTTCCTGCTTTCTCTTGTGGGTATTTAGTGTTATAAATTTCCCTCTACACACTGTTTTGAATGTGTCCCAGAGATTCTGGTATGTTGTGTCTTTGTTCTTGTTGGTTTCAAAGAACATCTTTATTTCTGCCTTCATTTCGTTATGTACCCAGTAGTCATACAGGAGCAAGTTGTTCAGTTTCCATGTAGTTGAGCTGTTTTGAGTGAGTTTCTTAATCCTGAGTTCTAGTTTGATTGCACTGTGGTCTGAGAGAGAGTTTGTTATAATTTCTGTTCTTTTACATTTTCTGAGGAGAGCTTTACTTCCAACTATGTGGTCAATTTTGGAATAGGTGTGGTGTGGTGCTGAAAAGAATGTATATTCTGTTGATTTGGGGTGGAGAGTTCTGTAGATGTCTATTAGGTCTGCTTGGTGCAGAGCTGAGTTCAATTCCTGGATATCTTTGTGAACTTTCTGTCTCGTTGATCTGTCTAATGTTGACAGTGGGGTGTTAAACATCTTATCTACATAGTCACAGGCAATATGGAGAATTGCAGGGAGGTCTTTTAGTGTAGTATAGAGAATACACACTCTGTAGTGTATAGACTAATAAGATAAATACAACCCCAAGCTTACCACCCAGAAAAGTCACTCCTCTTTCACAGGTATCGGCGAGTAAGGCATACGGAGAGAAGAATTATTCTACTCCAGCTGAAATCTTTCCACTTGGAAACATTATGTCATGGCAAAGGAAACTGTCCATTTATAGATATAACAAGTATTACAGCTCCCATTTCAAAAATAACAAAACTAAAGTTCAGAAATGTTAAGTAACTTAACAAAGATTATACAGGAAGGACACTGTGGAGCCTGGGCTCAGACTTTTTAAATCTGAGTAAACACCTTGGAACATCTTCTATGTACTTGAATATCTTCCATGAGTATAGAATAATATAGATAGATATGGGGCATAAGATATAGTGAAGTCAGTTAGCACCTTTGCCTTTAAGATATTTTAATCAAATTGGGGAGTACAAAATTTAGGATAATTTCAGCACAGTTCTATCTATATGAAATTTGAATGAGAATTCCAGGAGCAGACTGAGACAATGCTCTTTTATGTCAAAAGTAGGTTGGTTATGGTCATAGGCAGCTTCCCAGATGAGGTGATGGCTAAGTTGAATCTTGAAGGATAGTAAAAACTAGCCAGCTTAGGGGGGTAGAGGATGAATGACGGAAGGCAATTCTGAGTAGAAGGAGTTATGGTGCAAAGATACAAGACAACATGAAAAAGTAGAAGGATGGCAAATTGTTCCAAATGACTGGGGTAAGTAGCACAAATGAGGGAGTGTTAAGATACGAGACTGTGATTATTGACTTTTACTTAGTCAAGAATCTACTACCTGCCAGACACAGTATTGTGTGCAGAGAGAAAAACAGCAATGAATAAGATAGATGGTGTTTAGGTGCTCAAATGACACCATCTAATAAACACTCTGATTGGAGAAGGGAGTGCTGCTCTAGAAGTACAGGAAGCAGCACCTACTTTGACCTGAGATGGACGTGGTTATGTAAATAGCTTCCTAGCAAAGGAACATCCAACTTCAGGAATGACGTATAAGCAGGGTTTTACCTGAACTAAGGTAGAGGAAGAAAATTCTAAGAAGGGGAAATGGGATGCGCAAAATAAAAAGGCAGAACAAGGAGAGGACAGTTTGTAAATTGAAAAACACTGGAGAACGGAATCTGAGGCAAAGACATTGATTCAGCCAAAAATTGATGATATTCTAAGAAAAAAACACGTATAGTCTATCATCACTTTAGTAACTGTTACTTTTATAGCATCACTTCTAACACCTGTGATTCCTTGGGAATTATTTTTTAGCACTGCAGGCCAAAAAGACATCAGAAGGGTCAATCACATGACTATACATACAGCTGTTGAGAGGCTGCTAACTTGCCCCAGAATTCAACACCGATCATATAAACTCTATACATTTCAGGACTGTATTTTCATCCCATTGACTGTAGGCTTTTCTCTTGTCAAAATAAAAACGTCCGTATGACTCTAATATTTGCCTTTGCTGGTATGAATACCATAGCAGGTATAAACTATTCATATTTGATGGAATTAGAATAGAAACTTAAAACTTGACATGGAGCACCTGTTCTACAGTGTCAGAGCTGACTCAAATTTTACTTTTATTCACAAAATAGGACCAATAACAGGGCTTGTACATGGGGGTTTTGCAAATCAAATTATAAGCAAGAGGACCTCAAAACTAACCTCTGAGATAAAGGTTTTTTTTCTGCATTTTCAATATACTTCCTTATAGATTTAGATGGAAAACTTGTTTCAATGTTTCGCCTAAGTAATAGATGCTTTATTGATACCTCAGAATCATTAGAAGTTTCATACACATTTGGTATGTATTTATTTTGTTATTTCAACACTTATATAACTTCTAATCGATATTTGAAGGAGAAAGAATTGCTTTCCTGTTTTACAACAGTTTATATGTTGCTATGTTATAATGTGACATGCTTAAATGGGATCTCAAATCTCATAAATAAAATAATCTGTGAGGTAAAACAAAAATTTAACAATATAAAAAGGAAATCAAATATGATTTATGAAAGTAAAGTAACAGCTTTAAAATATTTTGAAAAAACAACTCTACATTTTAGAGAAAAACATTACAAAGAATGGAATCGTCAGCATTAAATATTTGCTCGAAAACAGCCATCCTTAATTTTTAATGATGCTAACAATAGCAGCAATCCAGCCTCTTGTTTTGTTTTGTTTACGTGATGTGGTTATTTCGCCATTATTTTGACAAGTGGAGTTCAGAGGGAGTTCACTGAGAGATACCACATCCTTTGGAAGATGCAAGGCTGGCACTGGAAGCCACTGGGGACTCTGCTTCACAGTCTAGATACAAACATGCTTAAAACAATTTGGAATTTTCTATTTCATGTCCTGCCTCTAGCTATCTTATTTGTTGGAATCTGTGATCAGATTACAGAAAGATTACACTTTAACCTATATTTAATCTAAACTAAATAGATATCAGAAGCCATGTTAAGAAATTCAATTTTGTTGCTTTTAAGAGCCAGGTGGAGGGTGGTGTTTTATTTTGGTATATTAACTGTTGCTGAGCAACATAAGTTGTTTTCAATATAGTTTATATCAGTGAAGGGCAAATGTAAGTTGTTCCTTCATTTCAAGGGGATGCTTTCTATAAAATTTCCTCTACAGATACCAGCATCTCTATAGACAAGAGGTCAGAAAGAATTCTCACAAAATGTGTGTTGGAGAAAATCTTAGGGGAAAAATATGACTCCTAAATGGTATTTCGAAGTTTCAGACATTGCAGCCTTGTCCTTTTGTATACAGTGGTTACATTTTTTTTTTGTAATAGTAAAGTCCAGCTTGTCATTCTATCCTTTTCAATTATTGTTCTTTTTATTGCTATTTGAAGCCAGTAACTTTACAATCCATTCGAAGCTCATCTTTAGTAAGCATTTACAGTTGAACAGACTCGGGTTATTCTCTTTATTACTTCCAAGCTTCATAAGGGCTAAGCAGTTTCATAAGACTTTCCTATCCACCATAAAGATGAAGCAACACGTAAGAGACTTCATGATGCCTTTTTAAAAATTATGTGCATGCCTCACTTTTGTTGTATAGATGACAAGACCACTTTTAATTTGACTTGCATATTATTTTAAAATTACTTACAGCAACTTGACTTTTTTTAAAAACCAAAGAATATTTTTGAGGAGTTCTAGGAATACAACTTTTTCACTAATCGTGAGATGTCTCAGGTCTTACAAGAAAACAGAAAGGCCACAGGTTTGTTTTTTTTTTCACATTGCTTAAAGGAAAATCAAATAACCCATGTAACAAATGAAAACAAAGATAGGAAAAAAACATAAAATTGCGCAAAAGACTGCTACACCTCTAAGATGAAATCTTTTCCATTTTAAACTGCTGGCAAATTTTTATGTAATTTCTTTGAGGAAATAATTGAAGTAAAATGTTAATAAAATTTAATTAACTGCACAATAAACTCTCTTTACTGTCTACATGATATGGTTTTTTTCTTGTTTCAAACAAGGAAGAGCAATTAATCTTTCCTTTTGAAACAAAGAGGTATACAAGAACTCTGAAAAATTATATGCTATGGGGTTGGAGAAATTGTTGGCTTAGTTTTTGCTTTTTGGTTAAGGGGACCGAATGTATTCTAAATTGACACTTGCAAGATGCTTCTGTTTGGACTATTGGAAGCCGATTCAGGTCTGCTGTTCTTGAGAGTATATAAAATGAACACTGTTATGTAGTTTCACTGACAGAGGCGCACTCATGCAAAGCAAGATGGATGGAATGTCTGTTTTCTCTATCATGGGATCCCCATTTAGTGACCCAGATGAGGACTGAGTGAACTTGTCACACACGCATGACAGAGCCAGATATGACTTTTTAAATGAAGCTCCAAATCTCATATAGATTTGAAGTTGCTGCTAGAGCACAAAATTTGTCATAAAAGACTTGTCAGTACAGAGTTCATTAAGGTAAAGGATGATAGCACTTTATCTGGACACAATTGAGCTCTCCTCTGGTAGCCTAATCTTCAGTTAAAACAGAGTTGTGTTTTGTTGTGTTTCTTCTCTTTAAAGACTTTTAAAAATGATTTCATTAAGCTTTTCCTTGTTCTTTACTCCAAACTCAAAAGTTTCTTGTAAAATTTTCCCCCAATTTTATTTTTTTTTCTTTGTTTAATTTAGACATGTGTTTATGATGTCCGCTCACAGTCACTTGGGACTTGCCTGAGTCTTTAGGTGAGGTGTTAAGCTTCTCAGGGCAGAATTGTAATGCTTAGGTGAAAGACCAGGCTCTTAATCACTGGCTCTGCGACTGCCCCACTAGAAATTCTATGGCTTCCATTGAATTTTCTTTTATTTAGGGTCCAGAGATCAATAAAAGTATTCACTATCACAAGACTGTCCAGGACTTAAGATAGATCCAAACGTGACAATGTCATGAAAGGCTTAATTCCCAATTACAAGTAGCTTTGTCAGAAGCAGTTTCTATGTTTTCAAATATATCATTTTGATAGCAATTTACTATGAACTTCAGCATAATTTTAATATATACATCTTCCTGAAAGAACTTTAAAGATGTTTTCATCTATTTGTACCACCCCTACCCACTCACCATTCTAATTCAAGGAATAGTCCCATGAGGTTATTAGGGGCACAACTCCTATTATCCTCATTTTACATGTGGGAAAAACAAAAGAAAGGCAAAGTAATTTAGTCTATTCTTGTTTAGGAAAGTAAGAAAATGGTCACTGATTTACCTTCTACTCCTGATTTCCAGCTTAATGTACTTAGCCTGAACTGAGATAAAATATCAAATCAGTATCAGGAACATGCTGATGCTCCATCCAGTCCTCTTTTAGAACTAAAGAAATTCTCCCTCAGCTGCTAGGAGTGTTGCCAGATGTCAGGCCTCCGTTGACAGCCTTTTCCAGGAATTGTTTGCAACCTAAGAGAGTTGCTATTCCTCTTTTCTGTGTAACCAGCACCCAGTGAATGTTCTCGGTAAGGGATATAAAGGCTTAGACAGTTGGCCCAAATTCAGTACATCTTTGAAGGATCGCCTCAGCTTCAGAACTTATCAGAAGACCAACTGAGGTTCCGGTTGAGAATGCATTACAGAACACTTTCTTGCCTTGCCCAATCAATTCTACTTTCTTCCCTTTTTCCTAGAGGCTTTGATTCGGAGAGCAGTCTAGAATACACTTCCTGCAACCACATTTTTGTCTTTGAGTCTGCCCCCAAGAAATGTGACCAGTGACACGATATTTAAAGTATATTAGGAAAACAAACCCACCAATCTTTAACACTTCAACTTTTTCCTGTTAATATATCTGATGTATGTTGAAATATTTTTCTTCTGTTACATTGTATTCAAATAGCTTTTGACACAAAAAAATATAAGGGTCTTGATATTAAATATGTTAATAAAAATAATAAAATCAATTTATATGTTGGCAAATAATAAGGTTTTTGCCTTATGTCATTTTGAGTGTGAATTAATTTTTACATCAGTAAAATTACAGTAAAGTAATTATATTCAGGGCACATTTGAAAAGATCAAGTAGCCTCACTAGGTACACAGAATAACCATCCAAGTTTTGCTCTAAAACCATGGACAGGTTCTCGCCTTGTGCACATGATCCCCAGATGGAATGTTTCCTTCTATCTGAGACTCATTACAAAATGTTTATTGAATCGTAGTATCATCCATGCTTTTTAATTTTAATGCAATGCATCTGTTTTCTATTGCTATGTAACGAACTATCACAAACACAGACTTAAGATATAATTTTACTTTATTTTAGTTTATTATTTTTCTCTTTGTTACATTTTTATCTCACAGTTTCCATGAGTCAAGAGCTAGGCTTCTCTGGGTCTTCTGCTCAGGCTGTCAGGAAAGTTGAATTCAAGGTGTTGGACATGTTGTGTTCTCATCTGGAGGCTCAGCTAGGGAAGGATCAGTTTGTTGTCAGCAGCACTCATTTCCTTGAAGCTATAGAATTCATTTAAAGTTGCTACTTCAAAGCCAGAAAAAGGGAGAGAGAAAGAGAGAAACAGACACTGGTGTTTTCCTTCCAATTCCGACCTTTAGACCACTGTTAAAATAGCTCACCTGATTAGGGCAGGCCCACCCACATTGGTCTTTTTATTAACTTAAAGTCAACTAATTGATTAGTTATGTCATCAAAATCCCTTCACCTTTGTCATGTTCTATTGTTTAGAAGCAGGTTCCATGTCCCACCACACTCAAGGGGAGAGAATTGCAAATAAATGTGGGCCATGAGAGTTATCTCAAGAATTGTGCCAACTGCATGCAGTAAAAATATGTCTATTACAAAATCAGGTAGCATGATTTTTGAAGTTAAAAACATATTCACATAGGTAAGTATAATTTTACATAGAAGGTATAGAAAATATGTACATTTCAGCTTAGGAAGAATCCCAAGATTGGGGTCTTACTACCCTAACATTGAAGTCCAAATAATTATTAGTCCATGGTTTCTTTGTCTGACTCTTTGGCTTTATGTTTTAATTCTTATGAGTGTCTATTCCCAGTCAGGCAAAGCCCCAAATTTTCTTCCTTGAGTAACACATTTCATTTTACTTCTGGGACTCAAATTTATCCAATGTCTCTAATCTCTCTTATTCAGATGACTAACTGCTTTGCATAATTTTTGGCTTAGAGTTAATTATTCTTTCCCCAGAAAGACTGGCAATGTTTCTTTTTTCTTCAAAATGACAGTATATGTGCATTTATGGTTCCCTGAACAAAATGCATGCCTCTTGTGTTGCACTGGAGAGTTTGAGCACATTATATACAATCCTTTATAGTTAGAATTGACCACATGACTTACTTTGACCAATGGAAAGTTACTGGATGTAAAAGAAGCAGAAGCCTTTGCACTGGCCTCTGGACCTTCTGTCAATTCACCATAAGGAGAATTTGTCTTGAGTAGCCACTGGTCTAATGTGGATAAAAGAAAATTGAAGTAGGCCTGAACCTAACCCACTTTATGCTGGTTGACTTGCATCTTGAAGTATATCCACCCAGAAGAGCCTAGCCAAGACTGGCTTAACTATAATCCGTTCTAGTCAGGCCAGGTGTGTCATTCAAGTCACTGAATTTTGCAGTGGTCTGTTAGGTAGCATTATCACAGAAATGGTTGCATAAAACATTACTAGATTACTAGATGTATATAAATTTGCATATAGCTACATGAGGTTTATGTAATATGTTCAATAAATCATCATATGGAAAAAAGAATATTTAATAATTACTAATTTACTATTCTAACCCTAGCACTAAGTGGTAATTCTTTTATTTATAATACACATGACTTGATGAATGGAATACTTTCTCCTCAATAAATTCTATTAAGCTATGAAATCTAAACTTAAGTCTTACCTTCTCTGTTAATCTTCCACTGACAAAGATTTTTTCCTAGAAACTCCTTTGGACCTTTGTAAGATTTATGACTTTACCAAGTGTTTTAGGTTTAAGTGTGTTATATTTGTTCAGTCGAGCTGAGTTTCCTCCTGTGTTTGTGGTTAACCATGGCATTAGGGCTAGTGTTGTCATTTGCTATGCTTGTTCTCTAGGAGGGCAGTACTGCAATGAATGCTATTAATTCATTCATAAAATATTTATGGAGAGCCTTCTACAGAAAAGTCACTGTGTCAAATTCAGTGTTATCCCTTACTCTTCAATGATAGAACTGCTCCACTAAAAATCTTCTAGTTAATGATCCTAGATCTATCTTTACGGTAAAGTAGGAATCATTATTGGCTATGATAAAACATTTATAAATATTATTCATATTCTACAAAATAGTTTAATATAAATATGTAATAAAGTTATAAAAATTCTAAAAGTTGCTATTGGCATAGCCAGTAATAATATTGAAATAACAAACTAATTAACAAATAGTTTCAATTATAACAAAAGATAACATGTTTGATGTATGTGCTTTACTTCAAGGACTATTAAAAGTAATTTATATGCATTTGCCTATTTAATCCTTTCAAAATCTTGTGATATTAACATTCTCTCCATAGAGGCCAATAAAGATGCTTAAGAGAACAAAATGAATAAATTGTGGAGCCAAATTCAAATCTTAATATAGAACAAGAAACAAAGATAAGCACATATATATAATGCATGTATTATAAAGTTGACAGCATGTCAAAATTTGGGTTTTAGAATCAGGCTGCTTATTTTCAAGTTTCAGGTTTTCTACTCATTTGCAGTGTGCCATGAGAAGTTAAGTCAATTAACCTCAGTTTCCTCATTTATCAAATGAGAAGAATTGTAGTACCTATTTAAGAGTTTATGTGCAAATTATGTAAGATGCAAAACTCTTAGAACAGTGCCTAGAAAATAAAAGTTTTGAATAGATGCCTGTGGTTAACATTACTTGATGATCTTCACAAAATTGATTGGGTGAATCAATAGTCTTTATAGACAAAATTAACATACATGCCCATGTGAGAAATTAATCAATCACAAAGGAATGCTTTCCAGTCTAATGACTGTTCAATATCACAATTGCTCAGTGTGGGACTTAAAACAGGATTGTGTTGTCTGGTCATATAATCTCATACCTATGACACATTTCTCTTGTCACCTTCTTGTTCTACTTCAGTTTCAGTTTTTCTCATGGATAATTGTTGTGCTGAAAATAATAAACTTACTGCGTGCCAGACCCTGTTCCAGTTGTAGTCCTAAATCACTTTATGTGGTGGCAGCATCACTCTATTTTGTAGATAGAAAACTGAGACAAAAGTGATAAAATGATTTACCCAAGGCACATCAGTGGAAGTAGCATAAATGGATCTGGATAGAATCTGTTGTGCTTATTTTTTTAAGAAGTTCATCCTTAAGCAAGGTTCTTCAAAGTAAATTTTTTAAATTAACTAACTTTATTTTTAAAGCAGTTTTAGATTTATAAAAAATTGAGCAGAAAGTACAGAGTTCTTCCATACCTGCCTTCTTCCCCTCACCTGTCAACCCACCCCAACAGACTTCTTTATTATTAATATCTTCAATTAGAGTTGTACATTTGTTACAATTTATAAACCAGTACTGATATACTAGTATTAACTGTAGTCCATGGTGTTCTTTTGATAAATGTATAATAACATGTATCCACTATTACAGCACCATAAAAAATAGTTCCATCACCCTAAAAAGCCCCTGTGCTCTACGTAGTCACTGTTACCTCCATCTTTCCAAAACACTGGCAACCATTGCTATTTTTACTGTTTTCCCTATTCCAAATGTCATATAATTGGGATCACGCAGTATGCAGGCTTTTCAGATTTACTTCTTCCACTTAGCAATATACATTTAAGTTTCTTCCTTGTCTTTTGATGACTTGATATTATATTTCTTTTCACCACTAAATAATATGCCATGGCATGGATATATCACAGTTTGTTTGTTCATTCATCTATTGTTGGGAGCATCTTGGTTTTTGCCAAATTCAGGCAATTATAAATAAAAAGGCTATAAACACTTGTGTGAAGGTTTTTGAGAAAATCAATTTCCATCCCATTGGAATACTCAGGAGCATGATTCTTGGATTGTGTGGTGAGAGTATATTTAGCTTTGTAAGAAACTACCAGTATGTCTCCAAAAGAGCTGTACCATTTTGTATTCCCACCAGCAATGAATGAGAGCTCTTGTTGTTGCACATCCCCACCAACATTTGCCATTCTCAGTGCTTCACATTTCAGCCATTTAATGGATAGTCATATAACATTCCTTTAATTTACAACTCCCTAATGACATATGATGTTGATAATCTTTTCATATACTTATTTCTCATCTGTGTATCTTTTTTGGTAAATTGTTCATATATTTTCTCCATTGTATTAGTGCATTCTCACGCTGCAAATAAAGACATACCCAAGACTGGCAATTTACAAAGGAAAGAGATTTAATTGATTCACAGTTCAGCATGACTGGAGAGGCCTCAGGAAACTTACAATCATGGCAGAAGGGGCAGCAAACACATCCTTCTTCACATGGTGGCAGCAAGGAGAAGTGCAGAGTGAAGTGAAGGGAAAGCCCCTTGTAAAATCATCAGATCTCATGAGAACTCACTCACTATCACGAGAACAGCATGGAGGTAACCACTCCCATGATTCAATTACCTCCCACCAGGTCCCTCCCGTGACAAGTGGGGATTTTGAGAAATACATTTCAAGATGAGATTTGAGTGGAGACAGAGTCAAATCATACCATCCATTACAAATTTTTGTGTTTGTTTTCTTGTTGAGTTTTGAGTGTTCTTTGTAAATTTTTCATAACAGTCATTTATCAGTTATGTGTTTTGCAAGAATTTTCTTTCAGTCTGTAGTTTGTCTTATTATTCTCCTGACACCGTCTTTCGCAGAGAGTAGATTTTTAATTTTGATTAAGTCCAAATTATCATTTTATTTTTCTTTCATGGATTGTGCTTTTGAATGTATTGAAAGAGTCATCATCATACCTAAGGTTTCTTAGATTTTCTTCTGTTCTGCCTTCCGAATAGAGTATGGAATCTTTATAATTTTGCATTTTAAATTCAGGCCTGTAATCCATTTTGAGTTAATTTTTCTGAAAAGTTTAAAGTTTCTGATCAGATTTATTACTTGCATGTGCATGTTCAGTTATTCCAGCACCATTTATTGAAAATATTATCTTTTTTCCATTGAATTTCCTTTGCTCTTTTAAAACTGAATTTTCTATCATATACACACACTGTAATTCACACTAAACCACATCCAAAATACTCTTTAAATTGTTGAACATCCATCCAGATATTTTTGTGTGATGCAGTAACAAAAATGAAATAACAGATGGATTTGTAAAATGTGAGACTACTATTAATTCTCTAATATACACCCATGCATCACTCCATCACTTATCCTTAGGGATACTTTCTGAGAAATGTGTCCATAGGCAAATTTATTCTTGTGTGAACATCATAGAGTGTACTAACAGAAACCTAGATGTTACAGCCTAATAAATACCTAGATGCTATGGTATAACCTATTACCCCTAGGCTACAAACCTGTATAGCATGTAGGCAATTGTAACACAGTGGTATTTGTGTATCTAATCATATCTAAACATAGAAAAGCTACAATAGAAAGATGGCATTATAATCTTATGGGACCCCTGTCATATATTTAGTCCATTGCTGGTGAAAATGCCCTTATGCAATGCATAATTGTATAGTATTGTGTCAATTAATAACCATATGAAATGAATGAAGGTGCATCTCTATCCCAATATTAACTTAAAATGAATTCTGGAAGTATCAAATTTGCATGAATTTTTGACAATAAAAAATTCCAATAAATATACTTTAATTATATAACATATATTATGTTTATAACATATATAATATTTATATGCAAATGATATATATTATTATAATTTTACTCCATATTTATGACATATTTATTCAGTGGTTACTTAGCTTCTATGGTGTGTAAGGTGCTCTGCTAAAAATGCAGGTTGAAGGAGATAAAATTTAAAGGAAGAAAATATTGTTTCCGTATGAAGTTTTATATACTGGTAAGGAAGACAGACATTGATAAAAAATCACACATATATATCTAAGGTATATAAATTTTTAAAATAATAAATAAGGAATGTAAAAATGCAATTTTCTTAATTTTTCTATGATTGTATGTATTTGTCTATAAATTCTCCATTGGTTCTAATGCACAAAAATGAGCAACTCATATCTGGATAAATCTGGTTAATGAAATGTCATATGTAGTCCTAAATTAATTTCAAACTTTTAGGTCCTACTTTCTCTCCTTTGAATAGATGCTTAGACAGTGTCATGGGAAGGCTGCATTCTCATTCCTCGGCATCAGTCATTGCAAATGGTCCTTGATTTGTCTCACCAGTCCTGACAGCCAATGAGATGTAACCATGTATACATTTGGTCTCCAGCTTGACGTACTCTTATGTTTTGTGGAGATTCTTGAAGGTCCATCTACCTGACCTGATTTATGAGCACCAAGGAACACTGGGACAAATGAAAGAGGGAAAGCATAAAACAAAATTCATATAATAATAACCTACTTACCGGTCCCTGTTATATAGCTATAGAAGGTAAGAGCCTGGGATGTAAAAAAGAGAAGGCATAGAGGCATGTAACACAGGAAGTAATTCTTCACTGTGGGACCAAGGGATTAAGAGAGATGAAGAAAGGCTCCCCTGGGAAATTTTTGATTGAAGTGTAATCTGAAGAATAAGTAAGTTTCATCTAGTCCAAAAAGGAGGACATGGGAAGGAAATATATACAATTCTATGTGGGGAGAAGCATCACACATGCAAAGGAATAAAGAAAAGTACATAGGTTTAGAATTGAGATTTTCTAACGAGTGTAGAGTGGTATTTGAGCAAGCTGAAATTGAAAATGACTTTATATTTCATTTAGAGACCTTAAAAAAAGATAGACACTTTTAATCAAATAAGTATTTTGGCCTCCTTGACTTTTCATCAGAACTATTGTATTATATATGAATAATCAGATTTGAGTTTTAACTCTATGATGTTGACAAATTTTGATAGTATTCTCTTGTGGAAGGTTGATACAGGTCTTTCTTAAAGCATGATATTTAGCCTTCAAATTATTTATGATTTTCTGAAATTGTTATTCAAAGGCATCAGTTTATGAGGTCCTTGATTGTATACCCTGTGATATGGTTTGGCTGTGTCCCATTCAAATCTCATCTTTCATTGTAGCTCCCATAATTCCTACATGTTGTGAGAGGGACATGGTGGGAGATAATTGAATCACAGGATGGGTTTACCCCATACTGTTCTAATGGTAGTGAATAAGTGTCACAAAATCTGATGGTTTTATAAGGGGTTTTGTTTTCGCTTGGCTCTCATTTTCTCTTTTTGCCTGCCACCCTGTAAGACATGCCTTTTGCCTTCCACCACGACTGTGAAGCCTCCATAGGCATGTGGAACTGTGAGTCCATTAAACCTCTTTTTCTTTATAAATTACCCAGTCTCAGGCATGTCTTTATCAGTAGCATGAAAATGGAATAGTACAGTAAATTGATACTGGGTAGTAGGGTACTGCTGTGAAGATAACCAAAAATAGGGAAACAACTTTGGAATTGGGTAACAGGCAGAGGTTGGAACCATTTGGAAGGCTCAGAAGTGGATAGAAAAATGTGGGAAAGTTTGGAACTTCCTAGTGACTTGTTGAATAGCTTTGACCAAAATGCTGATAATGATGGGGACAATGAAATCCAGGCTGAGGTGGTCTCAGATGGAGATGAGGAACTTGTTGGGAACTGGAGTAAAGGTCCCTCTTGCTATGCAAAGAGACTGGCAGTACTTTGCCCCTGCCCTAGAAATCTGTGGAAATTTGAACTTGAGAGAGATGACTTAGGGTATATGGTGGAAAAATTTATAAGCAGCAATGCATTCAAAAGGTGACAAAGCATAAAAGTTTGGAAAATTTGCAGCCTAATGATGCTGAAGAAAAGAAAACCCATTTTCTGGGGAAAAAAAATCAAGCCCTCTGCAGAAATTTGTATAAGTAAAGAGGAGCCAAATGTTAATCACCATGACAACGGTGAAAGTTTCTCCAGGGCACTTCAGAGACCTTTGCAGGGGTTGGGGGGCCAGTGATATGGTTTGGATGTGTCTCCATTCAAATCTCATCTTTAATTGTAGCTTCCATAAATCCCACATGTTTTGGGAGGGACCCAGTAAGAGATAATGAATCATGGGGGCGGTTTCCCACATACTGTTCTCGTGGTAGTAAATAAGTCTCATGAGATCTGATGGTTTTATAAGGGGTTTCCCTTTCTGCTTGGCTCTCATTTTATTTCTTGCTCGCTGCCATGTAAGATGTGACTTTTGCCTTCTGGCGTGAGCTTGAAGCCTCCCCGGCCAGGTGGTACTGTGCTCCCATTAAACTTCTTTTTCTTCATAATTTACCCAGTCTCAGGTATGTCTTTATTAGCAGCTTGAAAATGGACGAATACACCCTGTAACCAAGAAAAAGTAACACTTGCTGGAGCATTCAATCCTTTTGTACATAATGACGTTAAGTTGGCCCCGAAAGACTCATAATTATGACACAAGCAACTCATCAACATCAGAATGTTTTGGGTGTCTGGTAAAAACAAACAAAAAAACAAAAAATCATCCCATTGACTATGATTATTTAAACTCTAACAATATTTATTTATTTATTTATTTATTTATTTTATTAGAGACAGGGTCATGTTCTGCCACCCAGGCTGGAGTGCAGTGGTGTGATCATGGGTCATTGTAGCCTCAAACTCCTGGGCTCAAGCCATCATGCCACCTCAGCCTCCTGAGTCCCTGGGACCACAGGTGCCTGCCACCATGCCCAGCTAATTCTTTTTCTGGTAGAGATCATGGCCTCACTACATTGCCCAGGCTGGTCTTGAACTCGTAGCTTCAACCGATCTTCCCTCTTGGCCTTCTTGGGTTGCAGGCATGAGCCACTGTGACCAGCACTATCTAAAAACAGATCCATCAACAATAGTTTGTGCATTTTCTAAGACTAGTGAAGTCTGTTGACATTGAGGATTACATTCTTTCCCTTAAAATGTTAACTATAATGTCATTGGTCAAAAGGTAACCATCAACAAATAACTTTGTTGGTTTAAGCATCCTACTGGGCAGTTTTTATAAAATTAATGCTTTTCTATTGCGTATTTGTAATCATAACTGAGATGGGTTAAGAAAACTTCCGGAAAATATAAAGTTTTATTCCAAGAAGGACACTGTGCACTGGAAGACCATAGCTTTTAAAAAGCATAAATATAAGTATTCCCTTGTAACTCCTAATTACCTTAATTTGAATTTAACGCTTTCCTTGGTGTCCTCATTCCTGCTAAAGTTTCTTTGAAGCTGAAATGTATCATAATTAACAGTCTTATTCATGCATTTCATGTGTTTTCATTGTGGGAATAAGGACCTAAAATTCCTAATTAGATGAACACAGTCTTTGAAAGTGGTGAATTTGGAATGACTCTTCTATTTGAGGTGGCACTATTATTTCTAATAATAACATTAGCTATAATCACCATATTACTCAATACTAACGTGACTCTTTTTTAACATCAAATAGCTTAACTTTTCCAATTTTCTTTCTATATGAAAACATTTGTATTTTCCTGCCAACCATATTAGACCATGTATTTATAATATCAGTCTTCTAGGACTGATGCCTGCATGCTATTATCATCTTGTGTCCTTGTCCCTAATAAATGTTTCCCTGTGGGAGCCACATAGCACTCAAAGCTGCCTGCAGTCTTTCCAGGAGGCAAATAATTAGCCATGGAAATAATTCCATTCCAAAGGGAATTCAGATTAGCTACAATTCTCATGCATTTCTCCTTGATGTGAATGAATATCATGTAAGTTAAGCCAAACTGCTTCTATTTGGATTTAGTTCTGAGACTTCTCTTATTGTGGATAGAAAAACTCTAGCCACTGAGAATGGTCTTAATCTGGGATGAGATGTCTTCATCTAGATTCCTTGATTTTTGTCTTAAAAACCATACTACATTAACTACATACATTAAACTTTCAAAGACAGAGCACATCTGACTACCTAACTCATGGACTCATTGTGGAATTAATTTTAATTGCTAAGTAGTCAAATTAAACACATAAATAAAAATTACAAATGTATATATATTCTCAAATGTGAGTTGATGGTTGCCTGTCTTACCTCTGGCCTAATTTGATATCAAAATCTGTTAATTTTGCCCTCCTCAAGATACACACACACACACACACACACACACACACACACACATATGTATAAATTCTACTGGCTAAATTAATCCTTTCTCTTATGAAGTCCCTACCTATGGTAGCATGTATTGTAGCTGCTTTGTACTTTCCTCTGAAGGTGACAGATTGGGTATTTATTACTGTTATTACTAGATTTGCAGTGCTTGGCCAAATCTTCAAGAACCCACTGGTTTCATTTTTTTTTTCTTTCTTCCCTTTAAATTGTTATTCTTTTTTCTAAATCCCTAATAAAAATTTCCTATCCTCTGCTACCTGTGCAACACATACTTCACTTCCTTGACTTCTGCCATTGAATTCCGACATTCCCCTGTTTTGGGTCCTATATCGCGTATGTGACTAACTTTTCCCTTGCATCACTAGCTTCTCTGTTGGGAATAAACTCAGTTTATGGTGCGTTCTGATGCCCTGTGTCTTTCTGAAGCTTCTTCTCTCCCTTCGTGTTGTAGAAGAAATTATTTATCTAACCTACAAGAAAATCTAGCTTTTGGATAGGAAACATCTAAGTTCTGTGTAGTTCCACAAAGAAGAGAGTTCTTATCAAGAAAGTAAGAAAAAACTTTATTTATATGCTCTCTGTTTCTTTAAATCAAAGTAGCCATATATCAAAGGCTGTTGGCTGACATAGAATCAGAGAAACACCACCTCAGCACTTTTATCTTTAACTCATTACTGCTTACTAAATAAGAGTTGTGTAATTATAAGTCATAACAATATAGATAATCATACATATAGAGGAGTAAAATAAATTAAGTTAAACTTTATAAAAATGAGGCGATGGACCTAAAACTCAGTATGTTCTGCTAGGATTTGTATAGCTTTCTTTTGGTTTGATTTAAATGAGTTTGTGTCTCTTAGATGAACCCACAGGCCAAATGGTGCTAGGTGTCTCAATAACCACCATAGGAAGTTTATGAAACAAATTTCAAGGCAAGAGCTGTAATTACCACAAAAAAAAATAAATGGCTGTCAGTAAAGACTATCTCTTCAATGGAAATGTCTTACTTCCTGTCTTTCTTTTTCTCTCTCTTCCCCACCTGCCACGTAAGTGTGGGCATCATTAATGCTGTTCACAATACCTCCAGCACTCTTTAGTCTAAGCACATGCAGCACAGAGTGGCTCACCTCCATGCCCTTTGGAGTTACAGGGCCTGTGAGTCTTACTTTGGCCATGCCTGACTTCTGGACATCTCCACAAGAAGCAAATGGAATGATTTTCCATGTAACTTTTTCTCTGTTAGTGCAACTAGAAACAGAACCGCTCAAAATGATAGCTTTTCCATGAGTCCAAGACATGGAGTGATGACAATGACGTGGAGCAGAGGCCCCAACTGAACTTCAGTGGTTAAAGATAAACGTTAAAAAAGGACAATTAAATCATGACGAAAATGAGAAATTTTCAATAATATGGAACATTAAAACCTTTGTATTTTGTCAATCTCTCTCTCTCTTTCTAAATATATATATATTTATTATATAAGTGTGTGTGTATATTTATATAATAAATATCACATATACCAAAATCACATATACCCAAATATACACACACAGATGTCACAGGAATATCATATATAGTATCTATACTAAGTATAGTAATGTTGTGGCTTTTTTGTTCCCATAGTTCAGTGAGCAGGAGGGAGTGGCACCCAGTGGCTTCTCCTCTCTGGTTGTTTGGCTAGCAGGAGGGACTATTACAGCTCTTTTACTTCCTCCACCTGTAGCTTGAGGAGCAGGAGCTCTTTCAGTCCCACAGTTCGGTGAGTTCTGGGTTCTGGTCTTATGACGAAGAGGAATAAGGTACATGGACACCGGAGAGTGAGTAAGGCAGAGTAAAATGTTATTAAGTGACAGAAAGAAAGCTCTCTGCAACAAGAGGATGTCTGAAAGTGGGTAGCCATCTGTGAGGCTAAGTTTGGGGTTTTTATGGGCTTAGAGTAGGGGAGTGCATGCTTATTGGTCCGTGGGTGGCCTTGGAAAAAGCACCATTCAATTGGTTAAAAGGCATCATTCCAAACGAACTAATGAAGAGATAGTGGGTAAGATGGGGATAGAAGTTCTCACTCTAGTTGTGGAATCAATCTGGATCTGGCAGCTCGGTTTTCAGGCTTTAAATTGTCCTTGGCTTGAAGGTCGGGCTTCACTAGGAACCCATCCATGTCTACCTAGGAATTTGCCTGTCTCTTGTCAGTATCAATAACATAATAAAAAGCTCTTTCAGATAATAGAAATATTTTTCCAAGGAAATAAATATTATTCTCCAATGTAAATAAAGGAAGGTATTGTATCATATGAATGTATTCTCTTATAATTTAATGATTACTTATTTGTGTCTTTGTTTTAACCTATTTGACTTTTTTCAAATATTTGTGACAATAAACAATATCTGATAAGCATCCCAGCTTCAGAATATTTTCATAAAACATCATTATTTTCTACAGAGCATAAGTTTCTGTGTGTAGAATTTCTGAGTCATGCATATAAAAAATTGTCTCATATGTAAAAATAAACCTATTTTTTAGTGTAACAATTTACCCTTTACTAACTGAATGAGTTTTTACATTTTTCTGCATTCTTACTGAAAATAAGAATTAGTTTTGTTAACTGTTTGCCAATTTTACTAATAATTTTAGATTATTGAATTCATTTGCCTGTATTTAATAACTATGCCTGTATATGCATTTTTATATTTTTATTTATTATATATTTATATATTTATATATTTTGTCTACTAGATGTAGTACCAATATAGACATGTGTTCTAGTTTGGCCAATATAGTTATGTATATCACCATTCTTCTGGGGTGAGTCAGTGAGAGGAAAACTTTCTTGCTTCAGAAAATAAAATATTGAACTTCCCTGGATGTAAATATATTGAATCATATAAATCTGTATGCTGATATAATATACACAGTCAGCCTCTCCCTTTAGGCTATAAAACTGAGATATAATGTAAATTGTGTTATCAATAAGATATCTTTAACTGTCTCCAGGAGATTTTCTGAAGACAAAAGTAGTTTATATTTATGATAGCTGTTAAGATAATGTCATATTTTTATTTGATCAAAACTAACATTAAATTTGTCAAAGAAAACTGAATTTGAACTCTTCATAATTATTATATTTGTGTTAACTTTTTGTATTTAAATTTTAGTCATGCCAACTATTTTCTCCAAAGAGAAACAATAGCAACTATAAAAGTCCAGTAGTGTCATCTAATAAACTGCAAATCAAGTCATTTTCACTATACCGGTAGAGATAGGAACAAATCAGTTATTAGAATAACTGATTTCTGACAATGGTTTTTAGATTTCCAGGTTGTGATTATCTAATTCATGTTTTATCTATGAATATAATTTGAACTAGAGCATTTGAGTTTGAGAAAAATAAAATAAAAATTGAGATACATTTCAGTTATTACAGATGTGTTTGCAAAACTGTTTGGAAAAGATAAATGAAACAAAGGTTGAGGTAATTAAAAACTTGATTTGAAACATGAATAGAATTAAAAGGGTAGGAGTTGCTTATATAATATAAAATATAACCGGACCTCAGATCTGAATCTTCATCAAAGATCACAGTCCAGAAATCAAAGTTAAAGTCAAAACTATTTTCTTGAATTAATTAAATGTGATTAGGGGGAGATAGAGACATAAATAAATTAGATAGATAGATAGATAGATAGATAGATAGATAGATAATCAATAAATTATAGATATATACATAGAAATGTCATAGATAATAGAAATAATTTTTCTTTTTCAGCCACTTCCTTTACTCAGCACGATTACTCTTTTACTTCTGTTATACCTCACCCCACTGAAAACCACCGCTCCAGCTGTCAGCCAGCATTATCTCTTTGCCTTTTTTTTAATCCCCCTTGCTTCTGTTCTATAACACTTGAAATAATTTGACTCTTAGGACAACGCCTGCATCAGAGTTAAGGTATGAGAAGAAAGTAATTGGGCCAGTCAAAATCCTCTTTTGCAGGTGGATCACAGAGGCCATTAATAATGGCTGTTCTATTTCAGAAAATAATCCCTTAAGTGGGAGTGAAACTGAGATTGTTACTTTATACCCAAGGAAATTTCTCAGTATTGCCAATATAAAAAGGTGGAATAAATATTTTATATTCTACCTTTAGAGTCCAACGTGCTCTTTTATTGAGGACAATGGATCAGAATTGGCAATATGAGAGCAAATAACTTTTCTAGAGGAAGAACAAACTGCTAAGCAAATCAGAAACTGGAATTTTAGGAAATAGTTAAATCATTGCTTTATTAGTACTTAGATTTTAAAACATCTATGAGAGAATGATATATAAGAAATAAAATAGAAATATAGAAAAATAATTAACGATTGGGGAAGATACCCTCATGGGTGTACTAGTCTTAATAGAATAAGCTATGCTGAAGTAATAAGCAACTTGTAACTCTCAACAAACTAACAAAAGTGTCTTTCTCACTCACACAGAAACTACTACAGACTGAGCCAATCCTGGGCATCTGATCTCAAGGTGCTGACTCAGAGATCCAGAATGCTTCTTTCACAGCTGCATAGCCTTCCTAAAGAAAGTCTGAAGGGCATTTCTTTTTTTCATTATAGATATGAAGTGCATTTACTCTGCTCACATTTCCATGGCCTGAGCTAATTACTTGGTCTCATCTAAATGGAAAAATATGATAAAATATAGTTTTCTATGTGTAAAGGATGGAGGAATATAAAACAATTTGGAGTAAGTATACAGCATAGTAGCTACCTACCAAGATGGGATTCTATTGCTTAATTATAATATGGGTTCATACAAGTATAAAAATCTCAATTTTCTATAAAACATATATATAAACAATATTACATTTACATGTTAAAATATCTATAGCAACTTCTGAATGAAGGAATTCTTTGTGGCTTCTTTTATCTCTCTTGAGCTGTTTGTGCATGATATTTTAAATTTTTGAATCTTAAATAAGCATAACGTGCAAGTAATTAAAGTGTGCTTAAGTTTTATGTGTATATAAGCATACGTGTGTATATGCATAGAGAAGCAGAGAGAGAAATAAAAAGAGAAAATACCCTTATTTTCTTCTATTTAATTTACTACATATGAATGCAAACAAATGTTTTGCGTACCTTTATTTGTTATATTCTGGAAAATTGCCTTTTCAAATACATAGTGGTCTATAAAAAAAACATTTTTTTGTTTTTTTAACAATCAATAGCCTACTCAATTCATTGATTTATCTAGCTAATATTTATATATGCCTTTTTTTTTTTTTTTTTTTTTTTAGACAGAGTCTCGCTGTGCCTCCCAGGCTGGAGTGCAGTGGCACGTTCGCGGCTCAGTGCAACATCCGCCTCCCGGATTCACACCATTCTCCTGCCTCAGCCTCCCGAGTAGCTGGGACTACAGGAGCCTGCCACCACGCCCAGCTAATTTTTTGTATTTTTAGTAGAGACAGGGTTTCACTGTGTTAGCCAGGATGGTCTTGATTTCCTGATCTCGTGATCCACCTGCCTTGGCCTCCCAAAGTGCTGGGATTACAGGCGTGAGCCACCGTGCCGGGCCACATGTCTTCTTTGTGCTAGGCACTGTTCCAACACTGAGGGTTTCACAGTGGGGACAAAATTTAAGAGTACTATGGAATTTACATTTATAGCAACAGAAAGACAAAAAATAAATGAGAAAAAAATCAATAAAATAGAATGCTCAAAGTGTGAATGAAAGAAGTAAAACCGGTAACAGAAGTGCAAGGGTGGTAGAGGGAGGAAATTTAATGTTAAATAGTTTGACAAGAGAAGGTCTTTCCATTAAATTGATTTCTGAGTAAAGAATTTATAAGGAAGTCTGAAATGTAGATGTCTCTAGGGAGACCATTCCAGACAGAGAAACCAACAAGAAAAAGAAATATCCTGAAGCTGAACACAGGCGAATGTTCTGGGAGTAGGAATGAAGCCAGTGAGGCCAGAGGGAAGAAAGTCTAGAATTAGAAATCAGCGAGGTCAAGCATATGGCAATGTATTCTCTGAGATCTTTCAAGCCAGAGCAGTGAGTTTGGCGTTTCATGAAGGAAAGTCATGGGAGTGATTGAAGCAGAAAAAGAGATAATATATAGTCTACTGAGTCACTCTGGCTGCTGTGTGGAAATGTATGTTAAAGAGGGCCAAGAACAGAAGTAGATCATTTTGAGGCAAGAATTGATATAAGAGATGATGCTCGCTCCAACTAGAATAGTAGCAACAGAGATGGTGAGAAATTGTCAAGTTATTGATCCATTTTGAAGGGAAAGTCAAAAGAATTTGCTGATAGAACAAATTTAGAATGTGAAAGTAAGAATGGAACTCCCCTTTACCTAGAAGAGAATTTGAGGAGAGATTTGAGACATAAAATCAAGAGGCATTCTGTATATATTGTTTAGAGGCCTCATAAAATAACTAGGTGAAAGTGTTAAAAAAATAACTGTGTGTTTAGGAGTCTGCAGTTTCAGTAAGAGAGATTTTCCCTGAGACTAAAATAATATCCATTCATGCTTCTTTTGTATTTATTATACCCTAGGAACTGTTTTCTCTACTATATGTATGAGTTTTTAATTTATACAAAATTCCCATAGGTACTATTATTATCAACATTTTACCATGAGAAGGCTAAGACATAAAGAAATTAAGTATTTGTGCCAAAGACAAAGAGTTACTAACTGATAGAGCAAATGTCTGTGTGTCTGTTAACCCTGCTTATTGTCTCTCTTGGTAATTAATTATCATACAGCTAACATTTAAAGCCATGAAATTAGGTGAAATCCCCAGGGGAGAGTCAGGGAGAATGGAAGAGTTCCAAGGAGGGGTGAAAAATAACATCTTATGAGAAAGAAAACAAGCCAGGTTGTGCTGTCTTGGAAGCAAAGACAGTATTTCAAGAAGGATTTGATCATGTGTATAAAATTATGCTGATAGGCTAAATTAGAAAGGCTTCTGGTTGGCTTTGGGGCTTAACTGCATGGAGGATTTGGGGAACCTTGATGAAATCAGCCCAGTGAAGGGACAAGTGTGAACTTCAGAGAGACAAAAAATGATGACAAGAAATAGAGATAATTTTTGAAGAGTTATTTTGGAAGCAGAACAATGGCAAAGAAGGGTGGTTGGATCAAAAAAGGATTTTTTGTTTGCATACATTTTAAGTTAGAAAAACACGGCACTGTCTCTGCACTTTGCTGACGTAGAGTATATAAGCACAAGTGTAAAGAGGTGTTGGGAGTAGAGAAAATTATCATGCTATTTGGTTTATTAATTCAGTGAATGAGAAAAACTCATCAGCTTAGGGTAAGTCAAAGTTCTGAAGCTACAGGAAGGAAAATGAATAGGAGAGATAGTATATAACTACTGTCAATGAAAAGAGTCAAACTATATAAAATATTTTAAGAGATTTATTCTGAGCCAAATATGAGTGATCATGGTCCGTGGAGGTCCTGAGAACATGTGCCCAAGGTGGTAGAGGTACAGCTTCGTTTTATATATTTTAAGGAGGCATGAGACATCAATCAAACACATTTAAGAAATACATTGGTTTGGTTCAGAAAGGCGGGACAACTCAAAGTGGGGGCTTCCAGCGCTATAGGTAAATTTAAACATTTTCTGGTTGACAGTTGAGTTTATCTGAAGACCTGGGATCAATAGAAAGGAGATGTTCAGGTTAAGATAAAGGTTATGGGACATGAAGTTTTATTGTGCAGAGGAATATCTCACATAGCAGACTTCAGAGAGAGAGCAGGTGACAAAATGTTTCTTATTGGACCTAAAAGGGTGCCTGGTTCTTAGTTGGTTATCTCATGGATCTGGAAAGGAAGGAAGGAAAACAACGGGGAGAGGGGATTCTCTATAGAAGTGAATTTTTCCCACAAGAGACTTTACTGGGCAATTTCAAGATATGGCAGAGAAACATGTTTTGGAGAAAAATATTTTGATTTTCCTCCTTGTGTTGCCAGAGTCAGATTGGAAAGTAAGTCATGATATACAGAGTTAAATAAAACCCATCTGATGAGAATTTATGGTTTGTAGGGCTTAACTCCCCAGACCCATTAGATGGGAATTTGGGCAAGATTAAAAAAAAAATCAGAACTTGGTCCTCACTACTGTGAAAGTTAGGCCACATTAGGGTCAATTTCACTCATAATAGGAGAAATGCAAATTAATACTACTCAGAGATGTCATTTACACCTGCAGATGGGCCCCATCACAAAAGCATGACAATACATTACTTTTGGGGAGATCTATCTTACATTGACATTGGGAATAAATAATGGTTCAACCCCAGTAGAGATAAATTTAACAATATCTATAAAACGTATATGTTCATTTAGCTCTTGACCCAGCAAGACCACTTCTATGAAACATTGTCAAAAATGTAAGAAGGCTTGGGTCTAAGGTTATTTACTGTGGTATAATTTGTAATTACAAAAGTTTGGAAATAATTCAGGTGTCTGTGAGTGCAGGACTAGTTGAATAATTTATAGTTCATCCACATACTGAAACATTCCGTAGCTTTAAAAATGAAGAAAGAACATCTCTGCACTGACTGGAAATAATCTGCAGAATGGAATATAAAATGAAAAAGGCAAAGTGCAGAACAATAAGTACTGCATGCCACTTTTTCTATAAGAAAGAGGAAGAGAAATGTGTATATGTATTAACGTGTTCACTCATATACATATATATTTGCTAAAATAAGTTTTAGAAAAGTAAATAAAAATTAATACAAATGCTTTCTATAATGGTAGGGAAAGACAAGGATGGAAGGCAGAGATATAATTAGAACCCTCATAATAATTCTTTTTATGTAGCATTGAATTTGATAATTTATGCATATTTTATATATTCAAAAAATAAAATTTTTATCAAAGGGAATAAAGGCAGACAGTAAAAGAAAAAGGGAATTAAAAGAGTATGCTGCTAAAGTTTGAAATTTTTTAAAAAAATTCTGCTAAGTAGGTAAAAATATTTTAATGAAGTTTTAATTTGCATTTCTGCTATTTTGGCAAAATTGAGCATCTTCTTGTGGGCATAAGACTCTTTTTAACTTTTTTTAAAAATGTGATGTGATTATTTATTCCTTTTTGCCCATGTTCTGTTATGTGTTGTTCTTGATTTTTAGGAATTCTTTTTATATCAGGGATGTTAACCTTTTCTCTGTGCTATAAAGTATGAGAATTTTTTTTCATCAGTTCATTTGATTTATAACTTTGATCATTTTTTGTTATGCAAAATAATTATATAGTGTTAAAGTGTATCAAAATTTATTTTATTGTTTTAGAATTTTGAGTGTTAGGAAGTTTTTCCTAACTTCCTATAAATATTATAAGAATAAATAACATAATTATTCCTATAAACAATTATGTTATCTTCTAGTCTCTCTACGGTTTCTCTCTCTCTCCTACCTTTCTTCAAACATTGTGCCACAGCAAAAATTGTACTGTCTGAAATTACACAGACAAGGAAGACTTATTCCAGGCTATTGCAACAGGGCAATTCAACTTTACTAAAACAAATGGATGAAGAGTTTCTAAGAATTGAGGTAGAGATGGCATAGGGCAAGAGGATCACAGGCTGTTTGTATTTGCTAATTGGTCTTACCCTCCGCCCCTGCACGGCCCCACCCTGCCCGCCGACACCCATAAAAAGTAAACTGTCTTGTATGTTCATGACAGGAGGTAGTTTTGCAATTTAGTGCAAGGGGATCACAGAGGTCAAGCTCCTACTCTCCCAAGACATTGGGAGGTAGAGATTCCATCTTTCTTGATGATTACATTTCAAAGAAATGGCTGCCAGGTATTTGAGGAAAAAAAAGTCCTGATTACTAAAGCTAGGTAAAGGCTTTCTAAAAGATTTTCACATCAAATGGGCCCAGAAAAAGATTATAATTACAAGTTTTCTAAAGTAAATGTTCTAAGAACTTGGTGGGCAGGGGCCTAGAGCCAGGAAGTCTGGCTGAAGTTTATTCTTGCTTAGGGAAACATTAGGGGCCTCTAAGTCACTTCCTTTCTTCCAGGCTACTTACCTTTCTTCTCTTTGTCATTTAGACAGTTGGTATATAATCCTTTCATAATTTATCTTGATATACAGATAGATGACGTTTGACTGCTGCAACTGGTGCTCATCTGGGATCTAGAGGCAGATATCTGAGGATCTGTATTAACGGAAACTTTTTCACAATCTCCATGAAATAAACAGCTGCTTGCACACATGACTTCATTCCTACTACAGTACTGATTTTTCACAAATAAAAAGAAATAATACTTTATAAGAACAACAGCAATAAAAAAGAAACAATCTCCCTTATTTTTATTTAAATGAATATGTTTTGTGAAAAGCTGTTTTGTATTCAGGTGGCTATGTAATCCTGTAATTTCTCTAGAAGCTTTCAGAATAATTTCATACCTTTTTTCATTATAGGTTTCCAAATGCGTAACAGGGATGAGTGAGCTTGTGAGTTTCTTTAATATTTATTTGAAAATTTAGTGATATAGAGTTATAATTGATCAATATTACCTTCTTTGAGGAGTAATTTAGAGACTAAATGCTATACATTAATTGTGGATTTGTTAGAATAAAATCCTCTGGATAACACAGAGAAGCAACAGATGTATTATATAAGGCTATCCCAAAAGTAAAAACTTTTAAAGAATACAACAGTTGAATGAACATAGTTTTCAAGCTTTTAATTTGCTTTTCTCTCCTTGAAAGCATTCCTGGCCTTGCTATATCAGAACATCATCACCCCATCTACCACTGTATGTTTTATCAAAAGGTCAGCACAAAATGCATAAATAATTTAAATGCAGAATTTATTTTTAAATTGCTTAGAAATACAATTGCTGAGAAGTTATGATATAATGCTTTATAGCTACCCAACTATTTTTTAATGCTTTAAGCATCACTCAAAAAATGAGAAATACAATAATTTTTATGTTTCATATTGAGTTGACTTTACCTGAATAAAAGGGGCAAGCCCTTATCCTTCAGCAAGCTGATTTGAAGAGAGGACTCAGAAAACAATACTCAGAGATAGAATGATGTGGCTCCCTGAATGTTTGCTGCCTTTAAACTCTAATCAATTTATAGAAATTAAATCACTGCCATGCCTTTCTCTAGACTAATATTAATAGTCAGACAAAATGGAAATAACAAGAGGCATTATACAAAATTATATAACTATTGTATTTGTTTGCTTTATTTTATCTACAAATAAAAACAAGCTAGTATTCATATAATGTGAAAAGCTGTTGTTTTTATGTGTGTTTTAATGCTTTATAAGAGCAACAAAGAAAAACATTTCAGGGCTGTAAAAAACACCTTTTTTAGTGTTTAGAAATTATATATATTTTGGCCGGGAGCGGTGGCTCACACCGGTAATCCCAGCACTTTGGGAGGTCAAGGCGGGCAGATCACCTGAGGTCAGGAGTTCCAGAACAGCCTGGCCAACATGGTGAAACCCCGTCTCAATTAAAAATACAAAAATTAGCCGGGCATGGTGGCGGATACCAGGAATCCCAGCTACTCGGGAGGTGGAGGCAGGAGAATCACTTGAACCTAGGAGGTGGAGGTTGCAGTGAGCCAAGATCATGGCATTGCACCCCAGCCTGGGCGACAAAGCAAGACTACGTCTCAAAAAAAAAAAAAAAAAAAGAAGAAGAAGAAGAAAGAAAAAGAAGCTACATATATTTTAAAGATACATAAGCCCACATAAGGGAGCACCTATAGGCCAATGATGAATAATTTGAGCATCAAAAATAATGATAAATACTATTGAGCAAACACTGACTATATAAAAAGTTATGATATTAACTCAAAAAAGTAGGAAAAAAAGACCAAAAACAAACTTATAAACTATCAAAACAAAGCATTAGGTTTTTTTTTTGCCTTTCCAAATAGTCTACGTTGACGAGGGGAAAATCTTTACTGAAGAATTATAACTGATAAATGTAGGATAAATAATAGAAATAGAAAGCCATGGTTATCAACGGTAATGAAATGATTGAATCAGGCAAAGAATAAGGACTATAAAATTATGACATGAAAGGTTGAAAGAAAATCTTGCAGTGGAGCTATTTGCAGTCCTAACCACTAAAAATAGATTTTGTTCCTCTGGATGTGGCGCTAAACGTGAAGCACCCAGAACAACCTATGAAGGAAGTTTGCCAAAACTTCTCTGAATCTCATCACATTTTAAGGATAACTTATTATTTATATAAAGTGAAATGACCCCTTGACGAATCAAAGTAAAAAGTATGATGTGGGATATTTTAAAAGAAAACATAAATTTATTTGCAATAAATTTATGATAGAAAACGCATATGTATACCTTGTTAGAATCTAAATTTGAGCAAATTACTTGTAAAAATGTATTTTAAAGACTATCAATAATATTTAATTTTTGGCTATTTCTTCTAAGATACCATTTCCAATGTGGGTACCCGTGACCAGAGGCTCTGTTTCAGACCTTATTCCCAAAGAATTGTGTTTGTCTGTTTCAACCTGTTTAGAAGCTACCTGAAGGACTGACACAAGTCATTTGTCTTTGGTTTTTCTAACTTGAAACTCACACTGGACCACAAAGCAGGGGACATTTCCCAAAAACATTGTAAGGCCAATGAACAAACTGCAGCCACCTGGGGCGACATTACAGTTGAAGCATACAATAGAACATCAAAAGCCTTGGAGGAAAAATTTGGGGGGAGGATTTCTTTGCAAAATTAGGCCATTCAAAAATGCCTATTTATATGGGGTGTAGAGAAAGCCACGTGCACACCCAGAGCATAATGTATGCACACAAAAATCCTGAGAAGACTCTAAGCTTTCAACTTTAGATAATCTCTAGTCTCAGTGACAGCAGAGTTATAAACTGCCTTACTAAGTGTTGAAGGCCCCAGCATATACTATAAGCAAAGACTGAGATTATATTTGTTGTTTTGTTTTTGCTTTCTTTTCCTCTCCTCTGTCTCTCTCTGTCTCTTTCTCTCTCTCTCTTATTTTAATTTTTCCTCTTGTGTTGCTCAGAGAGAAATCTGTTAAAAACACTAGTTGAACACACACTAAAGAAACAGAGACATCAGAGACCACACGTGACAGAAAATACAGACTATATGACAAAAAAGACTTTATAAAAGTTACTAAACAAGTAACCATCTATACCTTATGAAAATAAACAACAACAAACCCTAAAGAAGGGAAAGAATCTGACTTCTGAAGCTACCACATTATAGTATTCAAAATGCCCAACAAAAACAAACAACAAAATCAAAGGCATACAAAGAAAGAAGAAAGTGTTGCCACTTTGCAAAAGAAATGAACAGAAACTATCGCTGAGAAAGTATAGACATTGGACTTACTAGACTAACACTTTAAATCACCTGCCTTAAATATTCTCAAAGAGCTAAAAGAAGCCATAGATAAAGAGCTAAAGAAAACGCAGAGAACAATGTATTAACAAATAGAGAATATTAATAAAGAGACCAAACTTTAATAGAAATCGAACAGAAATTCTACAGATAAATATTTTAAGAACTAAAATGTATAAACATGCTACAGGGTTTCGGTAGTAGAATTGAGTAGTCAGAAAGAAGTATCAGAGAAGTTGAAGACAGGAAAAATTTAAATTAATGAGTCTGAGCAGAAGAAAGAAAAAGGAATGAACAAAGTAAACAGACTAGGTGACCTGTGGGGCACTATCAAGCATGCCAATATACGCATAATGAGAATCTCAGAGGAAAAAATGGAGAGAAGTGGGAAGAAATAATATTTGAAGAAGTAATGACTGAAAATGTCTCAGATATTTAAAAAGACATGAATTTACACATCAAGAAGCTCAGTGAGGTACATGAAGAATAAACATAAAGATATTAACATGGAGACACATTATAAACAGATTGTGAAAAGCCAAGGACAAAGATGGAACCTTGAAGGAACCAAGAGAGAAGAAACTCACCATGTGAAAGTCATCATCAATAAGATTAAGGCCGATTTCTCAACAGAAGTTATGGAGGCTGGAAAAGAGTGAGAAGACATTTTTAGAGTGCCAAAAGAATGAAAAAAACTCACCCCAAAATTCTATATTCACCAAAAGTATTCTATATCTGGCAAAATAATCCTCCAACATAAAGGAAAAAGGCCTTTCTAAATAAACGAAAGCTAATAAACTTCATTTGCTAACAGAATTGCCCTGTAAGAAATACTAAAAGGTGTCCTTCAGCTAAATATAAATGTCTATTATTACACTTCTAGTTTGCAACTCATCTTTCTATTTCCTACATATTTTGAAAGACAAATATATAAAACAGTATTTATAAATTTATATTAATGGGTACAAATTATATAAAGATACTATTTGTGACAAAAAAATTGTGGGATAGATTTGTATAAGAGCACAGTTTTTGAATGCTATTGAAGCTAAGTTGGTATCTATTTAAAGTAGATTGTTATGAATTTAGAATTTTAATAGTAATCCCTAAGAAAATATCTAAAAATTGTTTGCAAAAGGAAATAAGAAGAAAATCAAAATGGTATGGTAAAATCTATTAAACATAAAAGAAGGCAGTGATGTAGGAAATGACAAAGAAGGGATGACAGAAAAAAACAAATAACAAAATGGCAGAAGCCCCTTGTTATCAGTAATTACTTTAAATATAAGTGGATTAAACTCTCCAATCATAATACAGAGAGAGGCAGAGTTGATATAAATAACAGTCTTTTAAATTTAGATCCAAAATCACAAATAATTTGAAAGTGAAAAATGGAAGAAAAAAAGATACTCCTTGCAAATAGTAATCAAAGGCAAACCGAGTTGGTTATATTAATACGATACAAAATAGACTTTAAGTCAAAAGATATTTCAAGAAATAAGAAGAGTATATATTGACAAAAAATGAATCCATCAAGAAGATGTGACAATTATAAAAGTATATGCACCAAACAACAGAACTCCCGAAGCATATGGGGCAAACATTGACAGAATTGGAGGGAAAAATAAGCATTTCTACTAAGAAAATGGGGAATTTAATACACTGCTTTTAATAATGGGTAGATAGAAGATGAATAATAGAGAATGTGAGAAATTCTGTAAACTAGTGAGACCCAAAAGCCATATACAGAACACTCTCCCAGTACAGCAGAGAGTACATTCTTCTATAGTGCACATTATACAGTCTCCAGAATATTTCAGGCCATAAAATAAATTTCAAGGAATTTGAAAATATTTAAATCATGTAAAGCATAAAAACAAAAACACAACATATAGAAACATGGAATGCAGTGAAAGCAGTTCTGAAGGGAAATTTAAAGCACTAAATATTAAACTTAAAACTACGAAGATATATCTCAAATCAATAACTCAACTTTACACCATGGTTACTAGAAAAATAAGAGAAAACTAAACCCAAAACTAGCAGAATGATGGAATATTAATAATTAGAGCTGAAACAAATAAAATAGGGAATAGAAAGAGAATGAAACACAAAATTGGCTCTTGGAAAAGGTCAAAAAACTGGCAAAACTTTAGCTTTAAATACAAAGTAAAAAGAGAGAATACACAAATAACCAAAACTAGAAATGAAAGTGAGGCCATCCCTATTTATCCTTATAGAAATATAAAGGATTATAAAAACAATTATGAACAAATGTACACCAAACTTGGTGACCAAAGAGCAATAGACAAATGTTTAGAAACACACAATCTACAAAAACTGGATTATGAAAAAACAAAATCTGAAAACCTGTGAGAAGAAATTAGATTTAACCAGCAATAGTAATAGTAATAATAACTTTCAGCAATGAAAAGTCCAAGATCAAATGGTTTCACTCATGATTTCTACAAAATATCTAAAGATGTAACAACAATCTTCTTCAATCTCTATTTAAAAATTAAAGAGGAATCACATGTACTAGCATATTCTATGATGCCAGTATGACCTATACCAAACGCAGACAAAGATATGTCAAGAAAAAAAGACAACCAACCAATAGCTCTTGTGAATTTCATGCCAACATCCTTAACAGAATACAGGCAAATGGAATTTAATAGCATATTTTAAGTATTATACACCATGAAACAAGTGGGACTTATCCCAGTAATACAAGGGTTGTTCAAATAGAGAAAATCAATCTAAGTAATACACACATTAATAGAACTAAGGAACATTTTTAAAAGAAAAAAAATTTGATAGATTCCAACACTTTTTATGGTAGAAAAAAAAACAATAATCTAGCAATAGGAAGGAATTTTCTTAACAAGATACAGGACATTTATTAAAAACTCACAGCTTACATTATGCACAAAGGTGAAATGTGGAAAGCTTTGCCCCTAAGATCAGGAATAAGATAAGAATAACCTTTTTCACCATCAATATTCAACATTGTATTAGAAGTTTGCCATATATATATATATATATATATATATATGAAAGTAGGCAAGAAAAAGAAAAAAAATGGCATCCCAGTTAGAAACAATTTAAGCTGTTTCTACTAGAGATGACATAATTTTATACACAGAAAATCCCAAGAAAAAAACAAAATACTACTAGAGCTAATAAATGAGGTCAGTTACAGAATAGTTTCAATACGCAAAATTGTGTTTTGCCACCAGTCAATCAGCAATCTGAAAATAAAATTAAGAAAACAATTTCATTTATAATAGCTTGCAAAAGAATAAAATACCTAGGAATAAATTTAACCAAAGAGATGAAAGACGTGTATACTGAAAACTCTGCTGAAAGAAATTAAAGACAAAAATAAGCAGAAATGTTCATAGATTAGAAGACTTTATAAAGTGAGAATACTGCTAACATTGAGCTACAGATTCAATGTAATCCCTATTACAAATCAAACAGCGTTTTTTACAGAAATAGAAAATCTGTGCCTCAAAGTCACGGAATACCAAGGGACCCTGAATAACAAAAGCATTAAAAAAGAAAAGAAAGAGCATTCATATTTCCTTGATTTCAAAACTTCAATAAAACTACAGTAATCAAAACAGTGTGGTACTAGTATAAAAACAGACATATAGATTAAGGGAATAAAATTGAGAGTCAAGAAATAAGCTCATGTATCTTTAGCCAATTTATTTTTGACAAGCATGACAAGACTGTTCAATGAAGAGAAATAGTCTCATCAAAAAGTAGTGCTGGGGCAAGTTGGTATCCACATCCAAAAAAGAAAAAGAAGGTTGGACCTCTACATCACATTATGTGTTAAAATAAGTTAAAAGGGATCAATTACTTAAATATAAGAGCTACAACCTTTAAAAAATTAGAAGACAGAAGACGTTGTGGAGGCAATAAATCTTCATGACCTCGTGTTTGGCAATGACTTCTTAGATATAACACCAAAGCACAAGCCACAACTAAAAAGAAGATAAGTAAGACTTTATCAAAATTAAAAATGTTTGACTATCACAGGGCATTTTGAAAAAGTTGAAACTGCAACCTACAGAATAGGAGAAAATACTTGCAAATCATGTACCTAATAAAGGTTTAATATTAAGAGTATATAAATAACTCTTACAACTCAATGATTTGAAGACAATTTTAAAATGAGCAAAACTTACATAAATATTTATTCAAAGAAGATACACAAACAACCAACAATCACATGAAAAGATGGTCAACACTCAGGCTACATATAGATGATCCTCTAAAATAGTGTGCTGAGGCAGAAGGTAGACACAAAAATCATACATTGTATGATTTCATTTGTATGAGATAAATAGAATAGGTAAATCCATAGAGACAACATATTGGTTAACAGAAGGGGCAATGGGGAGCAACTGTTTAATGGATATAAGATTTCCCTTTGAGGTGATGAAAATATTTTGGAACTGGACAGAGGTGAAGACTGTACAACAGTTTGAATGTACTGCATGCCACTGGATGGTTCAATTCAAAATGGCTAATTTCATGTTCATGAATACCAGCTCAAAAAATGGTGTCATTATTTGGAGTGACAGAGTGATTGGGCCACTAGGCCTATTTTACACTACTGGATTTTTATAAAACTGAATGTATATAGCTGCACACTCCAGAATGGCATAATATTTAACAGTATGCTAATTCTCTGTATCCCTACATAGCCATTCTCTCTTTACAAAAGAAATCAGGGAGTTGAACAACAAGGCTAAGAAACAAACAAAATCCAAGACGTTGTTCAGATATAAGGTTAGTTTTCTCACAATTTATTATATATTTCATTTTTATAGAAATACTGATGCAAGGAAAGAAAAAACATATTAAGCCAAAGTAGTTTTAGAGGTGTATGTGTGTAAACTTCGTGTAGTGTCCATTTGATAGTGACTAACATGATATTACATAGTTTTTTGCCTCTTCACCCATCATTTTATCTGAAATTTCCATTTTAGTCATTACATTGTGTTAATGTTTTAGTTGGCCAATATATACCCCCTCTTTATCATCCAAGGTTGGAATCAGCTGAGCAATACATACTAAGGTTGATTGGAGGAGGAGGAGTACTGCCTACCCCACTAAACATCCACAGCCTGATCTCTAATAACCTGTAAATAAATTATTTTATATAGTAACAGGACGTTACAGATATGCTTAAGTTAATGATCTTGAAACAGGGAGGCTACATGTGGATTATCCACATAGAACCAATGTAATCACATGGGTCTTTGAAAGTGGAAAATATTTCTAGACTGTAGGCAGAGAAAAAAAGTGTGACAATAGAAGCAGGATAAGAGAGATAGCCATGCAACCCACTGTTGCTGGCTTTGAAAATAGAGGAAAGTAGCCACCAGACAAGGGACGTAGACAGCCCCCAGAAGCTGGAAAATACAAAGAAACAGATTCTCCCTTAGAGCCTTCAGAAGGAATGCAACACTTGCAACACATTTTAGAATTCTGATTTCCGGAACTAGAAAATTACAAATGTTTGTTATTTTAAGGCACTAACTCTGTGGTATATTATTATAGCAGCAATAAGCAACTTATACAGTGGGTACATAATCATGAGAAATATGGCAAAGATCTTCTGGATACTTTATCCCTGAACTAGTATATTCAATAAGGTCCCTTTTACTACCTGGCAGAGAATAGATTGAGATACTCTTGCAACACATACTGACAAGCAGACAGGTGTTTCAAGAAAAAGAAAATTTCAATACCAAAATTGTCCAGTTCATTTTTCTAAAGTTAATATGAGCAGGTAAAATTTAGAAGTATAACTAAAAATGATACTTCAGAATTAACACTGTACACTTTATATTATGTCCTGTGTCCAGTAGTAGATAAAGTTAAACTACTCTCCATTAGTATTCTACAAGATTAAAGTTCAGTAATGAATTCCATGTTGCCAAGCATGATTTCATATTTCTGATTTCTCGGTTTCAAATACTGTTTGACTTCCTAGAAACATTAACACAGTTGATATTTCTTTTTTGAAACAAGCTCCTTGTTTTCCCTGAAGCACTCACTCTTCATTTTCATCTTACCTCTCCAGCAACAACTTCATTATCTCTGTAGGCTCATTCAACTCTCCAAACTCAGAGCCTACCTTTTTCTTCTTTCTTCTTGAAATCTTATCCATTTGCATGACTTTATACCTCCTCTGCATACAGATGACTCTAAAATAAAAGTAAAAAAAAACTATAGGCCATATATTTGACATCTATATTTGTTTATTTACTTTTCAATAGACATTGTCCCTTGCATGTCCCACAGATAAAACGCACACACATGCACAAGCATGTGCACACACACACGTCAATCCATTCCTCTTGAGCATTTCCAAATGAACCAGAATTCAAAAACCATACTCGATTCTACTCTATCACCAACCTCCCCCTTCCCCAGTGGCTAATCTTTCAATGAATTCTTTTATGTCAAAATTTTCTATTTCCAAAATTTATCTTAGTTCCATGTACTTCTCTCTATTTCCATACCTTCTTAACAGTCCCAGGCACTTCATCTTTTACTTAGACAACTGAGTGCTCCAAATTATCTCTATAATTTCTTACTTTTTATTAATAACATTCTTTGCATTTCAATAAAGACATCATTTAAAAGTATTTATGAGGAAAGTTTAATCCACATCCAGATTCTACTCCTCCTTTTCTCTTTAAAAAACATTTTAATAGCTTTCCTTTAAATGTAAAATAGCATGTAAACCCCTTTATAAATTACAGCCTGCAAAGCTCTGTAGAAATCTGGACCCTGCTTACCTTCCCATCTCATTTCAACTCCTTCCTCCCTGTATTCCAGATAGACAAGCCACTTTTCAATTCCTGAAAGTGAACAAGGTTTTTCCATTATTAAACCTTAACAATGTTCAAATCCTTTGCTCAGAAGGCTCTTTTTTGATTTTATTTTTATTTTTCAAGTATGAGCCTAAATATTACCTTCTTACTGGTGTATTTCTTAATATTCTTCATAATAAAACACTGAATTATCTCTATAATGAATATGCTTTATAATTTTTCAAATATTTAACATTTTTGTTTACTTATTTATCGCAAGGCTCCTCTTCCCCACGTCACCCCATCCCCCATGCTATGAACAGACTGACCCTTTGTCCTTCATTTATCATTTTATGAAACACAAGACATTCTTAAGTACACTTACAATAAATGTTTTTCAGCAAAGGAATGAGTGAGAGGATTATTTTATTGATTAGTTAGCAGGAGGAAGGATCCAGGAGAGAAATCTATATAGTTCTAATGGAGATAATGGCAAAAAAAAATATTTGAACTCCGGAAAAAGCTAGGATATGTGAGATACCATGCTAGAGATCATGGGTGGGGTAGAGAGGATTTTATGGGAACCCCAAAACAAGAGTTCAAAGTTAGTGACTGACTTTGAAATCCTGAAAAATCCATGTAAAAACATTAACAAACTGCCTTAGATTGAATGATTGCATTTCTCATATAGAATAAATTCAATTTTTTTTCTCAAACTTCATACATCTAAGAAAAATGCTAATAGTAATCTATTCCAATCTAATGCTAACCTAAAACTAATACTATATTTTTCTATCAACTCATTCTTCCTTTCTTCATTTTTTCCCCTCTTCCAGTTGTTCAGAACAAAACATTTAGGGTCATCTCTTACTCTTCTCTTTTTCTGACCTATCAGAGAATCTTGTTTGCTCTGCAAAACACAGTTAATGACAATGTAACAGTCACCACAAAACTTTATTAGGATATAGTAAGAGAGTAATGGACTCCTCTTTCTTATAGTGACTATTCTGAAAGAGGAGTCTGGCTGGACTGTTTTATTTTCTTTTGAGGACTATAAGAGCCTGAAACTGTGCAAGGACCTGACAGTCATCTTATAGGAGGGAAGATGAAGCATCCCAGGTGTCCTCCTTTCCCCAGCTTCACATATACCATCAATCAAATTTGTTTCAACCAATTAGGAGATTCCTGGATTTGCTGCCAGTGTCCTGGAATTGCAGCCAACCAGACATAGGATAGTCTCATTAACATTTACTGGAGCAGGTAGTAACCTCCACTAGATTTGAACGTGTAAGGATTTGGATTCCATAGTTCATCTCCCAGAACTTGCAGCAGGTTAGACCATCAGGCTCATCACAATAGTTTCATTCATCACACACACAAAAAAAAGGTCCCAGTTTTTCAATGAATGCATTAATCACTCTTAGATCTCATTCTTTGCTTTTTTTTTTTTTTTTTTTTTTTTTTTTTTGCCACAATCCACCCTCCACTGTCACACTAACTATGCAATACTGGTTCTCGAATATCCTTGCTTCCCTCCTCGTCACACTCATATAATTTAAAATTAGGACCTAAAGTGGTATTGTTAAAACATAAGTTTGATCATGTGAATCCTTTTCTCTAAACCCTCTGTTATTCCCCTACCACACTCAGTGTCAAAGCAAAAGTACTTACAGTGGACTACAAGGTCCTGAAAAATATGGTCCTGTTATCTCTCTGAACTCATCTCTTTGTAATTTCTCCCCGGCTCACTGTTTCTAGCCGCGCTGCTGTGTTCTGCATTGGCATTTGCACTTTGTTTTCCCTCTGCAGGAAACGCTTTTCCCCAAATATACGTAGGGCTCACTTCCTTAGACCTTTAAGTCTTTGTCCTAATTTTCTTATAATTTCAATTGTCCAAACATTGGACAATTTATCATCAGAAATAGTAATAAAACCATCATGCATTGCTGATGGGAGTGTAAAATAGAATAGTTTCTTAGAAAGTGAAACATATAATTACCATATTAACCCACCTGTTGCATTCAAGGTATTTACCCAAGATAAATAAAAATGAATGTCCACAAAAAGACTTCCACTGAATGTTCAAGGCAATATATTCACAAATGTTAAAAACTGAAGCAGCCTAAACATAAACTGGTGTATAAATAAGCACAATATAGTATATTCATGCAATGAAATATTCACCACTTAAGTGGAACAAACTAGGAATACATTCAAAGGCATGGATAAACCTTGAAAACATTATGCTAACTGAAAGAAGCCAGAAATAAGAGTGTAAATATTGTATAATATCATTTACATGAAACAGAAAAAAACCTATGGAGAAAAAAGGCAGATAGGTGGTTGCTTGTGACTGGAAGTTGTAGTGAGATTGACTCTAAGTGGCCACAAAATAATGTTTTGGTATGATGGAAATATTTTAAAAGTGGATTTTGATGATGATTATCCAACTCTATAAGTTTACAAAAATCTTCAAACTTAAAATGGCTTAATCGTATGGTATGAGGTTGTATGGTATGAATTGCGTGGTATGAAATAATGCTATTTAAAAATAAATAAAGAGAAATCGTGATAAGTTATAATATTTGTATAAAAAGAATTCATAATGATACTGAAAAGAAGGAAAAAAGGCTACTCTTTATAGAAGAACATCACGATATACAATAAATTATAGAATTAGAAAATATTTTGTAACTTTTATGTAATGATCAATTCAGGGAAGGATAACCAATGTGTGTTAAAATACATTAAGTCAAAGGGTGATAGAAAACCGGGAACACACATGATTTAAATACCCACAAACACTTACTAGTTACCATGTGGAGTGGTAGCTTTAAAGGGTTAATTATGGTGGATCTTATCTTAAACAAAAGAAATGAAAGGGGAAAAATGAGCCCAGTAAAAATTGCCTTCTGATGTAATGTATTGAAAAGTTTACAATATTACTTATATACTATCTTAACCAAAATGTTTAATAAATAATGATGAAATAGACAAATCCGGATTACTGGGGTATTATATAAGACTCCTATTAACAGATAGACCTCAAAATGTTATTGTCATGAAAAAATACAATTTTAAAAGGAGCTACAATTTTAAAAGGAGTATTGCTGCTCTAGATCAAAATGGGACAAAGAGATATATCTTTAATCTTAATGCAATGTGGGATCCTTGATATAATAGAATTTAAATGACGACAAATTCTTTGTACCTCCTTCCAACAAGAGGCAGAACAAATTCCCTTTTCTTTGAACCTAGGTTGGATTTCTGAATTGCTTTGAATCATAAACTGAAGCAGAAGTGAAGCATAGCCATTCTCAGCCAAGACTTTAAGAGTCTAGGAATCTCTGTCTTTGCTCTTGGATCCCATCTGCCATCATATAAGAAAGTTCGGGCTAGACTTCTGAATAACTAGTAACCACATGGATATTCCAGCCTCGGTCCGTCTCTGAGTGACTGTAGCTATGTGAGTGACCCCAGACTACATCATGTGTAGCAAATGGACCAACCAGCTGAGGCTTGCCCAAACTCCGGACCAACAGAGTCGTAAGAAATAATAAACCACTGGTGTTTCAAGCAACTGTATTGCTTTGTTTTAATGTAGCAAGTGATAATGACCATCTCATGATATCCTACACCAAGCAACAAACAAAACACAGCTGTCAATAATAATGTTGTGATACTAGGTTACATTGAATATTGGCTGGATATAATAAAATGTTATTTAAAATTTAAGGAGCATCATTATTGATATGTAGGAGTATATTCTTGTATTTAGGGGGTAGGGACTTGAAGATTTAGAATTAAAGCGTATTACTCTCTGTTACTTATTCTGTAATACTTCATCTAGGAAACAAAAGCATATATATATATATATGCTTTGAATATATATATATATGCTTTGAATATATATATATATATATAGTCCTGCCAACACACAAGGCATACTTATGCATATATATATATATATATATTCAGAGAAAATGATAAGCAAATGTGACAAAATGTTAAAAATTATTAATTTTAGGTGAAGATTGTGAGAATATTCATTGTACGATTCTTTCAACTACTCTAAAGTTTAAACAAAATTAAAATAAAAAGTGAGAAAATAGGAATGAACAAATGAATATATTCCAGCATTAGAAAACTGTAATCTCTTTATCAGTGACATTTTATCTTACATCACTTTTTTAATTTAATCCACAGTTCTCACCAACCACTCCATATTCCCCTTTCCTGATTTTTTAAAAATAAAACTTATTGTCTGACAAACTATATATTTTTTATATATTGTTATTATAAATGCATTTAGTTACCATACATTTATATATTGTCTGTATTCCTCATTCCTGCCAGGTTATAAACTTTATGAGAGCCGAGATATAAGAACAAAGATTTTTGTTTACTCTTATTCAATCCCAAGAGCTTAATAGCTGGTATATAAGATGCACTCAGTGTTTATTGAATTCATGCAACTTGACCTTAAAAAATAGTCTATTTTATAGTAATAGTGCCATTATATTATTAGAATAATAATTTATTCTAATATATTATCGGGTTATACAACAAATAATATTTATTTCAGAACATCTATCTTAAGAATCATCTAAAGTACTTTACATATATAATTTATTAATATTAAGAGCACTCAAAGATAAGCTTCATTCCCATTTTCAAAGGAAGAAATTTAGACTTGGAAATTTTAAGTGGCTCAAAGTCATACATATAAGAGAAAGATTTTTAAGCACTAGTCTTCTTTCTTCCGAACAGGCAGTGTTCTCAGTTCTTATTTAGAGCATGTTTTGTCTGGATGAAAATTCTCATCTTTTCTGAAATACATAGCTTTGGGTGAGATTCATTAAGATAGGTGATGGGAAGAATCAGGCTGATTATATAGAATCTAATTTCTAAAATACAATAGCATGTGAGGATTGGTAATAGATTATTAGTCTTTACACATTTCTGCGTTTTAATTCAATTTTATTAAAATATGATGAGTCAATAAAAGAATCAGAGTTTTAGAGCAAAAGAGTATGACTTTAATCAAGCAACATTATATATAGCCCATCTGATGTCCACTGAAGTTAGATATGATGTGTTACATATTCAGTAGAGTCATTGAAATTCACATGAACAAAACAATTACAAATAAAGAATCCAAGATGACAAGTTAAGAAGCAAATAACAGAATTAATTGGGAGGAAGTCTGCTATTCGAAATACTTTTTCAGCAAGAGAGATTAGTTCTTGAAAAAAAGCAAGCAATTTATTTGAAAAAATAAAAAGGTCTTAATTATTGGAATCTAGACAGTCATCTGAACCAAATAATCTGAAGAATTGGCTGAGAGCAACTTAGCTAATTGAAAAATTAACCTTTAATTTTAATCAGCAAATGTTAATTTGTTATTCAAACTCATTAAATTTCTGTTGCAATTCTAAAACAACCTACCAATTTGTAGATATAATAAATATATATTCAGATGATGTTTTACCTCATGCCAACACACAAGGCATACTTATTATATATACAATGTTTTACCTATGAATGAAGATAATACCAGTACTTTGACAGTGACAGACATTATCCATTTATCAGTCTTACAGTAACAAATGATAAACATTCTAACCAGAGTCAAGATGAAATCATACAGCTACTTAAATAGTTCATCAAAATTACCTTGCCAGATGCCATGTATTTGTTGGTCCAATAAATGATGTACTAGAATATACAGCGGTTCTATACATGATTGTGAAGAGAAATTCAGAGTTAGTGTGCTGTGGAAGGAGTAAAAATTATTGTAGTAGTAGACATATGACTAAATGGAAGATAGAAAATTAACATACAAAAATCAGTTGTGCACTAACAACAAACTACCTAAAAAAGAAATTAAGGGCGGGGCGTAGTGGCTCACGCCTGTAGTCCCAGCTACTCGGGAGGCTGAGGCAGGAGAATCGCTTGAACCCAGGAGGTGGAAGTTGCAGTGAGATGAGATCGTGCCACTGCACTCCAGCCTAGGTGACAGAGCAAGACTTCGTCTCAAAACAAAAAAAAAAAAGAGAGAGAGATTAAGAAAATCAATTATATTTATAATTGCATGAAAAATATTTAATGAATTTAACCAAGGAGATAAAAGATCTGTACACTAAAAACTGTAAGACATTGATGAAATAATTTGAAGAAGACACAAATAAGTGAAGAGATGTTCCATATTCATGGAATCAAAGACTTAATATTGTTAAAATGTCCATAACACCCAAGTGACCTACAGAATCAATACAGTCCCCATCAAAATTTCTTTTCTCTAGAAATAGAAAAACTCTTCTGAAGTTTGCATGGACCCACAAAAGACCCCAAATGGCAAAAGCAATCTTAAGGAAAAGAAGAAAAAAACCTGGAGGCATCACACTCCCTGATTTCAAGTTATACTATAAAGCTATATTAACTTAAAATGTATGATATTGGCATAAGAACAGAAATTGTAGACCAATGGAACAGAATAGAGAGCCCAGAAAGGAATTCAAGCATATATATACAAATAATGTTTGTCAAGGATATTAAATTCCATGTTATGGTACCCTAGATAGAATCCTGGAACAGAGAAAGAATATTAGGTAAAAACTAAGATAATTTGAATAAACTATGTATTTTAGGTAATAATAACTTACCAAAATAAATCAATAGTGACAAATGTGACACACTATTGTTAGATATGAATAATAGGGAAAACTGGGTGTGGGGTATATAAGAATATATATACAACACAATGTTGTGTGTGTGTGTGTGTGTGTGTGTGTATCTATCTACATATATCTATATCTATCTATATATATCTATATCTATCTATATATCTGTATATACACACATACATATATTGTGGAATACTACTCAACCACAAAATAGAATAAAATTATGTCTATTGCAAGCAACATGGATGGAACTAGAGGCCATATCCTAAGTGAAATGATTCAGAAACAGTCAAAAATCACTTGGCCTCACTTCTGAGTAGCAGCTAAATAATAGGTACACATGGACATACAAAATGAAATAATGGACACTGGAGACTCTGAAATGTGGGAGGCTGAGAGGGGTATAAGAGATGAAATACTACTTATAAGGCACCATGTTCACTATTCAGGTGATGACTGCAGTGAAAGCCCAGGCTTCACCACTATATGATATACCCATATAACACAACTGCACTGGTACCCCTAAATCTATTAAAAAAATTGTAAAAGACAAAAAAAAAATTTCCATTACCTTGTCGGGTGTATACGTCTGTGGTTGTTGATATCTTTGATGTATTTTTACTTGATAAGAATTGCAAGTGTATCTTAGGGAAAATACAACAGAAATATTAAAATACAGAATAATTTTAAAATAGATATTATTAAAAGATTATACAAATATTTTGATACTTAGAGGAGACACACAATTTCTCTGTTGCCATATTAGAAAGAAAATAGCACTTTCTCCAGATGTTGTTATGAAACCAACCTAGCATTAACTGATGAAAAAAAAAGTGGAGGAAGCATATTTTGATAAAGTCTTAAAAATATAAGCATTCTTTGGTAGCTCACAAACCTTTTGCTCCCTGATTTGGTACAGAGAACATACTATAGGGTTACAATCTCTGATTTGAATCTTTAAATATAATAATGAAATATTATTACCGAAGTATAATTATATTAATCTGAAGTATGGTCATATTTTTCTTTCTTAAATGACTTTTTTTTCAATTGAAGGAAAGCTAAGCATACAGTATAACAATACTTTGGTAAAAAATTATTATAGCTAATATGTTTTGTAAATGCTTGGAAATAAAATACTCTGCCCCTTTACATTTAAGCCACAATATTTTATGTCATAGGATCCATGTTATTTGCAATAATAGCAACAATATTAACAGCAAGATAAAAATTGGGGCCCAAAATATCGTTCATGCTTTGTTCTAATACATTATTACTATTGATACCTAGGTGTCTTTAGCATATTAATTATAATTTTTTAAAATATGGTTTTTTCATCTGCTATATGGTGGTAATAGTGTCTGCTTTCTATACTTCATAGAGTGTTATGAAGTAAAATGAGATCATGTATGTGAATGTTTGTGAATTATGAACTGAAAAAGCATTAAATTTATTTTTTTCCTTTTGGACTGTGTTTTCCTTTATAGTGAAAGGAAGAAATTGAAATTCAGAAATGTAAACAATTATGAGAATAATAATAAATAGTTCTCAATTTACATTACAGAATTTAAATTCCTGAGTCCAAGCTGTCACATTCTCCTGAGTGTTTGATTTAGTTGAATGGCAGGACTTTGATATCTGGTGTGACACCTTCTATCTTTATATAACCAAGCAAATATTTATTGACTTATTGCAAATGATATCTAGACTCTTGATATTTAAAAATTAACATGTTTTGGCCAGGTGTGGTGGCTCATGCCTGTAATCCCAGCACTTTGGGAGGCCGAGGCGGGCGGATTACCTGAGGTCAGGAGTTCGAGACCAGCTTGGCCAACATAGTGAAACCTTGTCTCGACTAAAAAATACAAAAATTAGCTGGGCACGGTGGCAGGCGCCTGTAATCCCAGCTACTCAGGAAGCTGAGTCTGGAGAATGACTTGAACACGGGAGTTGGAGGTTGCAGTGAGCCAAGATCGCGCCATTGCACTCTAGCCTGGGCAACAAGAGTGAAACTCCTTCTCAAAAAAAAAAAAAAGAAAAAAGAAAAAAGGAAACGTGTTTTACTTTAAAAGAAGGCACTAGTATTTACTATTAATTTGGATGTACAATATCTGCAATAAAGCATATACAGTAAAAACAGATAAGTAAATAGGTAGATACAGGTAAATGAAAGAAAGAAGGACAACCATACACATTTGTATTTTCTTACACATGTGCATACTGATTGTGCACATCTGTATGGATAATTATGTACTAGGAATAAGTAAGTTGCTCTGTATTTGTAAGCTTCATTCCTAATTTATTATTGATAAAAGTAGGCCTTCGGGAAAAAAAGATTATTTGGCATTTTAGATGCCCACTGAGAAAATGAGGATCAAAGAATCTATTTACAGTAAAGAAGGGGGAGGTAAAAACTAATTAGTAATTATAGCCTATAAACATTTACAAATTAAATCTTCTTTGTAGACTTAATGTCTTATGATAAAAAATGTTCAGTCAGATGTTCCTTTTAAAGAAATACTGTTAAACAAGAATATTTCAGTACCACATTCAGATTCAATTATTTTAAAATAATTTAAGATCAATCTGTAGCAAGATTTTCATCTAGAGATTTTTGATAGTTAACCAAATGATTTGGTATCCTCTATCTATTTTATAAAGTGTTAGGCCTAGTGTCGATAATCATTGAGACAGTTTCTCCTAGTGTATAAATGATTCATTTGAAGGAGGTTAAGTGCTTTGGGGAAACTTTATTAACTTTTCCAGGAGCCAAGGGTATCATTTAACAAATGGTACTGCCTCTTCCCATCAAAAATGGCCCATTACACCCAAGTCATGTATCATATGTCAGGTAAATATAGTACTTATTTTGTTGATTGAGCCAGAAAGATTAAGAACCTTTCCAAAAGAGGACAAAATGAAGCATTAAAGAACTGGGACCAAAAAACGAGGCGATTGCCACCCTGTAGTGCTTAGTAAGTCATTAGCTCACATTCCCTTCACATTAGCACACTTCACTTCAGCACAGTACCATATCTCACAGCATTTATCAATCCACAAAGAGAATCAAAGCAGTAAGAAATGTGCTCTTCATTGTCGATCAGAAAAGCCAATTACAACTTCTATTAGATCCCTGTCTAAGTCAGCGAAGTGCAAAGCAAGCAAAAAAGTCACTTCTCCAGTGTATGCCTTTTCAGCAAGATTTGACAACTTACAAAGAATTATCTGAAACGGATGATCACGATCATTATGTGTCTATCATACAAGTGTTAAACGGCTGTGTACTACATACATACTGTAAGAATGAGGAAGACATTTTTAAGAATATTGGCTTAAAATGATTTTAGTAGCCTCATAACCTCATAAGCTGATATTTTAGACAATCTTGTCTTTTAACTTAACCTAGCAAACACAAGTACAGCTTAAGAATTGTTTTACCATTTTAACTTCTGTACTATATTAATCTATATTGTAATAATTTGATTTTAAACAAAAATTAATTTTTATATTAAAACCCATATACTTCAGAAACTCTGGAATTCCACAACTTCTGATACAAGATTCTAAATAATATAAAACCAAATAATTACATTTGTCATTTAAATTATGCAACAAGTTGAGACACGGAAACTAAACAATAATCTAATTAGTTCGATGTTGTAACTTACTGTAAGAAAGGCAATGACTTTGTATATCAATTTTATTATTGTTGAACAGGTTTACATAATATACTTCTAGGAAGTAAAATTCAGTCTATTAGTTGTATTTTCTATAGATACCATAAGAAGCATGATTTTGAGTTTATGACTTACAAAATCCTGATTCTGACAGTTTTTTAGCAGATAGTAATTAATAAAGTGACAACTGACAAATAGAAACAACAGAAATCTTGATATTTAAGTTGCATTTCAATTTCACTTCTAAAGATCATGAGTCTGCTTTCCTATTAAATTCATTGCTTTTTATGACTTTGAAGAAGATCTCTTAGAGTCATGTCAAATTTTGCTATTTGGGGCAAAGACCATGCCAGAATTTATAGGACAAAAAGTATATCATAAAGGTCTTGATAGTAAGTTCTAAAATTTTAATGAGTATAAATACATAACAACTCAGACATGAGTTTAGAAAAATTTTATCAAACCAACTTATCACTCTCTCATACCAAAAGAGAATCTTTTAAGTTATAGGCTTTGTATCAGTTGTAATTAAAATATCATTGTAGAACTAGTTATGAGAAATTTTAATCAGAAACAATTAAATCCTCTCACATAGATACAGAGTTCCACAGTCAAATAAAAAATCAGATGTGTCATATACTCGTTTGCTCTGTCAGCTTGGAAGCCTTAAGAGAAATGACAACCCAGTAGCAAAGAACACACTTAGTAGTCAGATCTTGGTTTCCAATGTCATTCTCCATAAAAGAAACCAGTGACATTTGTAGAAATGGCTGATTCTATGGTGGAGCAAGAAATACACACGAGTCTGGAGCATTTCGTAGTGCCAGAGTAAGGACGTGCTGGGAAAAAAAGAAAAAGAAACAAAATACATTAATGGAGATATGTCTAAAGATCACAGGAGCCAAAATCAGCTCTCAATGGCCAATGCTGAACATTTTGAGCAACAAAATCAAGTAGTATTGGATTATAATCCAACATTTAAACACACACACACACACATCCATGATATAAATTAAATTTGGAATAAATTAATGGGAGAAAAGAGACAAATTCCCCATGAAGAAGAATTTAAAATAATTAGTGTAGATATTCTACCATCAAGAATGAAGAACATAACTACACACTTCTAAGGTGTAGGCTGCACATAGATACCTGCAAAAATACAATATGAAAAGAAGGCAGAAAAAAAATAAGAATGACTTTACAATGGATAAACTTGACAACACAATCTCAGTCAGGTAATCAAGGTCAACATCAACTGTGAGAAATCATGTTGATAAAATGTACCTGGGATAAAGTGTGATGAAAAAATGGCACTTTACCTCTGTGGTCTTTCCTATAAAGTGTGATCTCAGTCTTATCATGAGAAAAACATGAAATAAATTTCAATAGCAGGGTGACTACAAAGTAGGTAACATTCCTTAAAACTGTAAAGGTCGTCAAAGACAAGAAAAGTCTATGAAACTGCCAGAGCAAGGAGGAGCCTAAGGAGACAAGACAACTGAATATAATGTGGTATTTCGGATAGTCTTCTGGAATAGAAAAAAGACATTATGTACAAACTAAGCAGGCCAGGCACAGTGCCTCACACCTGTAATCCCAGCACTTTGGGAGGCCAAGGCGGGCAGATCACCTGAGGTCAGGAGTCTGAGACCAGCCTAGCCAACATGGTGAAACTCTGTCTCTACTAAAAATACAAAAATTAGCTGGCATGGTGGTGGGCACCTGTAATCCCAACTACTCAGGAGGCTGAGACAGGAGAATCGCTTGAATCTGGGAGGTGAAGATTGCAGTGAGCTGAGATTGCATCACTGCACTCCAGCCTGGGTGACAGAGCGAAACTCTGTCTCAACAACAACAAAAAAATGGAGGAAATATGGGAAATTTATGGATGTTAAATATTTATGTATCAATAATAGTTTCTGAATTATGCCAAGGTATCATACTAAAGTGAGATGTTAATGATAGGGAAAACTGCGTGTAGAGTATATGGGAAATCTTTGTACTATATTGTCCAAATTTTTTTTCATCTAAAACTATTTTTAAAAATAAAGTATATTAGAGATGGAGAAATGATAATGTGTGAAAATGTTCAGCCCATGTACTTCATAAATATAAGTTCAAGAGCCGGACATGGTGGTTGCACCTGTAATACCAACTACTCCAGAGGCTAAGGCAGGAGGATCACTTAAAGCCCAGAAGTTCAAGACCAGCTTGAGCAACATAGCACAGACCCCCATCTCCAGAACAATTTTTTGGGGGTGGGGGGAGAGGAGAGAGTCTAGCTCTATCGCCAGGGTGGAGTGCAGTGGCGTGATCTTGACTCACTGCAACTTCCACCTCCTGGGTTCGAGTGATTCTCATGTCTCAGCCTCCCAAATAGCTGGAACTACAGGTGCATGCCACGACATCCAGCTAATTTGTGTACCTTTATTAGAGAGGGGTTTTGCCACGTTAGCCAGGTTGCTCTATAACTCCTGACCTCAAGTGATCCACCTGCCTCAGCCTTCAAAAGTGCTGGGATTACAGCTGTGAACCACCGTGCTCAGCCTAAAACAATTTTGTAAGAACAATTATCCAGATATGGCATCAGGTGCCTGGAGTCACAGCTACTCTGGAGGCTGAAGGGGGAGGATCAATTGAGCCCAAAAGTTCAAGGCTGCAGTGAGCTTATGATCATGCCACTGCACTCCAACTTGAGTGACAGAGCAAGACCCCATCTCAGAAAAAAAGAAAAAAGTTCATGGGACTAAAGAGTTTTTATATTATGCCTTCAATAATTTCAGTGGGTATCCAATAGTTACCATAAAAAATGTAAGTTTGGACTTGATAAATAATGTAACTCAACTTTTTTTTGTATTCTACAGAAATGGAATTATTTTCATCAATGTATCAATTAAGGTCTGCACACATTTAGTTAATTCCACCCCATATCAAGTCTCATTTAAATAGTAGTTAAGACTTATAAAGTGAAAGAAATTAGTAACTAGGGAATTGGAGGAAGGCAGTAGATTAGATGTTTTGACATAACTATAGAAATCTTGGAGATAAATAGCAGAACTGTCCTTTTAGCAGAAACACGTGGCAGCTGACAGTAGAGACAATCATTTTATTCAGCAGATAACAAAAACAGGAGTTGGAAGGCAGCGCAAATCAGGTAAGAAACTATCTGGACGTAATATAATTAACTCTACTTATAGAATTTCTGCACTGTTCACCTCTTCCCTCTTTGAATTGCAACTGCTTTATTTTGTTTATGCTAAAACTTGAGGAATATTTTCTATAAAATGATGACAATTATATGCTTTAGTAAAACTAGGGTTTCTAGTGTGGCTGACAGGGTCACAGAGTAATGTCAACATTTTCTGCCTTGAGGTGGGAGGAGCTCAGTGTGCATGCTGCTTGTTTCTCTCTCATGTAATGTAGATTCTGTCCAGTGAGCACCCACGTGCGCATATGCAGTGTACAGTCAAACCTTACTTTCAACTAAGAATCTTGATGAGGAAATAAATTTATAAAATAACAACTTCAGCGAACGATTTAGATGAATCAACATGGTTCTTCATTCAGAATAATTTAAATAGAATATAAGGACCAAATAATGCATGACATTGAAATAAAACAAAACAAACAAATGAAAACATAACAGTCCAACTGACCTTCAAGGAAACCCAGATAAGACAGGCCCAAAAAATAACCTTAGAATTCCCTGTTTTCCTAATTAGTTTACTCAGAGATCTGAGGAGATACTAGGGAGACTGGGAAACCTTCACTGTCCTACTAGTCGTAATAACTACTAGTGTTTACTCTACGGAGCAGTATTTGGCAGTGCAGTCATTAGTCGCTTAACAACAGGGTTACGTTCAGAGAAAGGGACCCTTGAGGAAACTGTCCTCGTGGGAACATCATGGGGTGCACTTACATAAACCTAGATGACACAGCCTACTACACACCCAGGCTACATGGTATAGCCTATTGCTCCTAGGCTACAAACCTGTACCACATATTAGCGTACTGAATATTGTAGGCAACTGTCACACAATGGTAGGTATATGTGTATCTAAATATGGAAAAGATAAAGTATTGTATAAAAAATGGAACACTGTAGTAGGGTATTTACTATGAATGGAAGCTGCAGGGCTCAACGTTGCCTTGGTAGAGTCAATGAGTGAGTGGTGGAGTGGTGGCTAAATATGAAGGCCTATGACATGACTATACACTACTGTAGACTTTATAAACACTGTAGACCTGAGCTACATTAAATTTTTTTAATGATTTCTTATTTTTTCAATAATAAATCAAACAAACTGTAAATTTTTTATTTTGTAAACTTTAAATTTTTTTACACTGACTCTTTTGTAATAGCACTTAGCTTAAAACACAAACACACTGTATGGCTGTACAAGAGTATTCTATTTTACACCCTTCACCTGTAAGTTGTTCTTCCCTTTAACTTTTTAAAATTTTGTTTTAAATCCTTTTTGTCAAAAACTAAAACTAAAACACACAAATTAGCCAAGGCCTACAAAAAATTGGGATCATCAATATCACTATCTTCTACCCCCACATCTTGTCCCACTGGAAGGTCTTCGGGGCAATAACATACATAGAACTGTTGTCTCCTATGAAAACAATGCCTCCTGGCCAGGCATGGTGGCTTACACCTGTAATCCCAGCACTTTGGGAGGCCGAGACAGGCAGATCATGAGGTCAGGAGTTCTAGACCAGCCTGGCCAACATGGTGAAACCCTGTCTGTACTGAAAATACAAAAATTAGCTAGGTGTAGTGGTGCATGCTTGTAATCCCTGCTACTCAGGAGGCTGAGGCAGGAGAATTGCTTGAACCCAGGAGGCACAGGTTGCAGTGAGATGAGATCATGCCCCTACACCCCAGCCTGGGCGACAGAGCAAGACTCTGTCTAAAAAAAAAAAAAAAAAAAAAAAACAAAAAAAAAGAAAGAAAGAAAAGAAAATAAAAAAGAAAAAACAAAAAATAAATCCCTTCTTCTATGATATTTCCTGAAGGATCTGCTTAAGGTTGGTTAGCAGTTAACTATTTTTTAATATAAGTCAAAGGGGTATACACTAAAATAACAATAAAAATTATTAGTATCGTAAATATGTAAAACAGTAATATAATCATTTATTATTATTATCAAGTATTATGTGTTGTACATAACTGTATGTGCTATACTTTTATATGACTGAGAGTTGAGTAAGTTTGTTTACACCAGCATCACCACAAACACATAAGTAATGCATTGTGTGATGACATTACATCAGCCATGATGTCACTAGGCTATAGGAATTTTTCAGCTCCTTTACAATCTTATGAGACCACCATCATTTATGCAGTACATCTTGACCAAAACATCGTTATGAGAAATATGATTGTACATAGAAAATTACATAAATGTTTACCTCTTTGACTCAGAAATCATATTTCTAGGGCTTTCCTCTCAAAAACATATAAGAAAAATATGGTGACACAATCATAAGACTGTTATATTATTTGTAATAGCAAAAAAATGGAACCAACACTATCCCCCTTAATAGGAGACATTTTAAATAAGCTGGATAAATTCCTTACAAAAATACATGGCACATTAAAGAGCAGTCAGACAGAGCTCTCTACCCTTCTCTGTAGTAGTCTCCAGAACATTTCATTGTTAAGAAAAAATCCAGCAAGTTTAAGAAGAATATACAGTATGCAAATATTATGTAATAAATTGAGAATGTGATGTATAAGGGTATATACGTATGTTTGTGTTTGTATAGGTGTGTATTAGTTTTTCAGAAGAAATCCTTAAAGGATAACAAAAACATTTACAAATGGTTTCCGACAAGAAAAGGAAAAAAACATGAGGATAGTCACGGGGATGGAAGCTAGGTCTCTCAATTTTATAATTTTGAGTTTGGAACCAAATAAATGTTGACCTAATTAAAATGATTTTAAAGGAAAACAATCAATCCCCCAGAACAACTTTTAAGACCAAATTTGCCCATATGTATATTCAGTTGGTATCATATTAATACAGAGAAGAATTAATTCCACTGGTTTTTAAACACATAATTTTGACAGTATTTTTTTTAGTAAGAGATATCTTAAGAGGGAAAAAAGAATCCTACAGAAATTTAAACTGATATTTCATTTGTATAAAAAAGGACATAATAAATTATGTTAAGGTAATTAGGAAGCAAAATTTTCAATGTAAGAAAAAATACAAATATAAAATGAACAAAATTAAGTTAAAATCATATATTTAATTTGATTTAGAAACATTACTATAAACTTGCTTTATTTTTCTCTGTCTTAAAAAATATATTTCCAGTTTTTATTCCCAGCTTTCCTTCCAAGCACCAACATGCTTTCAGCACAGGTCATTACAAGAAACAGTTCAGAGTAAATAAAATTCTGAATATCATCAAGATGGTGGACCAGAAGCAGCTCAAGTGCACCACTCTGATGGAGAGAAAAATAAAAGAGCTAGTGAACACTGACCCTACAAGCTGCTCCGCTAAGAAACCTCATCAAGGTCTATCAAGGCAGCAAGGGGACACAGAGAGCAGAGAGGAGCAAAGCTGCGCAGCAGCCCATCTGGGGTCAATGCAGAGCCAGGAGGAGATCCCAGCACAGGAAAGGGTGAGTGAGTGAGAGCCTCACAGGGATTCACACTCTCCACAGGGACCTGCGCAAGCCTGGGAACAGGAGAATACCCCTGGCCCACCATGCTGCTAAACTGAGGAAGAAAGCCACCTGGAGTTTTTGCAGAGGCAACTGTCAATTCCAGCAAGACTTCTACAAGCCGTGGACTCTGAAACAGATTGGCACCAGTGTCATAGCCCCAATAGAAGTTGCAGTCACAGTGCCTAGGAGCAGTAAGATTGCTCCACCTCCAATAGCCCTCAGTGCCAGCTTTAGACCCAGCAGTTCCACTTCTGCCTGAACTCAGTCTGTGGCTGCAGCCTCTTATTGCCCCAGGAAAAACCCAGACAGCAGGACAGGTAACTCCACCTGTGGCTAGAGCCACAGGTGCTAGAGCTTCCAGCCTAGGGGACTTGCTTCTGCCTGAATTCTGCTGAGGCACACAGGTTCCTGTTGCCCTGCGAAACACCTGGAGTGCAGGGTGTCTGTGCCTCTCCTAGCCATGTGAGGCACGCCTGCTTCCAGGCCAGCTGTCCTGCTTCTGCCTGAACTATGTGAGAAGGCAAAACACTGTGTTCTCCTGGGAAGCACCTTAACAGCAAATTTGGCGACCCTATCCATGCCGCAGCTCCTAGCCAACTGAGATTTGCTGGCTTGGGTGGTGCCCAAGCAGAGGGAACCCTCACTCTTGGATCAGTGAGAGAGGTGAGATGCCCAGCTTTGCAGGCTCGTGAAGGAGCAGGCGGTGCCTCCCTCTGCAGGGCCAATATGGCAAGCATACAGCCTGTCTGCCAACTACGGCCCCTGCATGAGGGAGCCCTATGGACCAGAACACTCGACAAAAGCAATGCAGGCATGGAACCAGTGGTCAGAGCGAGCTCCTCCAAGTCCCAGGAGTGGACTAGGTAAGAGGGCCATCTCTTTCCCTCTCCACCACAGAGCACTACTTCCAACCGCACCAAAACACAAAAGAGCTATGCAGCAGGATAAGAGTTAAGCTGCTGGCTAACACTCTTAAGCACCACCCACTGGACTGCAGCCCAAAATACAACACCAAAATATTTTGCCAGTATATAGTGCCTTTAAAAATTAAGGCAAAGGCTTCCCCCAGCACCTCACCCCAGCCTACACATGCGCAAGTCACCATGTCGCCGTGGGTGCTGGCACACATAAGAAAGCACAGATCCCGCTGCCATCGCCCTGACAAAATGCTTTGGCTGGCACCCCCCCATCAGAGTGTTGCTGCCAACGGACCAGGAAAACCTCAGCTCCTTAAGCGCAGCAGATTCCTAACCTCGAGGGGCCAGAGAATAAAGCCAGATACCTGGTACCAACCTTCCAGAGTTAGAGCATGCAGCCCAGGAATGCTGAGCTGAGTCCTCTGAAATCTTCCAGAATCAAAGCCAGTTGACTGAACCCACGTTACACCACAATCAAACCCCCAAGGACATCAAAGAAGATAAAAGCAAAAATACCCATCCAAAGGAGAGCACCTTCAAAGACTGAACGAACATCAGCTCACACAGATGAGAAAAGACCAGGGCAAGAACTCTGACAACTCAAAAAGCCAGAGTGTCTTCTTAACTCTAAACAACTGCACTAGTTCTCCAGCAACGGTTCTTAACTAGGCTAAAATGGCTGAAATGACAGACCTAGAATTCAGAATAAGCATGGGAATGAAGATCATTGAGAATTAGGAGAAAGTCAAAACTCACTTAAAGAATCCAAGAAATACAACAAAACATTACAGGAGATGAAAGATGAAAAAGTCATTTTAAGGAAGAATCAAACTGATTATAGAGCTGAAAAACAAACTAAAATAATTTCATAATACAATTAGCAAGCATTAACAACAGAACAGACCAAGCTGAGGAAAGAATCTCAGAGCTTAAAGACCAGTTCTTCAAATTAACTCAGTCAGACAAAAATAAAGAAAAATAATTAAAAAGAATGAAGGATTCTTCCAAGAAATACAGGATTATGTAAAGAGACCAAATCTACCACTAACTGGCATCCCTGAAAGAGAAAGAGAAAAACCAAGCAACTTGGAAAACATATTTGAGGATCTCATCCATGGAAATGTCCCCAACCTTGCTAGAGAGACCAGCATTCAAATTCAGGAAATGCAGCAAACCCCTGCAAGATAATAAACAAGAAGGACATTGCTAAGAAAGAAAAAAATATTAAAGGTAGATAGATAGAAGAGGTAGGTTTTAAAGAGACCCCTGAAACTATTGCTATGGAACAAAAGATGAAATGCTCCTGATTACTGTAAATACAAATTTGCATGCAGGATTGTGTAAAGACAATGCCAGGTTGGACTGCCAGAATGAGCCAACAGCACATGATGTGCTTCCCCCTGCAGAGAGCCTATGAACGGACATGCAGTCAGGGAGGTTTCACATCACCAAGATTCCTATCCCAGAAAAGCAGATGCTCATAGCTCTGGGAATGGAATGCGACCCTTGTGGAGAGCCTATAAATGGACGCATGGTGGGCGCCTGTCCATATGGATAAGATAAGGCTATAAATGCCCTCATCTTGCCACGGCTCTTCTAGGCCTCTTTAGGGTTAAGGCATACTCCCTTCTGAGAATTTCTGGTCTAACTGGTTGCCTAGCTTCACGTCCTGTTTCTATGGATTGTTTGCAACCAGCTTTTGCTGCAACTGTTACTGCTGATTAATATCTTGCTAATCATAGGTTATGAAAGACTATGTTTCTGTTTTAAGGCTCTGTTAGAAATTACTGATGCACACACTATATTGTAAATTCTTATCTCTGTATACTGTACTTCTGCATATAGATGTTCTGTTAAAGAATTACTTCATCCCCATGTGACCATCTCACCTCATAATCAAATGACCCTAAATCCCTCACTAACCTACCCCCGCCCTCACTAAACTTAACAATAAATTCTGGTATATCCAGCGCATTTGTGGCACTGCAGGACCAGAAGGTGGTGAACCCCCTGGACCCAGCTTTCACTATCTTGTGTGTGTCTATTTTTTCTCGACCTGCCGATCCACCTGGGAGCAAAGAAAAAGCCCCATTGCATTGTGGGCTGCTGGCCAGATCCCGCAATAGTAGGTCACCTACAAAGGGAACCCCATTAAGACCTTTTAGCAGAAACCCCAGAAGCTGGAAAGGATTGAGGGTTTGTATTCAATATTCTTAAAATTAAAATGAAACAAAACTGTAAGCAAGAATTTAATATCCAGTCAGACTAAGATTTATAAGTGAAAGAGAAATAATATATTTTTCAAACAAGCAAATGCTACAGGAATTCATTATCACCAGACCTGCTTTACAAAAGGACCTTATGAGAGTGCTAAATACGGAAACAAAAGACTATTACCGGCTACCACCAAAACACCTTAAGTTCATGGACCATTTACACTATAAAGCAACCACACAATCAAGTCTGCATAATAGCCAGCTGACAACACCTTCAAAGAATTAAATCCACACATATCAATATTAAAATTGAATATAAATGGGCTAAATGCCACAATTAGAAGGCACAGAGTGGCAAGTTGGATAAAGAAACAAAACACAATTGCATGCTATCTACAAGAGCTCTATCTCACATGAATGACACCTATGGGCTCAAAGTATAGGGATAGAGAAAAATATACCAGGCAAACAGAAAACAAAAATAATGTGGGGGTTGCTATTCTAATTTTAGACAAAACAAAATTTAAACCAACAGCAATCAAAAAAGACAAAGAAGGACATTACATAATGGTAAAGGGTTTAATTCAACAAGAAAACATTACTATCCTAAACATACATGCACCCAGCACAGGAGCATCCATATTCATAAAAGAAGTTCTGAGAGACCTACAAAAAAACTCAACACTTGACCAATGAACCTAAGAGACATCTACAGAACTCTCCACACAAAACCAACAGAATGTACATTCTTATCACTGGCACATGGCATATACTCTAAAATTGACCACACAATTGGCCATAGAACAATTCTCAGCAAATTCACAGAAACTAAAAACATACCAACCACACTCTTGAACTACATCACAATGAAACTAGAAATCAGTACTAAGGCAGTCATTTCTTAATTACATGGAAATTAAACAACCTGCTCTTGAATAACTTCTGAGTAAACAATGAAATTAAGGCCAAAATTAATAAATTATCTAATGAGAACAAGGATGTAATATACCAGAATCTCTGTTAAAGCAGTGTTAAGAGAAAATTTTATAGTGCTGAATGACCACATCAAAAGTTAGAAAGATCTCAAATTAACAACTTAACATCTCATATAGAGGAACCAGAAAAACAAGAGTAACTCAGTTCTGAAGATAACACAAGACAAGAAATTACCTAAATCAGAGAAGAACTGAAGGAAAATGAGATGTGAAAAACCACACACAAGAACAAGAAAATAATAAGTTGTTTGTTGAAAGAATAAAAAAAAATGGATGAACGCTAGCTAGACTAATAAAAAAAAAAGAGACAAGATCCAAATAAACACAATAAGAAATGACAAAAGGGACATTACCACCAACCCCTAAGAAATACAAAAAACCCTCAGAGACTATTAGGACCACATCTATGCACACAAACTGGAAAACCTACAGGAAACAAATAAATTCCTGGAAACATATGACCTCCCATTATTGAACCAGAAAAAAAATTGAAATGCTGAACAGACCAATAATGAGTTTCAAAGTTTAATCAGTAATAAAAACCCTACTAACTTCCTGGTGTGGTGGCTCACACTTGTAATCCCAGAACTTTGAGAAGCCAAAGCTAGAGGATCACTTGAGGTCAGGAGCTCAAGACCAGCCTGGCCAACATGGTGAAACCTCGTCTCTACTAAAAATACAACAATCAGCCAGGCATGGTGGCAGGTGCCTGTAATCCCAGCTACTCAGGAGGCTGAGGCAGGGGAATTGCTTGAACCTGGGAGGTGGAGGTTGCAGTGAGCCAAGATCACACCACTGCACTGCAGCCTGGGCAACAGAGAAAGACTCTGTCTCAAAAAAAATAAAAATAAAAAGCCTACCAACTAGAAAAAGACCAGGACCATACATAGTCACAGGCAAATTCTACCAGACATAAAAGAAGAGCTGGTACCATTCCTATCAAAACTATTCCAAAAAGTTGAGGAAGGATTCCTCCCTAACTCCTTCTATGAGGTGAGCATTATTCTGATACCAAAACCTGGCAGAGACCCAGCAAAAAAAGAAAACTTCATGCCAATATTTTTGATGAGCACAGATGCAAAAATCCTCAACAAAACACTAGCAAAGTTAATCCAACAGCACATTAAAAAGCTAATCCACACTTATAGAGTAGGCCTTATCCCTGGAATGCAAGGTTGTTTCCACATACATAAATCAGTAAATGTGATTCACCACATAAACAGAACTAAAAGCCAAAATCACATGATCATCTCAATAGATGCAAAAAAAAGTATTTCAGTAAAATTCAACATTTCTTCAGGTTTAAAACTCTCAAAAAACTAGGTGTTGAAGGAACATACCTCAAAATAATAAGAGCCATCTGTGACATTCCCACAGCTAACATCATATAAAATGGGCAAAAGCTGAAAACATTCCTCTTGAGAAATGGAACAAGACAGGGGTACCCACTCTTACCTCTCCTAATCAATATAATACTGGAAGTCCTGGCCAGAGCAATCAAACAAGAAAAAGAAATAAAAGGCATCCAAATAGGAAGAGAGGAAGTGAAATTATCTCCGTTTGTAGTTGATATAATTTTAAACATAGAAAACCCCAGCATCTCTGCCCAAAATTAACAACTTCAGCAAAGTTTCAGAATACAAACTCAATGTACAAAAATTAGTAGCATTTCTATATACCAACAACACCCAAGCTGAATGCCAAATCAAGAATGCAATCCCACTGAAATAGTCACAGAAAAGAATAAAATTCCTAGGAATACAGCTAACCAAGGAAGTAAAAGATCTAGAAGTCAGTAATGACACAAACAAATGGAAAAACATTCTGTGCTCTTAGATAGAAAGAACTGACATTGTTAAAATGGCCACACTGCCCAAAGTGATCTTACAGATTCAATGCTATTTTTATCAAACTACCAATGACATTCTTTACAGAATCAGAAAAAAAAAAAAACTAAAATTCATATGGAACCAAAAATGAACCCAAATAGACAAAGCAATCATAAGCAAAGAGAACAAAGCCAGAGGCATCACATTACCTGATTTCAAACTATACTATAAGGCTACAGTAACCCAAACAGCCTGGTACTGTTACAAAAACAGACACATAGATCCATGGAACAGAATACAGAACCCAGAAATAAAGCCGCACATGTAAAGCCATCTGATCTTCGACAAAGTCAATAAAAATAAGCAATAGGGAAAGGACCCCCTATTCAATAAATGATGCTGGGATAGCTGGCTAGCTGTATGCAGAAGATGGAAACTGGACCCCTTCCATACACCACATACAAAAATAAGCTCAATATGGATTAAAAACATAAGTGTAAAACCAAGAAGTATTAAAAACCCTTAAAGAAAACCTACGAAATACCACTCTGAACATATGCCCTGGCAAAGATTTCCTGACAAAGACTGCAAAAGCATGAGCAACACAAAAATTGACAAATGATATCTAATTAAACTAAAGAGCTTCTGCACATTAAAAGAAATTATCAACAGAGTAAACAGACAACCCACAGAATGGGAGAAAAAATTTTAAACTATACATCCAACAAAGATCTAATATCCAGAACCTATGAGAAAATTAAATTAACAAGCAAAAACCAAACAACTCTATTAAAAAGCGGACTCAGGACATGAATACACACTTTTCAAAAGAAGACATACATGTGGTCAGCAAGCATATGATAAAACTCTTAACATCACTAATTAGAGAAATGCAAATCAAAAACACAATAAGATACCATCTCACACCAGTCAGAATGGCTATCATTACAAAATCAAAAGTTCACAGATGCTGGCAAGGTTGAGGAGAAAAGGAAATGCTTATACACTGATGGTGGGAATGTAAATTATTTCACCCCCTGTGGAAAGCAGTTTGGTAATTTTTCAAAGAACTTAAAACAGAACTGCCATTTCACCCAGCAATTTTACTATTATGTACCCAAAAGAATATATATAAATCATTCTACTGTAAAGACACATGCACTTGTATGCTTATCACAGCACTATTTACAATAGCAAAGACACAGGCATCTAGATGCTCATTAATTACAGACTGGATAAATAAAATATTGTACATATATACCATGGAATACTACACAGCCATAAAAAAGAACAAAATCCTGTCCTTTTCAGCAACGTGGACAGAGCTGGAGGCCATTATCCCGAGCCAAATAACACAAGAACAGAAAACCAAATACCATATGTTTTCACTTATAAGTAGAAGTTAAACAATGAGTACTCATGGACACAGGAGAAAATAAACACCAGGGCCACGCTAAGGGTGGACGTTGGGAGAAGGGTGAGGATCAAAAAATTACCTGATACCATGCTTATTACCTGTACACCAAATGATCTACACCAAACCCCTATGACATACAACTTTCCTATATAACAGATCTGCACATGTACCCCTGAAACTAAAATTAGAGTTTAAAAAAAGAACAAAACAAAACCAACATATTTCCTAGTTATTTTCATTGATTATATATAAAATCATGAAAAACTTAATAGGAATGAACACCCTTAGTGAACAAATTGTGGTTGCTGAATATTGTTTACCGTGCAATAAACTAAAGCTTTTTAGATAAAGGGTTGATTCCAGATCTGTGGAAGGAAATATGCATAGTAAGCTTCAGACATGTTGTTGCAACTAAAAGCAAAGAAGCTAATATTCTGGTGTTATGTGTAAGGGACATAGGAACTAATATGAGGGACCTAAAGATAAAATAATTTGAACATCAGAAAGATTAATAAATGTAATGGATTGAAATACATCAAATATGTAAAACATCAATGAGTTTATAATGATATTCCCATTTGTTGATTGTTAAGGCACCAACTCATTATTTTAAAAATTGATGAATTAAGAGAAAGAAGCATTTATCATGCTCTTCCTTTATAGACTGTATTTAATATATCCAAGTAGTTGGTCTGGGAAATTTCTTCTTTCACATCCAGGGAGGATGTCTGAAAAATTTCTTCATCAATAATTTCTTATAGCTATTAAATGCAGAAGAAATAAGAGAATTAGAGTACCATTTTGCCATACCTCAGGAAATAATTAGCCATGTTCGGCCATGGCTGGCTGTTAAAACCATTAGTTGAAAGTTTGAAGTGGACCTTATAATAGATGAATCAGGTGACAGTGGGAAGGCACATGGTATTAGTAGATCAATCAGGCTGACACTTGAAATCACTGATTAATTTTAGCATCACAAAAAAATAACGTAATCATTTAGCCTTCTGACTTAAGATAAGAAGAAGTACATAACACTATGCAGGATAATTTTATCAACACAAAGGCAAAAAATAGCCTCTATGTCTATTTTAGTCTTTGTAGCTAACTATCAATTTAGAGCATATTTGATGAATAAGGAAACATAATGAACACTAACTGCAGAATGTGATTATCAAATTTCAAAATATGAAATATTTCAACAAATGAAAATGACACAGATTTTCAAAAAATAAATGGCAAAAATTAAAATAGAAGAGAGCAACTATTATAGAGTTAAAGAGTCTTATGAGACATATATCCTGAATGCAAGTGTGTACCTTGTTTCATCCCTAAATCAAGTGAAGAAAAATAGATATACATTTTTGAGGCAAATGCAAACTGAGCATGACCTGGTTATTTGGTTCACAAAACTATTAAGACATTGTTGTTAATATTGTTGAGTGTGATTACATTTTTGTTTATTTAAGTCTACCTGTTAAAGATACTTACAAAAGTAATTTTCTGTGAAATGATAAATGTGGCCTTTTTAGAGCTTTCTTTAAATAGCCCAGAAAACCCCAAAAACAACAACAAATGAGGGATTGAGAAACAGAATTAAAAAAACAGCAAAATATTCAAGCCAGGGAATGGAATAACAGAGTAAAATTTATTACTCATTCTTCTTTTGATAATTTTTCATAATAATGTAATACAAAACTAAATCTAAATAAACAATACAAGTGATCCTCAGACAAACACAGTTTCATGGCACATGAGATAACCTTAACATTTTCTAATTAGTTTCCTCCGACAGATGCCCAAAGGTATTTTATCTGTAAAAGAATTGCTAGAAATCAGGGGAAACACCATGAATGCAGGAATAATTGATTTAATAGGAAGCTTGAAAGATAAAATTAAGAAAAGTAAGAACACAATGCAAAAAGAAAACAACAGAAAACATGAAGTTAAGATCACGGAGGTGAAAATCCAGGAGTTATATCTACAAAGTGCAACAAACATTATTGGTGGCCCACCCAAAAACCTGTTCGATTATTTTCATCTAATTAATCAAAAAAAAAATACAAGGAATTTGTTGGCTCAATAAGAGGTCTTTAAGCTGTTGACAAAGGGCAAAGTAGCATATATGAAGAAAGAACCAGATGTAGATATAGACAGATAACAGTTTAGAACACCAATGATAAAGACAGAATCACAAATTATTATGAAAAGAAAATTTAAAAGTTTACCTATAAAATTTTGAGGATCAGATTTACTTTTGACCTTTTATTCATAACACAGAGTGCTATGAGAAACTGGAGTGATGCCTCCAAATATGAGAAAAAAAATTTTCAATCTAGAATTCTATATCTAGTCAAATTATCATTCAAATTCAAGAACACAACTAAGGTTTTCTTACACACAGAGCTCCTGAAGAATGTTACTTCCTCTGAATTCTTGATTTTAAAATGTGAAAATATATTTCAAGGAAATGAAAAAAAATCAAGAAAGTGTGAAAATGGACAAACTTAGAAGTACAATAACAAGAAATTCTAAGGTGACAGTCATATAGCTAGAAATGACTAGAAAAAAAATTCCAAATTCGTGTGGAGAATCAAAGCATTCTAAGAAAATTATATCCAAGGATCATGATTAAGACCTGGGGTCACACCTATGACATATTGAAAGAGGCATATTTTCCTCTCTCAACAACCACACACACACACACACACACACACACACACACACACTATTTTCCTCACTCAACAACCACACACACACACTATTTTCCTCACTCACACACACACACACAGACACACACTTCCCAGACAGAAACCATAACAATAAGTAAAGAGTCTGAATATGAAGCAAAAGCAAATATGTTATTACTTTAAGGAATTGTTGAAATGCAGAGAAAGATCATTTGTGCCAGGCATCCCCATTTGTACCCCTTCCCCAAATTGATCTTTTTCTGTTTTTTTTCTTCTTTTCTCTATCCTGTTCTGTAATACAGAAAGCCAACCTCATGTATTGCATTATCTGGGCTTTTGCTGATTAACTTCCAGCTGAATTTAGTTAAGAGACACCAGCAGGACATGGAGACAGGAGAAAGGGTGGGGGCTATTCTTTTTTCCCCATTCTCAATTCCATGGGCTATAACTTCTGGAAGAAGCTACCCCTCCCACAAAAATAGTTCCAGTCAGGCTGCTCCTTCTCCACAGCTCCAGCTAATATTACTAACGTTACCACTTAAGCAACACTATTTCCATCCATTGCCCCTCCAAGACTAGAATGGGAACAGCTTCCCAATAGTCTCTGGGAACTTCAACATTATTTGTTGCTTCCCTTAACCTAGTTCACAATTCTCTAGATCATATCTTCATTAAATATTCTTTATTCATCTTACTTAAATTTGTTTCTTGTTTGACCATTGAATAGTACAAAGGTTAGTATCAAGGGTGGCCCCAAGAAAGAGTTCTTCAAGATAAAACTTTGGCCCTGAATTACTCATGTATTTTATGCACCCTCAGTGACTTCCTTGCTGAAGAAAAAAAGGGCTCACCAGCATCTTTGACATGTAGCATCCCAGTTATTCAAATTATCACCACTGGTGGGGAGGATGGGATCACACTTAGAGGGCAAGACTTTGGTTGACCAAGTTGCATATATGTGCTGTAACATTGAAACTACTACAAAGCAGGTAGGATGCACTAGCTCTTTTTGACTGTTAGAGCACTAGCTCTTTCTGTTAGAAAGAAATTTAAAATAATTTTAACATCTTACGCTCCAAATCTAAGACAAAGGTAGAGAATCAAATGTCTTCTATGCCAGTATTAAAAGAAAAAAAATCTCCTTCCTTTTAGACCAGGTAGACAGACATGGCTGAAGATAAAATCCCAAACATAATTTTGAGTGTAATGAAATTATAATGCCAATTAAAGGCACACCTCACTAAAGTTAACATGATATTGATTTTGAAAGATTAGTATCCTCGGATTTATAGTTGAGACATTTGGTTAGAAACAGATTAAATTTAATTTCCAAATCATCTTTAAAATTCTATGCATATGGAAGCAATCTCTCATTCCTTTTCTGAAGAAACATGCTCACCCCAGCATAAAGATATTTCAAGGATTTCATCAGGAGCATTGACTCACAATGTGAGTGCCCATTCTACTCAAGACATATTTTATCACTTCTCTTTGCCTCAGAAGTCCTAATGAAAGCTAATTCCATCATGGCCCAGAGTGAAAACTGCAATGTCAGTTCTGAGAGGATGTAGAGTACACTAAGAATTGTGGGATCTAGATAGATTGCAGGATTCTAGTGTGGAAATGGGTTTTATAGGGATTTGATCCAGAAAGATTAAATATGAGATTGGGTCACATAATCAGTTGGGACTTGGGATTTACTGTGTAAGCATGTTTGGTTAGGTTATTGAAGCTTAAATTCAAAAGTAGCCCAACAGTTAATGAGCTTGAGATGCCAGAACTTTCTTAGAAAGGAATATTAATCCCTCAGCGAAGGAACAGAAAAATCCTTGGAAATCTTTGAGGTGGCTGATTTATTTAAGATGAAGTGGAGAGATGATGCCTTGGAACTGATTTCCATCAACCTCTGCAACAGCAATGGGCAGGTAGAATTACTTAGTTTCAGAAATTATCAGTTGGGCCACAGTTACCTTTGTAGGCCAAAGCAGCGGAAAGGCAACTGCAGTGTTCTGGCAATCAGGTTTACAGGTCAGTGGCTAAATCATGAGTCTCTAGGAATCAGAAATTCAGGGCCTCCTTTGCAGCTGCCAAATATAAGATGTTTCACAAAGGCCTTGATTGAGATGATGCTCATTCTCAGTAATAATGTGTGAAATTAAAATAATATCCCATTCATAAGCATTATACTGTCAAAATTTTGAAATTATGCAATTTCAAGCTTTCGTAAATTTGTGGAAGGGAGTTGTACACTCTCGCATATTGACAATCGAAACATAAATATGTATCATATATTTAAAAGAATAATGTGATAACATTTCTGTAAGTTAAAGATATATCGAAAGTTAAAGATACATGTATATACACACACACATATAAATACTTGTGGATATGAGCAGAATTTTATAGCAGCCAACAAATAAAAGGAAATAAGTATCTATGTCTGTTTGCATAAACAATTATTATGTATCAAGTCTAACAAGTTCATACAGCAATTGAACTGAAAAATGCAAATTCTACATGTTTCATGGTAAACTAATAACAGCATGCTTACTTTTTTTAGTAAAACCCGTATTTTTAAATTATACAGAAGATATTACATGCATGTACATTTTAAGAAGTAAAAGCACTAATGATTGTTTATCCATACTTGTATTTGTACTACAAGTATAAAATACATGGATGGGACTGATAAACATCAACTGCAGGACAGTTCCTTTGTCTGGGTAGGCAGAGAGGGAGTAGAAGTTGGGAGATGGATTCAAATGTTATCAATAACTTTTCCTTTAAGAATCATCAGAAGTAAATAAAAATTTAATGTTTGGTGAATCTAGTTAGTAGTAAATGGATGTCTTTTATGTATGTTGTTTCATGTGTCCTACCTGTTCCCTTTCAACTAAAGCCACCCTATTTCAATTCTCTTTACACACCCCTGTACCACTGATGAAGCCTCTTACTTGATAACGTGCTCCTTATTCCTTTCTCTCTCACCCATCCAAAAACATATCACCAAATTTTCATTTAGGAGGATAAACCATTTCCTTTTATGGTCTAACACAAAATATTGGTGATAGCACTCGTGATTTTTGTTTTTGTTGTTGTTGTTGTTTTTGAGACAGTCTCTCTCTGTCGCCCAGGCTGGAGTGCAGTGGCGCGATCTCAGCTCACTGCAAGCTCCGCCTCCCAGGTTCACGCCATTCTCCTGCCTCAGCCTCCCGAGTAGGTGGGACTGCAGGCGCCCGCCACCACGCCCGGCTAACTTTTTTCATATTTTTTTAGTAGAGACGGGGTTTCACCGAATTAGCCAGGATAGTCTCGATCTCCTGACCTCATGATCCGCCCTCCTGGTCCTCCCAAAGTGCTGGGATTACAGGCGTGAGCAACCGCGCCCGGCCAGCACCAGTGATTTGAAAAGAGAAATCTGATCTATAATTAGTATTTTTAAAATATTTCCTTGTTTCAACAGAGCATTTATTAAGAAGACAACTAGTATTGAAAAGAATCTTGAAAACATAGGCTTGTATCTCCTTCATAAGTTGTTTTATTAATATCTTCATTTCTACTTAAATCTCTATAGTTTGAGACTCGGGAGGAAGAAAAAGGTCAGGAAGAAAGAGTATGAGATGGTGTCTGGGGTGTGTGTGTGTGTTTATTTAAGACAGAAACTTAATGCAATTGGGTCTTGTCCACTAGAAAGGCAGACAGCAGTTCTTTGAGTTAAAGTTAACTTCGGGTAATGGGATCAAAGTATTTTCTCAACCTCATAATATGACACAGTGAGTAGTCTATCTTCTGGTTAAAAACCTACCTGTGATTTTTTTAGCCTTGACCATAGGCAATGACAAAGGCTTTACCTGGCAGGCTTCATAAGAGGAAGCTGGCCTCCCAACACCAGCCTTGGGGTACACCCAGGGCATTGCAGTCTCTGAAGGGAGTTACAGTCAAGGACTTGAGCCCTTTCCTACCATGCTCTTTACACATATTCACATTCCTAGGTCTTTTTATCTGAAACCTAACACCTAGGTCGGCTTCAGGCCCATTGGCTGAGGCCTCCATATCAACGGGAAGGAGGGGAAAACCTTAAAGGCACTTTCCCCGTTTTCACTCATTACTCAGTAATTTTCCACCCCTTAATCCCCCACCCTCAACTACAGGGTCTATGAAACTGTCAGAGCCTTTGTTTTTGGTCTCCCTCAACACTTAGAAAGACACCATGTCTGTGCTGATCTTCCTGACTTTCCCCTGGTGTGCCTTTCCACGGGGCAAAATTGAGTAGAGGGAGTCTGCATTATCCTCAGTTTTAGCCTTTTGCTTACACCATAGCAATGAGTGAGTAAAGGCTTAACTCTTTTACCTTTTGGCTTGTTGCTTTAATTGGCTACTCTGTCACCTGACAGTTCAGCATGCTCTCTCTCTCTCTCTATGTCTCTCTCCCCCACCCCCACCCCCACCCCCCCCCCACACACACACAAACACAGCTCAGCTGAGCTCCTGACACATAGAGGTCAGTAGGGTGAAGGGGAGGAGCATCTATTATCCTCATCGTCAGGGCCTCCCTCCTCATTTTTCTTCTTTGCACTCAGTCCCCTTAAGATAACATTCATATTGTTTTCTATTATTTCCTCACAGTATTAACTTGTGGGCTCTTTCTTAAATCTCTAATTTGCAGGATAAGCTTTGGAATATTTTGATCAATTTCCCTTTCTCCTGCCATTTTATATTATTTACTAAAATTTCTGTATATTTTCTTTTCTATATCTTCTAACAAGTGTACAAAACTTTTCATCTGTATTTTAGAGTAACTTGTGCTTTCCCGAAAAATAATCCCCAACCATAATCAATAATACTCTTGTAGTCCAAAACCTGAAATGGAATCCTCAGGTGATTTCGTGCATGGGAAAACAGGTCCCTGAATAACGGAGATTTTCCCGAGAAAATGTTATTCATTATATTTGTGGATTTCCTACAAAATTAACTGAAAACTTCTCTACCTAAAATTTAAGGAATGCTATCATGTGATCCCATTCTACCTTGTAAGTTTTTCCTTATAATTGTACATTACATGTAATTTAGGCTCCAGCAAAACAATTACAACTGGACTCTATTTTTTTCCAATCTTTAACCAATTGAATTATAACTGAACGTTAGGACATGACTCAAAGATCTTCTTTCAATACATGTTTTCTCTTTCAGCATGAAATCTCACAAAATACGTATATGTTTTATATTTATCATCTAAATTGTGTCTGTTATTTTGGTGTTTATTAAATTCTCTCTACTGGGTTTTAATATCCATTACAACAGAAACTGGATCTTGCTTTTCTACCCCCTGTATAGTCAAACACAATGCCTATCACATTGCAGGTGTTCAGCATATATTTTTTGAGGTGCAAAGGAAGTACTAGTGATAAAGGAATTATCGTTTCAAGTGGAAAAATTAACAGTAGTATATCTCAAATGGCATTTTTTTGCATAACATGGCTTAAGTTTTGTAGGTAAAGGGCGATTGTTATAATAAATAGCTTATGAAATGTTAGGGAAAATCCAAACTATGAAGCGCAGAATTCCAAAATGAATTAATACACAAATTAAAGCTCATAGTTAAATCTAGTGATAACTATTTGTATTTGGTCAAAATGGAAGAAAATATTTTCAATATGTTTTATGGATTAAACATATCATGTAGTCACTATTATATACAAGATACTTATATTTTTATAATTTTTCTTTAATCAAATGCACGTTCATTCTCAGATGGCTTGTTTTTGAAAAGTCAAATATTGAATGAAGATATAGGTATCTAGGATCTTAGAACTCTGGCAGATGGTAGGTAATTTATGATTTTGTGGATGGGTGACCATTTGTCAGAGTAATGATACTCTGTAAAATCACAACATGAAAAAAACTGAAGGGAGGTAGTGGATGCATTCGAGAATAAAAGCTTTTATAACTGCTATTCTCTAACAGTGCATGAAAAAAAAGAATTTGAGCATGAACATGCCATTTTGGTTGTCTCTAGGTTAGGCACCAAAAGGACTTCTGCAGAGTATGAAGATTAGCCTGAAAATAGAGATGGTCTGGCTCAAGGGTTTCCAATTCTGTTTTCAATGGCTTTGTTCTTTCCAGTTCTCTCTTATCTGGTCCAGCTGTTCTCTGCCTTCCTTCTTTGTTCTTCGCTCCTCCCCCAATTAGAGAGAGGTCATTGGATAACAGACAACCTGGGCAAATCAGTATGGATCCTTTATGGTTTCCCAGGAAACCTTTCATGTCCTCTGATTTCAGGAAAAACTTTTCTGTGGAGTATTTTAAAAGATAATTTGAAGTCTATTTTCTCATGTCTGAAGTCTGAGACATTTACAACAGTCTCTCAAAGTAAAGTTTCATTAAGTGTTAGGTATTAAGACATTAGTTAATAGTCTTTAAGAATTGCATTAATAGCATTCCACAAGAGCTAAGTATGGAGATTTGTATAAGAAGGAAGGCATTAACAGGAGCAAAACTAATTTACACATTCTTATGTAGAATCAAGTTGAGAGTACAACAATCTTTCACACAGCAAGAAACATTTATTAAAATGGAATACAGAATTTTACTTACCAGTAAATAGCAACATATTCATTCTCCCACGTATTTACAACCTTACTTCAAAACATCTTTCAGATCTACACCAACTTAACAGGAAACAATTAATAATTTTGTTCATAATTTCTATGCTTTTTCATACTCGAAATAAAGCTAAATAGAAACTTCATGGATTAATTCGGTAAGTATACTCTTAATCCCACAAAGCTATAACTCTTAGTGGATAAATTATTATTTTGTATATTCTTCTCATATTTGAAATATTCCATTTTATTTAAAGGTATATGTTATGCCTCAAGTGTCTGAGACATATCAAACAATATTTTCCTGAAAATAAATACATAATATGCAAATGATAAAATGGAATTTAATTCACCTTGTGTGTTCTATGCTTGTGGAGTCATTAGGCGTGTGAAATAGAGAACTCATTCTCAATGTTTAAGAACTTTCGATCTAGTTAGGAAGACAATTCATACAGTTGAGAAACAATTATTTTCAAATTTTGCTTAATCAATCAATACAGTATTGGAGAAAAACCTCGGGGTCTTACTACTCTGATGATAGTTTCCTTCGGTGTGCAGAAGCTCTTTAGTTTAATTAGATCCCATTTGTCAATTTTGGCTTTTGTTGGCATTGCTTTTGGTGTTTTACACATGAAGTTTTTGCCCATGCCTATGTCCTGAATGGTATTGCCCAGGTTTTCTTCTAGGATTTTTATGATCCTAGGTCTTACATTTAAGTCTTTGATCCCTCTTGAGTTGATTTTTTTGTAAGGTGTAAGGAAGGGATCCAGATTCAGTTTCTCCATATGGCTAGCCAGTTTTCCCAACACCATTTATTAAATAGGGAATCTTTTCCCCATTGATTGTGTGTGTCAGGTTTGTCAAAGATCAGATGGTTGTAGATGTGTGGTATTATTTCTGAGGCCTCTGTTCTGTTCCATTGTTCTATGTATCTGTTTTTGTACCAGTACCATGCTGCAAATCTGGAGCCATCACACTACCTGACAACTTGTTTTAAAGTTAAATACACTTAGGAAATCCAAAAATTCCATTTTCTATGTATCTACCTAGCAGAAATGAATACATCTATCCACACACAGAAAATATATAAATGTTTATAGCAGCATTATTTACAGCACATAAACAAAAAGTGTAAACAACCCATATTTTCATCAACAGATAAAAAGATAGACAAAATTAAATATATGCATAAAGATACTAGGTGGTAAGGTGGGTTTAAAAATTAAATGATAAAATCAAGCTTTTATATAATAGTTTTACAAGTTCACAAGTTTTGATTAAGAATAAATGTAGAGTTTTACTTTGGTTCAAATTAAATTTCATTAAGTCAGGATCGGAAAGAATAAACTTAACTCCAAATCATTTGAAAACTACATTAAACCTGGAAATTATGTAACAGGAACAATGAAAGTCATAGCAGATAATTATTAGAAACTAATAAATTTTATTAAAGAAATATATTTCTTAAAGAAGATAAACATTTTAAAGGTTAAAAAAGTTTTTATTTAGAAGAGAAGTCACCTAATTTCAGAATTGTTTTATTAAAAAAAAAAGAGGATCAATTGCTTCATGTCAGAGAAAGGCAAAGTTCAGTTCAGTATGAAGAAGAATTTTCTGTCAATTTGTACTAGCTAGACAAGAGAATAGAGTGTTCAAGAAAAAAAAATGTAAGAAATGATAAAGAAGAAATTCCTCACTGGGTTTTATTAAGATCTATCCAAGTACTATATATTATTTTATAATTTGATTTTTATTATGCATTTTATGTACTTCTAAATAAAAACCTGCAAACACCTAAATAAGATACTGACAGTACCAGCTTATAAATATCTTGTATTTAGATCTCTTCATTATTATTATTAACATTAATTTTGGTATCAGGGTCCATAGAATGATACCTTTAGGAGCTGGTAAGGTATTTAATAGTATTTGCAGTACACAGACTGATCTCTAATTGATGGTGCACCTCTCTTATCTCCTACTTCTTTATTATAGCTCAATGTGTTAAGCTATCAGGAAAGCTTCTAATCTGCTGTCAGATGCAACAAGCCAGACAACCAATCTTGCGAAATCAATAAACTTAACTATGCATGCAGTTCTGAGTCAGTAGTTTCCCATCTGAGTGAGGTCAATTAAAGTGAGCAAACTTTAGGACAGGTACTTGATAAGCTAAGCTATTTTTGTACATATTTGTGATTGTGATCTAAATCAGATGTCATTCAAATCTTTTATGGATGTTGACTGATAATGATGGAAGAAGAGAAATTCTCATAAAGTGTGTGTTCGTATTGGACTTAGAAATAATTGCAATTTTCATTTTGATTTGTTTCATTTTGGTGGAGTGGAGCGAGAAAGGTATTTTAAGCAAGTAGGAAACACTTGATAAGAGGAAAGAAGAAACAGGGAAAAAAGAAGAAAGATTATTTAAGTAGAAAAAAAAGACAAGATAGATTAGGTGATGAGTTCCAATTATTGGAAGCCTTTTTGTACGAGGTGGAACAAAAGTTTGAGCAACGTTAATACATGTAGAATTTTTTTGAATCATATGTACGCAAATACATAAACACCATTTTCATTCTTCTTTTTGTGTTTCCCATTTAACAAGATAATATGCGAGTGAGGCTAAACATTTTTAATATTCAAAACTGAAATCAACAGTCCAGCCATCATTATTAACTTCTAAATGTGCTCATACTAGTGGTGTAAACTGGTTATAAGAGTATTTCTCTTGAATAATTAGTCTTCTTAACTCATTTACATGTAGTGAGAAAGCATCATTTACATTTACTTAAGATCACTTTTCTTTTTTTCTCCTTCTGAAATGAAAATCAATCATGCACAATTAATAAAAATATTGGCTCAAACTGCATGGCAATATTTGGTTATCAGGTAATTAAATACTTCAGAATGTACACATATTAATATTTTCATCAAAATAAAAGAGGCATCATCTAAATACACCTCGTTCAATATCTGGGTTTCAAGAAACCAGTTTCAGAAACACTGCTTACTTAAGTGAGAGGATCAATAGTGTTGAGATGTTTTTCTTTCTCAATTGCTAAGCTATCTTTGATGTTGGAGTCTTCTCAGATCTTTTGTTTTGCTGAAAGAGGTAATAAACTAAGCATAGTACCAGAGTTTCTGCAAAGGTTTCTTCAATTTCCATTGCCCCAGGCAACCCACGAGAGAAACTATAGTATGTGAAGGCAAGGAACAAGCAAGAGAGAAAGAAAAGTTTTGGGGAGTCAAGAGACAGTGAGAAGGGCATTCATCTCTAAAATATTGAGAGAGAAGGACAGTTTTTTTGTTTGTTTTTTGTTTTGTTTTGTTTTGAGACGGAGTCTCTCTCTGTTGCCCAGGCTGGAGTGCAGTGGCGTGATCTCTGCTCACTGCAACCTCCGCTTCCCGGATTCAAGTGATTCTCCTGTCTCAGTCTCCAGAGTAGCTGGGACTACAGGCGCCCGCCACCACGCCCAGTTAATTTTTTGTATTTTTAGTAGAGAGCGGGTTTCACCGTGTTAGCCAGGATGGTCTCGATCTCCTGACCTCGTGATCCGCCCGCCTCGGCCTCCCAAAGTGCTGGGATTACAGGCGTGAGGACAGTTTTAAGCACTACTGCAGGGCTTATATATTTAATTAAATTCCTTTGTTGGTTGGTTTTAAAAGGTTTTAGTTTTATTTTTTACTTTTTGTTTTTTTTCCTTTTGGGGAGTTTGACTTGGGTCTTAAAATTTGACATGATAGTGAAAGACTTATAGAAGCCCAGTTTTACACAGGTTATATATATATATATATTTTTTGATTACATAAACTGTGACCTATGTCTGTTTATTCAATTACAAATAAACGTCTTTACTTAGCTTATGTTGTCCTTGGTGTCCCACAAACTGCCTTCCACCCCATTACTCATGAGTCAGATCCACATTTTTGTGCACTCATCTGACTGTGGTTCTCTTGCTCTCGTTTCATACAGAACACTCAGCAGGTACTAGGACTTATTACACTGTTCTAGTAAATATAAACCTTGTTGTACCATCTTCACTGCTTTTTTAAAGTTACCATTCCATCCTGATTTACTATCTGTTTCATGTCTTTCTGTGTCACAAGAAACACCATTTGTCATCTAAATTCTCTCTTTTACCTTAAGCTAAAGCCACAAGCAATACCATATATGATAATATTTTTCCTTCTCCTTAAGCCCAAATCATAACATTTCCTAACCACAGACATATGCATACCAATATCATCTCAATGACATTTAAAATACCTAGTGTTCAGAGTTTATGCTTCATTCATTTTTGTGATTTACACCATAGCTAGTTCAGTGCATGGTAAATAGAAATGCTCAACTGGTACTTACCTAGTTAGAAAAATGAAATTTTTCTAAGTTGGATGAAATAACAATATAATAATAGGCTTTTTTGCATTATGCACTATTAATATCTCTGTTTAGTCTCTTCATAAGGGAATTTTTTCAGTAGTTTATGATATTACATATCCAATTTTAAAATATTTAAAATTTCCAGAATTTTAGCTGGAATCTTCTAGTAAAGACTTTTAAAATCCACTCTTATTCTTATAACAAAACAGTTGAAAGAAAAGAAAACCTTTATATTCAAAAGTAAATAGTGGCCAAAAGTGGTGGCTCATGCCTGTAATCCCAGCATTTTGGGAGGTTGAGACAGGTGGATCAGTTGAGGTCAGGAGTTCAAGACCAGCCTGTCCAACATGGTGAAACCCTATCTCTAGTAAAATTACAAAAATTAGCTGGGTGTGCTAGTGCACAGCTGTAATCCCAGCTACTCAGGAGGCTAAAGCAGGAGAACCGCTTGAACCCAGGAGGCGCAGTTTGCAGTGAGCCCGAGATTGCTTCACTGTACTCCAGCCTGGGTGACAGAGCAAGTCTCCTTCTAAATAAATAAATAAATACTGTCAAATTATAAAACATATCTGCTAACCCTGTGAAAACTGCACAAAGCACAGGTCACTATCAAAGGGCTGCAGCTATTTCCTGAGATCTCAGTTAAATTGCCCTAATCCTTTGACATAGGCTCTTTGCTCTGGGACACTACCAGGGTTAGAAGAAAAGGAATATGGTGACTGTCAGATCTTAACTAAAGGGTCAATGACCAAGGAAGGACATAGGTTGTCTGAAAAATTTAGGTGATAGCTACAATATACGTATCCATACATAATGAGTGAGAGACAACAGACACAAACTAGAAGGTTATGTGCCTCCAACTTACTTGTCAAAATTCCGCTGGTTCTTCAATTCATAGTTAAATAGTCCTTAATAACTTAGATTAATCACAAAGCAATTCATAGGAGCTGTGCATGGATGTAAGAGAAAAAGAAGGAAATCAACATAAGCAGAAAACAGCTGGAACACAGAATAAAAGTAGAATGACTCAAGGAAATATAGAATGATCTCAAAGAAATTGTCATACTCTTAAATAAATTATAGCTGATGCAGTCCTACTTTTATAAAGCATAAGAAAGATACATGGTTTTACAGAATAGGTAGTCAGTAAAAAGGAGGATTGGAAAGTGAGCCTATCTTCAGAATGAAAGGATAAATACAAATAGAAATATCAGCACATTTCAGAAATGCTTATTTCATTAAGTATAATAAATAAACTTTCCAAAAATATCTTAGAAAAATGGTGTATAAGACAGAAGGGATAACAAAAGAAAATTGAAAATGATAAAATCAAAATGAACAGATTGAATATAAAAGATGTGAAGGGGGAAAAAGAGATAAATTCATACCTACTATTGTTCCTGAAAAGGTTTTAAAATACAAGATTGGAATTTCTTTTTCTTTTTTTAGTAATACTTCTTATTTCTGGAAGTATAATTTAGGAATGAGTATCATTTGAAAAACTAAAGTGTCATTTAATTTTTCTGTTAAAATAAAAATATTATTGAACTATTATTTTAAGGATTTTAATTTTCTTTTAAGTGTTAATATAGAGAGATTTTTAGAATCTAGTCTGTGTTTTTTATAGTGCTTATTTTTGGACTGTTGGAGTCTAGATAATTTTAAGCCTTCTTCATTTTCTTTATTACTTGAAAAGTGTGAAGAATTTAACATTTTTTAAACAAATAAGTAGTAATTCATTTAAAATGCAATTGCCATTTTAACAAGTACTCTCTTAAGAGACAGGCACATATTTTCTGCTAAGATCTCAAGAATATTTTAAGTTTTTACTTAAACCTTCTAGGTGATTTAGTAGGAGACTTTAAGACTTAAAACTTTTTCTAGTTAGTTGTTGGATCTTGTCATACTTATACCCTACCTTTAAAAAAATTACTAAGGTATTGCTAAACAATTTAAAATCCACAGACATTTTTAATTGTCATTTTTTCCTACATAATAATATATAATAAAGAATAAGAACATATGACTGTGTCATATGGACAAATATATAAAATAAACAAAAAACACCAATCCTACTGAAACTATTACAAAAGATCAAAAAGGAGGGAATCATTCCTAAATCATCCTATGAAACCAGTACTACCCCGATACCAAAGCCAGGAAAGACATTAAAAAAACAAAAACAAAAACTGCAGTCCAATATCCTTGATTAATGTAGATGTAAAAATGCTCAACAAAAATCTAGCAAACCAAATCCAACAGCACCAAAAAGATAATTCACCTTAATCAAGTGGATTTCATCCCAGAGATTCAAGGGTGATTCAACATACACAAGTAAATAAATGTGATTCAATTCACCTCATAAACAGAATTAAAACAAAACCATATGATAATCTTAATATATACAGAAAAAAACATTTGATAAGATCTAGCATCCCCTTTATGATACAAACTCTCAACAAACTAGGCATGGAAGGAAGAGACCTCAAAATAGTAAAAGCCATACACAACAAACCCAAAGCCAACATCCTACTGAATGGGTAACCATTGAAAGCATTCGCCCTGAAAACTAGAACAAGTCAAGGATGTCCACTTTGACCACTTCAATTCGACATTAGTTCTGTAAGACTTAGCCAGAGCAATCAAGCAAGAGAAAGAAATGAGGGCATCCAAACTGGAAAGGAGGAAGTCGAACTATCTCTGTTTGCTGATGATGCTTAGACAACCCTGAAGACTACTCCAAGAGACTCCTAGATTTGATAAATGAATTCAGTAAAGTCTCAGCTTTTAAAATCAACATATACAAATCAATACACCAAAAACAAGCAAGCTGAGAATCAAATCAAAAACTCAATCACATTTACAACAGCTGCAAAAATAAAATAAAATACCTAGAAATATATTTAGCTAAGGAGGTGAAAGATCTCTACAAGGGGAACTACAAAACCCTCATGAAAGAAACCATAGATGACACAAACAGAAAAACCTCCCCATGCTCATAAATTAGGAAGAATCAATACTGTAAAAATGATCATACTGCCTAAAGCAATCTACTCTCTCAATGCAATTCCCGTCAAAATACCAGTGCCATTTTTCACAGAATTAGAAAAAAAAAATCCTAAAAAAATCCCAAAACTCATAAGGAACCAAGAAAGAGCTCAAATAGCCAAAACAATCCTAAACAAAAAGAACAAATCTGGAGGTATAACATTACCCAACTTCAAGTAAACCAAGGCCAGAGTAACCAAAACAGCATGGTACTGGTATAAAAACAAACACATAGACCAAGGTAACAGAACAGAGAGCTCAGAAATTCAGCCAATACTTACAAGTAACTGATCTTAAAGCAGATAAAAACATATTCTGGGGAAAGGACATACTATTCGATAAACATTGGAGGCAAGATTGGATAGCCACATGTACAAGAAAGAAACTGGATCCCTGTCTCTCACCATACACACAAATTAACTCAAGGTGGATGAACAACTTAAATCTAAGACCTGAAACCATAAAAAGTCTAGGAGAAAATCTAGAAAAAACTCTTCTGGACATCAACCTAGGCAAAGAATTTATGACCAAGACCCCCAAAGCAAATGCAACAAGAAAAAAATTAATGGGACCTAATTAAACTAAAAAGCTTCTGAACAGCAAAAGGAATAATCAACAGAGTAAACAGACAACTTAAAGAATGGGAGAAAATATTTGCAAACTCTGACAAAGGATTAATATCTAGAATCTCTAAGGAATTCAAAAAAATCATCAAGAAAAAAAAACAAATAATCCCATTAGAAAGTGAGCAAATCACATGAACAGACATTTCTCAAAATAAGATATATAAATGACCAAAACCATATTGGCCAATTTTCAAAAATATATTGAAAAAACGCTGAATATCACTAATCATCAGGGAAATGCAAATTAAAACTGCAATATGTCACCTTACCCCAGCCAGAAGTCATTATTAGAAAATAAAAAAAATAATAGACGTGGCTGCAGGTGTAGTGAAAAGGGAACATGTATACACTGCTCTGTGAATGTAAATTAGTGGGAATGTAAATTAATACTACGTCTATGGAAAACAGTTTCAAAATTTCACAGAGAACTGAAAGATCTACCACTCAATCCAGCTCTCCCACTACTAAGTTAGTGGAAAAGAAGCTAAAAAGACACGTGCATATTTGTGTTTATTTCAGCACAAAGTCCAACAGCACATCAGACCTTTACTTCACCATATGGTTCTTGTTCAGGGATTGTGCCAGTGTGTGACTGCTTTTGACAGTCTTATGGAGTCAAAAGTGACTCTATCTTGGATGCTAATCCAGCATGTTGACTTCTGATTAGCCCAGTCCCATCTATGCCTCCTGACTTTTATTTTATTTCCTGTCCTCAGTATAAGAACATGTGAACTTTGATGTTATGGGACAAGTTACAGACTATTACACATAAAGTATTTTGCCTGTTCTAGCATTGTCTTTAATTGTCTCTATAGAGCAGATACACACTTTCTCTATGGTAGATAAGCCTTGTGCCTGGAGAGTAATGGAGCGGGGAGGCTGGAGAGTAATGGAGCGGGGTGTGTCTTTCAGCCACCCAACACCATGCTTCTGTTCATAAGTTCCCCCAAATAAATCACTCTATAGCAACAAATTGGGTTCGTCTGCTTCATCCTTTGTTTTCTTGGCTCATTCTGAGTTTGGGGGCCCTTTTGCATATATGGCCCTGTCATAAAATAGCCTTTCACAAGAGGAGCAAAAGGCTCTCAAGTGGGTGCAGCTCTTGTGCTTCACCGACACACTGCTCTGTGAACATGTGGGCGTGGAGGACACACTTTCCATGCAAGCTTTACTGTTATGTATAAGTTAATTCTGCCTAAAAACAAAGGAAACTAACCTTTCCTTTGTGGCTTTTTGTGGAAAGCAACCACAAAGCAATTCAATTTTAATTAACTGAAAAAAGGCAAAAACGATTATTTTTTTCATATTCTAGAACCATGTTAATCTTTGTTTTCTTTTATTTTATTAAAGCATTCACTTTTATACTTGAAATGGAAAATAATTCTCAGCTATCAAAGTCATAATCAGAAATAGTGGTGTATTCCTTGGATAAGCCCACGTTCAAATGGCCTAAATTAGTCATCCTAGAGTTCTAAGAAATCTCCATTTATTATTCTTTCTTTGCTGTTATTCTGTCCATTAAGCATCTCCATATATAATTTTTGAGAATGTGCCCTCCCTTGTGAATATTCCAGTCTAATTTTGCAAGTTACATTTTGAAAATAACAGAAAATTCCTACAAATAGTAAAAATGTATTTTTTCTTAATGCCATTTTAAAGATTTCTTCCCCCCTTAATTAGTCAGGGACTGTCTGTATTAATTTTCCAGAACTAAATTCAAAATGGGATTTAAAACTATTGAAGTACACTTTCTACCAACTATCAGTCCATTAGTCATGTATATGCCATTATATATTTTCCAGTAAAAAACTCTTTCTACTGACAATCATGTTGAATAAAACCATATCAATAATGAGGAGTACGGTTTCTTAAAGTAGAAAAAATATCTTGATACAAGAACACATCACTTTGCCATTTTCAATCGTCTCTTTCCTGACTCTTACTAAACTTTAATTATAATAGAGTTAGATATTCCTCAAGGCTCACCAATGCCATTTGAATGAAAAATTCATTAAAGAAATTTCTAAAATGTCACTTGCTTTCAAACTTCAATCCATGTGCTGTGGAGTTAACCGAAGTAAGTCATTTCAAAATACGTACTGCAGTAACTTTTGCAAATATAGTTTTATTGCCAATTTCTACTAATTCTCAATTTTCTAGTCCGATAATTTATAGTTCTACTTTGAAAAAAATGTTAATTTTATCAATTGTATTTTCATTAAAATATATCTTAAAGCTTAATGCATATTCAAGCAAACTATGAATATGTCAGCATATTCTCCAAATATGTTAAATTTGAAGTCCACTGAAAAGTTCACTGCTATTATAACATATGAAATGATTGAAGAAGGGTGTATAGTAAGGAGTGGTCAGAAATAATATGTATAAATATAGATGAACCGAAATTTAACCAATGAAAGGCAAATAGAATTCTTGAAATGCAACTTATTTGGAAACATGATTTTTAAAACAAATTATATTAATTCCCAAATAATTATATTGTATTCATAGTTTGTAAAGCACTAATGATATTTGAATGTACCCAGGGGAAACCATCTCTTTTTAAATTGTGTAATTGTATTATTAAATACTTTATCCTTTGCTTCTTACATTGTATAGAAATTTAAGACTTTAGTTCCTGTATGAGGTTTTGTTTCCCATTTACTTCCTAAAGTAATCTTTCTCCTATATAACATCTTTCATTTCCAACCTGCATTATGTATAAGTATCATTTCCAACTACTCCATTAACCTTGATCCCTTCTAATCTGTCACCAGACATACTTCCAGGGAGTTATTTCACTGGTACACTTCTTAAATGACTAATGAGGCACTTAATCACATTTTATGAGGCTAAACAAAATCTCCACTTTGTATTTACTCAGTTAGTTTTCAGGATATCCAATGGGGCTGGGTAATTCAAGTTTATAGATTAGTATTTATACATAAGTTAACTTATTTAGTTCTCTTCACATGTTAATTATAATATTCTGTTACGTTATATTTAGCCCAAAATTTTTAAATGACTATATCTAAAAGAAAAATAAACAAAAAATTCCTGAAGTATAAACATAGTTAGCTGCTAATTTCTTCATTTAAAAAATTTTTCAACCAATTGTTTTTTTCCAGAGAAGGAATAATTTGTGTCCATTTCCCCTTCCTTCCTTCCTTCCTTTTTCTTTCTCTTTCTTTTTCTTTCCTTCTTTCTTTCTTTCTTTCGTTCTTTCATTCTTTCATTCTTTCGTTCTTTTGTTCTCCCTTTTGTTCTCTCTCCCTTCCTTTCTTTCTTCCTTCCTTTCTCTTTCTTTCTTGCTTGCTTGCTTTCTTTTCTTTCTTTCTTTTTCTTTCTTTCATCTTTCATGCCTGTCACTGCTTTTTACTGCTATGGTTTGAATGTTTTGACCCCTCCAAAAATTCATGTTAAAACGTAACTCTCAATGCAACAGTGAGGCCTCATGGGAGGTGTCAGGTTTTTAGGGGCTCCACTCTCATGAATGTATATTCAGGCAGCTTTAAAAATTCTTGTGGGAGTGAGTTCACTCTCTTCTGCTTTTCTGCCATGTGAAGGCAGAGCTCCTCCCCTCCAGAGGATGCAGCATTCAAACAAAACAAACAGAGAGATATGGCCCTAAGCTACTGGTGACTTGATCTTGGATTTCCCCGCATTCATAATTATCTGAGCCAATTCCCTTAATAAATTGCATCTTATCTATCTATCTGTCTGTCTATGTATGTATGTATGTACGTACGTATGTATGTATCTATCTATCTATCCTATTGGTTCTGTTTCTCAGAAGAACTCTTAATACTTTTACTAACTTACATTAATTTCATCTCTAAGGTAAGTTTTATATTCATTTCTTTATCAGAATATGTCACTTTAGTGGTGCACCTTGATTATTTATTTATTTATTTATTTATTTATTTATTTATTTGAGATGGAGTCTTGCTCTGTTGCCCAGGCTGGTGTGCAATGGTGTGATCTCTGCTCACTCAACCTCTGCCTCCCTGGTTCAAATAATTCTCCTGCCTCAGCCTCCTGAGTAGCAGGGGTTACAGGCGTGCATCACCATGCCTGGCTAATTTTTGTATTTTTAGTAGAGATGGGGTTTCACCATACTGGCCAGGCTGTTCTCAAACTCCTGACCTCGTGATCCGTCCGCCTCAACCTCCCAAAGTGCTGGCGTGAGCCACCATGCCCAGCTAGACCTTGATTTTTATAGGAAGACTTCTGTTTTAGAATTATTTTTGTGGTGATCTTAATTAATCTTATCTTTCTTCATTTTTTTTAAATTTTTTTATTTCCATAGGTTCTTGGGGAGTAGGTGGTGGTTGGTTACATGAGTAAGTTTTTTAGTGGTGATTTGTGAGATTTTAGTGCACCCATCACCCAAGTGGTATACACTGCACACAATTTGTAGTCTTTTATCCCTCTCCCACTTCCCACCTGAGTCCCAAAGTCCACTGTGTCATTCTTATGCCTTTGCATCTTTCTTAATCTTAATCTTTCTTAATTCTATGGGTGAATTCTCCACATTCTCCAACCAGTCATGATTCATTCAAACACAAACCATCATCAATTCATAATGCATATATCCATACTGAATCATGCTGAATGAGGGTAACAAAGATTAAAGATATATGATCATTACCTTTAAGATAAATATTGTTAGAGAGAGTACTATGCTCACTGTCTGGGTGACAGGAAGAACTCGCAGAAGAACTCTCTCTCTGCTCTTTGAGGCCCAAACCTCAGTACCATGCAATATATCCTAATAAGTAACTTGGACATGTACCCTTGAATCTAAAATAAAAATGGAAATAAAACATTAAATTAAATAAAAAATACAACACAATGAAATAATCACAATGAGTAATTATGGGATCTATGGCAGAAATATATATATAGGGTACAATGGACAGAAGAGTTCATTCTACCTTCTAATTAGGATGACAATGGGTACAGGAAATATTACCTGATTTGCAGTCATGAAAATTGAAAACATAAAAAACAATTAAATATTTATCAGTTTAACTCTTATGTATTAACAAGCCAAGGCTGAAGTAGTTTTTAGATTATTCAGTATAAGAAATTATCTGAGCCATTCACTACACATATACGGTTATGCAGAGAAACAGACACACACAATTATATAAATATATATGATTGGAAACTCATAGAATGTTGTTTTTCAACCCATTAAAAAAACACATTTTTAAAAAGACCACGTTATTGCTACAATACTTGGGTTAAGTGGACTGCGTTTCCACGAATCAAAGGATCCAGGGAATTCTCTCTTTTCTTTATTGTCTGGCACACACAAGTCCCTCAAAATGTTTTGGTGAATAGCACTTAAATGTTTTAAACTTACATCCTACTGGGTCTTCTTCCTATATACCTATTTATGTATATTAGTATTAATTAAACAAGGATAATGTATCTAGAATATGCTATACAGCTACATTATCAGAATATTATCCAACCTGTTACTTCACTCACTCTGAGGAAAAAGTCCTAAACCTCTCATATGTATTTCATCTCTTTTATTTTAACTTCCAGTATAATAGATGTGTCTATTCACGCCTTATCCCAGAACACTTGTATAGAAAAAGTAAAATATTTTAATATGCAACATAATTCAAATTAACTTTAAGAGTTAAATAAAACAAAGCAAAAGCCAATCTCCCTAACGGAAGCAAAAGTTACTGTTTCTTCATTAAATAAAGAATATTAAAATTCAAATGTGTGAGTTATTTGTGTAGACCCATATTATCTACTTGTATTAACGTAGCAAAGTGGTTTTAAATAAACTAATCGATATTTATAATGAGAGAATACAAAATTGTGCAGGAAAATTTAATGTCTCTGATATATAAAATATTTCAGAAATATTGTCTTTGCTATAATTTTGTTGCAGCTATGTTTATTGTATTTTTATTTTTACACATTCAGGAACTGGAACGTTTAAGGAAATAGTTTACATATTCTAATCTTGATCTCAGATTCATTCAGTTAATTTTCTTCATCAGCCTGCTTTTATGTATCATCTTTTAAATATACTAAAGTAAATTTTGTGATTAAAATTGTGTTCTAAAAATGACAACTTACCAATATATAAGTACACACTTTTGGGGGTAACCAAACTTTCAAAGTTTAGAGTTTTTCATAAATTTTTTCTTTCAGTTTTCAATAATGTTTGTATATAATTTCAAATAAACCAAAATCACAAATAAAAGCCCTAACTAGAAGAGAAATTTCAGTAGTGCTGTTAACCATTTTTCACAAACCAATATTCTACATGTATGAAATATTTTTGTCTCTGCATGTTAACAAAAGGAACTGAACCCAAAATCAGAGACTCCATATGAAACCATACCTAACCACCCCAAAAGTTTATGTTTAGCATTCAGATAAATCTGGGGACAGGGCAGCCTAAAAGAAGAGAAACAGAGGTTTTTACATTATTTCTGTGTTCTGTGCTTTTCATGCACGGTGTGATTTAGATTTCTTCCAAGCCATTTACATGGACCTACTTTTAACTGTATTTTTGATACCTCTGAAATTAGGTGCTTTTCTTCTCATAAAAATAAAAACTGCATTTTAAATGGAACTGTGGACAGTTACCTTGACAAAGAATTTTGTAGTTCTCTTGGCGCACATATGTGAAAAATTTCACACTGTTAACATGTCCAATAAAACAAAATTATTCTTTCAGGCAAATTCCAATTTGCATTTTTATTACGTAGAAAAAAGTGAGGTAAAACAATTCAAGATAACTTATCTTTAGACATAGTTGAAACAAGCTTTTTGCTGTTGAATAAACATAATTACAGCAAATTTTGTTGCTTTAGCTTTTAAACTGTGTTATATGGAAAACTTGAATTTAGAAGTACTATTGTTATGATGTTCTTTTGAATTATGAGTGAAGAGTAACTGTAAATTATAAAACTCACCAACATTAGAGTGACTCAGGTTTTCTAGCTTGCTAACTACTCAAAAGAAAGGAGCATAAGTTGCTAACTAATTTGATATAGCTGACTTTACTAAAACAATCACTTAGTGAAGGAGATTCAATGACCAAAAATAGAAAACCTAGCTTCCCAAAAGTCCTTATATAACACTAACATGTATTTTGGTCCTGGAAAAATATAATTTGATTTACATTATTTTATTTTCACACAAGAGGCTGATTTGTATGAGAAAATTTTACTTCACCAAAATGCTTTTTATCATGTCTTTTATGGAAAATCAAGTACCAATTTGTGTAAATTATATTATACTATAAATAAAAACCCATGAGCTTGAAGTACATTGTGATAGAATTTTCAAATTTTTTTTAATTTTCAAAGTGCTATCTCACTCACCCTAAACAAAAAATCATTTTTTTTCTGTCTGTAAAATTATCTCACAGCCTATTTAAAACAGTAAATCATAATAATTTTTTGGAATAACAAAGTGTAACTATTATAGCATTATGCATGAGCAGTACAATTTTCTTCATGGAGTCTCATAAAGAATTATACATTGTCATTACACTTAGTAATTATGTTGGAAAAATATAATTACACATTATAATGCATTTCCAGTATTATAAGTAATTGAACAAAAAACAATTCTATGAATAATTCATTTAATTGTTTTTAGAAAAGTATCTGTTATCAAAAAATTGTTAGAGACTTTAAGAGGAACAAAGAACTAAGTAGGGCTTCTATTAAAACTACATTTTCACAGTTTTGCAGAGGAAATTATATATTATAACATGTATATATTATATGTTATATATAAAATGTATGTATATAGAATATGTTACATATGTATATATTATATATTGTATATCTGTCATATTTTATATATATTATATATCATATATATGTCATATAACTTAAGAATGGATATTCTTAACTGATACAGAAATCTTGCTTCCACATCAATATGTGAAGTGTGACAATGTCCTTGGCAAAGAGAACGTATAGAAAATGCACATAAATTACATTAGCCCTGTGAGACCTATATTTAGATAGATTTTTCATTGCTATGGAAAATATGCTTTCATCTTTCATATTCTTTGACTTTCACAGATTACTATTCATAAAAAATTAAATATGAAGTGTATCTAGACTTTTCACTACTTGACTTAATTTCTATGTATCCATTTTTGTGACTCAACTGTATTCATTATGTGTGTTTCTGGTGATTTGCAATCATTCAGTAATTGGAATATATTCTAACTCATTTTCAGTTAAATTGGATAGTTTCCAGAACATGTCTAGCAATTTTAGAAATTTGAAGCCTCATCTGATTATAACAGTTAGCATATATTGACTGCCACCTATGTCCCAGATAGTGCCTTTTACATATATTACATCACAAAAATCTTAAGGGATAGTTAACTTTAGACAGCCTATTTTTTAGATGAGAAAAACCTAAGCTTAGAGAGATTAATTACTTGCTAAATTAACTTGCAAATGAAGAAACCAAGTTAGAACCCAGATGGTCTAATATAAAAAGATAATATTTTAATGACTATATTACTATATGACCTCAGGTTTTATCAAGCATTCATGGAATTGATTGTGAAATAACCAAATTAGTTAACAATAACTATTATAAAATATTAGACTGTAGCTACATTGTTTTAACTATATTATTAATCTGAGGATCTGTATAGTGCAATTATAGGTGGGTAGGTAGATAGATACATGGCTTGGCAGATTTCTTGACAAGCAATTCTTATGCACCAAACAGTCTAAATTTAAATATCTTAATAAAAACAGATATTACATTTGGAAGTTTCTTTACCCTGTGAACTTTTCATGATGCACACCCATGGCCTTTTTCCATTCTATTGACTCCAAATATTATCCCTGTTCACTTTGAGGCTCTAATACAGTAATTTTCCAATTACCTCATTAGGGGTCAAAAATCTCCACTTCTCTCATAATACAGTGGAAATGGCATGGCCTTCAAGTTAGGCGGATCCAAATTCAATTTTGTATTCTGCTACTACTAATTGTATAAACATAAAGAATTATTTAAAGTTCATCCATATGTAAATGTAAGGCAACCTCTACATCGTTTAATTTAGTCATTTAAAAAATGTTGATAATACCAACATCATGTCAAACCATGTATATAAAATCTATGTGGGGATATATTGAGTGCTCAAGAGGTATTAGCTAATAAATAAAATAAGCAATTATCAATTGATTTAAAAAAATCAAATATGTCTTCAGATATGTTTAAATGGGCACATTTTCTTTGGTAGTAAAATGAAGTGTGCTATATAATTTTCCAAATAACAAAAACATCTAGTAAAATTATACATATAATCGCTCAGGGTTGAGATTTTGAGATGATTAAATGAAATAATATTGTTAAATATGCAAAGACAAGTAAGACATTTTATGAAATGTCTCCCTCTCCCTCCCATCAAAGAAAAATCCGAATAGTTCATTTGAGCATAGATCCCTAGAAAAACATTTGCAATCATGAAATATACTTAATTACCCTTGTAGAACTCCTTTTAAAAGAAAATTGGTCTTGAGATAGAAGAAAAGAGATCTATGTCAATGGAGAAAATTGAAAATCATGAAACCTAGAGAATGAAGAAAAGAGGGAAAAAGTTACCTTAAAAGAATATGTGCATACAAAATAGAATTTAATTTATGCTACTAAGTGAAAAAAAACGAGTTTTCCATTCATCTTCATTGGATACCATTCCAGATATTTATATTTAGCTATCAATCTCTCTTTAGCTGTAGTGGAAAATCTTCATAGTGTGATTCAATTGCATTTAGTTTCTGCTTGTGTTCACCACATAACAAGCCCCAGATTAATACTTTTATACTGTCAATATCTCTCTATCTAATGGACAGTGGCAATAAAACTTTCCACATAAATTATTATTATTTTTTAGTCTGTGCAAATGAAAAAGTCCTGGCTTTAAAATATAAATTAACAACATCTGTTCTGGAGTAAATCCTATTATATTACAATGAAGAGTCACAGATTGACCACCAAATTTTAGAGTGATCAGCCCTGACAAATACTGAACCCAGGTTAGTAAGAATGTTTGTTTAATCTACCATTATTGACAAGCGATCAATGAGAGTCAGAGCTCCAACTATTGAAGCAAAATCATATGCTTGCTACCTGAAACGTTCCTCATTTCCAGGATTTGTAGCAATGTCTCCTTGCATTAGTGAATTCAACAGCCTGGGCCTTCATGAAGCAAACTCCTAATTTAGTCAGGATGAGGCCAAACAATTTTGGGGGTTTCAGTGCAAAATGAAAATTCTGGGCCCCTTGTTCAAAAATTATTAGGATTTTCAAGATGGTGACAGTAGGGCATTAAGCCAGGTACAGAAGTCTGTGTGAATGTATATGTTGTAAACTCATAAAGCTGGCCCTGGATTTACTTCACATCATGATGGTTACCTTAAGAACTGTGCCAGAAATGAGATCTGTAGTTATGTTGTAGCAGATTTAATAAATTAAATTTTAAACAGCTAGTTGGTCCTAGATTAGGTTCCTGGATAGCAATCCAACATTCAAACTAGGACTGTGGCAATATGCAAAAAGAGAGAGAGAGAAAGTTGTATTTGCATAATCATTTAATTAATGTCACTCTTAAAGTCATGCTTTTGCTTGACATATATGAGGAAAAATGAATGTTAATTAAGTTACCTAAGTTATTATGTACTTTTAGAGTCCAGGATTCACTTATTACATATTATTTAAGTAAACTTAAGCCTGCTTTCATAATCCACTTTAATATTTTAACTGTTTTATTATCATTGTTGCTAGTATTTAAACTTTCTCCTAATGCTCTGTGTAATAATATTATTATCTTAATTTCTAGAGTGCTTACAACAGGCTAGTCACTTTGTACCTGCTGTATGTATACACATAGATGGAAAGATAGATGGATAGACAGGTCTGATAGATGATAGATAGATAGATAGATAGATAGATAGATAGATAGATAGATAGATAGATAGATAGATCGATCTGACAGTTGGTAGATAGGTAGGTAGATAGATGATAGATAGATAGACAGATGATTGATAGATGACAGGTAAATATTTAATCCAAGCTAAATTTAATCCAGCTCTTGAGATCAAGATAGGAGAGCCTTAAATATCTAATCCTATGAGAAACTCTACACCTCCAAAAGAATTTTTCTCTTCTTTTAGGATCCCCTCTGACTATTTTACTCTGTAGCACACTGGCCTATCCTTGTAGGTCTGTACTGAGAACACCCCATCACAGAAATGTAGCATTAATGTGATTTCCACTTGTGTCCATAACAGAATTACTGAGATTTATTTACTCTGCACCATAAACAACAGTTAGGCAAAATATTGGGGAAAAGCTTTCAAATACTGAACAACAGGGAATGAAGGCCAGAGATCCCTGAGAGAAGGGAAAATGAATTGAGTTTACTAGGCCCAAAGTACAGGAAGAGAGAAATTGATCAGGATCCAACAGTCCCCTTGAGCTGGAGGGATTTCTCTCCAGGTCCCTGCCTTCCCTGTAGGCCTTGCCTGCTGCTTGTTACTTGATGCCAAGTCGGTGGTGTTTGGGGGCTTTTCATTTCTTGATTACACTTCTCAGTAAGCTGGTGAGTCTGGCCCCCAGAGGTGCAGTTTTTTTGAGGGTTTCTTTCCAGTTTTTTAAAAAATATTTTAATCGACACATAATAATTGTACAGATTCATAGGACACATAATAAGGTGATAAATATAATGTATACTGATCAGATCAGGGTAATTAGCATATCCATCATCTCAAACATTTATCACTTCTTTGTGTTGGAAACAGTCACTAGCCTCCTTCTAGTTATTTAAAGCTATATATTATTGTTATCTAGAGTCACCCTACAGTGCTATAGAACACTAGAACTCATTCCTCCTATCTAGATGTAATTTTGTGTCCTTTAATAAATCTCTCCCTGTCCCTCCCTTCTCCCAATCCTTCCCAGCTTCTGATATCCTCTGTTCTACCTTTCACTTCCATGAGATCAACTTTATTTTTTTTTAGCTTCCACATACGAGTAAGAACATGCAATATTCAGCTTTCTTTCACGGTGCAGAGTTTGCACTGTGGGAGTACACTCTGCCCCAACTCCTCTCCCCCTCCACCTGCAATAGCGGTTTACTTTTTGGTACCACAGCAGCATCCTGGGACAGAAAGCTTTTCTACCCCTCCCTCATGAGTGCAAGCCATTTGCCTCTCCCTCCTCTAGAAACCATACCTGCTTTCCTCTGGGTAGATTTCCAGTCCCCATCCCAGCAGTTTAAAGTTCTTGTTTCTTAGAAGAGAAAGGTCTGGGAAATGGGTTTTGTGCCCTCTTCAGCCATAGCTGAGCATTTCCTGAACGTCCTTGCTGTTATGTAGCTCGCTCTGTCCAGCACAGCTCCCAGTCTTCCTTGTGGACACCCTGGGAGGAAAGCTGACAAGTGAATGCAGTCCCCCTTATATTGTGGTTCTCAGTTGATCTAACCAGTCTCGCTGGCCCACGGTCAGCCTATAGACCTTCCTTAGAATCTAACTGACTTCTCTTGATCTCCTTTTAATGGAGATCACCCTAGTTCCCCACTCTGGCAAAAGGTGGAATGCTTTCTGTGCCCCTCCCTGCTTTCTGTGAGGGGCTTGATCCTCCCTGAAATTTATTTTACTCCATTGTCCTCAACCTCAGCTATTTGGTAGGCTCAAGAAAAGTTCTGATTTTGTCAATTACTCAAATTTTTTGTTTGATTATAGAGTGGGAACTATGTACTCTCATACCTTCTTATATTCCATGCAGAAATAGAACTTCTCTCAATGTATTTTGATCTGTTTTCTTTCTAAAGGTTCCTTCCCTTAGTGTTGTCACTGTTCCCTGTAATTTTTATTTATTTTTCTCTTTTTTCTCCTTTTTGTTTGCTTTGATATGTGTCTTTTCCGTAGGAACTTTTTTCAAATTTCTGGTGCCCTTTATTGAAATATCTGTGGTCAATGTTAAGTGTATTCAGTGGTGGGTCCTGTAGTGGAAAGTTTTTTTCAGAAATACCCCAATGTCTATATTACTTATCATATACAGATATACTCACCTCTCTTTTTGGCAGTTTGTATATTTGTAACAAGAGTCAAGTGTTCTATGAGCCAAGGATGAAAAAGAGTGGAGGTTCCATTATTTAATCACCTTGCTTTTAGAACTTCTCAGGTCCAGAATATCTCTAAATAATTCTTTATTAACCTTTACGAGATAGAGAGCCTTTCATCTTGTACCATCCTAGGACAGACACAGCATCCTGGCTGTACTGGATAAGGAAGCAGAAGATGCAGGTGTTCTTTAAAAAGCAATTATATATTTTTCTGTTTTCAGCTCCACCTTGCAATCCCCAGTTCAGAAAGAAATGTTGCCTCAAATTTCCAAGTTGTCCTGGGGTTCTGCTTTGTGAATGGGATTTGATCCTTTTGGTCTTGCCTTTTAGACGTGTAGCAGAAGGAAGGCAGCCAAAGCCTCATTGTATTAGTCCATTTTCACACTGCTGATAAAGACATACCCAAGACTGGGCAATTTACAAAAGAAAGAGGTTTATTGGACTTACAGTTCCACATGGCTGGGGGAGGCCTTACACTCATGGTAGAAGGTGAAAGGCACATCTCACATGGCAGCCCACAAGAGAAGAGAGCTTGTGCAGAAAAACTCCTCTTTTTAAAACCATCAGATCTCGTGAGACTTATTCACTATCATGAGAACAGCATAGGAAAAACCTGCCCCCACAATTCAATTAACTCCCACCTGGTCCCTCCGACAACACATAAGAATTCAAGATGAGATTTGGCTGGGGACACAGCCAAACCATATCATTCTGCCTCTGGCCCCTCCCAAATCTTATATTCTCACATTTCAGAACAAATCATGCCTTCCCAACAGCCCCCCAAAGTCTTAACTCGTTTCAGCCTCAACCCAAAAGTCCACAGTCCAACGTCTCATTTGAGACAAGACAAGTCCCTTTGGCCTATAAGCTTGTAAAATCAAAAGCAAGTTAGTTGCTTCCTAGATACAATGGGGATACAGGCACTGGGTAGATACAGCCATTCCAAATGGGAGAAATTGGCCAAAACAAAGGGGCTACAGGCCACATGCAAGTCCAAAATCCAGCAAGGCAGTCAAATCTTAAAGCTCCAAAATGATCTCTTTGACTCCATGTCTCATATCCAGGTCACACTGATGCAAAAGGTCTGTTCCCATAGTCTTGGTCAGCTCTACACCTGTGGCTTTGAAGGATACAGTCTCCCTCCTGGCTGCTTTCATGGGCTGGTGCTGAGTGTCTGTGGCTTTTGCAGGCACACGGTGTGAGCTGTTAGTGGATCTACCATTCTGGGTTCTGGAGGACAGTGGCCCTCTTCTCACAGCTCCATTAGGTTGTACCCCAGTAGGGACTCTGTGTGGGGACTCCAACCCCAAATTTCCCTCCTGCACTGCCCTAGTAGAGGTTCTCCACAACAGCCCTGCCTCTGCAGCAAATTTCTGCCTGCACACCCAGGCATTTTCATAAATCTTCTGAAATCTAGGCAGAGGTTCCCAAACCTCAATTCTTGACTTCTGTGCACTGGCAGGCTCAACACCATGTTGAAGATGCCAAGGCTTGAGGCTTGCACCCTCTGAAGCCACGGCCCGAGCTGTACCTTGGTCACTTTCAGCCACAGCTGACTATTGGCTCTGCATATTTTTGTTTTCTAAACTAATTTAGTCATTATTTTTTCCCTTTTTCTCCTAATATCCTTATGGAATATAATGATACATATGTTTTGTTTACTATTCTATGTCTTTGCATTTCTTTTTGTCACATTATCCTTGTTTAGGCATTATTTTATATTATTCTATAGACGGAATCATTTAATTCAGTAACTATTTTTGCCAAAAATTTAAATGTTAAGAATTAAAAAAAATAGCATTGTATTTAGATGGAAAGCTTGGTATTGTGTCTCATTCTGTTCACAGTAGTTAACAGGTGTGAATTGCCTCTTCAGAAGCATAAATTTCCCGCTGTGTAGCCCTTTGTTCACTTCATGCTGCTTTCTAGCTCTATTATGACTACCAAAATACCTGATTCTGCCTTAATGTAATTTTAAATGCTTTCTTGCTTTGAATAATGTTTATCTGTAAGGCCCTTCCTGAAATGAAAGTGAATGCAGTAAAGCAAGAGAATACCACATACTGTACATAACATTAATTCTCGAAAGATTACATGACAAATACACACACAAACATACATAAATTATATATAAATATATTCACATATGTGTATGTGTGTACAATAGTCCTTTAGTCTTTCTAAAATCAGATATGTGTGTATTTGTGTATGTATACATTCATTGAATAGAAAGTTTGGTTCAACACTGCAGATATAATATCTATCTCATTAACCTCTCTATCTTAGAATTTTAGAGATTCACGTAAGATGGAAGAAAATTATTTCTGGAAATTTATAGATGCTTACTGCCAATAGTGGACATATGTATTGATAAATATAAGCTATTAATAAGGTTACTAAATGACACTTGTCAGGAAAATAAGTACTGTTCTATGAATCAGTGAGCTTTGTGAGTCACTTTCTGTATCCTTTCTAGGCCATAGACTTCAACTAGGATGTTCTATTCAGGAAAGGCCTCAGTTTAAAAAGATATCACTCTACCACCAAAACAAGCCTACTAGAGAGTGTATCTGTTAAAGACGAAATTATTCTGACATTTGTCAAAATGATAAGAAAGACTATTCAGGATTATTGTGATAGGTGTCAGTGATATAACAATAGGGGAGACGGAATAAGCTAAAATCCAAAAACAAAAAGTAAAAGTGGGAATTTATAGCTAAAGCCAAGTGAGGGGTCAATTGATAAAAAATTACTATGGAAGGGCTGGGCGCAATGGCTCATGCCTGTAATCCCAGAACTTTGGGAGGCCAAGGCTGGCGACCATCCTGGCTAACACAGCGAAACCAGGTCTCTACTAAAAACACAAAAAATTAGCCGGGCGTGGTGGCCGGCGCCTGTAGTCCCAGCTACTCAGGAGACTGAGGCAGGAGAATGGCGTGAACCCGGGCGGCGGAGCTTGCAGTGAGCCGAGATCGCACCACTGCACTCTAGCTTGGGCGACAGAGCGAGACTCCGTCTCAAAACAAAAAACAAAAACAAACAAACAAACACAAATTTACCATGGAAGACATCCATTCTAGGGGAATTCATGCTAAACTGACCTAATAGGATTCTCGTTGAAGGCAGCCAGGCTAATCAGTTATCACCTAGGAGATAGTGGGGGATTAAGGAATTTGATCAGCTATTGAGGGTGGGAGGATTCTCTCTACACTGACTTAGCAGGATTGTTGCTAAAACTAGACACTGCAAGGATGGACATGGAAGCCCAAGGATGAGGTCTAGTTGAAAAGAGGGCTCAGAGGGACCTGACTAACGTTTGGCCAAGGAATGAGTCTTTGTCGTAACATCATGGTGGAGCAGAAGATACAATCGCATCACTACTTGTGAAGATGCAGAAGTAGCATGCAACAAACAATGGTCTTTTTCGAGTACTGTTAAAGCAGACTAAATATGCCTGAGAAGGACTCCGTAAGTCTATATTTGAGACCTTGTAGATGAACTGCAACCTAACTTAATAGGTAGACAAAATTGAAAACCTAATTTAGGAGTATGTGCCTGTAACAACGGCTGAGTCTTGGCCAATCCCAGCAGCCATTCTTCAACCAGTATTCAAACTGTGTTCAAATAAGCCAAATGCCAAGCTGTAACCAATCCAGCTGTTTCTACACTTCACTTCCGATTTCTGTACCTTACTTTACTTTTTTTGTCTATAAATCTGGTCTGACCACGAAACACCCCTAGAGTTTCTGAATCTGCTGTGATTCTTGGGGCTGCCCGATTCGCGAATCGTTCATTGCTCTCAAGCTCCTTTAAATTTAATTCAACTGAAGTTTTTCTAATTAACAGTACTAGTGGCAGAGGTGGCATCAGCTTCCATCCCACCTGGGCTTGAGTGACCGTGTTAGGCAGAACTACAGCTTATGTGAAAGCTGGAGGGGAGCTCTAGACAGGGTGGTACCAGTGTGGTAAGGCAGCTCAGGCATAGCAAGCATAAAGAGAGAGCCTAGAGAGAGCAGCAAGAGTGCAAGAGTGGAGAGCATAAGAAGCAACTAGTATGGATGAAAAAAAGCAGGTAAGTCATATCCTGGTATGCACACAGATATTTCACGCAGGAAAAAAAAGTTAAATGTGAATAAGATGCTTTTGACCTTTTTTATATCCATGGGCTGTTGAAGCCTAGGGACTTTCAGCTACCAAAATAATAATTCAGAACAAACAAAAGCCATAAATGTATACACAATAGAAATGTTAATAAAATAAAAATAAGTTTATTATGTATCTTCAACTTCCACTTATTAGAATCTAAATTGTAAATGATAAAGGTAATGAGGTCATCAAAGACAATGGCAAATTTAAGTGAGAAAATTAGTTTGCACAAAATGCAAAGGCAATTAAATAATTAGACAAATTTAAGTGAGATAATTAAAATTTGCACAAAATGCAAAGACAAATAAATAATTAGAATGCAAGATCTTTCCTTCTCAATTAAGTCATACAACATTTTCACCTGCAGTATATGGTCCAACTGATCAATAGAGGATATAACAAAAGATAACAACTTTGCTTTCATTCACTCCTCTCTCAATTATGTGTGTGTTTGTGTGACTAGAAGAATGCACAGCCACATCCAGCTATCAGAAATCCCTGAGTCAATATCTGAGTGTGCTTTGGCAGATTAATGGCTAAGAGCAGATTTCAAATATTGGCAGAGGGAATCCTTCTCTCTGAAGCTGTAACTGAACAAGAGCAGAGCAGAACACTTGACACATTGTGACCCCAGTAAACTCACCTCTGACAAAAGCAGGTTCAGGTTGGGGGTGGACTATCCTGCAAGTCTTCCTCATTTGAGGCCTTGATACTGCTGCAACTGAATACCCTGAAAGCTGTTGCTCGACTTCTCTTTGCTTGACTTCTTCTGATATGCATGGAACAATCGACGTGCAAGATTTTACTAAGCGCTTATTCTGTGCCTCAGAATAACTCAATCCCGATGGGAACATAAAGAAAATGAAAGGCCCCACTCCTTAATGGAACTTTTGGTTAAGTTAGAGGCAGAAAAGTAAGACACATGATCAGTAAACAAACCACAGTAAAATTTTAATACCAAAGCACGAATGTATTAAATATAGAACTTGACAGCTGAAGTTATAAACTTACTTGCAGTCTTAGCTCCGCAGTTACCATGTGATTTGGGGCAATTCTTACTGTATCTGATTCTCAGTGACCTCACCAGTTAGATGAGGGGATTTGATTATATGGTTTTCTAGGTGTCTTCCTTTCAAGCTTTACAATCTATGAAATTAATTCCAATGCATCAAAAGAAACAAGTAGTTCTACTTAATTATTCTGAATTTTCAGTTTTGTTCAGGTTTAGAACCACATATCAACATAAATACTTGAAAAAATACAACATTAAAACAAGTTGGAGGCAATATATTCTATATACTTCTCTAAATCTACCACTCAGTTAGAATATTGCAAGCAAGGAGAATTTCTCCAGTAAGGAAATTTCTTTAACTTTGATCAAGTGTTTTCAAATCATATAATTATGTGTAAGCATTTTTGCTCCATGACATATATATATATATAAAATGTTTGACATGTATGTCATATATACATGCATTTTAAAATAATATATTTGATAGCTGTGAAACACACTAAGAAATTCTTATATTTTTATCTCAATCTCATTGATATTATTTCTTAAGTGATAATTTATTATTTTTTTGTTTCCATTCTTACTCAGGGAATTAGATAGGACCACATCATTGAATATTAACATGGCACGACTGTAAAGGAACTGCCTATACAGCACTTTTAAGGAAGTTTAGCATTATCCCTGGACAATTATCAAGCAAATAGGTCATCTATTCACACTTAACTAAATAATTTATGACATTTAGTATGATCTGCCTCCAAATGAGAATGTCATGTACATATTTTGTCATGTACATAACATGGTGTTGTTATGATCACAAAGTTGGAAGATCTAGATTCAATAAGTGGGATATGTCATCTCACAGAAGGAAAAACCTTCATTCATAACATTACTCTGGGAGTACCATGGATAACTTGCGGGTACTAGATAATATAACCAATAATTGGGTTTTTCTATTCTTAAAATCCTCTTTGGAATGAAGCATTTTTCTCTATTTATGATTCGAAATACCATTTTATATTTTTTATCCCTTGAAATCACATACTCAGAAAATGAAAACTCATATTAAATAATTATTTACCCTAAACTTCCTCTAAACTTAGCCCTCAAATAATTAATCTTTACAGTCTGAACAAATATTTTAACCATTTAGTTTCAGTAAAGGGAAATAAAAAGTCTGTATCCTTTCATTTTAACTAAGAAATGTCTTGATAGATTAAGTGGCTGTACTTATAAATAAATATTAATAAATGGTTATTATGTAGGCTGCAAATTGAACTTAAGTCAAAAACCCGAATTTTCTAAATGGCTCTGAAGGGCATTCTAGAAGGTATACACATAAAATTGACCTCAATGAATATACAATAGTTTCAGTATTCTAACTCTTATGTTTGGCTTTAACAAATTGAACTAATACAGCCATCCAGCATTTTAAAGTAATAACCTAAGTTACTAGTTGCTATAAAAACTTGGAGGTTGCAGTCAAATTGCTTGGATTAAACTTTCTAGCATCACTACTTATTTGATATATGCAGTTGAGAAATTAACTTTCTCTTTGTCTTAGTTACCTCACCTATGCTATAGGATTATTAATAGCACCAAGCTGATAGAATTTTTGTGAAGATAAAATTATTTAGTGCATTCAAAATGCTGAATGTTTAACATATGTTAGACATAATAATTATTATTATTAGCAATAACTGTTGATATTATTTTCCACCAGTATCAGTTATGAGTGAACATAGAGGCTGAAAGTAAAAAATTAATTTGCACATTAATACCTAGAGTTTCTAATCATAGCAGAGCCAGAGGTTGCACTATTCTCCTTAATGTAATATCCTTGTTTGTAATGGGATAGCTAAAGACTTACACCTGCTTTCAAGAATTACTATAAATCTACATTAATCTAGCTAGTGTGGTATTGGTATAAGGACATATACAAATCAACTCAAGAAAAAAGAGTATCAATAGGCGTATATGCACATATATGTATTTAACTGATTTTTCACAAAATTACCAGGGTGATGCAATGTAGAAAGCACAGTCTTTTCAGCAAATTGTGCAGGAACAGCTGGATATCCATATGCAAAAGAAGTGAACTTTGACTCTTACCTCAAACTATAACTTCAAATAGACCATGGACGTAAACATAGAAGCTAAAACTATAAAATTTTAGAAGAACGTATAAAATAAAATTTATGTGACTTTGGAAAATTAATGATTTTTTCAGACAAGACACAAAAAAATGCTAAAAAAAAAAAAAAAAAAAAGATACGTTGGGCCTAACTAAATTAAAACCTTCTCTTCTAGGGAAAGATAAAATAGGAGACAAAAGAGCAAGGGCAAGATAAAATGGAGAAAATATTTGCAATGCAAATATATGACAAGTAGTAGTATTTAGAATGCATAAAGAATAACTCAAAATTATAAGATGACCCAATAAAATGGGCAAAGCTTTGAACAGGCATTTAACAAAAGAAGACATACAAATGGCTAACATGCCTATGAAGACACTCAACATTGTTAATTATCAGGGAGGACCAATTAAATTAACAATGAGAGCCAGGTGTGGTGGCTCAAGCCTGTAATCCTAATACCTTGGGAAGCAGAGGTAGAAGGATCATTTGAGCCCAGGAGATTGAGACCAGCCTGGGCAACACAGGGAGACCCCATCTTGAAAGAAGAAGGGAGAGGAGAGGAGGGGAGAGGAGAGAAGAGGAGAGAGAGAAGGAAGGAAGGGAGGAAGGGAGGCAGGGAGGGAAAGAAGGAAGGAAGGAAGGAAGGAAGGATGGAAGGAAGGAAGGGAGGGAGGGAGGGAGGGAGGGAGGGAAGAAAGAAAGAGAGAGAGAAAGAAACAGAAAGAAAAGAAAAAAAGAAGGAAGCAAGGAAAGAAGGAAAGAAAGACAGAAAGAAAGAGAAAGAAAGAAAGAGAGAGAGAAAGAGAGAAAGAAAGAAAGAAAGAAAGAAAGAAAGAAAGAAAGAAAGAAAGAAAGAAAGAAAGAAAAAGAAAAGAAAGAAAGAAAGAAAAAGAAAAGAAAGAAAGAAAAGCAAAGCATTAGCCAGGCATGGTGGTGCACACCTATAATCCCAGTTACTTGAGAGGCTGAGGTGGGAAGACTGCTTGACCCTAGGAGATGGAAGTTGTAGTGAGCTATGATTGACCAACTGCACTTCAGCCTGGATGACAGAGTGAGACTTTGTTTCAAAAGAAAAAAAATAACATAAAATAAAATAACAATGAGATAGATATTATTTCACTCCCACTAGAATGGCTAAGAAAATAAAAGACTGACAATACCAAATGTCAGTGAAAATGTAGAGCAATTAGTGGTATTGTAAAATGATGTAACTACTTTTGCAGATAGTTAGGTTATTTCTTATAAATTTAAGCATTGTTTACAGTATGGCCCAGCACTTTCATTTTTAGGTCTTTACACAAAAACAGAAAATACTTGTCTATACCAGGAATGCTCAAAACAACTTTACTGGTGAGTCAAAACAAGAAATAAAACAAATGTCCATCAAATGGTTATTGATAAACACATTATATTATATATTATATTTATTTAATGAAATACTATTCACCAAAACAAAAGAATAAACTACTGATAAATACAAAATCATGGATGAATTCCCAAAACATGCTGAGTGAAAGAAGCTAGACAGAACGATATGCACATGTATGGTTCTATATATTGAAATTGTGTAACAGGTAAATCTATAGTAAAAGAAATCAAATCAGTGGTTGCTTTGGACATGCGTAGAAGGTGGTGTGTGATTACCTGCAAAGAACTATGAGGGGATTTTCTGCAGAAATATTTAATATCATGATTAGGATGATAATGGTTTATACACTTGGAGAAAAGAGTCATTAAACTGTACACTCAAAGTATTACATTTAATTAGAAGAAAAATTCAACACTTAATTTATCACAATAAAATGGATTTTTTAAGTCAGTGTGTCTTTAGAATTCTTGAATTGATTTTGGGTGAGAAAACCATTAATTCACATTAGTTTCCCAACCTAGCAAAAATAGGAATCAATGAGGTTTCTTTGACTGTTCTTGTTCCAATGCTGTTGTTAAATCCCCACCTTGAATCTGAGACTGTGCCTACATTTGGTAGATTAATACGACAGTCAAATAGAAACCAAACAGGCTAAACCAGTCATGATGGACATGCAAAATCAATTAGTTGCCCTGGTTGCATATGTTTTTCACTAAAAATAAGAATATTTATATAACAAGTAAAGATGCATTGAATAATGTAACAAAGTTATAGTATTCTTGAATTGTAATAATACTTAATGCCATTTGAAATTATGTTTTAGGTGTTGTATTAGTTACTTCTACTTTACATAGGAAAATACTCAAAATAAATCTCCAGAAATCTCCTCTATTTTACCATGGGATGAACAAACATAGTCCTAAACCTAATTATAAAACTCAGAAACAGCCCTTCTTTTCATTTTTATGATCCAAAAATCAAGTGCACCATAATAAAAGCATACACATTCAGTTTGATCAAGTAGCATGGGTGTATCCTTGATAAAGGTGAAGAGAACATTTACACACATGCACAGACATATGCACACACATACATCCACACTACCATGACTTACCCAGACAGCAACTAAGAAACCTCTTTATATATTGTAACTAAGAGCTTGAAATTTAAATGCAGTTAGTTGTATTATTATTAATATTACTATTATTATTATTATTATTATTATTAAGATGAAATCTTGCTCTGTCACCAGGCCGGAGTGCAATGGCGTGATCTCGGCTCACTGCAACCTCTGCTTCCCGGGTTCAAGCGATTCTTCTGCCTCAGCCTCCTGAGTAGCTGGGACTACAGGCACGTGCCACCACACCCAGCTAATTTTTGTATTTTTAGTGGAGACAGGGTTTCACCACGTTGGCCAGGATGGTCTCAATCTCTTGACCTTGTGATCTGCCCGCCTCGACCTCCCAAAGTGCTGCAATTACAGGCGCGAGCCACCGCGCCCGGCAGTTGTATTATTAATGATAGCATTTTGACTGCTTTTCTTAGTGAATACTTAACAAATATTCCTCTTTTCTAACCTGCAGAAATTTCCTGATAGAAGCCTATGTGCTGATGTTAGTGTGACAGACTATATATAAAAATTAAAAATTATTATTCAGACAATATAAAAATTATAATGATGACATAAGATTCTCTTAAGTGACATTTTAAGTTGTATGTTTTATAAATGAACTGCAAGTATCGTGGGAAAGGGGTATTCTAGGGTTTCTCAATGAATTTTCTATAAGAAACTTTCAGAAGCTAGTTATCTAAACCATCCTTACCCTACATGCTGGTTCAGCTGGAAATGTTGATCATATTTCTATTTGTCAGAAATGGGAAGCACAAAGACCATAAAATTTCTGCTATAAAGATGATTTATTAAATGTTAAACATTCTTCTTTTCATTACTATGCATTTATTTGGGGGAAGCAATGCTTGAACGGGAGGAGAAACCATATGACAACTAGCAATTTGTGAACAAGAAAAAGGGCCTGCTTCACTGATCCATAGCATGAACAGTCCTGGAGCCATAACAAGCACACAGAAGAAACAATACCGACCTCCATCTTCAGGTTATACACTCACAGGATCACACACTCACTCTCACACAACACTCACAGAAACAACACACAAGCACCAAGGAAGCAATACAAATGCAACACACACAAGCAACACTCATATGTGCAGTTCACGTGCACATACCCACATGCACAAGCACACACAATGGGCCATCATAATCTACATATCCATGGCAAACAGCAAGTGTTCAAGACTTAGTACTTTAAGAAATGAATTGATTAAAGGGAAAAATGAAGAAGACGAAGCTGTATAGTTATGGATATTGCAAACATTGCCCTGCTCCTCACAAAGTTATTTTCCTTTTAGATTGAAATATATCACAAGACTGAACAACTGACAAGTTCCTTTCCTAATGATAATAAATAATGTAATACATAGCGCATGCAGTTAATCTTTATGTTCCTTATTGTATCCTCAGGCTTATCATAGTGTGTGGGCCACAATAAGTTCAAGAGGTACTTGCTACATGAATAAATTAATGAATGAATACACTGATTGAATGAAATAATGAAAAATTGCATATCATTTTGTGGTCCTGAACAGAAGCATCATATAAATACTATTTCTATAAAGAGACATGAATGCTATCTCTATTCTAGGTAATAGAGAATCAGAGAACATATAGTTTAGCCACTGTGCCAAATCTTTCCCCCCAAATAGTTGGGTTTTACCTAATTAATTAAAAATAGCTGTTATTTTTATTCCTTTAAAATATCTCTCAATTTTGCCAACTATTTCCTCTCCTACTCTAGTGAAGAGTCTTATTATTCCATACCATTAAAAGTTTGCTCAGGGGTCTCCTCATCTCTGGATTTTATCAAGTTTGAATCCTCATCTTGCATAAAAGTGCCAGGCTAGCCTTCTGAAGGCAAGGATTTGGACAATTTACTACCCTGCTCAAGCAGCGTCAATTTCCCAACTCCTGTATCAGAATAATTTCCAGACTCCTTATCTTTCTATTCAGGCTCCCTCTAGGTGTGGGCGCACACTATCTTTCCAGGTCATCCACCTCTACATTTCTCTTGGTTACCCTAAGCAAGTCTACTTACTATCCCTGTAGCACACATTGCACTTTTCCATTTGAACATTTCTGCTCACATTGATTCCCTCTCTAAACTGCTGTTCTCTATGCTCCATTCCTTCCCCTCATCTCATCAAGCTCCAGCACATAGCATGTTTATGCTGCAAAGACTTCCGTGATGAGACGTGAAAATAATCTTCCTTTCTTCTGAGCAACCATAGATCCAATGATCTCTAACTCATTTCCTAAAATATATTCACAGTATAATACTACTTTTATGAGGTAACAAATATTACTAGTAAATGTCTAATTATGTTTGGAAACACTGGCAGAAATTCATTGAAAAAGTTTCATTTCAACAGTGCTTCCAGCAGGGTTAGATAGAATGGAGCATGGATCAGAGAACCCATGTTGTACAAAGCATCTAATGGAACTGGCATTCTGACAAACACATTGTGGAAAAACACTTGACTATGACAGTTTTATAACATGTATCTGTGGCCCAAATTATCCTTTTGTTTTTTACCTTATAGGCATTTTAATTTTGTAGCTGAACATTTTCCCTTCCCTGCATTTTTTTTCATTTTTAGCTTGCCATTATTGTTGCAACCTTATTCCTAATACCACATTATTATTTTACTTTTATTTCCTACTATGTCATGCTTGCTACATATTTTCAATTTATTTTATCTTGGTATATGCCCTAAGTTACTTTAAACTACTGAATTAATTTCCTATTGCTGCTGTTACTTAGAACAGACTTGCTGGCCTAAGACAACACAAATTTATGACCTTATCATTCTGGAGGACAGAAATCTGAAATGGGTCTCACAGGACTAATATGAAGGTGTCAGCAGTGTATATATATTTTTTCTGATGATTCCATGGGAGAATCCATCCTCTTGCTTTTTTCTAGCTTCCAAAAGGTGCCCTCATTCCTTGGCAACTAGCCCCTTGCCATTTCCAAAGCCAGTAATGATTAGTCCAATCTTTCTCACTCTGACTCTGGCTCTTCTGCCCCTCCCCTTTCACTTTATAAGGGCCCCGTGATTATATTAGTGCCATCAGGCAATCCAGGATGATTACCCTATCTCAAGATCAGATGATTAGAAAACTTAATTCTATCTGCAGCTTTAATTCCCCTTTGCCTTGCAACATAACCTATTCACTGGTTCTGGGAATTTGGATGTAGACATCTTTGGAGGCCCATTAATCTGCCCACAGCAGATACTTAAAACTATTTTGGACTAATGTGTCATATACAAATGTATAAAATATAAGTAAAAATAACAACAATGTTCTTTGGGGCAGATAAATTACTTCTTATATGTAAGCAAACAAGAAGCACAACATTTTTCTACATAACGTATCCCTCAGTGCCGAAAGCAATTTTTTTTTTTTTGAGACGGATTCTCACTCTGTTGCGGGAGTGCAATGGTGCAATCTCGGCTCACTGCAAACTCCACCTTCCGGGTTCAAGCTATTCTCCTGCCTCAGCCTCCCAAGTAGCTGTGATTACAGGCCACCTGCCACCATGCCCGGCTACTTTTTGTATTATTAGTAGAGATGGGGTTTCACCATGTTGGCCAGGCTGGTCTCGAACTCCTGACCTCAAGCGATCCACCCTCCCGGGCCTCCCAAAGTGCTGGGATTACAGGCATAAGCCACCACACCCAGCCACTATCTACAGCAGATTTCCAGTAAAAATGTGTTAAATGACAGCCAACCTACAAGCAAATAAATGCACATATTTACAAACAATGGTATTACAAAATGCTTTGATAATATGCCATATAATATTTTTCTATGCGCAGGTTTTCTTTTCTGTTTAATACAATTTTCATATACACTTGAGGTAAACACTTTATGCAGTGCTTATCAGTTCTAGCACTCACAATCTAAAGACAAATGCATGTACTAAAGCTACACTTCTAGAATATCTAGAAACCCAGAGAGCAAGGATAGTTGCTAGAGAAAAGAAAATTCCTAAAGATTTTAGTGTGACATGGGAAGAATGTATAATATATAAATGTGACATTAGTATATAGCATATAATAAAAGTGCTACTGTTATTTAGTGTTGGAACTTCAAATATTTAGAAATTTGATTTTAATTAAAAATAGCAGGATTAGAATACCTTAGATGCCTACTATTGTTTTCTAATCCTTTGTAGCAATTTGAATAAAGCACAATAAACATATCTCATGACTCAAGATTTATATTTGCCGATGTTATTTGAAAAAATCTATAATATAAATAATAATAAAAGAATGAAACCCTGTATTTTCTGTTTTTATAACTGACTGTAAAACTCCATGGCAGGAATTCAGAGTGGGAGAATGTGAAATAATAGATTCCTGTAGAGTAGTGTTCTCAAAAGTGGCTGTCATTAGAATCTATGAGGACTTTAAAAAAGCTCAACGCCTAGGTCACATCTCAAAGGAATTAAATCAGAATCAGATTCCAGGGCATACCTTGCACTAATGAAATCAGACTCAGTTTCCAATTAGCTGGCAGAATCAAGAACTACTAACTTAGAGACACATTAGAATTCCAGCAGCAGTGACAATATATGAAATCTGTGGACAAATCTTCAACTACTAATTTATTTTCTACATTTACTCAAATAGAATTGCTAGAAGTTTAAAAACTAACCCCATAGGTGACAGAGATTAATTTCTTCTTCACCCTTCTTTAATTTTTTGAATCTTCTTATCTTTACTACAGAATCATGCCTGAAGGTTCCATTTCAAAATTCAACAATTGATTTAACACGTTCTTACAATTTAGCAAGGTAATCGGAAGATCTTAATTTACTAGTGTGTCTGTAAACAGCTGTATTGGGGATTGAATAGCTAAATTTCAAAATCCAAGGAAGAGAGCAAGTAGAAAATTTTAATCACAGACATTGACATTTCTACCTAACTTTTGTTGAGAACTCACATTGTGCATCACTCAATTTTATAAGGTGGGAATTATTACTATTATTTTTTTCATTGTATGTATTTATTTTAGGAGATGGTGATATGGTTTGGCTGTGTCCCCACCCAAATCTCATCTTGAATTGTAGCTCCCAGAATCCCCACATGCAGTGGGAGGGACCTTGTGGGAGGTAAATGAATCATGGGGATGGATTTTTCCCACACAGTCCTTGTGATAGTAAATAAGTCTCATGAGATCTGATGGTGTGATAAAGGGAAGATCCCCTGCACACTGTCTCTTTTGCCAGATGCCACGTAAGACATGAGTTTGCTTATCATTTCCCTTCCACCATGATTGGAACATGAGGCCCCAGACATGTGGAACTATGAGTCAAGTAAACCTCTTTCCTCTATAAATTACCCAGTCTCAGGAATGTCTTTATTAGCAGCATGAGAACAAATTAATACAGTAAATTGGTACCAGGCACTGGGGTGCTGCTGTAAAGATAACCAAAAATGTAGAAGTAACTTTGAAACTGGGTAACAGACAGAGGTTGAAACAGTTAGGAAGGCTGAGAAAAAGATTGGATATGGGTCAGAAGACAAGAAGATGTGGGAAATTTCAGAACTTCCTAAAGACTTGTTGAATGGCTTTGACTAAATGCTGATAGTGATATGAAAATAAAGTACAGGTTGAGGTGGTCTCAGATGGAGATGAGAAACTTGTTGGGAACTGGATCAACGTTCACTCTTGTTATGCAAAGGGACTGGTGGTATTTTGCCACTGCCCTAGAAATCTGTGAAACTTTGAACTTAAGAGAGATGACTTAGAGTATCTGGCAGAAGAAATTTCTAAGCAACAAAGAATTCAAGAGGAACCAGAGCATAAAAGTTTGAAAAATTTGCAGCCTGATGATGCAGTAGAAAAGAAAAACCCATTTTCTGGGGAAAAATTCAAGCCAACAGTTGAAATTTGCAAAAGTAACAAGGACCAGAATGTTAATCACCAATAAAATGGGAAAAAATGTCTCCAGGGCATGTTACAGACCTTCACAACAGCCCCTCCCATCACAGGCCCAAAGGCCAAGGAGGGAAAAGTGGTTTCATGTGTAGGGTTCAGGGCCCCCCTGCTGTGTGCAGCGTAAGGACTGGGGCTCTAGCAATGGCTAAAGGGGGCCAAGGTGCAACTCAGGCCATGGCTTCAGAGAGTGCAAGCCCCAAGTCTTGACAGCTTCCATGTGGTGTTGAGCCTGCAGCTACACAGAAGTCAAGAATTGAGGTTTGGGAACCTGTATCTGGATTTCAGAGGATGTATGCAAATGTCTGGATGTTCAGGCAGTTTTCTGCATGGGTAAAGCCCTCATGAAAAACCTCTGCTAGGGCAGTGTGGAAGGGAAATGTGTGGTGGGAGCCCACACACAGAGTCCTACTGGGGCACTCCCTATTGGAGCTGCGAGGGGAGGCCACCATCCTCCAGCCCCCAGAATGGTAGATCTGCCGCCAGCTTGCAATGTGCATCTGGAAAAGCCACACACTCAATGCCAGCCCATGAAAGCAGACAGGAAGGCGGCTGTACCCTGCAAAGCCACAGATCTGGAGCTGTTCAAGACCATGGAAATCCACCTCTTGCATCAGCATGCCCTGGATATGAGACATGAGGCCAAAGGAGATCATTTTGGAGCTTTAAGATTTGACTGTCCTTTCGGATTTTGGATTTGCATGGGTCTGTAGCCCCTTTGTTTCGGCCAAATTCTCCTACATGGAATGGGTATATTTACCCAATGTCTATACCCCCATTGTATCTAGGAAGTAACTAACTTGCTTTTGATTTTATAGGCTTATAGGTGGAATAGACTTGTCTTATTTCATATGAGACTTTGGACTGTGAACTTTTGAGTTAATGCTAAAATGAGTTAAGATTTTGGGGGACTGTTTTGAAAGCATTATTGGTTTTGAAATGTGATGATGTGAGATTTGGGAGGGGCCAGAGGTGGAATGATAAGGTTTGTCTGTGTCCTCACCCAAATCTCATCTTGAATTGTAGCTCCCATAATCTCCACATGTAGTGGAAGGGACCTTGTGGGAGGTAATTGAATCATGAGGGCAGGTTTTTCCCATGCTGGTCTCGTGATAGTGAATAAGTCTCACAAGACCTGATGGTTTAATAAAGGGAGTCCCCTGCACACACTCTCTTTTGCCTGTTTCCATGCAAGACATGAGTTTGCTTCTCATTCCCCTTCCAATATGATTGTGAGGCCTCTCCAGTCATATGAAACTGTGAATCAATTAAACCTCTTTCCTTTATAAACTACTCAGTCTTGGGAATGTTTTCATTAGCAGAATGAGAATCGACTAATACAGATGGGTAAAGTGAAGTAAAGAAAATATAAGACTAAGCATAGGTAATACAGCTTCCAAATCTAATTAGGATCATGAACTAACGCAATCTGGATCCAGAGCTTGCACTCTTAACTGCTCTTCTACAGAAAAATGTAGAATATGACAATATAACCAAGCATTTTTGAGCAGGAACAGAGACGCTCTCAGGTAGTAGTTTACCTAAATGCTGTTCTCTTTCTGCTAAAAATTAAAAGAGCTTTTCACCAGACCTGCAGAGGAACACAGTATTCCCCAAACATTAAGAAGCAGCTGCAGGAAGCATTTTGTAAACATACGGTATTTGTATAATTAATGTTTAAGTAGAGAATTAGCTTACAGTTACAGAATTCCAGTTAGAAAACCTGAAATTTTTAGAGCTGAACTCATAATGCCCTTTTTTCTCTCCAAAACCACCTATCCCAATTGTATCTTGCCCAATGAATAGCAACTAAAAAACTGGTTGTTCAATTTATCTTCTGGAAAATAACCTTGAAAAGTGCTTTGTTTTCACCTAGCTCCCCACATTCCATCCCTTAGGTGTATCTCCTACTTCCGTTGCCACCACAGAGGCTTAGAACCTGCAACACTGTGATAGCTGTCTGATTACTCCCTTAGTCTAGCCTGTCTACCATTTTCCTGACAGATGACCCTTCTTAAAATAGAAATCTAAGCATGCCTTTCCTTTGCTTAAAATACTTCTTAAATTTTAGACTGAAATACTACAATTACCTTTGAGATAAATTCCAATCTTTTAAACTACACTTCAAAATGTTTTTATAATTTAGCCTCTACCTAAATCTCCAATCTCATTTTTCATTTTAATTATAATGCTGGAGCCAAATACCTGCACTTCTTTACTTTTGAGATGTATGTATGTGCTTCCCATCATCACAGAATCTTAGAAACTTTTATTTATCCTGGGTATATCCTATTTTCTTTTTGAGAATTCACGCAAGTATTACTTCTTTTAGGAATATCTTACTGCAATTTCCAGCTACAATGTAATACAATTTTTTTTCCTGTTTGACAGCAAATTCTAAGTTAACTGCCATAAATGGCAATATTCAGAAAAGAAGCAATTATGATTATATTCAAAAGAACTGAATAGTGCCAGTACTTTTATCATAAGTTTAGAAGATTTTAGAAGATCAGTTAGGAAATAGTCTAGTCTAAATTTTTTCTGCCATTCATTCTCCATGTTTGTTATGTTTTCTTCTTAAATTTTCATGAATAAAGTAAATATTGTTTTATTCAATATCACTATGTCATTTAAATACAATTTTTAGAACATGATAATGCAATTATCTATTTACCATGGTAATAACATTGATAACATGATATGGGCCCAGATATTGACTATGTCATTTATAATTTTAATAGTTAAATTTTACAAAGCAAGGAGAACAAGAGTGAAATAAGAATATTGCTTGAAAAGTTTATATATAGATACCAGAATCATATGTAATTCAATAAATAATTCAGACATAATATTTCTTTCTTTTCCTTTTTTTTTTTTTTTTCTTGAGACGGGGTCTCACTCTGTTGCCCAGACTGGAATGCAGTGTTGGGATCCTGGCTCACTGCAACCTCCGCCTCCTGGGTTCAAACGATTCTCCTGCCTCAGCCTCCCAAGTAGCTGAGACTACAGGCATGCGTCACCACACTCGGCTAATTTTTGTATTGTTAGTAGAGACAGGGTTTCACTATGTTGGCCAGGCTGGTCTTGAACTCCTGACCTCAAGTGATACACCTGCCTCGGCCTCCCAAAGTGCTGGGATTACAAGCATGAGCCACTGCACCCGGCCAGAAATAATATTTCTAATAAAGTTACATGATGGCCAGTGAACTGTTCCACATGAGCATACAGCCATGACAGGTTTAGAGCAAACTAGAAGCCTGAGCATGCAGTGAGTGTTTACTACTGCTGTTTGATAAAGTCTACAATAAAATAAATTTGAATCAGTTACTATATAATTTTACTCCATTATAATGAAGCATACTAGTAGGCTGTTTGCAAAAATAATAATTCATAATACTGAATTTTTTTGTTTTTTAATTCTTCTTATTTTGTTATACCTGCGACATGAAGAATATGCATCACTATTGGACATAAATTTTAATCATCACAGAATACAGTAAATGATAAGAACCTTGAACTAGTAAATGGCTGTGTTTCTCTTGACCAGGATATTCTATATCTTAATGATGACAATAGTTTCCTAACTACATGCTGTGAATGTGACTCCACTAGCTCCCTTACCCTGTCCCTATTTGGCTCCTGCAAAAGCAAAATATTGATTATTCTTCTGCTTTCCTGATTCAATCAGAATTTTATTCTAAGGCACGTAGGCTGTTTTTTAAACAAATATAAGACTTAAAATAAAAAATATATAATTACTATATGTTATTATAAAGTGGGAGGGCCAGTGAGATAAGATGACAGAACTCAAAAGAAAGTGTAGGAAGCTGGGAATGGGTTTTACTGCATCACCCAGAATGCTCCCAAGAAGTATCACCAAATCTCCATATTAAAGAATATACTGAACGCAGATGAGTGCTGATATTCAAGGCCGTAGCAATTTGCAGGTAGAGTTTTTGCAGGAATAATCTGAAGTTTATATAAAATATAATTTGGGGAGCATTTCTATGGTTCTTGTTCATTGTTCCACTTTGCAGTATGACTAACACAAATGACTAGAAAACAAGCAGGAAGTCCTACTTCCTAGGCAAAACTCTTAACAAAGAGCCTAAAACCTATTCTGAAAGCAAACAGCATCCCAAGTGCATAAATTGAGCCAAGAAAAAGGATTATGGAGAAGACTATACTTTAGCAGGCACATAAACATCAGAGAGCTGGGCTATATACACATAGTTGTGCTTATCTATATATGTCATAAAGGGTCTTACCTTCTGTAAATGAACAGTTTTACATAATGGTATAATAAACGAAGAGAAAAAGAAAGATGAAAATAAAAAGAAAGTGGAAGTAGATAAGAAAGAAGGCAGGAATGGAGGGAGAAAAAAGGTAGAAAGGAAGCTTTGTTAAAAGACTTCTGACTTGCAAAAAGGGTGAAGAGAGTGGATAATGGTGATATATGACATTTCAATGAAAAACTTTGCTGTCTGTAATTTTTTTTATTAAAGAGTGACAATACTCTTCCTCATTTGTGCAAAGGGAAAAAAAAAAGAATGGAAAAAGCTAACTCCTGTTCTGACCATGACAGCGTATATACTTGAGTGTGACTGATGCCTTGGAAAAGGCATGGGGTAATGAGAGTTACGACATTGATTAAAAGAAGCAGAAGGAATTGGCTGGACAACGGCAGTGAAAAGCAATAAGGCAGTGCTGAAAAACTACCAAAAGCTTCATTCATTTATTAATCTATTCATTCATTCATCCAATTGTACAAAGTAATAAGGCAGGCATGGTCACTTTCCTCAAGGAGTCAGTGTCAGAAGGAGACATAAAAGAAATCATCCCTAAAGTAACCAGTTTCATTTTGTGAATCTACAATGGTAAAGTACATATACAAAAGAGACAAAATGACTCGGGATCAGGAAAATACATGTTTCCTCAGGTTCTCGATGAAAGGCTGAATATCTCCACCACGGTTGTGTTCTAAGAACAGGGATACATGGTGAAAATAAAAGTCTAAAAATACAATATCTGACAACCAGTGCTGGAGGCAGAGTGAGGATTTTCTTAAACTCATAGAGTTCAGAGAATATAAACAGCTTGGCTCCTCCTTCAAAACATATGAACCAAGTTCTTACAGTCTTGAAATAACTGAAATTCATAAACCTACATAAATAACAATTATGCATAATCAAACAGGTTTAACTTCAGAAATGAAGTGAATCACTGGGCAACTACAACAAGCTAGCAATTTTGAGACCAGCTGTTTCTCATAAAAGTGGAACTGTAATTTGGATAACAGAACATAGGCAGAATGAAGACACTGTGTTTCCCTTTGAGTAATTGCTTTTGTTACTAATAGAAAAGAACACATTCTCTTATCCTGAAGTAGCATTACAATATGTGGCAGCCTCTAACTAAATCAGAGAGGAATAATTAAGAGGATATATAACAATTTGATGTATTAACTTCTAGAAGACCATTGTACTTGAGGAAGCCAATAAATAATATTTTGAAAGGTAAGGGCACATATAATTAAACGTAACTGAAAAGATAAAATAACCAATTCTCATACTGCTACACCTAAACTTTCAAGCTTGCATCTATAAATATGAAGCAGAGTGTAGTTGTTTATGCAAGTGTCAGAGTTTCTTGAAGGATAGGTTTTAGTTATTAATAAATCATAACATATGAGAGGGACATAATGTAATATCTAGGCTAAGAAATTCTATAGCCATAAGAACTCTCACCTGCCTTGGAAAGTAAATAGCTCTGGGGAGCCATATGCGGCCAAAGGAAGCCACAACTTTTCTTACTCTATACATAATTTCAGCATTTAACCTTGTATTGGTTGATCTATCTGGTTGTGTGTGTCTTTTATTTATATCATACTATGGAGCTTAGCAAGAGTAAGAACTATAGCTTCTCTCTGTTGCCATCTATAGCTCACAGCACTTAGTATCCAGCAGGTGCTCAAGTAATATTATTGATAGTTATGCCATACTGATGTGTATTTGACCTTGCATGCCTCAGGTAAATCACAATATTCTGCTTTTTGTTTATGTTTTCTTCTTTTCTTCAAAGAGTTTCTCCCAGAGAAAGTCAGGATTATCAGTTGGGTTTCCACATCGACCTATGCCTAAAGTTGACACTGCATATTTAATAGTTTGTTTGCAAATACTTGTGGGTCAAGCACTAGCCTCCCATGTTTTGGTGGGTGAAAGATGAATAGGCTATGACCACAAAGAGCTTAAAGTCCAAAAGGGTTAGTTGTCTATTAATCTCGATGACACTCAAAATCCAGTAAATTTTGAAGGGCAATGTATGTGAATGACAAGGAAGGTATTCCAGGTAATAGTGTCACAACACACAAATGAAAGAAGTGAGTCTGTCTTACAAACAGTGGACTCAGCATAAATATACACTACAGTACACATGTATTCTAACTATTCTAAGTAACTTTATTTAGAATAGTAACAGATTCAGGTTTTTATACAGGAAATAACTACAGCCTTGGCGTTTGGGAAACTTGGTTCTCGTTCTGACTCCCCACATGTAGCTGCATATCTAGTTCTATGTTTACTCATCTGTGATAAGCAGTGGGCTAACAAACTCTCAGTTCTTTTCAGTTTTAATATTATATGTTTATGATTAGATTAGGTGGCTGATGGGGGGTGGCAGGTGAATGATGGCATCAATCTTCAGTGGCAGAGAGAAAAGTAACATTAAAAATATAAAATCTGACCAGCATGGTGCCTCATGCCTGTAATCCCAGCACTTTGGGAGGTCGAGGTGGGTGGGTCACTTGAGGTCAGGAGTTTGAGACCAACCTGTCCAAAATAACAAAACCCCGTCTCTACTAAAAAAAAAAAAAAAAAAAAAAAAAAAAAAAATTAGTCGGATGTGTTGGCATCCACCTGTAATCCCAGCTAATCAGAAGGCTGAGGCAGGAGAATCACTTGAATCCAGGTGGCAGAGGTTGCTGTGAGCCGAGATCGCTCCACTGCACTCCAGCCTCGGTGACAGAGCAAAGCTCCATCTAAATAAAAATAAAATTAAAATAAAATCTGAAGTGCAAGAATTGATTTAGAAGGAAATCTCTTGATTTTTTCCCTCTTTATGTGTATACTGTGATTTTTATGTTCTGACAGAAAACTCAAGTGAAAAATTTTAGGGGACAATGGAGAATATGGACTTGACACTTCAGAGAGAACACTTGCGACAAGAGTGGATTTGGAAGTCTTCTGCATAAAGGTGACGGTGCTTTGAAAGTGAATGATATCACAGAGAGTAAAATTTTTACAGAAAGAAAAAAAGCAGTCCAATGACAAAGCTTTTGCCAAGATTCATGTGTAGGCAGTGTCAAAAGAAGAAGCAGAAAAGGTGACAGCTATTTCAGTGAAGAACTTTATAAGCGTATGTCAGAATTTTTTTTAATGTTAAGAAAAAATGGTAATTCTTCATATGCATATTTGCTAGCCTTTATTAAATGATCGTAAGAACCATGCAAGGGTAATATTACTAAACCAATTACTATGAGGAATGTCAGTGGTAGAGATATAGTGGAGTATTAGACATTGCCATTTTTTCTCCTAGCTTGAAAATGATGGATTCATGTTTCAGAGTTAGACATTTTTAATGCCAGGAGCCATGTTCTCTTAGTTATTACTTTAATAAGATCAAGAAAGATGAAGAATCAAAAAATCCCACTGAATTTGATGTTTGGGAAAGTGTTGTGTATCTTTCAGAGAACACAAATCAAATTTCAAAGAAGTGCTAAATTTAGAAGGTGTGGTGGCAAGCTACACACAAAACAGAAAGCCTACATCCCCAAAACAGGAATAAGGTCATAATACTTTATGAGTAATAAAGAAAACACACTTAAAGGGTGGAAACTTGAGAGTGTAGGAAAATCAAAGGGAAACATGTCATGTAATAATGTGATCTCAGCTAAAGTTTAGGAAGAAAAAAGAAAAAAGAGCATACAATTAAAGAAACTAGAAATAAGGCTGTTTACACATTGTTCAAAACTATAAAGTCACAATTTGCCTGGGTTCAGACCCTAGTTATGTCATTCACTAGCTGTTTGGCTTTAGGAAGCTTACTTATTTCTCTATGCCTAAATTTCCTCATCTGTAAAATGTATAAAAGAGCAATATCTAAAACACAGGTTTGTTGTAATGATTACATGAATGGTGCATGCCAGATAGATGTAAGCACAAAGAAAATAGTACATACCACTAGAGGTAATTCAAGGACACATAGAGCTTGACATTTGAAACACAAATAATGACACTGGATTTAGTTAAAAGGATAAAGATATAGAAACAGTTTAAGGAAAGAACAAACTGTAAGAGAGGGATAATGGCCATCCATCTACTAAAGACTCTGCTGAAACCTCTGATTTATTCATCTCCCCAAAGAAAGATTATCCATTTCCCTGATCAGGGCCTGAGTTATTGATTCAGTCACATTTACTAACAGGCAGTATTATGGGGCATTAAAAATAAATTAATTTCCATATGCAATTTCTTGTATTTGTTGCCCCGCATGAAGCAAGTGGTACATAGCCTCTCAGCCTGTCACATACAGGCTCTTTTAGCTTTTTCTTTTCTGTTTCCTTTCTACCAGCTGAGGCAGTGTAGGGCAAGAAGACAGAAATGTCAGAAAGTTTGGTTAGGGCCTTTATGGGGAAGGGATGGCCTGTCTTAGACTCCTGCCCTTAGCTAAGTACTTCAAAGTAACTTTACCAATATTCTATGGAATTGAAAATTAGACACAAGTCTAACTGTTAATATATTGGTATTCATTTGTCATTCTTTGTGTGTTATATACACAATAGCAATAATTAGGGAATTTTTATGTCCTTTCCCCTAATACCACATGAAGCCATCAATACTCTAACCACTTACTAGTTTCTTCCTTGCTCAAACTCATCTTTTCTATTTGAAATGAGATCATAGATTGAGAGAAACAGAAGTGGAGATATGAATGGCTGCTTCAGGAGAGAAAAGAAAGTGTGAGAAATATATTACAGAGAACCAACAATAATAATACAAAGAGATGTGTTAAAGGAGGTTTGAGCAACTAACTATGAGAAACCAACTGAGCTTTTCTTGGATGAAAGTATAGTAAAGCATGATTTTATAGCTTTATCAAACAATGTTAGGTTATGCCAGATAGAAAGTGCAATAGAAACTGAAGCTGTCAAACAAATAAATTTCTTTCACTATTGATATGTCTTCTTTCCTGGCCCCATGCAAAATCCTCGAAGAGAAAGCCCATGACTCACATCTCCAGCTTGGAACTCTTCTTTCTCCTCCAGACACAAATGTCTATGTACTAGACATAACTATTTGGATTTCTAAAACATCTCTAATTCACCACAACTAACAGAATACTACAGATACTGTCCCCATTTCTTCAAATCAGTGGTTTCTTGCAGCTTTCTCCACTTCTCTAGAAGGTAGCTGAACATTTCTAGTTTTTCAAGTCCAAACCCTTTGTTCTGTCCATAACCTCTCCCTCCCTCCCCGACTCTTTCTCATCCCTGTCTTTGTCTCTATATCTCTGTCTCTCTGTATTCTTTATTTCTATCGATGTCTTCTCTATTGCTTTCTTCAATACATTTATCAACACATCCTATTGTACACTATACACCCAATTTTTATACTTTGCACCCCTCATTCCCCTACTTTTCTAGGCCATCATTATTTTTCACATGGATTAGCAAAATAGCTTCCAACCAGACTCCTGGCTTCTTTACCTGGACACTATTTTCAATACAACAGGATGAAGAGATATTTTTAAATATAAGTTTATCTTTTCACTTCTTTACTCAAAACCTTGCAGGGGCTTTTAATATCATCCAGAGAAAAAGCCACTATCCTTACAATGACCTTGGTGGATTAAAATAAGTATTTATTTCTTGTTTTTACTTGCTTATCTGTGCTTTGACTGTGTGTGGTGGTGGAGGGGGCAGGTGATTGGGAGTCAAATTTCTCTATTGATCTTGGCTGGACTTCATCAGACTTGGCTCCAGGCCCCAGATTTGTTCACATCTACTTGACATATCTCTCCTCTTTCTGTGACAAGCGTTCTACATAAACCATGTTCTTTTTATGATGATGGCAGAAGCACGAGAATGAGAACAAAATCATGTAATGCATATTAAAGCTTAAACTTGAAGATATATAATGTCATTTCTGCTCACATTGTATTGACCAGCTCATATGACTGTACTGGCAAAGGATGTGGAAAGAAGAAGTAATAAGGAATTAGAAATAATCGTTCAAACTATCACAACCTATAAAGACATACTTGATCTGGCTACTCATTTCCTCCATGACCCCATCTTTTACATTTCTCCTCATTCAATGTACTTCAGTCACATTTGTCTCCTTTCCGTTCCTTATATGTGCCAGGCAAGATCAGCCAACAAAAAAATATGTAATTGCTTTTTTCTCTGCCTATGATGCTCTTCCTGCACATATCTACATAGCTAGTTTGTTCATTTCCTTCATGTCTTTACCCAAAAGTCTCCCTTTCAAGTGAGGCTTTCCCTGACCACCTACTCAAACTTTTCATATTTACTCTGCATTTTGTATTCTTTTATACCTGCATTTTGTATTATTTGCATTTTGTATTCTTTTGTATTGTTTTCCCTTTTTTTGTATTCTTTTTCCTTTAATACCCATTATTAAGTAATCTACCATTTTTTTACTTACCATGTTCATTGTCTTTCTACCCCGTTAAGATATGTGTTTCATAAGAGTGCTAATTTCTTTATGCTTTGTTCAGCATATGCCAAAGCCTTGGAATAAATATTTATGAATGAATGAATGAAGATGGATATCAAAGTCAACGTTGAGTCCCCTAGCTGGCCCTTTCCTCCTACACATGAATTGATAGGCAATCTAAACAAGACATTGTACTTCCCAAATCATATCAGGGACCTCTCTTAAATTTGATGCTAGCTGGGTGTAGTGGCAGGCACCTGTAATCCCAGCCACTCAAGAGGCTGAGGCAGGAGAATCCCTTGAACCCGGGAGGTGGAGGTTGTAGTGAGCTGAGATGGCACCACTGCACTCCAGCCGGGGTGACAGAGTCAGACTCTGTCTCAAAGAAAACAAAACAAAACTACAACAAAAAGAAACTTGACACTCGGTTTTTGCTGTCAGCCAGCTCATTTGTAGATGGTTCCATTGTAGATGTTTCAATCTAGTTAGTTAGGCATCATTGTGTTCTTATAAAGCAAATACTTCAAACATCCTTGATCCAAGTACTCCTTTCTCACAATCTATAGCTTTGCCACATTCAACCTGATTCTCATATTTATTTCTTAGAACTCCAGTTAAGTAAAATCATGAAATCTCTTTGTGGGATTATATCTGGGTATTCTCTTAGTCAAGAAGCAGAGTTGGCCGGGTGCGGTGGCTCGCGCCTGTAATCCCAGCACTTTGGGAGGCTGAGGTGGGTGAATCATGAGGTCAGGAGTTCGAGACCCAGCCTGATCAACATGTGTTGTATATATATATATATACACAAAAATTAGCCGGGCGTGGTGGTGCATGCCTATAACCCCAGCTACTCAGGAGGCTGAGGCAGGAGAATTGCTTGAACCCAGAAGGCAGAAGGTTGCAGTGAGCCAAGATTGCGCCACTGGACTCCAGCTTGGGTAACAGAGCAAGAATCCATCTCAAAAAAAAAGAAGCAGAGTTAGGCTATTAATTGTTTTAGATAACATTTTAAACATGTTATTTGTTATTTTTCATGAGCACTGTGCACATTTATGCATTTTTTTCATATTGCTGTGGTTATGCTATATTTCTACACCCATTTATATCATCTATTATTTAAGAAATTCACATGTCATATTAGCAGAATTAACATTCAAATGGACTTTTTCTTTAGAAGATCAAGCAAAGAAACATTTGTGGAGGAAAAAGAGAAAATGAGCTATGCTCATAGTATCAGGGAATAATAATTGTGATTTCTAATTTTGGCGTAAACTTTGGTAGATCAATAACCATTCTTTATTGAAATACACTCAAAGTCTTATTTTAAAGTTCTTTAAGAGGGAAAGTTAAAATCTTAATGGTGACACTAAAGTAAGTGTAGTGTGTGTTTGTTTGCTTTCATAAGAGTTAGGAGAGGTAAATAACTCATACTCCGTATTAGAAGTTACTTTGTTTTCTATTATAAGAGATGAGAATTACAATCTATTATTAGAGATGGGAAGTACAATCAAGTTTAAGAAAAAATGAGGCTCAGTTTTTATCATTTAAATGTGTTTTGAAAAGAAAATCTAATCATGTTTTTGCTTAATGGCAATGGTATGTTCTGAGAAATGCATTATTAGGCAATTTTATCCTTGTGCAAACATCAAAGAGTGGACTTACACACAACTAGATGGAATAACCTACCACGCATCTAGGTTATATGGTCTAGGCCATTACTTCTAGGTTACAAACCTGTACAGCAAGTACAGTACTGAGCACTGTAGGTAACTAACACAACAGTATTTGTATATCTAAACATATCTAAACATAGAAAAGGTACACTAGGCAGAGCATGGTGGCTTATGCCTGTAATCCCAGCACTTTGGGAGGCCAAGGCGGGTGGATCATGAGGTCAGGAGATCGAGACCATCCCGGCCAACATGGTGAAACCCTGTCTCTACTAAGAATACAAAAAATTAGCTGGGCGTGGTGGTGTGTGACTGTAGTCCCAGCTACTCAGGAGGCTGAGGCAGGAGAATCGCTTGAATCCAGGGGGCAGAGGTTGCAGTGAGCTGAGATCACGCCACTGCACTCCAGTCCGGCAACAGAGCAAGACTCAGTCTCAAAAAAAAAAAAAAAAAAAAAAAAGAAAGAAAAGGTACACTAAAAGTGCAGTATAAAAATAAAAGGAGACACCTCTATAAGACACTTACCATGAATGGAGCTTTCACTAGTAGAGTTTCTCTGGGTGAGTCAGTGAGTGAGCTGTAAGTGAATGTGAAGGCCTCAGACGTTCCTGTACACTACTGTAGACTTCATAAATATTATACACTTAGCCTACATTAAATTTATTTTTAAAATTTTCTTTCTTTAATAAGAAGTTAGCCTTAGTTTACTGTAACTTTGTTACTTTATAAACTTGCTATTTTTTTAACTTTTTGACTTTTGTGTAATAACGTTTAGCTTAAAACATGAACCCATTATTATGTTATTATTTATAAATATATTTTTTTAATTTTTAAAACCTGTTCATTGTTAAAAATTAAAACACAAACACACACCTTAGTCTAGGCCTACATAGGGTCAGGATCATCACTATCCCTGTCTTCCACCTCCACATCTTATCCCACTGGAAGGTCTTGAGGGGCAATAACAGGGATGGCACTGTCTCCTATGATACAATGCCTGCTTCTGGAATACCTCCTGCAGAACCTGTTTGAGGCTATTTTACAGTCAATTTTTATGTTTAATAAGCAGAAGGAGTGCACTCTGAAATAATGTTTAAAAGTGTAGTGCAATAAATACATAAACCAGTAACATAGTAGTTTATTATCATTATCAAGTATTATGCCCTATACATAATTGTATGTGCTATACTTTTATATGACTAGCAGCATAGTAGGTTTGTTTACACCAGTGTTACCACAAACATGTGAGTGATGCCTTGTGCTATGACATGACATTATGGTGGCTATGACATAACCAGGCGATGGGAATTTTTCAGCTCTGTTACAATCTTATGGGACCACTGTCATATACACAGCCCATCAATCACTGAAATGTTGTTATCCAGTGCATGACTGTTTCACTAAAAATATATTTATCACAGATCATTAAATTTATTTACTGTTATAAGGTCATCTTCTTTTTTTTTTCTTTTCTTTTTTTTTTTTTTGTCATCTTAGTTATTTGCCTAAATGGCTACCTGTCAGATTTGTCTACTGTTAATTAGAATTGTATACAGTTTTTTTTAAATCTTTCGTTTTCCACAATATCTTTTTTCTATTTTCTTTTAATTTTCTTAATAAACTCAACAATATGACCCTTTAGGGACATAGTTTCTCCAAATAAACACATTCAATTTATTTTCATTATTCAATGTACTTTTCAAATTTCACCTATTATTCAACATTCAGATGACTTCCATAATTTTTGATTTAATTTTGTGTAGCTTTCTTATTTAGCAATATTTCATTGTGATTTATTGCATATAGCAAGAACAGAAAATAAAACAAAGACAAACTAAAAAGAAAGTCAGTTAAGCTCTATGTAAATAAGTAAAATAGGGTGATGTTGTATCAAGTAACTCATAGCTCTTTCAGATTGGTGAGCCAATTTAAAGATTTCATTAAAAGGGTAATATTTCTGGCTAGATCTGAATAATAAAATCGCATTGATAAAAATCAATTGGAGAATATTTCAAGGAATGGTACAAAGGCCCCAAGGTAACAACAAATTTTGGCATATTTAAGAAGCAACAGGAAAGTCCGTTTACGTCAAGGAGATGAAATGCCTGAAGAAAGTGGAAGCAATTCATGCATGGCTTTGTAAGTCTAAGAAAAAAAGTTATTTTATTTTGCAATTAGAAAACTGGAAAGTGACATGTTCTGATTGACTCGTTGTTGTTCGGAGAATGTGTGCATTCATTTATTCAACAAATTTGTATTGAGCATCTTCTATGCACCAGACACTGTTTTAGATACTGAGGATACATCAGCAAAAAAAATGTGTAAATATATCTGCCCTGTCTGCATTTGCATTATAGTGGTGGGAATATGCACAATAAACAATAAGCTAAAGATAAGTAAATTACAGGATATGTAAAGAGATTGGAAGTACTAGGGAGAAAAGAAAAAGCAGAGGATGGAGGAGGGATGAAGAATGCCAGAGAATAGTAAGGATGAGTTAAATTTTAAATAGGTTAGTCAGACCAGGCAAGATTGAAAATAGATTTAAATAAAGGCTTGAGAAGAAAGGAAAGAATTTGAGCCCATGTAATCTAACTTCATTACTATTATAATTGAGAAAAATATCAACCAAAGAATTAGTATTTTTCCTATTTTCTCCTCCTTTTACCATGTTTATCTCATGCTTGTGGCTTGAAACTTGATCTTTAACCTCTGTAATTATTATTTCAAGACAATATTTAGACTTTATTTTGTTGATAAAAAAAATTCTGATCGAAATTAATTTTAGGTAACATTCTAAGCAAATATATTTTTACATTTTTTTGTTTCTCCCATCATCTCAATATTATTCTTCAACTTTCAGTAATTATAATAAATGTAATTATCAAAATATCTGTAACAGAAGTGTGATGGTTTATTTCTTGTGTCAGCTTAATTAGAACAAAGCAGATATTCAGTTAGACAGTATTCTGGATATTTCTGTGAAAGTATTTTTAAATGAGATCAATATTTAAATCAGTAGACTTTAAGGAAAGCAGATTTTCCTCCATAAAATGTGTGCACCTCATTAAATCAGTTGAAAGCCTTAAGCAAAAGAAGACTGATTCCCCAGAGCAAGAAGGAATTCCATCAGCACACTGCCTTTGCATTGAAGCTGCAGCGTCAACTCCACCCTGGTCTCCAGCCTACCAGCCCACTCTACAGATTTGGACTTGCCAGGCTTCGCAATCATGTGAGTGAAATCCTTAAAAGAGCCTCTCCTTCTTTCTTCTATTGGTTCTGTTTCTCTAGATAGCACTGACTAACATAAAAGATATATTCTGTAAGAATTTCTCCTAATAAAATCTCAGAAGATAAAATAGTCCTGTAAAATGCCAATAATGGAAGTTGTAACACCAGAATAAACTAATATAAAAATTGACAGAAGCAGACAAGGAACTCTGTTGGAAATGCATATGCTGCACTAAGAGATTATAAAAAATTACTTTTTAAATGTAAAATAAATTATAAATTATATATATTTCAAAATATAATACTAGCATTATGATATCGTAGAAAAATTAACTAAACTAGTTTTTAGACCAAGAAATGGACTCAATGGCAATAGAAAAAGAAGAGACAGTTACAGACACAAAGGTGTTAGGGTTTCTGCCAAGAATTGATCTCCCATTAACTTGTGTGTTACCTTTGCAGATGTGATTTTATTCCATGGCATTGTCTCCTAATTGCTGTTGATTTGGCCAAGGGACATACTTGATCCAAGCTGAGACAGATGATCTCCCTGGAGAAATTTGAAGTAGGAATAAGAGGCAGCTAGTTAATTTATCAGAGGCTGGAATAGAGTTTTTAAAACTTAGAAAATTTAAATCTGGCCCATCTTGATCATGTGCATAGTAGACTACTAAAAACAGTTTAGGTGGTTGAAAGTTGAGAGAGGGAGGAGAGATAGGAGAGAAGAGTAGGAGAGGAAAAGAAAGAATTGAATTGAGTCTATAGATATGAGCAGAGCTGAGCAAAGGAAAGAAATCCCTGCCTGGGTCCTAAGGAATCTATAATTTCTGGTACCAAACCCTTGGGAGACTGGCTCTTTTTGAAACCTGTGAATAGTGGCATATCTTAATCTAGATTGAAGTGTGCTTCCACTTCTTTAGACTAAAAGATGCTTGCTAAAACAGGCTGAAGAGAACCATATGATGGAAAGGAGTTGTGTTCAGATGAAAGATGAGGTAACATGCATACAGAAAAAGGACCAGAAAAAATAAAAACAAATAATAAATAGCCAAATAAATGTGCCTTCCTGGCATGTTAGAAAAAGTGAATGAGGTTATTATAATGACATGATTTTTTTTTACCTGTTATATTGATGTGTACAATTTAAGCTGTGATCACTGGTTTATAATCAATCAGTATTTAGAAGTAACAGGGCTGCTGAAATTTTGTTATTATCTTACAAGGACTGAGTTATAATTAAGCTTATGGTTTAGTCTTCAAAACTAAGAAACTTGTTAGGCCTGTCATCAAGACTCATCCTTAAACAACCCTTGTTAGTAATCCCAAGGAGTCATCCGAAAAACACAATTGACATGCAAGTTGGAACCTCACAATTGCTGAAGGAAGCTGAGCAATGAGACTAAGACTGACAGTTTCTCAGGACAAAATTTGTTAGGTCTAGGCATATGTTTCTGGTCTAGAAGTTTATATTGACATACTTTAGAAGGAATAGAGTGCTAACAACGTGGCATCAACTTAATTAAGAGTCTAATCCTGTAGAAACACTGTACCTGTTGGCTAGAGGGCCCCCAAATCTTAGATTTCGATTAAAAAAACTATGGTTTCTGACTAACTGTGTCTAATCTGAAAAACCATAATATGTCCCAGAAATCCCATCACTCTAGTCTTGTAAATAATATTTTCTAGACAATGCTTCTCAAATCCACACGGAACATAGACATTATTTATCAGACCAAGGAAATTTACATTTTAAAGCTGAACTTATGGACATGCTTACATCAACCTAAGCCTTTATAAAGAAAATTTATATCCATGTGTATGCTTGCACAAGTTCTATAGAACTTGTCTCATTCTATCTAATCTAATCTGATCTAATTCTGAATATCTTGCAAATTGTACAGCAAAGGCCTTAATTGCTTTTCTTTTTTAATTTATAGTCTTAATGACTACAATGAATTAACAAAAATATTGATGATATCCATTATGCATTTGTGTTGTGATTGCTGAAATATCTATCAGAAATTGATAGATTCATATCTTAACTTCTCAGTAATTCTAGGAAACTCTTTTCTAGTCCTCCCTCCTCCACACACGTACAAGAATAAGCCTCTCCACTCCCCAAAAAATTACTATTAAATATTATTTTTTCTTTCTTTTCCTCCTTTTTTCTGTTTCTCTTGCTGTTTCTATTCATTTTGTCTAGAATTGTTTTCTTATTATTGTATCCCACTTTCAATTGAGAATAACTCCTTGAGGACTCTGCTTTTTTATGCTTCATGCCAGCCACAGTGACCTAACATCCCTTTACATCCATATCTATACAACCTAAGTAGAATTGGAATTGACCATCAGATTCAGTGTATTCAGGTCGTGGCAGCCTGTCAAAAATGCCCTACAAGTAATACGGCTTGTATTTCAAGAGTTCTGCCAATCACATAAACCACAAATGAATCTTTCAGACACAGCTATTTCTAAAGCTGTTTACAAAGAGGCATAGACTATATCTTGATGATCACACACGGTTAAAAGCTCTCATTTTGAGATGGAAACATGTGCAATGCTCTATGAATCATTATTATTCATGATAGTAATAATAGCACTACCATCCAATGAAACAATAGCAATAATGGCTTTGGTTTATTCTTTGCAACTTAAAATGACTCATCCAATTATCAGAATAGCTAATAAATACTTGTAAAATACATGTTAATTTAGTCTGCTAATAAAAAATGCTATATAAGTGTACCGTAATCATATAACAATACCAGTGCTGTGTTCACAAGTTAATGAATAATGAACTACTTTTTAAAATGACCTCAATCTTAATTTTTAAAATTGGGTTTAGAGGTTTTTTTACTTCTTTTAATTCATATAAGAAAAGGCCAAAACTAAAAATTAGTTTTATACTCAAGTGCAATGCATTAAAAATTGAATTTTCACACTTTGGAATTGGGGACTTAACTGCTATTGAAAATAGCATTAATATGATAATGATATGCTAAAAGAAAATATTTCATTCTGTATTTCTTCTAGCTTAACTGCATATGATTTTCTTTACTTTTACTGCCCATTATGCATAGGTGATAGCCTCAAATCCTTTTAATGAATCAGTGATACAGTGGTCACTATATTGTTCTAAATATATTGACAACCTGAGCTGTCACGAAAGTTATATGCATTCTCTGAGTCTTTGGCAGAAGCAAAGATGAAAAAGACATTGCCAAGAAGCTTATAGTCAAGAGAAAGAGAGAGGAGTATAAAATCATTCAGATGCACAGCATATTTGAACCCTTTCCATCATAGAGGCCCCATTTATAACCTGAAACATTTTGTAACACCTCTTCCCTTTCTCCTAAAATTTGTTTACACCTCAAGGCTACCCTGGAGTCATCACTGTCCAGACATGGACTCCTGTCCTCTTTTGTTTTCTCTCTTATCTTACTTACATCTTTTTTATTCCTCAAATTGACAGCAGCTGCTCTCTTAGGAAGCAATACTCCTTCTTTTTCAAAAAGTAAAAATTCAGAGGAAGTTATCGGACAAATGCAGATTTGTCTTTGGCAGATGGGATAAAAAAAAAAGACAGGAAACCTTTATGCTAAATGATATTGCTATGTTCCGCATGAATAACTTTAATATAATGGTCAAGAGTGAGCATTCTGGGGCCTGGAATGCCTAGGTCCAAGTAGTTGCTCCAAAAATTACACTTTGAACAACCTTGAACACATTTTTAATACTGTACAGTTTTTTGTGTATATGTGTGCATATATAAATTTAATTTAGTAATTGAATGAATGAATATAATATAATGAATATGGGCAAAACAAATGTAATTAATTTAATGATATATTAATATATGTCATTAGTCATTAGTTGATATGAATTAAATATAACAATGATGAATATAATAACAGTATCTAATTCATGACTATTATACAACTTAGATAAGTAATTGTTTGTTAATCCTCAGTATAGTGTTGATCACACAGTAACTGTTCAGTAAATATTTGCTGTAATTTTTAATTACTGTTGCTATCCTGGCTTAATTCCTAAATTTATTTTCGGACTAGCTAACAAACAAACTATTGAAAATTATTGTTTCACATTTTTTAATGAATGCCATTTTTAATGCCATTTTTAATGAATTTGATGACTACAAAAATATACTAGGCATTTAAATAGTCAAATTAGTTACTTTTGATAAGCTTTTGTTTTCTAAATATGTAATAACATTTCATAGTGAAAGTCTATCATATACAAGATGACTTGTATAAAATATTACTTTTATAAGTTAAAATCCAAAAAATGAATATATCAATATCATTTTACACTGACTGCACTTCAGAGTCAAAAGGAGAGCTTAAAAAAGGACTGATGACCAGGCCCTGTCACCATATAGTCTGATTCAGTTGGTCTGAGGACAAATTTGGCATATGTATTTTTTTACCCTCCTTAAATATTACCACCATATAGCCAAGGTAAAATAATCCACAAGCATATAATTATTTCATAGAATTTCAGCCCTGAAAGTGTCTTTAAAAATTGTATCCTCTAAATTTCTCAATAACACAGACTCAGCATATATTTGAATATCTCTAACGATAGAAAAATTACTGCTCAAGCAGCCCATTCTCTGTAAGCTGGAATAAAAAATCCTTATTTTGAGCAAAAATTAAGGCATATATTCCATGTTGACCAATAAAAATATTTTTGCTTTTTCATATGTTGATATTTCATGTATATAAAACAATGAACAATGTTCATTGTTCCACTGTGCCTAACCACATTTTCCTCACAAGGCTAAACTTCCCAAACTCTTCCTAGTAACACTTAGTTGCACTTAGTCCACATCACCCTTTTCCTTTATCAGTGTGTCACTCAAAACTCAGCACGGAGTAAGGTGTGATTCTCATTGTATGTATTATCTGTCTACTAAAGCAGTGGAAAGGTATATTAATTTTAAGGTACTCATAACCCCATTTTATAATTTTTACATACATCCTGCTACTAAATAAAATGTTGACTATATTAGTTAGGGATTGCTGCGTGCCAAATTACTCCTAAAACTAAGCAGCTAGAAACATTTGTTTTAAAAACATTTTTATGTAATGACAAAAATATTGACTATATCTCACAATTTCTGAAGATCAGGATCCTCCAAGTGACTTCAGTTTTTGTCATGTGGGCCTTCCTACAGGGCTGCCTCATGACATGGCAGCTGGCTTCCTCCAGAGTAAGTGATGCAAGAAAAAACCAGCACCCAAAACTGGACTTCCTATTTTTAAAAAGCTTAATAACAGAAGTGGCTTACCATCACTGCTGTCATCTTATAGTGATTAGAGGAAAGTCATTAAGACTAAGACACTCACGAGGAGGGGAATTAAGCTTTACTACTTAAATAGGTGAGTATCAAAGAATTTGTGCTTATAATTTTAAAACTATTACCACAATGATGTTGAATTGGTACAACTTATTTTTATGTACACAACTAAAACACTCTATTTTTCCTTTGCAAGTATTTTTACAAGGCTATTGAGACGTTTATTTGATTCATATCCTTAACCTATTTTATTTCCTTCATAACACATTACTTGCACATTTTATAATTATACTTTGTATATTATTATCCAAGCTACAAATAAAACTCTTGAGATATACCTAAACATGACCCTGTGACACGGTACTAATCAAGGTCTGTAAGTTGATGATAATGCATGGTGCAACATTTATCACTATCATTTATAAACTTACCCCACATAACTTCATTATCTTAATTTTTTTTTTTTTTTTGAGACAGAGTTTTGCTCTGTCACCCAGGATGGAGTGCAATCTTGGCTCACTGCAACCTCCGCCTCCTGGGTTCAAGTGATTCTCCTGCCTCGGCCTCCCGAGTAGCTGGGATTACAGGTGCACACCACCATGCCAGGATAATTTTTGTATTTTTAGTAGACACAGGCTTTCACCATGTTGGCTAGGCTGGTCTCGAACTCCTGACCTCAGGTGATTCACACGCCTCGTCCTCCCAAAATGCTGGGATTACAGGTGTGAGCCACCATGCCTGGCCCATCATCTTCATTTTTAAAAAGACAGCATGTGGCACTTAAAATATTGCTCATATTTACAAATAATACGTTCACCGGGTTGTCTTTTAGCTTTGGCTCAAAGATATCATAAAACATTTCTACTAAACCAATTATTGCTTTTTGTTATAAAACATCTGTGGCAATCAATTCAGAAATGCACCTTCATGCCTGATCACTTTCAACTTTCTAGCATCTCTCCCATGTTCCATGATTTCTCAAGACACCCCCAGGATGTTTGGTGGATTACTTGATAATTCTCTGTATAACGAAACATAATATCTGGCAGAGAATAAGTCTATTTAAAGCCAATGAGTCCACTTTTTAAAATATTGTGTGTTTGCGTGCAATGGCAGTTTCTACAGGTTTTCTCTTAACTTTCTTCTCCCTTTTATAAGATGTTTGTTTGTTTTTAATTATCACCAAGTGATGAATTATCACATGAAAGCCAAACTAGCAAGGGACTTGAAATAAGTAAAAATGATGTTTTTCCACTATAACTGTATATCATCAAATCACCAAATCAGATAGCAAGTCTTATCAGATAGGTAATGAGGATAATTTTTTTTCTGGAAAAATATTATAAAGCGTGACTTTTAGCTTTTAGAAGTTAAGTCTTTCTAGGTATCTAAGGGTAACTAGTCAATATATAAACCATTCTATTTTGAAATACCTAGAATGGTCAACTTCTTTTAAGAGTCAGGTTCCAATTTCCCAAAGTAAAGCATAAGGTCCAGATACCAAGAGAAAACTTTATTCAATGATTTTCCAAATATGTTTATATTGCATTACATTAATATCTCCTCATTGTCGAGATTGTGTGTGTGTGTGTGCGTGTGTGTGTGTGTGTGTGTGTATAACAGATGACATCATTCACATGTTGGTATGAAGGTTCTTTTGATGTTTCTCTCCAACAGTTCATCTCAGAATATTATTTTTATTTTTATAGATTCTTGGTATACTAATGTATGTAGCACTAGAAAATTACAATTTGCTATCCCTCTCTATGATAAAGTATTCTTGCTACCCTGGTACTAGAGTACAGCTTTAAGTCATCCTCAGCAATATCTAACATCAGTGCAAAAAAAAAATTAAAAACAGAAAAACCAACCAGACAAATAAAATACGATCAAATGAATCTATAAGAGAAAAAACAGCAATAAAGACACGAATTTAATTTTTAGCTTCAATCTTTCCCCATAAAACACTATAAAATATTCTAAGATAGAAAAGAATTCATATTATACAGCTGAGGCAAATTTGAGACACTTGATGCATATACTAAATTTTCTTTGATCAATTTTAAGTGCCTCAATTTTTAGTCCCTTTAATTAGAAGTTAGCCAATATCCAGTAGCAAAAATTGAAAACACTGTTTCCTGATCTAAAGAGTTCCTTTTTTACTGTTCATGTTTGCTCCAAATATATTTTTCTCATACTGATCGTCTGTAATTCAAACAAGTTCTAATGGAGGAATTGCTCTTCTTAGACCAGGCACCACTGTTGGAAAAACTCAAGCTAGCAAACCTGCTGAATAGGCAATTACTTATTAAAATGTCCCAGCAAATAGTTTTCATAAAAAGAATCTTAATGGATGTCATAAGAGAGGCTAATGATAACACAAGACTGACAATTCCAGTGTACATATATTATCTGGGAAGAAATATTTATTTTTTGTAATATCCATTGGGAATTATATTCACATTAGAAGTCTCCAAAACAAACAAACACACACACAAACAACAGGAAGAATGGGGTTTAACCTGTCAGTAAAATTTTCCTGAGAATAAATAAACTGTGAGTTGTCTTTTATATAATAGTATGCGGGAAGTCCAGAATCTGGGAAGTAAATTTATTTAGTGCTTCTTATATTTAAGAATTCAAATTTGAATACAGAATTGTAAGGAAAGGATTATTACATTCCTTCAAGAAACTCCCAGTGCTGGATGAACTGTCCCTCTGAAGTGGTTTCATATAGCATCTTGTAATTATTTACACCTATTATCACTATAATATGATTTTCTCTCTTCTCATTGCAGGTTCTTGAGTGCAGAAAAGGTTCAGTACTATATCCCCAGTACTAATGACCATATTTGACAAATAAGAGGCATCATTGAAAATATTTGTTGGCTGGGCACGGTGGCTCACACCTGTAATCTCAGCACTTTGGGAGGTTGAGGAGGGTGGATCACTCTTGGTCAGGAGTTTGAGATCAGCCTGGCCAACATAGTGAAACTCCGTCTCTACTTAAAAAAAAAATACAAAACTTAGCTGGGCATGGTGGTGTGTGGCTGTAATCCTAGATACTGAGGAGACTGAGACCTAGAAATCATTTGAACCCAGGAGGCGGAGGTTGCAGTGAGCCGAGATGGAACCACTTCACTCCAGCCTGAGTGACAGAGTGAGGCTCTATCACAAAACAAAACAAACAAAAAACAAAAAGAGAAGATATTTATCAAATAAATGAGTGATGAGAATCATCTTTACCACAAACAACCAAATACATCAACATTACTTATTTAGTGTACTAGGGGTAGATTATTGAATCTTTTATTTTTAATAAATGTATTTTCAATTTATTTCCAACAGCTAGCTTAGAGGTGATTTTCATGAAGATGTCGAAAGCATAAAAGATGTGACAAGCAGATAAAACTGAAGTTGATATTTTGAGAATTTGTAGACAAAAGAGATTAAATGAAAATGAAAAATCAGAGGACAAGCATTACATAAAGAAGCTAATGAATCTCTTAAATTTTACATGAACAGTTAGTAAAATTTTGTTATTAGTAATCATGTTCCTTTGGCACTATGTTATTTATGAACTCTAAGGATACTGTTACCAAAACATCAGGGGTTTGGTCTAGGTCCTGCTGCTCCCAATGACTGAGACCATGAATACTGCCAAGGAAGAAAGCTTTAATCAGGTGCTGCAGTGCAGCCCAGGAGATGGGAGCTCAGTTTCAAATCCATTTCCCTGAGCACTAAAGCTAGGGGTTTATATAGCAGGGAAGAAATTTCACAGTGTGTAAGAAAACTGAAACTAGGGAGGGGCAAGGAACAATCATGATGAATGAGGGGTCTGGCATCTCCTTGTCTGCATGCCATGATCTGGTGAATTTCAGTTATTTGATACTTTGAGAGGTCTGAAGGTCATCTCCTGAGGTAGAAACTCAGATAAAACAAATACAAGTTTCAAGCTTTAAGACTAGGAGGATCAATTTCTATGTTTATTTAAAAAAAAAAAAAAAAACTTCTACCAATGGGACTATTGGGTTGCTTTCAATACTACATATCCAGATCATGTCCTGAAAAAAAAAACTACTCCATGGATAATCTACAGAGCAAAAAGTCAGGCAAATAAATATTTGGGTGAGTGCTTTAGACCAGAGGTCCTCAACCCCCAGTCCACGGACCTGCCAAGCTGGACAGCAAGAGGTGAGGGGCAGGCAAGTGAGCGAAGTTTCATCTGTATTTACAGCTGCTCTCCATTGCTCACATTATCACCTGAGCTCCACTTCCTATCACATCAGCAGTGACATTAGATTCTCATAGTGTGTCCGGAATTGGTGGGTTCTTGGTCTCACTGACTTCAAGAATGAAGCCGCGGACCCTCACAGTGAGTGTTAACAGCTCTTAAGGTGGCGTGTCTGGAGTTTGTTCCTTCTGATGCTCGCTCCTTCTGATGTTTGAATGTGTTCAGAGTTTCTTCCTTCTGGTGGGTTCGTGGTCTCACTGGCTCAGGAGTGAAGCTGCAGACCTTTGTGGTGAGTGTTACAGCTCATAAAGGCAGTGTGGACCCAAAGAGTGAGCAGCAGCAAGATTTATTGCAAAGAGCAAAAGAACAAACCAGCCACAGTGTGGAAGGGGACCCGAGCAGGTTGCCATGGCTGGCTGGGGCATCCTGCTTTTATTCTCTTATCTGGCCCCACCCACATCCTGCTGATTGGTCCATTTTACAGAGAGCTGATTGGTCTGTTTTAACAGGGAGCTGATTGATGTGTTTACAACCCCTTAGCTAGACACAAAAGTTCTCCAAGTCCCCACGGAGCACTGATTGGTGCATTTACAAACCTTGAGCTAGACACAGGGTTCTGATCGGTGTGTTTACAAACCTTGAGCTAGACACACAGTGCTGACTGGTGTATTTACAATGCCTTAGCTAGACATAAAGGTTCTCCAAGTCCCCACTAGACTCAGGAGCCCAGCTGGCTTCACCTAGTGGATCCCCCACTGGGGCTGCAGCTGGAGCTGCCCGCCAGTCCCTTGCTGGGCGCCAGCACTCCTCAGCCCTTGGGCGGTCGATGGGACCGGGCTCCGTGGAGCAGGGGGCAGCGCTCATCATGGAGGCTCCCGCTGCGCAGGAGCCCATGGCAGGGGTGGGGCGGCTCAGGCATGGCGGGCTGCAGGTCCGGAGCCCTGCCCCGCGGGGAGGCAGCTGAAGCCTGGCGAGAATTCCAGTGCAGCGCCAGTGGGCCAGCATTGCTGGGGGACCCGGTGCACCCTCTGCAGCTGCTGGCTTGGGTGCTAAGCCCCTCACTGCCTGGGGCCGGCGGTGCCAGCGGCCGTTCCCAGTGCGGGACCCGCCGAGCCCACGCCCACCGGCAACTCGCGCCGGCCCGCAAGCGCCGCGCGCAGTTCCGGTTCCCGCCGGTGCCTCTCCCTCCACACCTCCCGGCAAACTGAGGGAGCCGGCTCCGGCCTGTGCCAGCCCAGAGACGGGCTCCCACAGTGCAGCGGGGGGCTGGAGGGCCCCTCAAACACGGCCAGAGTGGGTGCCAAGGCCGAGGAGGCGCCGAGAGCGAGCCAGGGCTACGAGGCTGCCAGCACGCTGTCACCTCTCAGTAGGAGCACAAACCCTATTGTGAACTACGAGTGTGAAGAGTCTAGGTTATCTGCTCCTTATGAGACTCGAATGCCTGATGATCTGTCATTGTCTCTCATCACGCCCAGATGGGACCATCTGGTTGAAGGAAAACAAGCTCAGGGCTTCCACTGATACTACATTATGGTGAGTTTTATAATTATTTAATTATATATTACAATGTAATAATAAAGAAATAAAGTGCACAGTAAATGTAATGTGCTTGAATCATCCAGAAACCATCCCCCACTGCCCCCGGTTCTGTGGATAAATTGTCTTACATGAAACTGGTCCCTGGTGCGAGGTTGGGGACTGCTGCTTTAGACCAACCATCCTCATAGAAACTTCTTCACTGTGACCCAGCAAACATATTTTTTGGCTAGACAGGCAGACCTAAGGCATTGTTTTTCTAAAGAATATGGAGATGCCACCTCTTCCTTAAATATAGAAAAAGTCCCTATTCCTTCTTATTACCTAGCCCTATCACAGTATAAAAAGAAAATTATGTGGTAGAATCTAAGGCAATGGGCTTCAGCTGGGGGTAATTTTGCCCCCTGGAAGGACATTTGGCAACACCTGGAGACATTTTTGATTGTCACAACTGGGATGATGCAGGTAGCTGCCAAAAAAAGTTGATATTAAATATTTTACAATGCATAGAATAATCCCCTACATTCAACAACCAAGTATCTGGTCCAAAATGCTAATAGTGCTAAGGTTGAGAAATCTTGTTTAAAGGTAAATGTCAGAATTCGCTAATTATGTAAATTATATAGTTTTTAGTATTATTAATAAAACAGCTATTATTATTAATCTATACCTATAAACGATAATATAAATAATATTTTCTCATCCTCTGCCTAGAGCATGTAGCTGCTTACCTTATCTAAGTGGTTTGAATCAAACTAGTTAAGTCAACTGTACTACGAAGACACGCTTCAAAGGTGGTGTCACTACACCTACAGCTGCATACTTGTTAAATTGTCATCCTACCAATGCCTTCTTTTGAAAATAAAACAAAAATCTGTTTTTGGCTTTAGTTCCCCGCCAACAATATAATCTTGATTAAACCAGCAGGTTTTTTTTTTCTCTTCAAAATAAGACTGAATGTTTCTATGCAGTTGGGAGTGATTCACCTTAGGAATTAGTCATCAAAAAATACATATTATAAGCTCTCTAAGGTTAAAGAGTAGTGTTAAATATATAGCAGCTTGCAGTACCACCCACCTTGTTGTTAGTAAAGATAGAAAGACGTTTAAAAAGCATGAGGCGGTAAACACCACCTGCTTTTAAAGTGCAAGGATCCTGACATTTGCACTTCTGTTTGTATTTAAAGTCTGATATTCACATTGAATTATGTTGGTATTTGAAAACACAGTGACTTTTTATATAGTGTATCAACTGCAAAATGTAAAGAAATCAGATATTTTCTCTATATTTTCATACACCTAGTAAATACCTGCAAGATTAAATACCAAAATAGTAAATCTAGTTTTCTCTGAATGACAGAATTATGGCTGATTTTTTTAAACATTACATTTTCAAATAATAGATTTAGTGTAATATAAATTTGTGTGATAAAATTTAATAAAATAATTAGGAACCATCTTTTAAAAAGCATGATGCATCCAGTAAACTCAAAGCATTAAGATGATGAATTATGAAATCAAAGTTGATTAGAATATATACTTTTCATGTGCTTATTTTACTTGAAAAATATAATGACTATTTATTCCGGTCTTCCTCTATACTCCATACTGCCCTACAACTCCCGCCCACACACGTTTTTAGTGTTGCACAGCTGCATTCCACGTATAACAATTTATGTAGCTAGTCTTGTATTGTTAGACATTTTGGTTGTTTCAAAAATTTTTCCTCACATATAAAGCTTCAAAGACCATCCTACTACATGTATCTTTGTATGTTTGCCGGATCATTTCTTTAGGATAAATTCCTGAGAGGTAGTTTTGAAAGTCTGTTGGTACACAGTGCCAAATAACCCTCCTGAAATGTTTACTATTTCTGAGATTTAAATCCCATTGTCTATTCTATGATAGGACCTCCTGTTCCTCATCATTACAAAGATACATATAATTTTTTATGTTTTGACTGGGATATCATCATGTTATTCTTACATATATGGATAAAACCTCCAGCTTTACATCATCTCAATATATTTTATTCAAATGAAGAATAGAATTATGTGTTTACCTCCAAGTATAGTTTGTAAATTCAATGAGGATAGCGGCTGTGGCTTTCAATGACATAGCCTTGACAAATACACCATTCTCCAGGTTCCTCTGGTTTTCTTGAAATACCCTTCTTTTATTCCACCTCTCTTGCTTTTGTATAGGATTTTAAATGACAGTCAGGATGGTAGAACATTACTCATGGATTCAAATGAATAGATGCACTCTGCATGAAATAAAATGTCTAAGGATTCAGTTATATTTTCTAATGAGGATGATTAATAAATAATAAAAGCAAAAAGACATTATGCTTTGATATTTTTAAATGTGCCTTTTATTTGTGAAAGATGAAATAAAACTGGCAGTTATCTGAAAAAATAAGCCATAAAAAGTAAAATAAAATTTACAAAAAAAGACAAGAAAAACTAAAAATAGCTACACATTTCTAATAATAAATGTAAATATACTACTACATTCTAAAAGACAGATTTTTTAAAACAAATGTAACTTTTCATTTTTTGCATTTCTAAACATGGAGTGATGATAGATAAATAAGCATTGTTTATGAATGCTCAAACTTTTCAGCCTCCTGTACACTTGATTTTCACATAATCCTATTATGTAGTAATCTGATTCCTCTATTAGACTAATTTACCTAATAGTCTATGCCACTGCCATTGTTACATGTTGTTTAAACATTGCTTCAAACATACAACAATTTTGTAGCATAGGTTGCCAAGCTTGTTTCATTCTATCACAGCAGTACTGTGCACTTTTAACAAATCTTTAGGAATATTCAACATTCATTTTTTAAAAATAAGGCAGTGGAGCCATATCCGTATCAACATAACAACACATACTCAATAATCATTATCATATTTATACTCTGATTTAATTTAATAAAGTCATTTTATGTGCTTTAACTCATAGGATCACCAAATAGTCCTGGCAAGCAAATGGCTTGCTCTATTATATTTTGTCTATATCCAGATAAAGAAAACAAGGCTGAAAAATCTGGAATGAGACACACAAGTTGTCACCATCACAAATAATGAATTCAGCATCATATAAATGTTTCTACTTAGATAAATCCCATCCTATCCTGTTTACTTCTTTGTACATTAAAAAAATCTACATTACAACTTTCTGTTACTACTTCTAGTTTTTATAACCAATTATATATGGAAAATAAAATAATGTATATGATAATTGCTTTTAGGTTTTAACATAATAATTGGTTACATCATCTTTTCCCCATCAGTATATTTATTTTAACATGTTCTATGTAATTGGAATAATTAAGTATGGCATAAGCCATCTAATGTGCTCAAGAGTCTTGTCATGTTCATTTGACATGAAATTGATCCAGTAAGTTGATGATCACTCCATACTAAGCGTCACTGTGAATAGAGAATTTGTTGTTTCATGGTTGACATCAATGTGATTAATGACATCAATATGATTCATTGTTTTATCAATATGATGTAAACAATGAGTTGATTCACTCAAATAAACAAAAAATGTCAAGCTACTTTTTCATCAACTACTACAAACCTTCAATTGACTGAACTATTGTCTTTTCAAACAATTGCTTTCAAGTCTTATAAAACACAGCCTAATTTGAGCTTTTTTTTACTTTAAACACCCTATGTTAGCACCTAATATATGTTTTAATGCATGCTTGTACTACAAAATTTTTATTCATTTAAACCCATACAACTTACTTTTAAACACTGTGAATTTTTTATATTTCCTATTTTTAGTGGCATGTCATTATCTCAAAAACATAATATCTTTGCAAAAGAAAGTGTATATACATCCATATATACGCATATGTACATATGTGTGTATGTAGATAAAATATACATGTAAAATATTCTTTTGAGGGAGAATAGCATCATTTGCCTATCACACACATTCTAAAAAACAATTTTATTTAAGTACCAGTTATGAAACATAAATATTTTTCTAAAAAGATGAGATAGTATTTTTTTCAGCATTTTAGTTGCTTATAAGAAATATGGGCAATCCCTGAGGGCAAGGAACTTGAGGAGAAGATACATACACAACAATAGTCAATTATAGAACAGAGATTTAGATTTCATGGTAAAACCATATTGCAGCTTCTCACAAATATTCCATCTACAAATACACATCTAGGTTTTGTTTTCCTCTTCACTCACTTCAGGATTGAAAGAAAGGTCATCTGAATTAAATTTTTAAAAGGATAAAATAAATGCCATTGACATTAGGAAAGGCTATCCAATAATTGAAATTTTAAACACAGAAAGTGTAGGGTGCTATCACGAACGTTTAGATATGCAAAAGAATAGAACTATTTTTAAAATATTTAAAATATTTTAAAATATTTTTCAAAACCCCAGTTAAACACATATTTAAGGTTATCAGCCATTTTACATGTATTGTTATCTATTTATTTTCTTTATTAATATATTTGACTTACACTCATCCCTCTAATGCATTTATTTCTAACTTTATTGATTTAAATTACCAGTTTCATCCAGCGATTCTGATATTCTATATTATAGCCTTTTACTCTGCAAAGAGATCAAATGATGTTCACTTAAAGCCACCTATCTGGCCACCTCATTCCACTCTCAGTGGCTCTATGTTATATGTTTTTATCCATGGTCTACAGGAAAGAGTTGTGTTAATATGAAGTACATCTTAGGTATTACTTAATTGCTTTGCCATAGACTTCTCTGTTTCTGGCATGACTACTGAAATCAAAGAGGGAGAATATGACAGACAATGCAACTTTTCCACTAACATGAATAGATGTGGTGTCAAATACCACCTGTTATTCTCAGATTATCAATTTTTATTCATTTTATTGAAAAATAGCAACTTAACTCTTAGATTGTCTTAAATATACCCACTTGTGTCCAGAAAGTTCCTCTGTTATTTCAACATATGCTTTAGGGACTAGTAGCACTGATTTCAACATTTAAACCATGATTACTCAATACACCTATTTGTCATATTCTTAGTGCTTCTCTCTGACAGAATGTTATTGACAAATGCCACCTACTGTATAATTCACTTTGCTGCACAGTGAGCACAAAGAGATACTAAACAGTGAATAATTCATCTTAAACCTTTTTGTATTGCCTTGTTCACTAGAAAACTTGTCTATAGAGAAGATTATGGTGTGGTCTGTTGAAATTGCACTCAATCAATGATAATTCCATTACACAGCTGACAACTACACAGAGATTCAAAAGTCTTAGTAACATCCAAGATTGCATTTTTGTGAGAGTGTGTTTATATTTCTACAAATAGTTCAGAATGATCCAAAATATTTGTTTGTCTTTCTAATTTAGAGAAAGCTAATTTTGTGCAGCAGCAAAATAGAAACCATTGAAGTTTATCTCAGAAGTGATTATGTTGTATTGAAAAAGCTTCTGAAGTAGAGCTGTAGAATTTTTTTCTTAAGAAAAAGAAATTGTAAGAAGTACAAAGACAATAAAGAATGTAATAAATACTTGCTAAAGCAGATGATTCAAGCAAGAGCATATGTAGCCTATTAGAACTCTAATAATTATTATATACAGGTTTGCAGTTTCATGTAAAAAATGATTACTTGCACAAAGTTTAGGAGTGCAGACTGACAGAATCTGAGATAGAACAAATGCCCCCTCATCCCCTAGTTCACTGTATTCTGTTTGCTTCTTACTGTCACTTGTCCCAAATAGACCTAGAATTCTCATGGTGAGATTCTGAAAACCCACACAAAACAAGTAAGGCTAACCTTATAGGTAGTTTCTTTTTTTTTTTTTTTGTAAAGCCATGCATCACTTTACATCTGTAACTGATTCAGTTTTTACTCTGACTCATATGACTATAATCTTGGTACTGGTGTCAAAGATAAACCAGAATAGTACCACAGTTTAAGAACAAATGCAATGGGGGAGATAGAAAAGCATTTTCGTGAAATTTATATTTTTCTGTTAAGACTCAAGGGTGACTGATTTACTCAACATGCCTGCATAGAAAACTAATACAAAAAGCCCACAAAATGCTGAACTATTGGAGTGTAATATTCATTTAAAAGAACTTTTAACAAGGTATCCCAGATAAATAATCAGTTATATATTTTGTACCTAAAATTAGGATTCATTTAGGATGATTTCATCCAAATAGCATGATGTGGAAATAATACAAATAGTTAGAATAACTATCAAGGTAGTTTGCTCTTCCCATTGTTTTGCTTGAAAAAAATCAATTTTCCTTGCATAATTATGTTTAATGTATGCTGAGGACTAGGAAATCAAATATATTTTATATACATTCAGGATACATCTAAAATAAAACATTTTAATGTTAGATGTTTGAATATAGCTGAGATTAAGCTTTACAATGATTTTTCAGATTATCTATAATTTGATCCTTTTTTCTGCTATAACTGCTTTTTAAAGATTGTACTTTTATTTTTAAAAAGTAACTTACCTGACTTGCTTTGACTAGTCTTTAAGTATAGGTCTCAGGACAAGTGCTTCTTTGGGACACCATAAGAAATGAGGAAAAAAATGACATTTTTACATTTTAAAGTTCATTCTATAACAATTTGAGCAACGTGATGGATTGTTTGGCTTTTCAGTGTAATACAATGTGGTAAATACTTTTTGAAACAATTAAAAAAATTTTATTCATAAGCATATTTCTGGATTTTACTACTTTTCAGATTTTATGCAGTGATAAAATAGAAATGTTAATCGTGAAAATGCAATATTGTACATTTGTCAAAACTCAAGGAATGAGCAACACAAGATGTGAACCCTAACTTAAACTATGGACTTTAGCTAATAATGATGTATCAATATTGGTACATCAGTTGTCAAAAATATACCACATTAATGTAAGAAATTAATAATGGGAAAACTGTGTGCAGGAGGGGAGGAGGTAAATGGGCACCCTGTATCTTTTTCTCTATTTCTCTGAAACCTAAAACCACCCTAAAAAATAAAATCTATCACTAAAATCTGCAATATTCTGTTTTAAGAAAATAAAATATCATGAATATTATTTTCACCATACATTGCTACATATTTTAATAAACCAATGTGTCACCACTAGTTTTTTTTACTATTATTATTTATTTATTTATTTATTTATTTGAGGTGGAGTCTCACTCTGTTGCCCAGGCTGGAGGGCAGTGGCGCAATCTCGGCTCACTGCAAGCTCCGCCTCCCGGGTTCCCGCCATTCTCCTGCCTCAGCCTCCCGAGTAGCTGGGACTACAGGCGCCCACCACCATGCCCAGCTAATTTTTTTTTTTTTTTTGTATTTTTAGTAGAGACGGGGTTTCACGGTGTTCGCCAAGATGGTCTTGATCTCCTGATCTGGTGATCCACTCACCTCAGCCTACCACTAGTTTTTGACATTATTTTTTAACAAGAGAGTGAAAAATACTTAACTTCATTTGAATTCTTAAATGATCTTTCTTAGTGTTAAATGCATTATAATTTTTTCATATAAAAATTATAACCTATATGTTTATTTGCCTGATTTAATAATTTCATAACGCATGCATATGTCAAAACATGTATACTGTAAATATATATAATTTTATTTGTCAATTATGACAGTAAAGCTGGAGGAAAATAAGTCAATTATTAGGAATTTGACCTAGGGAAAAAAAAAGCTATCCTCTGATTAGTTTTTAAAAGCAGTATTTTCAATAACCAAGAATATATTATCAAGAAAGGTCATATATATTTATTTTTAAAAAATCAATTTCTTCTAACACATGCCCAAATACTAATATATAGTTTCTGCATTGCTATACTTATACATATATGATAAAAAATAGAGTCAGTGATGGTGTTTACATAATGATTGAGCCAATTTGATCAACCTAGTGAGTGAAAAACATATCAATGCAATCATCAGAGGCATCATTTATGTGCACCGATAATGATGGCTGTTGCTTCAGACCTTCTCATTTGTGGTAGGGCTTCTGGTCTCCCTTGGATATGTGCCTCTGTAGCCCGGGCTGGCTTACCTGATCTGATTACTTCCTAATATCTGAAGTATTCTTAAGCAGCACACATTTTGCCTTGGCAGGAATGCAATAACTGCATTTCTGCTGCTTTTGTTATTCCTTTTTCCATTTCTCTTCCTAATTCTATTTGGTTTATCTGTAAAATGCAGGAACAATTGAATACTGCAACCCATCTATGTAGTTGCAGTATTGAACTACTTGTTCCTCTGGACTAGGGATATGCAAACTTGTTTGATCATCAGAATCCCATAGAGATTTGTAAAGAAATGTAGATTCTGTGCCCTACCCAAAACCAAATGAATCAATTATTTTTAAAGGTGAGACTTTTCTAAGTTTTTTCTGAAACTTCTATTTTAATAAATACCTATAGATCAAGGGTCTCCAACCCCCGGCCCATGGCCTGTTAGGAACCAGCCCACACAGCAGGAGGTGAGCAGTGGTCCAGCTAGCTCTGCCTCCTGTCTGATCAGTGGTGGCCTGTTCAGAACCAGGCCACACAGCAGGAGGTGAGCAGTGGTCCAGCTAGCTCTGCCTCCTGTCTGATCAGTGGTGGCCTGTTCAGAACCAGGCCACACAGCAGGAGGTGAGCAGTGGTCCAGCTAGCTCTGCCTCCTGTCTGATCAGTGGTGGTCTGTTCAGAACCAGGCCACACAGCAGGAGGTGAGCAGTGGCTGAGGGAGATCCCCCTCCTGTCAGATCAGTGGTGGCATTAGATTCTCAAAGGAGCGTGAACCCTATTATGAACTGCGCATGCAAAGGATCTAGGCTGCACACTCCTTATGAGATTCTAACTAATACCTGATGATCTGAGGTGGAACAGTTTCATCCCCAAACCTCCGGAAAAATTGTATTCCAAGAACCAGGTCCCTAGTGTCAAAAAGGTTGGGAACCACTGCTACAGATGATTACAATTAAAAACCATTACCAAGAATGTGATCTGGCAGATGAGGGGTGTGTGTGTGTGTGTGTGTGTGTGTGTGTGTGTGTGTGTGTGTGTGTGATTACTATTCTAACATTCTATCCCATTAGGTAAATGTTCTTTCTTCTATGATTACTTGTTGACTTTTAACATAAACATTTCCAGGGAAAGTAACAGCTTTCTTAATCTGCTGAACTAGGCTTCATCCATTTTGTTATTGCATAGCCCTACAGTTCAGTATTAATTAGTAGTATTGTGACCTGGTCAAATATGCATAACAGTGAATGTACAGAACAGTCCTGTAGGTCATGTCTTCCAATCCTTGCAGAGTGCATGAGACAAGCAGAGAGAGGCTAACTTGAATGGCTTCAGAAATGTTCAACTCAGGTAAATGCATTCTCTCGAACTTTCTATTAACAATTAAATTTTTTTAGAGATTTTATGCATAAATATTGATGTTTTCTTAGGCAATGTAGTCTTTCTTATTCTCCAACAAACTTTCTATACCCATATTGTTTTCTGTAAATTGGATCATCAGTGACTAACATGAAAGTGAAAAAAAAAGTCAAAGCAATCTCTTTACAAGTTCAAGGAATGAGACATAAAATAATGAGTTACGAATATTGAACTCTCTCTTTTGGTACCCATAGCACCAATTTAGCTCTTTTCCAATGAGCCCAGGCAAAGTCTCTAAATCTTCTCCTGCACTCCAATACTACAAAGATTGTTATAGAAGTTGAAATCACCTTGTCATTATCCTTCTGACAGAAAATCAAGGTAACGCCAATTGAGAAGAAAATTAGAAGTTAAAAAAGCTTTTTAAGTATCAATGATTGAAATTTTAACATGTCCAAAGCACTGTGCTAATTTGTTCACAAGTATTTTAAAATCTCTCACATATAAGTAAGTGTCAGGAGGTTCTCTAGCATCGAAAATGCTGGAAGTTGGTTTTATCTGAACAGTTAATGTACATCATACATTCAATACATTAGGCAATTATTACATTTACAATAGGTTTGTATGTTGCCAAGTCAACAGTTTCATTTTTTCTTTAAATTGAAGAACACATGTAATAGAAAAACAAAGTTTAAAATATTTATTGTAGGGACTAAGTTGTCAACTTCTTATACAGTCTGAATGAACTGAATAGTCACTGAGTTGAACTGAATAGTCACTTAAAACTAGACAAGCAAACTAGATAAGCAAAAAATATTTGATTATCTAGTTTTAAGAAAAGAGAAATTAATCACCATTAACATGTATAAAATTAATTCTAGAAATCTGTCAACCCACCTGATGAATATTTTGGGATTTTTTTTGTCTTAAGACCCTTCTGCACACCTAATGAACAGTCATGTACTAATGATAGACTCCACATTCAACAGGAATATTCAATAATAAACAGAAACTGAGTACTAAGGGAAAAAAAAGAGGGAAAAAGAAAAAGCAAGTGTAGCAATCCAATACGTAATGGGCCACAAAACCCATAGGTACAATGCATAATGACCATAGTGTCAGCAGCTCCAAACCCTCTATTCTGATGAATAGAAAAAGCCAATCACATGCCGTTTCCCAAAGCGATCCCAAGCAGTGTACGTGGAGCAATAGCTGTAAAATGGAGTCCCAATAGACTTATTCAAACATGCAAATTAACAGCATTGAAAAGCAATGTACAGTAATCAGGTCCCATTTAGTATTGTAACGTCAGCTGGGACACAATAGCTGTCTGTGTATTCTGTAGACAGTTTGTATTGGTAATAGCCACCACGTGAGTAATTAAGCACTTTAAACAAGTCAACCATTTAAGCTGTCCTACAAGTTAGAAGTGAAAAGCAAAGCTGGAACAAAGAGCAATAACAAGGAGCCATTAGCCTTGATAACACTGGTCCACCCAAAAGCATATGTTCCCTCAAATGAGAGCAGATTGTGGGTTTCACCTGCACTTCGGATATTTGCTTTACACATTTAAATAACAGATCTCAATATGTTTTTGTGTAACTAAAAACAGTTATAATGGTTATCGTTTTCTATTTCATTTTTTAAAATAACTACATTTTAAAAAACTGATTAAAAAATAGTCATCTAGTTACTGCTTCTAGATGACTTGAAGGATTGGTCCATGTCTCTAACTGTAGAGATAACCTTTTAAAATGTGTAAATTGATGTTCCCTAGCAATTCATACCCACATGTGATAAGGCCAGTGTTTTAGGAGTCTACAGTTCCCAGTGTAGCCATACGCATGCGCTTTGGAAAATCAAACTTAATCTGTTTCAACTTCTGGAATATGTAACTGGGATAGCTTGGGGAAAACCATATTTTTATCTAAATTTCAGATACTACAAAAGAGCACATTTAAAGAGTCTAAGTCAGGTACTTCTTTCCAAGTGAGGATATTGTACAACCAAATTTTCTAATTCATTTCTGATGATAAAATTATGTACTCTTCTTTGCAATGGAAGTAAAAGTACACTTGCTTCACTATTTGAAGATAGTTATTCTATTTATCCTCTGCCTTCACTCCTCAAGACTAAATAAAAACTTAAATCCCTTAAGTTTTTCTATATAAATCTGTGTTTAAAGTGCTTCATCATTTTTGTGTCTGTCCTCTGAACTCTTTCTAATTTATTCATATCTTGGAGCTGCATTGATATTTTAGTATGCTCTTTGCCTCACAGAGATCCTGCCAGGTCACTATGGTAAGTGTTCCCTCTAATTTTTTCCAACCATGCATAGGCCGGGTGACAAGGGAGCTGCTGAGAGGGTTGAGTAAGGTCAAAGTGTCAGCAGGGTTACCGACTCACCTGGATATGATAGCTGGGACAAGAATGTGGACCAGTAGACCCTCCTGAGGGTTCCGACCTGGTATGAATAATGTATGGGATTTTCTCACAGACACTTCTGAGTTACCCCCAAGAGAGTGAAACTTTACCAACTGTTGTATGGATGTTCAACTTAAAGAATATAGTGACCCAGAGGACTTCACAGATGTCAACCATCACAAAAATTATTTAATGTATCTTTAACCTTACTATTAAACATTCAGCCTCCTGCTAAGCAGCCAGAAATTTAGCTTTGAAGATTTTACTTGTAATACATAACAGTTGGAGACTTTTCAGGTGTCTTCCAACAGAAGCAAGAGCATGCTCATTAATTTTAGTTCTTCTAATGCCCTCTTCTGCTGTTTGATGAGTCAGGCTGAAAGTAATAGGGGTAGTTTCACATTATTTCTCTCAATTGCCTTGAGCTTCAAGATTTACTATCTTCTTCCTGTCAATTTGTAGTCCAAAGTAGTTGAGCAAATAATATTAAAGCAAGTAGTCTAGACTATAGATAGCCTAATGTTGTATCATATTAGGGGAAGCAAGTAAACAGGATACAGAAGAGGTAAGTTATCAAAACAGACGAATTAGAGAAGAAACATGTGAGGGCACTATTAGGAGTAAATGGAGAAAAAGCATAGCAAGGTTCCAGTGAGGAAGGAGCCAAGACAGCAGGCAGGAGGCAATCTGTGACTCATTAAGCTTTAGGAATTGGGGAAAGTACTCAGATAGAATACAAATTTTGAGGAAAAAAGTGCACAGTGAAGCAATAGGGTAGATATGTGGATTGTAGTGTACAGAATGATTGAAAATCAGACTGAACACTATTACTTGACACATCAGGGATGGTATGTCACTGACCAAGAATATTAAAAAGCAAGATGTTAGAGGGATCAGTTGGAAAATGTTCAAAGGTTGCCACTTAATGAGAAGGAACTGCCCCTTGTCTGTGATGGTACAAATTCTCTTTCAATGCATTTGCTACCTGGTACAGGGCCAATCAGTTTCCGGCAATCAATTTAGAACTTTTTGTAGTAATAAAAGTGAAACTGCATGCTGTTGGTAACTTGCAAACATTAATATATCTGGAGAAAGGCTCAGACATTCCCTTTTATAATACAAATTAAATGTATATATTTCTTTTATCTGGGTCCCATATTTTCAATAGTATTGTCATGTTACCTGAGAATATGATGAATGTAATGGAAAAATATGAAGTAAAATTGTATGTAAATAAACAGGCTGGGTGAGGTGGCTCATGCCCTTAATCCCAGTACTTTGGGGGGCCAGGGTGGGCGGATCACCTGAGATCAGAAGTTCAAGACCAGCCTGGCCAACATGGTGAAACCTTGTCTCTATATAAAAATATGAAAAAAAAATTAGCTGGGTGCAGTGCTGCACACCTGTAATCCCAGCTACTTGGGAGGCTGGAGCTGGAGAATCACTTGAACCCAGGAAGTGGAGGCTGCAGTGAGCCAAGATGGTGCCATTGCACTCCGGCCTGGGCGACAGAGCAAAACTCTGTCTCAAAAAATAAAATAAAATTGTATATAAAGAAACAAAATAATCTAATAGCAAGGGATTTTATCAGGGTCAGAGATATTTCCTATCACTAGGAAATAAAAGTCAAAACAATTGTGTAATAGCAATTATAAAGGCCTTGCTCAGCATTAGATTAAAACTTGCTATCCCATTTGACTCATTTTATGATAATTAAATTAGATTCAAACAATTGATCTAAACATTTTTTGGTGAAAAAATGTTTGGTGTCTTTCGCTCCTCTTTTGTTTCCAATTATTTTTAATGCATACTTTGATTTTTCTACATTATATCTAATTTCATCCTAAACATAAAAATCTAATCATACCTGTTTCTTTCTACTAATGGGAAAGAAAAACTTTTGAATGAAGTATTTTTCTTTTACAAGGCAATTTCTAGTTTCTTAATCAACACAGGACATCTTAATTAGAGTAGATGGCAACATTACTTTCATACTGAAAGCTGTGCTAAAAGCTGTGATCTCTATTAGTCCATAAAGATTACTGGGCAGCATGTGAGTTTCTAATAAAACCAAGATGATTTGAAAAAAATTAAAACAAAATTGGAATGAAATATGTTTCAATATTCATTCTATGATAAAAATATTAAAATTCTAATGACTAGAAAATTGAGATATTCAATATAATTTCTTCGTGATGACATCTGTGCTTCCTGTGAAATATTTATCTTGTTCCTATCCTTAAGTCATGTAAGCACACTACAATAAAAGTTCACTAGCTTTCATAAGAAAAGTAATAATTTATTTGTTTGTGACCATTTGTAATTCAAGGAAGATTTGGAATTAAGATACACAGAACTACACCTTTTTTTAAAGTAACTGTTTTGAGATCAAAGCAAAATAATGCTCTCCAATAGAGAAACAAGAAATATTCTCCTTTAAAGGGAGAGAGAAGTTAGTATGAAGTTCTGAACCAGAAGAATTAACTTTTACTTCACCCAAGATTAAAGTGAACTACTTAATGGGGAAATTTCAGACAAACTGAGAGCAAAATAGGCTTTATAATTTAATTTATCTGGTGGAAATGTTATTATGGCTGTATGAAACAGTTTCGTCTAATTGTCATTATTTAAATATTTGATCATTTATTAGATTGTATTTGTTTACATACATGTTTATCAGAGTTTTGAAGAAGGGTTTAGACTATAAAGTGCTCTGAAGTTCTAGCTTTTTGCATGAGCACACAAGTGTTTTCCTGGTTTCCCTTTTGCCTGTTACTAGTCTATTTCAGTCTGTCTCCAATGTTGATTCAGTTTTGTCCATGCAAACTCTCCGCATGTATTGGAATATCTCATATTGTTTCTCTGTCAATGCCTTTACACATACTGTTCCATCTATATAAAAAAAATTTATTTCTTCCTCCTTCATTTAGAAGATATTTATTCATATTTGACAGAACTGTCACTTCCTCCCATAATCCTTCCCAGAGTCCTAGGACACTATGACTTGCAAGGTTATTATAGCATTCGCTACACACCAGTATAAGCCACTATCATTGTGATTGAAACTATTATTATTATTGCTTCCTCATTTCAGTGTCATCCTTGAAGATCAAGGATGTAATATTTATCCTTGACTCTATGGAAAGTAGCACACAGTTTTACTGAGTAAATAAATGAATAATTAAAGCCATATGCCTAACTTCCCCAACAGTCAAATGACAACATAAGTTGAAAGCATATTACTATGAAATATAGTAAAATATTTGTATTATAATATTTATTTATTCTTAGGATAACTGTTTGGCATCTTCTTGATAGTTTGCAACTGGAAAAATAACAGTGAGAATCAACCGTTCAAATAAACTCTTGCCTACTTCTTAACACATACGCACAATGTATATGGTAATGTATAGGATTATCAGATATCTCACCAGAATGATGCAAATTGTAAATGAAGTTTAAAAATCTTGAGAATATGAAATGCACAGTTCATCCCCATTCATTGGTAGGAAGGTGGAGCATATTCATTTTTAATTCTAAATATAACCCTAGGATATCTAGAAATATAGAATTAAACTAAAATATGAGTTATAAAAAAAGGAATGATGTTAATTATAAAACTTAATATGTATATGTTGAAACTTAATCACCAATGTGATAGTATTATGGGGTTGGGCCTTTAGGATGCTATTAAGTCAAGATGGCAGAGCCCTTCTATATGAGATTAGGGCCCTTATAAAAGGACTTGAGAGTGGGTTTGCTCTCTGCTTCTCTTCTGCCTTAATGAAGGGAACACAACATTCATTCCCTTCTCTTTGCCCTTCTGTCACTTTCACCATGTATTTCTCCCCTCTGGAGGATGCAGCAACAAGGTGCCATCTTGAAAACATAGAGCAGCCCTCTATGGTTACTAGTAAAAAATGCAATACACATACTCACACTATGCATCTAAAGTAGAAATGAAAGTAAAGGAAAATGGATGCAGAAAGAAATGTGCTATTTGTTTTAATCAGCACTGGAAATACAGACATGTTTTAATCAACACAGGAAACATAGACACACAGTACCTCTAGTGAAAATTCCATTTTTTCTTTTTCTTTTTGGAGATAGAGTCTCGCTCTATTTTGAGGCTGGAGTGCAGTGGTGTGATCTCGGCTCACTGCAGTCTTCTCCTCCCGGGTTCAAGCCTCAGCCTCCCGAGTAGCTGGGATTACAGGTGCTTGCCACCACACCTGGCTGATTTTTGCATTTTTGGGAGAGACGGGGTTTCACCATGCTGCCCAGGGTGGTCTTGAACTCCTGAGCTCAGGCAATCCACCCGCCTCAGCCTTCCAAAGTGCTAGGATTACAGGCATGAGCCACCAAGTCCAGCAGAAAATTCTTAAAGCAACTGAAACGTACCCACTTTTTATAAACTTTACCAAAAATACAGTTGTTTTAAACCTGCCTAGAAAATCTATAGTGTGACCTTTATACCTTTTTTACACGTGCATATATAACCTAACACAGACAAGCAGATTATTTTATCAACAAAATCATTTTTTGATTATCTGCTTATTACATATTCATGAACAGTGCATACATGAAAATACCAGCTAAGGATGGCTAGCTGTATTTGTTGTTTCAAGTTGGTTAACATCCTTTTATCAATATTTAAAAATATATTCTAACCTCCCTGGAATAGCCTTTGAAATTTCTTCTCTGTACAAGTTCCTATTCATATTCGTGACAACTCTTACTTCTCTCTCCTAATTCTCCTTCCCAGAAATAGGAGGAATTTTGAAAAGAAAATGCAGGTAACAGTTTTTATCCACCATTCATTCACCTAACTTGTCAATGTTTTTTGTTTTGTCGTTGCTTTTTATTTTTTAATTTTGTGGGTATATAGTAGGTATATATGGAGTTCATGAGGTGTTTTGAGGCAGGCATGCAATGTGAAATAAACCCATCATGGAGAATGCAGGGTATCCATCCCCTCAAGCATTTGCTCTTTGAGTTACAAAAAATACAATTATACTCTTTATTTTAAAAAGTAAATTAAGTTATTATTGACTATAGTCACCATGTCGTGCTACCAAATAGTATAGGTTTTATTCATTCTTTCTATTTTTTTCTATCCATTAAGCATCCCTACCTCTGTTCCAGCCCTCCACTAACCTTCCCAGTCTCTGGCAACCCTCTTTCTACTATCTATGTCCATGAGTTTTATTGTTTTGATTTTTAGACTCCACAAATAAGTGAAAACATGCAATGTTTGTCTTTCTGTGCCTGGCTTATTTCACTTAACATAATGATATCCAGTTCCATCCGCATTGTTGCAAATGAGTGCATCTCATTCTTTTCAGGGACTGAATAGTACACCATTGTGTATATGTACTACATTTTCTTGATTCACTCATCTGTTGATAGACATTAAAGTTGCCTCCAAATCTTAGCTATTGTAAACAGTGCTGCAACAAACATAGGAATGCAGTTATCTCTTCAATATACTGATTTCCTTTCTTTCAGGTATATACTCAGCAGTGGGATTGCTGGATCCTATGGTAGCTCAATTTTCGTTTTTTTGAGGAACCTCCAAACTCTTCTCCATAGTGGTGGTAATCAGTTATATTCCCAAACAACAGTGTATAAGGCTTTCCTTTTCTCCACATCCTTGCCAGCATTTGTTATTGCCTGCCTTTTGGATATAAACCATTTTAACTGGGGTGAGATGATATCTCATTGTAGTTTTGATCTGCATTTCTCTGATGATCAGTGATGTTGAGTACCTTTTCAATATGCCCATTTGCCCTTTGTGTGTCTACTTCTGAGATATGTCTATTCAAATCTTTTGCCCCTTGTTTGATCAGATTATTAGATGTTTTCCTGTAGAGTTGTTTGAGCTCCTTATATTATCTGGTTATTAATCCCTGGTCACATGGGTAGTTTGCAAATATTTTATCCCCTTCTGTGGGTTGTCTCTTACTTTGTTGATTGTATCTTTTGCTGTACAGAAGTTTTTTAACTTGAAGTGATCCCATTCATCCATTTTTGCTTTGGTTGTCTGTCTAATGGGGTATTGCTCAAGAAATATTTGCCCAGACCGATGGCCTGGAGATTTTCCACAATGTTTTCTTGTAGTACTTTTATGGTTGGAGGTCTCAGATTTAAGTTTTTAATAAATTTTGAGTTGATTTCTGTATGTGGCAAGAAATAGGGGTCTAGTTTCATTCTTCATATGGATATTCAATTTTTCCAGCACCATTTATAGAAGAGACTGTCTTTTCCCCAGTGTATGTTCTTGGCACCTTTGTAAAAAATGAGTTTGCTGCAGATGTGTGGATTTGTTTCTGGATTCTCTATTCTGTTACATTGGTCTATGTGTCTTTTTTTATGCCAGTACCATACTATTTTGGTTACTGTAGCTCAGTAGTAGAATTGAAGTCAAGTATTGAAGTCAAGTTAAGTAGTATAATTGAAGTCAATTATACTACTGTAGCTCAGTAGTATAATTGAAGTCAAGTAATTTGATTCTTCCAAATTACTTTCAAGTAATTTGATTCTTCCAAATTACTTCCAAGTAATTTGTTCTTTTTGCTTAAGATAGCTTTGGTTATTCTAGGTCTTTTGTGGTTCCATATAAATTTTAGGATTGCTGTTTCTATGTCTCTGAAGAATTTTGTTGGTATCTTGATAGGGATTGCATTGAATCTGTAGATTGCTTTGGGCAGTATGGATATTTATCAATATTGATTCTTCCAGTCCATGAACATGGAATATTTTTCCATTTTTTGGTGTCCTCTTCAATTTCTTTCATCAGTATCTTATAGTTTTCATTATGGAAATCTTGCACTTATTTGGTTAATTCCTAGGTATTTAATTTTTTGTGTGGCTATTGTAAATGGGATTTCTTATTTTATTTCTTTATCAGATTGTTCACTATTGGCATATTGAAATGCTACTGATTTTTTATGTTGATTTTGTATCCTGCAACTTTCCTGAGTTTGTTGATCAGTTCTAATTGTTTTCTTATGAAGTCTTAAGGCTTTTCCTAATATAAGATCATATTGTTTTCAAACAAGGATCATTTGATTTCTTCCTCTTCAATTTAGATGCCCTTTATATCTTTTTCTTGTCTGATTCCTCTAGCTAGGACTTCCAGTACTATGCTGAATAACAGTGATGACAGTGGGCATCCTTCCTGTTTTCCAAATCTCAGAGGAAAGGGTTTCAGTTTTTCCCCATTCAGTATGATACTACCTGTGGATCTGTCGTATGTGGCCTTTATGTTGAGGTATGTTCTTTCTATCCCCAGTTTTTTAAGGGTTTTTGTCATGAAGAGATGTTGAATTTTATGCTTTTTCAGCATCAATTGAAATATAATTATATGCTTTGTATCCTTTATTCTATTGATATCATATATCATATTAATTGATTTGCATATGGTGAACCACCTTGCATCCTATGGATAAATCCCACTGGTCATGAAGAATGATCTTTTTAATGTATTTGTTGAATTCAATTTGCTAATATTTTCTTCAGGATTTTTGTATCAATATTCATCAGCGATATTGGCCTGGAGTTTTCCTTTTTTGATGTGTCTTTGTCTGGTTTTGGTGTCAGGGTAATACTGGCCTCATACAATGAGTTTGGAAGTATTCCCTCCTGCTCTATTTTTCAGAGTAGTTTGAGTAGGATTGGTATTAGTTCTTTAAATATTTGGTAAAATTCAGCAGTGAAACCATCAGGTCCCAGGCTTTTCTTTACTGGGAGACTTTTTATTACAGCGTCCATCTCATTACTTAATATTGGTCTGTTCAGGTTTTGGATTTCTTCCTGGTTCGATCTTGGTAAGTTGTATGTGTTGAGGAATTTGTCCATTTCCTCTAGATTTTCCAACTTATTGGCACATAGTTGTCATGGTAGCTGCTAATGATCCTTTGAATTTCTGAAGTATCACTTGTGGCATCTCCTTTTTCATTTCTGATTTTGTTTTTTTTTTCTTAGTTATTCTAGGTAAAATTTAGTCAATTTTGTTTAACTTCTGAAAACAACCTTTTGTTTCACTGATCTTTTGTATTTTTTTCATTTCAATTTCATTTATTTCTGCTCTGATCTTTAGCATTTCTTTTCTTCTACTAATTTTGGGTTTGATTTGCTCTTGCTTTTCTAATTCTTTAAGATGCATCATTAGATTGCTTATTTGAAATATTTCCTCTATTTTGATATAGGCACTACAGCTATAAACTTCTTTCTTAATAATGCTTTTGCCATATCTCATAGGTTTTGGGATGTTGTATTTCCATTATAATTTGTTTCAAGAAATTTTTAAATTTTATTAATTTCTTCATTGACCCACAGGTCATTCAGGAGCATGTTGTTTCATTTGCATTATTTATATAGTTTCCAAAGTTCCTGTTGTTACTGATTTCTAGTTTTATTTCATTGTGGTTAGAAAATATGCTTGATAATATTTTTTTTGAATGTTGTAAGTCTTGTTTTGTGACCTAATATATGGTCTGTCCTTGAGAATAATCCATGGTCTGAGAAAAAAAATGTGTATTCTGCAGCTCTTGGATGAAATGTCCTATAAATATCTATTTGATACATTTGGTCTACAGTGCAGATTAAGTCTGATGTTTCTTTGTTGATTTTCTGTCTGGAAGATCTGCTCAATGCTGAAAGTAAAGGGTTGAAGTCTCCAGCTACTATTGTCTTGGGGCCTATCTCTCTCCTTAGCTCCAATAATATTTGCTTTATAAATCTGGGTGCTCCAGTGTTGTGTGCGTATTTATTTAAAATTGTTAAATCCTCTTGCTGAATTGACTCCTTTATCATTATATAGTGACCTTTGTTTCTTCTTACAGTTTTTGTCTTAAAATCTGTTTTGTCTGATGTAAGTATAGTGATTCCTGCTCTTTTTTGGTTTCCATTGGCATGGAATATCTTTTTCCATCCCTTTATTTTCAGTTTATGTGTGTCTTTAAAGGTGTAGCATGTTCCTTGTAGGCAACAGATCAATGGGTCTCATTTTATCATCCATTCAACCAGTGTGTCTTGATTGGAGAGTTTAGTGTATTTACTTTCCATGTTATTATTGGTTAGTAAGAACTTACTCCTATCATTTTGTTATTTGTTTTCTTGTTTTGTGGTCTTCTTTTATTTCTTTCCTTCCCGTCTTGCTCAAGTGAAGGCGATTTTCTCTGGTGACATGACCTAGGTCCTTGCTTTGTGTGTGTGCTTATCCATTTAATGTTGTTTGGTTTGAGATTACTATGAGGCTTGCAAGTGCTATCTTATAACACATTATTTTACCATAATAACAGCTTAACACTATTTGCATAAATAAACAAGCAAAAAGAAAGCCAATAAAAACTCTATGCCATAACTCGGTGCCACTGCTTTTTAACTTTTTGTTGTTTCTATTTATATCTTATTATACTATCATGAACATTTCTTGTACTTATTATTTTTTATTGGTTTATTGTTTAGTCTTTCTATTTGGGATGATAGTAGTTTACACACCAAATTTACAGTATTATAATATTCTGTTTCTTTCTGTGTACTTACCATTACCAGTGAGTTTTGTACCTTTGGGTGATTATTTATTGCTTATTAATGTTCTTTTCTTTCGGATTGAAGTATTTCCTTTAGTATTTCTTGTAGGACAGGACTGATACTGATAAAATCCCTCAGCTTTTGTTCACTGGAAAATTCTCTATTTCTCCTTCATGTTTGAAGGATATTTTCATTGGATATACTATTCTAGGGTAAATTTTTTTTCTTTAGCACTTTAAATATGTCACACCACTTTCTCCTGGCCTGTAAGGTTTCCACTGAAAGGTCTACCAGATGTATTTGAGCTCTATCATGTGTTATTTCCTTCTTTTCTTGTGCTGCTTTAGGTTGGTGAAAAAGTAATTGCAGTTTTTGCCATTACTTTTAATGGCAAATAAGTAAAGAATTCTTTCTTTACCCTTGACCTTTGGGAGTTTAATTATTAAATGGCTTGAGTTTGTCTTCTTTGGGGTAAACATGCTTGGTGTTGTATAACCTTTGTGTACTTTGATATTGGTTTCTTCCTCTGGGTTTGGGAAGTTCTCTGTTATTATCCCTTTGAATAAACCTTCTACTCCAATAATTAATTATTGCAACATTTTACTGCTCTATTATGAAATATACATTTATACCTCAATGACTGATAGAATTTCAATATACAGTGCACACTGAAAGGTTATTTTTTACTCTACCATGAATCCTTACCTATATTTGAAATGGATATTCATCAGATATTACAAGAAATTTGAATGATGACATGATTTGTTTTTATCACTGGCATTGTTATGCGAGTTCAGTGATAAGAAGTATTAATTCTAAAGTATCAGTCTATTGTTGACCCTGCAAGTGTTCAAGTAGGCAGTCAAAGGTTAAGGCCACAGTTAAAGAATCATAGTTGCCAATCAATATCTCCAATATCTTAGTCACTAGACAATGAGCAAAACATTTACTTTAGGTTGTACTTTAAGGGAAGAAGGCAGAAAGTCAAGCAGTAGTCATGTAACTACCTCTACTCTAACATTTCCTAATCACACATAATGTTGTCTTATCTTCACTCTTCTTTTATACTTTTATCTAGCAGAAAGAAATCTCTACCTGTTTACTTACTAATGTGTTCCAAAGGCATGCCCTTCTTTGGGTGGGTGTGTTTAAGTATATTTTTCTCTTTTGTGTACCATTACTGTGATTCTTTCTGCCAAATCATTTCATTTATTTCAAATAAAAATAAGCTTAAATTACCTCAAACACATAAACTATTTTCCTTGAATTGTTTACTTATAAAATTAATTTTATAACTTTCAGTTTCTTAATTCGGTTGAAAAGTTCTACCATCTTTTGATTTCATGCAGTCTTCCAAAGTCAATTCTAGGATATTTTTATTAACATGTTTTCAATCTATAATCTATTTGCAACTTAACTCAGTATTTTGCATGCAATGGTTTACCAAACTTTTTTCTTCCAGAATATCACCACAAGAATTTATTGAATAAATCATGCATTCTTTGCCATTCAGCTGAAATATTGCCTCTATTATTTATTCGATTCTCACATTTTCTTTTCTATTTGTGATCCCTCTATTTCATTAATCTACATATTTATTCCTATGCAATAACTAAATCAATTTTATTAGAGTGGCTCTATAGTTTTGTATGATACATAGCAAAGCAATCCCCTATTTTCTCCCTTTTTATGTATCTGTTGGAATTATCACAAGCTTAAACATTTCTTAGTCATAACTAATATTTCTATTATATGAAAATAACCCTTCTGAGAATAGAGATTTATTGTCATTGTTTACATCTTATTTTTAATTCTCTATAATATTACATATATTATTCTATAGTTTATATTTCTTATTAAACTTATACCTATATATCCTATATATCTTATACTTCTTTTGCTACTAGAAATGAACTAAAGTCTTTACTTTATACAAAATTGGCTTGTATCCTTGTATACTTCAACACATTTTATTGTTAATTGTAATTTTTACTTGTATCTTTTGAGTTTTCTTGGTATACTATCATGACATCTGCAATTAAAAAAACTAAAACATTACATATTTTCCTTTTCAATGTTTCTACAAAGTCTTTCATTTTCTTTTCATATTGAACTTGACTTTTATTGCAATCAATTTGAAACTTGTTTTATATCAGATGAAATTCTAATTTTATTATAGCTGAATTAAAATTAAAGTATAATATCAAGAATATGTCTCTGTCCATCTCCTTATATTTAATTAACATGTTTTTATTGATTTTTCTAATTACAATGATTTTTTACTGTATTTTTCAGAGAACAGGCTTAATTCTATTTAAGTAGATTCTTTCTCAGCTTCCCTTGCAGCTGTAACCAAAAAGGTAACTTGGAGTCTAGCAATCAGAAGCACCTTTATAAGAAAAAAATTTAGAAGTGGTTAATATGAAGTAATGCCTCCTTGCAGGGAAACTGATCTTAGAAATGCAATGGCTCGGTTTTGTCAGTTCTGGCAGGGGAAGTGCTTCTGACAATTCTGAATTTCATAGATGCTTAGAAGCAGTGGCAGTGTAGTTTTCTGTTAAAAAGACTTCTCAGTGGTTAACATGATTCCTGGTAGGTAGGCTTTGTGCTCTGGCTCTCTCTTTTCCAGAGATAGCCAAACTACGACTCATTCTTAATAAATCTGTTTCCTGTTTAAACTAGCCAGAAAGGATGTTGTTGCTCACACACCCCAAACTGTGCAGTATGCTTGGTCACAACACAGGCTGCAGACAACTCTGAAGAATATGTGAAATGGGGATTGATTTTTCTGAAATGGTTTGGATTGGAAGCCGTAAGGATCCAATTTATACCAGGGCATGGGAACATAGTAGTCTTTGACTGCAGTAGGCATTCAGTAAATTTTTACCTTGCTTATGAAAACCATGGTTTTGGCTTACTGAATAGCTAGTAACACAGACCATTGTGAAGAAGACAAGATATACATATGAACCACTGAATTGAACAAATGCTCCAAATAGTGCTGAGGAGCTTAAAATAAATGAGCTCAGAGTTTGAACTTTGTGTTTTCAAAATGGTCAGACTGGCTTAAAATAGCTTTTTACATCTTGTAATTGTAGAGATAATGCAACTAAAAATTGAATCCATTGTAGGAACCTGTGTGTTGCTGATCTGTGGTAGTTGAATCCAGAATTTCATGAGGTCTCTATATAAAAATTAGGGTTTTTTTCTGTGAAAAACTGGGGCATAAGTTTGGAATCTGGCCAAGTGAGAAAGTAGATGACTCAAATAATTCCCAAATCCCTTAGGCCTCTCCTCTTCTATTTTGTGAGGCTGTTTTGCCTTTGAATCCCTATAATGACTTTCCCTAAGGCAGATATCTTACAAGGAAAAGTCAATTCTCATATGCCATTTTTTTTCTAGTCCTCATTTCCTTTAGCTCCTGGGGGCCAATTACATGATGAAACCTTGAACAAGACTTATATGTCAAATAGAATTACAAGCATGTTTTTATTTATATCTGCCCTGACCTTGGAAATATACATGAGAATGAATACAATGAATTCAGAACCAGGAAGAAAGAATCAGGACTATAGATTGGTCTAAATTTTCTACTACCTGTACACTTGCCAGAGTCTCTGGATTCAGTAAGTAATTTTGAGTAGCTACAAATGGTTCTAATTTCTGCTGTCCTTGTAAAGTGACACATTCTCAATGGTGTTCTAAATTAAATGAAGTTGAGATGCTCACAATTCTGAGCATTATGTGTTATTATGTAAAGAGAGGACTCAAAAGACAGAGAAAGGAATGTTGGAGTGGAAGACTTTGTGTAATCTGTCTACTTGTCCCTATCCATGAATTTGAGAATACCTGTGGGATAGCCTCTTCCCGAAGTAAGTGGGAAATCCATACATCTGTAAAAACGGTACTCACTAACTTGAAAAATTCTGAAAGGATGGTCCTCCGAGGGCCTTGAATGCAAGTAGGAAACTCAGCCCTCAAACAAGCCTCTTTCATTTTACTGCGGCTGTTGAGATGCTGGGGCAACAGAGGCCAGCAGCAATATTTAATTGTCAGAGAAAATAAAAAAGTTATTAATAAAATAGTTATCATGGTTAGAGTAAAAACCAAATATTTTTACCCACAGGGATGTTTGGCAATTACTAGTCAATGTACAGTAAAAAATAGATAGATAGTTCATTAGGTCCCAAAGAGCTGTATTAAAAAAAAAAAAGGTCATATAACCACATAACCAGAGTTCCAACATGAGCTACTGCACTAAAACAATTTCCCTCACCAGGACACTCTAATTCCAGATAGCTTCCCCACTCTGTCCTTGCCCTCCCCACCCCCAGTGAGAAAGAATCTCAGAATAGAATAGCTGCACTTTTCCATCACCTCTCCTCTTCCTTCCTTCAAACACCTCTTAGGTTTTGCTGATTTTTTGAACTTTCTGTTACAGAATATTATTAGAATTTTCCTCATGATAAGTTATATCTAAGCCAAGAATCCTTATTTCACATTTAAAAACATATTCTCAGGTTAGCAGTGTAGTCAATTTAGGATCACTCTTTTACTTAAATTCTTATTTTATTGTAGCTTTTGATTTTGAGGCAAGAATTAACATTTACCTGACACAGAATTTGTCTCAGGGGACTAACTCGGATTGTAATGATAATTATTTAGGTGTGTTTTAAATGTCTAAAGAATCGGCACCTTCTCTAAACAACAAAAATACGTTAAGAAACTAGGAAAAAAAGATCTTATAAAAATTTTAATAGGATTTAAATCTATTATAAAATATAGGTTATTGATAATCCTCAAACTCCTTTGTAAGAAAAATCAACTCTGTAAGTAACAACCATGTTTTTTTTTTGTTTGTTTTGGTTTGGTTTGGTTTTTTGCTGGAACCAAGAGAGTGTGTGATGGCTTTAAAAATTTCAGGTGCCTATGGAATCTTGAAAATAGGAAATAGGAACCAAAGTGGTTTTATAGAGTTTCCTCTGGGGTAGTGGGGATGACGACGGAGCAGTTAGATGTCAGGACACAGGAAAGACTAGGGAGAAGATAAGGTCTAGTAAGTATTTTGTATACATAGGAAACACTACCAACTATGTATTGTGAACTCCTGATTCCTCAAAAATAACACAAAATAAAACAAAACAGACATGATTTGTGTTATTGTGGAAAACAACAAATAGGCTGATGTTATTTAGTAGATAGTGCTCACAGATTAGGGCTCAGTTTGCATTGGGGTTATGCATGTCTTTATAAACATTATTGTGTATTCACAAAATGTCATGTTTATATTGATATCTGTTTAATCATGCAAGCCCTCTCACTTCTAACAAGACAGTTTTAAAATTTTAAGGCTATAAAACACAGTGTCACTAAAATAATTAATAATATTATGAATTGGAATTTATTTTTAAGTATTCATTTCTATCTTGGAAGTAATCTTAAATGTACATTTTCTGTTATTTCAGTGTCTTATGGATAATCCAAAGTGTTTTAAAAATTAACTAAAAAGAAATCAAGAAGTATCCATATATTCCACATAAGGTTTCCTGACTCACTGATGTAGGACTTGCCCAAAATGGTTTTGTAATCCATCTGTCTTTTAAAAGAGGTTTTGCATAACTATAAATTTTCTGTCCCACTATTAACAAAAAAAAATGTGGCTATACAGATTCAGTGCATTCATTAGACTAGAACAGGGAATGGAAAAATTTGTTAGGCAAAGTTAATTAGTGCCCCTTGGTGTTTTGTGATAAGGGCACAGAGAGAAGTTTGTGACTCTACATAAAAAAAAGTCAAAAAAGAATGGTAGGCTTGTAGCAAGCTAGCATAACAGATTGAAGAGAAAGGGCTAGAACAGTAGCTATCTATGTTTCCAGGTTTGATAAACTTTTCTGTCATCTGGAAGGTATGCCTAGGAGGTAGCTGTGCTCAAGTCTTCTTGACAAGAGCAGTCCAAGAGTCCTGCCTGCTGGGGTATCCACCCACTGAGGCCGGTGGGATTGCATACAGCAGAGCTGAGGCGCACACTGGAGATACAGTGTATGCCCATCTTTTGCCCCACGGGAAGATGCGAGGAATGTTTCTCAGCCTTGGGAGAGAAGGGAACCTCCAAAGGACCCACAAAATGATCACATTAAATGGGAGTGAGGAGTATGAGCTGCTGAACACTTAACAAGCTGGAGGCACTTTTTTTTTTTTTTACAATTTTTTAATTATTACTTCAAAATGCAGTTATACACAAAGAACAATGAAAATTAATTTAAATGTACAAATATTAAAATACTATCTTCGCACCCACTGCAATGTACAGGATTCATATATATATATATATATATATATATATATATATATATATAAGCAAATCCAAACTGATTGAGTGACATCCTGCACAGCCAGTTATAGATATGTTTATGTTGTTTTAAAGCACCATATGAATATGATTATGAGAAGAATTCCATGGTGGCGTGATGAAGCTAAGAAACCAGGGTAGCGTACAGAAGCTGTCACACTACCTGCGTACATTTCTGCTTCCTGCTTGGCAACCCCAGTGCTTCACCCCTGGATCTTCTCTAGCTAGCTCTGCTGTTGGGCAGAGAGTTCAACCTTGGGAGTTTCATGCAAAATTCTACTACATTTTCAAATAGAAATTATGAGTTGCTTCCAAGGAAAATTGAGCCTGCCTCCTTATGCTCTCTGCAGAACCAGGTACTGCACCACTCAAGGTGACCAGGTGAATGGGTCAAAAAGGAAATTGTTGGGTTTTTTTGTTTGTTTGTTTTTGTATAACCACCCTAATCTCTTTCCCTAACCATCAAGAATCCAGAAGCTCTCTAGAACAGAGGTGGTAGGTGGAGCTCAGATGGTAAAAGCTCAGACTAGCTTCCATTTTGCACTGCTAACCTGCAGAATATTATATTGGGCTCTTTTGGGGGATGAGAAATACCTTAAATTGGGTAAAATAAAATCTTTGATATTATTTTATACTCGGCTTTTTCATGCCCGAATTTGAATGTTTTATGCCAAAAAGTCAAATGGAAACTGGTGCACATGATATATCATCCAGCAACAAGTTACAATGCAATATTGTAGAAAAGCTGATGTTTGAATACTATTGCAACCCTCACATTCATGCAAGTTCAACAAGTGATACTTATTCCCATTTCCTTTCAAAATATTCAGTGTAGGAAATATTCACAAATCCATTAAAATATAAATTTAATGACCTTTAGAGTCTGAAAAACACGGTGCTGGATACCAGAATGCAAAAGGAAGGAAAAGTGAAGTGGGGGCAGAATGGCATAAAGAAGTACTTAATTAAAATCTTCATGGTATAATTGCCTTCAGGGCTAATTAATTTTGTCTTGAGGTAAGGGTAAATAAATTGGAGTTTATTCCTGTGTGTTTCTGCATAGGTATAAGGAAGTATTGGGACATAATTGTAATATATTTTTTTTTCCAAATATGTCAAAGGATTACATGGCTAAAGGTGATAGAAAACAGGGTGCTCCATTTGGAATTAAAGGAAAACTTAAAGTCATTGCTGCTTCTCTCTAAATCTTCTGAATTTATGTGTGAGCATTTTCGGAATTATAAACAATGGGAGAATTCAGCTTCTGAATGTAATATGAAAATTAGCATGCTCATCGGTTTGGGGAATTTATATGAGGATTCTCATATAAAGGAGGATATAATTTATTGGAGAAATTTGAAAAGGAACTCTATATATGTATATATAATATGTATACACACACATTTTTGCCTGCAATTCTGTGGTGATTTGTAGGTATTATATGTGTATAAGTACTTAATAGCCAAACTGCAAAGTAGCTTTGTTATGATATTAAGGATTATTATTGTGAAATTTTCTTTTTCTATATTTTTTTCTTTAGAGAATATAATGAAATTTTGCAAGAATCATTGGAAATTCTTTCCAAAGGAGTTAGAGGACAGCTGAACATAATATCAGTGTGTACTAACAAGTAGAATATTTTGCAAACAATATAAATAAATGTATGGCATTAATTTCCCATTACTACAGTGTAATGGATCCTAAATAGTTTGAGTTTTAACTTTTTATGTAGAGAACACCCAATTGGGTGAGATTTATTTAATGGCATTTTTGGTACACTTTCCCCTATTTGAGTTTTTTCTTCAATTTTTGAGTACTACTATTGCAAAACTACCTATAATTTACTGTCTATATTTTAGAGTCAGGAAATAAATATATAAGTAGACACTAAACTTTCAAAAATATTGTTGTCACTGATATACTTTACTTCCTTTCCTCTATAATCAATTAAATAGTAGGTTTCAAACCTCATTGCTCATTGGAATCATTTGGGGAGTTCTTACAGATGCCTCAACTTCATATAAATGGTCTGGGATGAGGCCAGAGGAATGAATGTGTTAAGAAAAACCTCTCCAGGTGTTCCTAACTTGTGACCATTACATTAGAATAAGACTTCAAGCTTTACTGTTACTATTGTTCACAGTTATTATTCTCTAGAATTCACCTTTCTGCAATAAAGAATTTTCCTGTAACCTTTAGAATATGTAATCTACTTGTTTTTGTTATGAATTTTTAAACTATCCCTAAAAAATAGTTTGAGCATACTTTGAAAAGTGAAGTAATGGATATCACAATGGAGGAAAAACTGCATTATATGAAATGTTCTGATTCAGTTCATATGGAGTATGAAGAAAATATTTTGAAAGAGTGTTGGAAGATACTATAAAACTGACCTAACTGGCTTGGCAAGGATTAGAGATGAATTGCCTGGGATAAGTAAATGAATTTGGCACTACTGAAGAAAAATATGAAAGAGAAGAAAAAGGTAGGGTTAAGAAAAGAGGCAACTATTTCCAAATAATATATTTGTGCCTGTATCCTATTTCAAATTCTACTTTGTAAAATTTCTTCCAGTTTTAGGTTGGGTATGTGGAGCCCTACATTTCCTTTGTGTGAAGAAGGCTGGATCTTTCTTTTCTTTGCACATTCTCTGTATTACTCTGTTTCTATGTATCTATGACAATTATCAGAACTTGTATTCCAAAACCAGTTCCAGGAATCTCATTCCAAGTTTTAATCAGAATCAATGCACATATAAATACCATCACCACATTTTTTTGGTGCTGTGTTTTTTACTTACATAATTTTAGCTATGACACATTTTAACCTTCTTTGAAGCTCAAAGTGGGCATGATGTTTGATTCTTTGTAATTTAGAGAAAATCATCTGGAAAATTTTTTAAAAGGCTTGCTTCCATTATAAGAGATATTCAGAGTTATAAGAATGGCAAGGCAAGGAAGACCAGGACATCATGAACAAAATGTGCTAGGTTATAATTTCTTGTGAGTAAAAATGGGCAAGGCATGGACAAATTGGTGGCACTGTGTATTAAGCTATGACCCGAATGGTGCCTGATAGCCTTGCTTAAAATATAAATTGAATAGGCAGTGGGAAAACACCAAAGTGCCTGTGCAGGGTGATGGCTGAACCCATGAGAGGAAACTAAATGGATGAAAGTTCAACAAACTACTTAACTGAATAACAAATGTCATACCTGGTAAATTCCTTCCCCAGTAGGTCAGAAGAAATAATTTCAACTATCATATAAAGCACAAGATAAGAATATTAACAGAATAAACAGGCTCTCAAGTCAGTAAACTTAACATATTTTTAAAGTGTTTCTAAATATTTTTAAAGACTATAACCCATTACTCATCTTTTCTTAACAAGGAAGTTTGGTAAATCTGTCCTCATTAAGAAAAAATTTCTGATTAAAAAAATACATTTGCTTGGTAGATCTTCCTCCATCCCTTTATTTTGAGTCTATGTGTGTCTCTGCACATGAGATGAGTTTCCTGAATACAGCACACTGATGGGTCTTGACTCTTTATCCAATTTGCCAGTCTGTGCCTTTTAATTGGAGCATTTAGCCCATTTACATTTAAGGTTAGTATTGTTATGTGTGAATTTGATCCTGTCATTATGATGTTAGCTGGTGATTTTGCTCGTTAGTTGATGCAGTTTCTTCCTAGCCTTGATGGTCTTTACAATTTAGCATGTTTTTGCAGTGGCTGGTACCGGTTGTTCCTTTCCAAGTTTAGTGCTTCCTTCAGGAGCTCTTTTAGGGCAGGCCTGGTGGTGACAAAATCTCTCAGCATTTGCTTGTCTGTAAAGTATTTTATTTCTCCTTCATTTATGAAGCTTAGTTTGGCTGGATATGAAATTCTGGGTTGAAAATTCTTTTCTTTAAGAATGTTGAATATTGGCCCCCACTCTCTTCTGGCTTGTAGAGTTTCTGCCGAGAAATCAGCTGTTAGTCTAATGGGCTTCCCTTTGTGGGTAACCTGACCTTTCTCTCTGGCTGCCCTTAACGTTTTTTCCTTCATTTCAACTTTAGTGAATCTGACAATTATGTGTCTTGGAGTTGCTCTTTCGAGGAGTATCTTTGTGACATTCTCTGGATTTCCTGAATTTGAATGTTGGCCTGCCTTGCTAGATTGGGGAAGTTCTCCTGGATAATATCCTGCAGAGTGTTTTCCAACTTGGTTCCATTCTCCCCGTCACTTTCAGGTACACCAATTAGACGTAGATTTGGTCTTTTCATATAGTCCCATATTTCTTGGAGGCTTTGTTCGTTTCTTTTTATTCTTTTTTCTCTAAACTTCTCTTCACGCTTCATTTCATCCATTTCGTCTTCCATCACTGATAACCTTTCTTCCAGTTGGTCACATCAGTTACTGAGGCTTGTGCATTCGTCACGTAGTTCTCCTGCCATGGTTTTCAGCTCCATCAGGTCCTTTAAGGACTTATCTGCATTGGTTATTCTAGTTATCCATTCGTCTAATTTTTTTTCAGAGTTTTTAACTTCTTTGCCATTTGTTCGAACTTCCTCCTTTAGCTCGGAGTAGTTTGATCTTCCAAAGCCTTCCTCTCTCAACTCGTCAAAGTCATTCTCCGTCCAGCTTTGTTCCGTTGCTGGTGAGGAGCTGCATTCCTTTGGAGGAGGAAAGGCGCTCTGATTTTTAGAGTTTCCGGTTTTTCTGCTCTGTTTTTTCCCCATCTTTGTGATTTTATCTACCTTTGGTCTTTGATGATGGTGACGTACAGATGGGTTTTTGGTACTGATGTCCTTTCTGTTTGTTAGTTTTCCTTCTAACAGTCAGGACCCTCAGCTGCAGGTCTGTTGGAGTTTACTGGAGGTCCACTCCAGACCCTGTTTGCCTGGGTATCAGCAGCGGTGGCTGCAGAACAGCGGATATTGGTGAACCGCAAATGCTGCTGCCTGATCGTTCCTCTGGAGGTTTTGTCTCAGAGGAGTACCTGGCCGTGTGAGGTGTCAGTCTGCCCCTACTGGGGGGTGCCTCCCAGATAGGCTACTCGGGGGTCAGGGACCCACTTGAGGAGGCAGTCTGCCTGTTCTCAGATCTCAAGCTGCATGGTGGGAGAACCACTACTCTCTTCAAAGCTGTCAGACAGGGACATTTAAGTCTGCAGAGGTTATTGCTGTCTTTTGTTTGTCTGTGCCCTGCCCCCAGAGGTGGAGCCTACAGAAGCGGGCAGGCCTCCTTCAGCTGTGCTGGGCTCCACCCAGTTCGAGCTTCCTGGCCGCTTTGTTTACCTACTCAAGCCTGAGCAATGGCGGGTGCCCCTCCCCAAGCCTTGCTGCCACCTTGCAGTTTGATCTCAGACTGCTGTGCTAGCAATGAACGAGGCTGCATGGGCGTAGGACCCTCCGAGCCATGTGTGGGATATAATCTCCTGGTGTGCCATTTGATAAGCCTGTTGGAAAAGCACAGTATTAGGGTGGGAGTGACGTGATTTTCCAGGTGCCGTCTGTCACCCCTTTCTTTGACTAGGAAAGGGAATTCCCTAACCCCTTGCACTTCCTGGGTGAGGCAATGCCTTGCCCTACTTCGGCTCATGCACAGTGTGCCGCACCCATTGTCCTGCACCCACTGTCCGGCACTCCCCCGTGAGATGAACCCGGTACCTCAGTTAGAAATGCAGAAATCACCCGTCTTCTGCGTCGCTCATGCTGGGAGCTGTAGACTGGAGCTGTTCCTATTCAGCCATGTTGGCTCAAAAAGTGGGCAAAGGATATGAACAGACACTTCTCAAAAGAAGACATTTATGCAGCCAAAAAACACATGAAAAAATGCTCATCATCACTGGCCATCAGAGAAATGCAAATCAAAACCACAATGAGATAACATCTCGCACCAGTTAGAATGGAGATCATTAAAAAGTCAGGAAACAACAGGTGCTGGAGAGGATGGGGAGAAATAGGAACACTTTTACACTGTTGGTGGGACTGTAAACTAATTCAACCATTGTGGAAGTCGGTGTGGTGATTCCTCAGGTATCTAGAACTAGAAATACCATTTGACCCAGCCATCCCATTACTGGGTATATACCCAAAGGATTATAAATCATGCTGCTATAAAGACACATGCAAACATATGTTTATTGCGGCACTATTCACAATAGCAAAGACTTGGAACCAACACAAATGTCCAACAATGATAGACTGGATTAAGAAAATGTGGCACATATACACTATGGAATACTATGCAGCCATAAAAAATGATGAGTTCATGTCCTTTGTAGGGACATGGATGAAGCTTGAAACCATCATTCTCAGCAAACTGTCGCAAGGACAAAAAAACAAACACCGCATGTTCTCACTCACAGGTGGGAGTTGAACAATGAGAACACATGGACACAGGAAGGGGAACATCACACACCGGGGCCTGTTGTGGGGTGGGGGGAGGGGGAGGGATAGCATTAGGAGATATACCTAATGCTAAATGACGAGTTAATGGGTGTAGCACACCAACATGGCACATGTATACATATGTAACAAACCTGCACGTTGTGCACATGTACCCTAAAACTTAAAGTATAATAATAAAAAAAAAATACAAAATCCACCAGAAAATAGCAAACTGGAAAAAATATGGTTAAAATATAGTGACAGCTAAAGAGTTGTTTTTCACATATAAGAACTAACAACAATCAATATATAACAGACATCAAATGGAGATTCATAGAAGAAATGGCACAGAAACATCAAGAGTTCAAAATCACCAATAAAAAAGGAAAGCAACTTTAACATTTTATTTACTTATTTATGTATTTATTTATCTATGAGATGGAGTCTCACTCTATCATCCAGGCTGGAGTGCAGTGCCACGATCTCAGCTCACTGTAATCTCTGCCTCCCGGGTTCAAGCAATTCTTCCTCAGCCTCCTGAGTTGCTGGGATTACAGGAGTATGCCACCATGCCTGGCTAATTTTTGCAGTTTTAGTAGAGACGGGGTTTCACTATGTTGGCCCACCTGGTTTTGAATTCATGACCTCAAATGATCCGCCTGCCTTTAATTTATCACTTTAAGGAAGATTGAAAGTATTTATAATTCCAAAGGTTGTGTGGTAAATAAAAAGAATGTTTAGTTGTAATAATGAAAATGTGTGTACTTTGAAATTTCACATTGTGTTTTGCAACTTATTTTATAATATTTTATATGATTAAAAGTTTTCACTTTTATGTAGTTTATTACTTTAATTATGTCTATCAGGATAATTTATTTACAAGAGTTATTTCATTGCAGTATCATGCATTCTTCTAATTTTTTTGACAGTACTCTTTGCTGTATGTTTCAGGTTAGGATTACAATATCTTAAATCCCCTGCCCCCTCAAATAAACATACTCTGTAAAATCTTAATTCAGGAATAAAAAATCTTCTCTTGAAAATAACTTTGTCAAAATACTTGGAAAAAATGTTATCCGTTTTTTATCCTTTTTTTTTTATTTTACTTTAAGTTCGGCCTATGCAGAACGTGCAGGTTTGTTACATAGGTATACATGTGCCATGGTGGTTTACTGCACCTATCAACCCCTCACCTAGGTTTAGCATTAGCTATTTATCCTTATGCTCTCCCTCCCCTCACCCTGACCCCCAACAGACCCTGGTGTTTGTTGTTCCCCTCCTTGTGTCCATGTATTCTCATTGTTCAGCTCCCACTTATGAATGAGAACATGCGGTGTTTGGTTTTCTGTTCCTGTGTGTGTTTGCCGAGGATGATGGCTTCCAGCTTTTCTTGCTAATAATAAAGGAAACATTTGATGGGTGCTGCTATAGTTTGGATATTTGTTTCCTACAAATCTCATGTTGAAATATGCTTCTAATGTTGGAAGTGGGGCCTGGTGGGAGATGATAGGGTCATGAGGGTGGATCTCTCATGAATGGCTTGGTGCTCTCCTCATGGTAATAAGTGAGCACTCACACTATCAGTTCATGTGAGAACTGGTTGTTTAAAGAACCTGATACCTCCTTCCTTCTCTCTTGTACCTTCTTTCACTACATGACATGCCTTCTCATCCTTTGCCTTTCATCATGATTGTAAGCTTCCTGAGGCCCTCACCAGAAGCAGATGTTAGCACTATCGTTCTCATACATTCTGCAGAATGGTGAGCCAAATAAACCTCTTTCCTGTACAAATTACCCAGTCTCAGGTCTTTATAGCAACATAAAATGGACTAACACAGGTGGCAGTGATTATTGAAACAGCATTCAGTTAAAATAAGCAGTTCAATCCTAAAATTCTGCTTTCATAAATATATAAACCCTGTGCAAGTGCATCTTGACAGGCTGAAGCTTATGATTTGTGTAGCGGATGTGAGAAAAAAAATTGGTCTTCATTCAAAATCAAAAACACAAGAGGGAAATACACACATTATAAGGCTCAGTTAATTTGCTAATGACTAGCTCCACTTGATTGTTTGAACATAGTGAACAAGAAAGTTTATGGTATGTAGACCAGAAAAGAAATCTAAGATAAAGACTCTTTAATCACTCACCTTGAAAAGCTGTTAAATTTATGAAAAATGTTTACATTCTAATGAGTCCAATTTCAAGAAATGTGAAAATTACCCAATCCTAGCAATTTTATTAGAATAGTCTTGGTCAACATTAAAAAGTAGGTAATTCCGATATATATATCAATGGAACAGAACAGAGGCCTCAGAAATAATGCCACACATATACAACCATCTGATCTTTGACAAACCTGACAAAAACAAGCAATGGGGAAAGGATTCCCTATTTAATAAATGGTGTTGGGAAAACTGGCTAGCCATATGCAGAAAACTGAAACTGGACCCCTTCCTTACGTCTTATATACAAATTAACTCAAGATGGATTAAAGACTTAAACATAAGACCTAAAAACATAAAACCCTAGAAGAAAACAGGCAATACCATTAAGGAACATAGGCATGGGCAAAGACTTAATGACTAAAACACCAAAAGTTAAGACTTCATAACTAAAACACCAAAAGCAATGGCAGCAAAAGCCAAAATTGACAAATGGGGTCTAATTAAACTAAAGAGCTTCTGTACAATAAAAGAAACTATCATCAGAGTGAACAGGAAATCTACAGAATGGGAGAAAATTTTTGCAATCTATCCATCTGACAAAGGGCTAATATCCAGAATCTACAAGAAAGTTAAACAAATTTACAAAAAAAAAATCAAAAAGTGGGCAAAAGATATGAACAGACACTTCTCAAAAGAAGACAATTATGTGGCCAACAAACATCTGAAAAAAAGTTTATCATTGCTGGTCATTAGAGAAATGCAAATCAAAACCACAATGAGATACCATCTCACACCAGTTAGAATGGTGATCATTAAAAAGTTAGGAAACAATAGATGCTGGGGAGGGTGTGGAGAAATAGGAACGCTTTTACACTGTTGGTGGGAGTGTTAATTAGTTCCACCATTGTGGAAGACAGTGTGGCAATTTCTCAAGGATCTAGAACCAAAAATACCATTTGACCCAGCAATCCCATTACTGGGTATATACCCAAAGGATTATAAATCATTCTCCTATAAAGACACATGCACACGTATGTTTATTGTAGCACTGTTCACAATAGCAAAGACTTGGAACCAACCCTAATGCCCATCAATGATAGACTGGATAAGAAAATGTGGCACATATACATCATGGAATACTATGCAGCCATAAAAAAAGATGATCCATGTCCTTTGCAGGGACATGGATGAAGCTGGAAACCATCATTCTCAGCAAACTAACACAAGAACAGAAAACCAAACAGTGCATTTTTCTCACTCCTAAGTGGGAGTTGAACAGTGAGAACACATGGACACAGGGAGGGGAACATCACACACTGGGGCCTGTCAAGGAGTGAGGGCCTAGGAGAGGAATAGCATCAGGTGAAATACCTAATGTAGATGACGGTTTGATGGGTGCAGCAAACCACCATGGCACGTGTATACCTATGTAACAGACCTGCACGTTCTGCACATGTATCTCAGAACTTCAAGTATAATTTTTTTTAAAAGTTACCTATTAAAGAAAACAAAAAATTAAGTAGGTATTTTTTTTTTACCTATCTTCTTTTGACTTTATTGTCTTTTTCTTATTTCTCACAAGTCCTGTACAGTCATGCTAAAGGAAAAATTTGATGAATTCATTTATACATCCTAAGATATTAAGGTCACTCTGTGGTATTTTCACTTTCTAAGGGTTCCCCTTAGGAGAAGAGAGAGAGAGAGATTAAATTTACCATATATGGGAATGATTTTTTCATTAGTGGGATTTAGATACTTTAGGATAGATATCAAAAGTTATTCTAGAATGAACCTGTTCTCTCTCCTGGTGCTGGTCTACCTGCAACTCTGCTAAAGTTCCTGTTTCCCAGTGCAGTAAATGGTTATCATTACCCTTCCTGTTATATAAAGTAGACATCTGAAAGTCACTCTTTTTTTTTGAGACAGAGTTTCACTCTGTCGCCCAAGCTGGATTGCAGTGGCACGATCTCGGCTCACTGCAAACTCCACCTCCCGGGTTCATGCCATTCTCCTGCCTCAGCCTCCCGAGTAGCTGGGACTACAGGCACTTGCCACCATGCCCGGCTAATTTTTTTGTATTTTTAGTAGAGACAGGGTTTCACCATGTTAGCCAGGATGGTCTCAATCTCCTGACCTCATGATCCGCCTGCCTCGGCCTCCCAAAGTGCTGGGATTACAGGCATGAGCCACCTTCGGGCCCAGCCTGAAAGTCACTCTTGACATCTCTCTCCACTATGTCAAATCCAACTCCAAGTTGTATTGATTTTTATCACCCAAATATGTTTTACATGATTTCATTTCCATCCATCTCCACTCCCTCCACCCTTATCCAGGTTACATTTTTTTTTCTTGATTTACTGAATAAACAAGTTCAGACTATTTTCAAGAGCCAATGGGCAAATTTAGCACAACAATTTGAGGTAATGTTCTGAAAGGAAAAAAAAAATCTTAGAGAAGCAAAGATTCAAACTCTCCAAGTATGAATATTTGCCTAGCCTCTTAGAGGAGCTAATCCCTTAGTACTAGGCTTCTTTTTATGATATCAAGAAAGAAGAAATATTTCAGGTTATAATTTGATAAATCTAATAAAACTAAACTTTTAATTTTGTATCTCCCTAATTAAAGCATCAACTAATCATAGTAGAGATGGGTTTTTTAAATCTAATTAAGTTTGCCCAAAGACTTCTAAGAGAATTTATGATCCACAAAATATTTGTCTAGTATCAAGCAATTTGGCAGCATTTCTAACTGTTTTGCAAAGATATTTTTACCCAAGTGATTAAGAAATGTTTTATTTGGTACACTGCCCCATCACTGTGGCCAGGTATAATCTCTGAAAATTTCATGGTTTAATCCTGTGTTCAGTTACATAAAATCTCATTTTAGAACTTATAATTTTAATTGCCTCAGAGTAATAATATTGAGCACAATATATATGAGCATACTATTATATAATGTATATATATGTATTAGTATATAAGACTGTACTTTTGAAATTTGCATGTGTGTGTTTGTGTGTGTGTGCATTTACTACTTTCTTTTTCAATCCCCAAAGTAGCTCTCTGGCATAGGTAGGTAAGATGATATGGATTATTATAACTCTGTATTTATGTATGAAAAAATTAAGATTTTGAGAAGTGTCTTGATTTGCCCTAGATCATAGAAAATGTAAAGGCCTAACCACTCAGAAATAAACAGAAATCCATGTGAGCTCAGAATTGCTAATAAAATTCAATATAGGCCATTCTTGGAGCTTACTGATTTTATAAAAGCCTTTAAATAAAGTCTCTGAAATCTTAAATTAAAAAATATAGGTACTAACAACAAATCAAGGCAACTTCTACTTTGCTCTTCAGAATACCTTTTGAAATATGTTTCTCTACATATAACTTTTTAATGTGTGTGTGTGTTATGAATTATACAAATCACAGGCTAGTGGAGCTAACATTAACTTCTAATCTAGATATCTTAAACATCTCTACTAATATCTCACAGTTTAATGATAAATCTGTATTTGGTACTCCTTTTGGGTCTACTAATACCATCGTTAGTTTCTTATGCAAGTCAAGAACCACAAAACTAGACAGGACAGAGTAGAGCAGGCTACCTTGTAAGAAGAGATATTGAGAATGTCCAATTGATGACTAAAATAAGTTACTTTTAAATCAGTTTGATTTGATTTGATAAAATATAGAAAGTTTGTGCCAGGTGCCATGAGGAGTAAACAATAAATAAAATATAATTGTTTCCATAAGTAAACTATAATGCACAAGAAAGACAGCAAACATAAAGTGAAGTGAATTAAGTAGAATAACAGAGTTTAAGAAATTCATGAAAGTTCTATCAAAAAAAATCATTTCTAACTAAGGAAATAGTTAGAGTTTAGGGTGGAATTTGAATTGTGCTAAAGGTTGTGTATAAAGTTTTCCAAGACAAAATGGATGATAAAAATATTGTAAATTAGGGGATCATGAGTCAATGATTATTTTGAAGACCTCTAAACATGGTTTTATGACTTAATTTTACAGTATGTGGAAGTCCGGTGAAACTTAAGCCTAGAGAGTTAATTTGGGAAGGAGGAAAAAGCTTTGAATATGATGCTAAGGAATTAAGATGTTTCAGCCAAGATTAGGGATTGAGAAAGGATTGAGATTTGCATGCCAACTCTGATTGATTGATAGTGACTGCACAGACTGTGCTGTTGAGAGGCCTTCTGAGCACCAGTGTGAGCTTAGTAATATGTTTCATTAGCAATCTCTTCCAAAAGAGGGATGGAGAAGGAATTTGCACCATGGCTAATCAATTAGTTTATTCAAAAGCCTGAATTAGGCAGGGACGAGCATGAAATTGTTTTATTTTCTCCCCATCATTGCCTTTAACCATTCCATATCAATTTTCCCTTCCCTACTCTTACAGACATCTAAGTAAATCTTAGAGCTTTCCAGTAACTTTCCATTATAAGAACTTTGAGATTTTGTTCTCATTCTGATTTTAAAAAAGAGAAAAGGAAGTGCTTATATACTGCTGGTGGGAATGTAAATTAGGTCAGCCCTTGTGGAAAGCAGTTTGGAGATTTTTCAAAGAATTTAAAACAGAACTACCATTCAACTGGGCAATCCCATTACTGGGTATATGCCCAAAGGAATACAAATTTTTCTACCATAAAGACACATGCACACATATGTTTATTGCAGCACTATTCACAATAGCAAAAACATGGAATCATCCTAGATGCCCACCAATGATGGCCTGGTTAAAGGAAATGTGGTACATACGCACCATGGGATACTACGTAGCCTTAAGGAAAGAATGGAATCCTATCCTTTACAGTAACATGGATGGAGCTGGAAGCCAATATCCTGAGCAAATTAACACAGGGAGAGAAAAACAAATACCATACGCTCTCACTCGTAAGTGGGAGCTAAACATTGAGCACACATGGACATAAAGAAGGGAACAACAGACACTAGGGCCTACTTGAGGATAGAGGGTAGGAAGAAAGTCAAGAAAAAACTATCGGGTACTATGCTTATTACCTGGTTACAAAATAATCTGTACATCAGACCCCCGTGACAAGAAATTTGCTCATGTAACAAAGTGGCACATGTACCCCCTGTACCTAAAATAAAAGTTGGAAAGAAAAGTAGTTCCAGTCAAAAATCACTAAGTTTTTATGCAATTCAACATACTTCTGCATGTTTTCTCTTCTCTGATGGTCAGTCCCTTTGAATTGTCTTGCCAGGATTGTTCAAGCCTGCTAACTTTTCTGGCCCACAGTTTTTGTTCCACAGAGGACAGACTTGCCACAATGAATACTGCCTGATGTAGCCTGTCCCAGTGCTGACCCTCTCTCCACAAGTCTACTTTCTCTTAGGAACTTGTTTTCCCCCTTGCTTAAATAAGATAAGGGTAAATATAGTTTGCTGCCTACTTTTTTTTGTTTGAATTACTTTATAAGAAGCCCTTAAATAGGGATTTGGGGGCAAATAGATCATGAAGGAGGTGAAGGCATGGCAATGAGTTGTGACACAGTGAAGGGAAGCAGGTCACAGGGGTGGTTTATCAAGCCAGTCGCTACTGTGGTCAATGAGCCATAGTCCCTCACACAGGGGATACTCTAGGAGCCAGTGGAAACCCTTACCTCAGACCTAGTTGATGCCAGGGACGTATGTGAATGTATAGAGCAATTCCTGTCCATTATTGTTGAGCACAGTTCATTGCCCGGGTGTGTTCATTCCCAGATCCTTGTGACTGGCTGGCTACACAAGTGATGAAGCAAGGTAAGAGTAAGAAAAAGGTCTCAGACAAAGGAATGCAGGTGCTAGAAATAACACATCTATTTGGTGCCCTCTAAAGTAATAATGGGAAGGGCATATGGATGGGGCACCAGCAACATCTGCTGTACTGCTTGACCTCAGAGCCTATGAGGGACTCCCTCATAGGCCCCTTTCCTTGGCTTGAGGAGTATTGCTCGTTAGGAAAGAGGAGCAAGACCACTGAAATCTCCCCTGAATCCAGTAACTCCCAAAATGTGGCCAGTTCCAACAAGTCTTCTCTTTGAATGTCTAGTCTTTTGCTCACATTGACTGATGAGGTGACAGGCACAGGATACTTTTGGCCAAATGAGATAATGAATTGAAGACTTGATTTCTAATGTGGGAGGTCCTTAGCATCTATAAAAATATGTACTTATGCCACAGCTTTTTGTAGTCCTCAAACATATTTACACATTTTTCGCTCTTACTGTTTTATCAAAATAGGTTTTCATCATATTCATAGTCAAATAATATAGCTTCAAAAAAGTATTTTTGTTTCCAATACCTTATTTGCAGGGTTTCACAATGGTAGATAAAATCTCAAGTAGAAGAAATACAGATCTAAGAATAGGGAAGACAAATCTTTAAAAACCTTAATATAAAAAATTTCTTTATTGCTTGATATTTTAACAAAAGTGACACCAGGAAAAATACAAGTGCTCCAATGAATTCTATCTTGTATGTTTTTCTTCGTGTTTTGCAGTAATTATAATGCTTACAGTAACTTAAGTATGGAATTTAAAAGTTACTTACCCAGAATTATTTTCAATTTAAAAATGGAAATGATATCCAGGAGCTTTAACGACTTCAATGTTCCAGTTTACCTAGAGAAATTTTAGTTAAATGTTTTATTTAAGTTCTGTCAGCTGGGTATTTTTATATCTAACTCATACTTTTGTCCAACTCCTCTTTATTCAGTTCCTGATGTTATGTCTTACATGATTTCTCCCTTGCTAAATTTTAAATTTCATTAAGAGCAAAGATTGTCTTTTTAATGTTAGATTATCAGCTTCCCCACCAACACCCCCAAATTCCAGTACTCACAAAATGCTTTGCATAAAAGCTCTCTCTTTATACATTACTTTCAGCAAAAAAATAAAAAATAGCATCTGAAAGTTTGAAATACCATTCGTAAAGGGATCTGTCTTATCCTCATTCCCTTTTGCCCTTGAAACATTTGTGGAACGTACAGTAAAACAAGCAACTAATTATTATTAAATTGAAGGCTATTCATTATAATCATTCCAATGTAGACATTATACACTATTCTATATGCATGCCCTTGTAAGTGGGCTTAATTTTTTGCTCTTAAAATGATTAAAAGAAAAAAATACTTTGGCATATAAAAGTTCAGCTCCTTTCCTATCAATAATATATTTAATTGTGCAGATCCTAAAGGGAGATGGTGGTGGCCAAAAATAGATGCTTTTGCTGGCACCTGTAACTTGCATTTAGCCCAATCAGGCCTATAATCCTGAGGGATTCCTAAAAAAGAGGAAGAGCTTTCATTTAGCCTGATATATTTAATTTTCATCAATTTTTTAATCAAATACTAGTAATATTTTTCATCAAATACTAGTAATTCTATTAAGGTTTTAAAATGCTATAGAGTGTTTGAAATGATGTCCTACTTTAGTACATTGTCTTTTGTGTGTTTCTTTTTTTTTTGCCACCTAATCATTTTACTTTTAAAAGAATAATTTAGGACTCCATAAAAAAATTTGTATTGCAAAGAACCATGAGTAGAAATCAAAAACTCATAGGATGATCGGCTAAAAGCAGGAACTAGGCTGCTTGAAAAGAAATAATAGTAATTAATAATAATAATAATAATAATAATAATAAAAGAGCTAACACCATTGAATGCTATTCTCTTCTGGGGATTTTTTAAGTGCATGACATACAGTCTCTCACTAAATCTTCCAAACAAATTTATAATGCAGATTCTATAATTCTTTTCATTTTACAGGGGTGTTAAGAGTCTCTGCAGTTCAGTAACTTGGCTGATGTCCCTCAGCTGGTGAGCAATAGAGCTGAGATCTCAGCCTAGGTGATGTGATGGCAGAGCCTCTCTTCCAAAACAGACTGCTAAATTATTTCAAAGAAAGACACATTACTGTAAAACTCTATGCTTGAATTTCTATTAGAAAAGAGAAAAGTAAATATTGCATGTGTTTATTTTGAACAAATATGGTTTGTTTTGTAACAAGTATATTTTAATCCCATGACTGAAAATTAGATTGCCTAAAATATTTGTCTTACTCGTTACTGAATTAAAATGTTTCTTTTCTTACTGTTAATTCAGGGATATAATGCTTCCATCTCTATGCCAGATTTGGCTCTTGGATTAATTCTACCAGCCCAGGAACTTCTAGCTTTATAAGGCAATAGCACCCAGCCTTAGAAATAATTTCCTCACTAGTAGGTTGCTGTGGCTACTTGCTAAAGAGACAACTGAACATTTGGATATTGCAAAGTTTTGGACCCTATGTAATATCTCCAAGTTTCAAAGGACAATAAAAACACAGGGTTGGCGTATTAAGCATCCTCACATGTCTTGTTCTAGGAAAGTCATCTGAGAATCTACTAAGTGAGTCTCTGTTTTCTTTTTCTGTCCTCCACCTTGTTCCCTCCTTCTTGTTCTCCCTCCCTATCTACAATTCTTTGTTTCATTTCTTCTCTCTCTAACACCTAGATATCTTTTCTGTTTCTTTTCCTTCACTATTATGGTTCAACAACACTTATTACTTTAAGAGGTGGCAGAATGAAACATATTTTGTTCCATCCCTCAAAAAAGAGCTAAGCATAAATTTTAATACATGTATTTCTGCCCCTTGATTGCTAAAGTTCCATGAAAATTAGTCCATGGAGTAGAAAAGAAAAAGCTCTCTAATCTCAAAATGTTTATGCTATTTTCCAAACCTGCACGATACAAAAGGTTTTACACGTATTAGTGTTATATGTTCAAAGGTTTAAATGGTATCCAAAACAGTACATGCAATTGGAGATAAAATTTGTCTTGATACTGTATGGATCTGTTACAGTTATCTGATGCATAATACATCACAATGGATTTTTAAAAATGCAATTTCTTACCTCTCTTGGTTTCTGTAAGTCAGCAGTTCAGACAAGGCAAGCAGGGATCACTTATCTCTTCTCCATGATGACTAGGAGTCAGATGTCTGATGTGAAGCCCTGTGTGGGGCTGCAATCATTTGAGGACTCACATGTCTGGTGGCTTATGCTGGCTGGGGACCTTAGTTCTTCTCCATGCTTGCAGGCCTTCCAAGAGGTCTGTCTCTGTAGTTTCTCGTAGCTTCTTCCCAGCATGGTGGCTGAATGCAAAGGTGAATATCCAGACAGGAGCAGGAGGAACCACAATACCATGTGTGCTCCAGCCTCAGAAAGCACATAGCATCTGCCCACTATGTGCTTGTGGGTGAGGCAGCCACAAGTCTCATCCAAGTTCACAGAAAGGGCAAATGGATTCCTCATCTGGATTGGAAGGGGGCAAGGTTCCAGAGGAGCATGGGAGACCAGAAATATTGATGTGCAATTTTGAAAAATGCAATGTGTCCAAGGATTTTTTATGTTCTTCATGCATAAACTATACACAGCAACATGTTAACATTGTTTTTCTTTTGTAGGTGGAATTCATGCTTTGAAATATATTTTATTTTTATTTTAGCATATACATTCAAAGATAATGACCATGAATTACCTTTTTAATAAAAAAAAAAGATAAAAGAAAACAGCAGATGCTTCCTTCTCCTCTTTAAGCTACAGGAAAAGAAAAACAAGCAAAAAAAAGCTCAGGACCAAGAAAAAAGCTCTTGCAACAACTGAATGTCACTCTCTAATTTTCTCCCATAATATTTTTGTATTGTACTGCTGCTAGAATCAGCATCAGTTTCCTTATAACCATTGACCCAAACGTTTCCAAAGCATCTGAGGTATTATTTCACACCTATCTACCTCCACCTCAATCTTTAGGGAAGGGAAGGAAGGAAGGTTCCAAATGCAGAAGATTCAGGAACTAAGTACAATATGTAAGCTTGACCTTGATAGTTTCTATTGAGGTATCTCAGAAAAAACTTTGTAAATATTTTGGAGAATAAATATATGCAAAAAATACCAAAGACAAATGTACTAACCTACTTTTTCATTATTCTGAGTCATCTAATATCACTTTAAGGTTTTTTAAATTTTTGTTTATTGTTTTCAAAAGTTTTTGTGTCATTGACCAGTGATCACTCTCATGACTTATACAATAAATTTAATATATGTAACATATCTTCTAATTTCTTTGTAGCCTGAAATTGATAATCTTATCCTAAAAAGGATACCAGCTATTAGCATCTATATAGTACTTTTCTTATGTAGAAAATAGTTTTATACATGTATGCAATTTTTTCTTTCAGAAATTGCATCAAAAGAAAAGTAATGCGGGGTTAACCTTCTTTGTCTTCAGAAGAAGGAAAAGACCTTAAATTGCTTGCCCAGTAGTTACAGTAGGTAAAACCTAAAAAACCAAGACATTCTAATTGTACTAAAGAAGAAAGGATTATTTTAGACCTAAAATAGCTTGTTTTCCCCTTTGTTCAAGATGTAATGGCCAGGGGTGAAAGCATAAAAGGCAATATGTTTACATATTCTAGATGCATAATCCCAAGAACGAATACTCTTGAGAGGCTATCTCAATACCTTTTCTCATGTTATGCATGTCATTGCCATTAAAAAGTCTTACTTTTCCAGTCTCATGCTTGACTGATTCAAAGAATCTTGGAATGTGGACACATGTCATGTAACTATCCCCTCATACTCTTTGCACGTTGAAGTTAGGCAAAACACTCCATATTAGTTCAGATAAATATTGCTAGTGGAAATTGACAGATTGCTTAAACTACTTCTTACCTTCAAAACTGCCCTGGCTGAGAGAGTGGTACCCTTGGATCACTAATTAACCATAATCATTATTAGTGTGGCTATTGCTTTAAAACTATTTCTAAGCTTACCAGTTATTTTCAGGTTCTGTGTTCCCCTTCTCCTGCCCACTTGATTGGTTTTAAATTGCAACTGTCGACTGCAGCTTTCTATAGCACTTACTCATGACTGCTCCAGCTTTCAACTTTCTCTTTCCATTCAAACAGCTAAATTGGAAGTGTGTAGTGCTTGATTTATATTTAGATGTATTTTTTAAATGAAGAGTTAAAAGTTAAAAGTCTGCACAGCTGCAGGAAACATTATTGAAAGTCCTTTAAAACCATTATGTAGACTCACTCAAATGGCCGCTACAAATGCACATTATAAAATCGGCCTTTTAGCTATTAGCATTTCATTTGAGTTTGTACTATTTTCCCTTGCTATTGTCAGTATTTAATGGTAATCATTTAGTATCATAAAGCTAGACATGTTTCTCTACATAAGAATAATAATGGCACGTATAGAAAAATAAGTGGGCAAGGAAGAAAATTTTAAAATGCAGCAGAGGATTGGGGTTAAGGAGTGCATCAAAATTAGTTTGTAGCAATATTGGAACAAACTGGCTCAAACAGTAAGTACATGATTTATCATTTTAAGAAAGTGAAAGTCCATAGAGAGTGTGGGATTCAGGGTGGATCGCTGTAGTGTCTCATGGGTGACATCATGGATCTAGACTTGTCCTTTGTCTTCCAGTTCTGTCACCTTCAGTATCCATTTTGTTCAGGGCTGGTTATCTTAGTGGGAGTAAAAAGGTGGCCAAGCAAAGCTGCTTGGCCGCTTGTTGCCTTTCTCATATTCAGCAAGAGAGGGAGGAAGTAAGGTGTGGAGATGGAGAAAGGCTGAGAAAGAGAAGAGAAGGGTTGCAGAAAAGAGAAAAGAGAGAGGCGGGCGGACAGAAGGGAAAGAGAAGGAAGGGGAGACACAGGGAGAGGGAGAGCATGACAACAAGAGAGGCACTCTCAAAAATCACTTTGGGCCAGTAACTTTCAGGTGGTAGATCAGGAATCCTGTACTGATTAGCTCAATCAGATATTCTAACCAGTCACTGGTGAGAATGATGGCCAACCATAATTGGAAGGGACCATCAGATAAGAATCTTTCCCTGGAGCGGCAAATTAACTCAGCTTCTCCTGAGGCTCTTGGAGTTCATGAGACTTCAGTGGATTCCTGGACAAGTTTAAGGTCCTTTTAGAAAGAAAGAGGATGAAATAGATATTGCATGAGAGCCAAAGGCGTCTGCTATGTGTAGGTAGGTTTAGAAATCATGAAGTAAGAGTTAGCCATGAACAGAAGAACTTGACCTTTTTTCCAGTGTTCAGTTCATACTTATGAATATCTCATTGAAAAGAATTCAAATAAATTATAGATTATAAAACAAGGTACAGTGAAGTAAGTATATTTTAAAACATTCTTACTTCTTTCTTTTTCTCTTATTCAAGACCCTTGAAGGAAGTGTTGCAATTTACTACTTTTATTGAAAGAGAATATCAGAATATTTCTTTTTCCTCCAGGAAGAACTGCAACTACTATATTATTATTTTCCCATTCTACCCTATGAAATGTAATTCCAATACTGTCATGAAATAAATATATTAATTCATGTAACCTATACTTGGTAAATGCCTGCTATGGACAGGGTATACTAAGTAGGTGTCTTGCAAACTATAAAAATGAGACTGAAAGAGGTTTGTTCCCCAAGCTGTTCATGGTATAATCAAAGAGATAGGACACTTGCATAGATAACTGCAGTGCCAGTTAGAAAATACATGCCATTAGAGAAGCACAGATAGTGTGCAATGGGAAATGAGTCTTTTTCCCTGGAAGATTATCAGTTATGTGAATATTCCAAAGCAAATCTCAATTTCCAGTTCTTGTAGAAATTATTACTAGCTCTTCTTACTTTATCATTACTTATGTCATTATCAGCAACTCCGCTCACTCTTATCATATGCTAGTTTTACCTGCTTTGGAGTCATAGTAGAAGGACTTTTACAACAAAGGATTTAATTACTTCTTTGCCTCTGGGGATGTTATGAGCTAAGATACTAAGCTAAGATGGTGCCTATGTGCTCAGCCTCAAAAATAGTCCTCACCTCTACTCTGTCTGTAACCTCTGAAATAAACAATAGTCTGTTAATGCGGTAAAGTGATCCAATCACTATTTAAAGACTTGGTCAGTGATTTTTTTTGTTTGTTTAAAATTCTAATGTTGTATATTTCAGAATAGATAGAACAGTGATTTTTTACAAAATTTACAACAGTCCTAAGTTGTGGAAAGTTTAGAATAAACTTACTCAAAATTTTGACTGGAGTTACTCATGAATTATAACACTGTATGCTGGTTTGAACTAGTGTAAACAATTATGGTACATACAGAATGAAATTCTCAGAAAGGAAGTAATAAACAGCAAGGTAGTTAGTGAAAGGAGGCACTTTTTCAGCTACTGCAAATTGAGATCATTTTGAATATGTTTTCATAATTCATTTTGAGTGTTTGATTATTTGAAGTACTGTAAAATCACAAAACAGACAAAAAAGATTTGATCTTCAATCCTAATTCTACCACTTACTAGCTATATTACATTAATAATTGTATTTATTATCTGTGTCTGAATTTTATTCTCATCTGTAAAATGGGAGGGTTCAACCACTCAATTCCTAATATCTTCCTTTCATGTCTAAATTTTACAGTGAAATATTAGAACATTATCAAATATAAATGTAGATCACAAAACTGTGTGAAAATTATGTTCACATTATTTTTATTTATCTGCATAGGAATTTTCATATATTAATATGGGTAATTGAGACTTGGCCGCTTTCAATTTGGCAATAATAATGTATTTACATAGGAGGAAATTAAGTGGTTTTCAGCTTTTTCAATGTGTCAGTTCCTGGGAATGTTGCCTGCACTGTCATTTAATTTTCAAGTAACCCTTCAAGGTAGATATTGCAATCTCATAAGGAAAGATGAACAATAAAGCACAGAGTTAAAAGTATTTGTCCAAGGTCATGCAACTAGTAAATTGTGGATGTGGGATATGAAGCCAGATATGTCTATGCTTGTTTCCTGACATTCAAACGATCTGCATAATTTGTTGAGAAGGCCCTGTTGATCATACAGCATTTTTAACAGAAGTTAAAAATATATACATTCCCTTTTTAAGAATCATATATTTATAAATCATACAAAAAATGATACCTGCTAAAAGTTGAACAATTTTAGATTGCCCAAAGAATTTAAGAAGGATAGATTTGGATAGTGTAGAATAATCAGTCTTCTACTTCCTTTGTAGAAAGGAAGAAATTTCTCCACTCTAAGACTCCAGAGAATGCTTTGAAGTGTGCTACTAGGTAATGGGGAAAATCTGGCCATAGCTTCCATTTATATAAAGAGAGTTTTTATTTTAAAAGCACTTTCACATGCATTATGTAAATATTCAGTAATGAATATTTAATCCAAAGGCATCTGAGCCTCATCTATATTTTTATGGGGCATAATTTAAGCAACTTTTAGTCTCCCAATATCTCTGCCCTCTGAAGAACCCCACTTATAATAGCCCGTTAAAAACCAGATTTAATAAATGCCCAATATCAATTCACCTTGCATAGAAATAAAACACTTCATTCCAAATAGTTTTCATAGAGTCAGTGGGCAGCACGGTAGTGCAATGGAAACAATGCACTGCAGGACACAGAGCAACCTAGTCTGTGGGGCTAAAATTGCTCAAGATTAAAATTAAAACAATAAACTTCGGCTTAGATGTGTCTTCATTACTAAAGCATTGGGTCATTTACTTTAACAATGCCAACTTACTTTCACTCTCGCATTCCGTTTAATTAGTAAAGGAAGTAATATGCAAGAGCACACCTCATGGTGTCCCATTACCTTGGAGAGATGTTTTTTCTATTCCTAAAAATAACATGTCCAACTCGTAAACTCTCTGTAGAATGAAAAGGTATCTCAATGGAAAGACAACATACAAAGACCAAATTAAAATGGTTACCAACTTGTTAAAAAAATGTGCTTGGAATGAGAATAAAACACGTATGGCATACATTTTATATGTAACTGTGTATAAAAAAATGCCTAGTCTCCAGCAGTTATATAAAAACCATGTTGTCCAGAAATACTGGCCAGATGGTGAAGGAAATCTGAAGAACAATACTCAGTAATTACTTCTAAATAAAAAATCATCCAAGCTTTATTATGTGTCGTTCAAATTTTCATATAATAATGTTGAAATTGTACCCTTATAAAAGGTTTCTTTAGTTATAGCATTTCTATCCTGTGATTTTCCTTGAAACTAACAGAAACAGTACATATTCAGTTTGGTAAACTGTCAGATTAGTTAATGCCAGTGGATGGGACAATTTGGCATATATTTTACTTCCAAGTATTTTGAAATTGTAGTGGAAAGGAAATCTGACATGTATTAGATGTGTTTACCAAACCCCTGGTGTGACCTAGCAGATTGGCAGTCATTATACAACAGTTTAAAAATAAATAATCTTAAGGGTAGTACACAATTTATTTCGGTTAACGCAATGGAGAGTTTAAACAGTAGATTGTATAAGTAGGACTTACTTGTCTTCCTTGTTTATTCAGGGGTATACTTTTCCCCCTGCCCCCGGATCATAACACAGATAGGCCCATATATATGCTATTCACACATAGGTAATAGAGCGTTCTGTGATCACATTAAGTCAGCAAACAAGCTCTGCTACTTAGAAATTGCAATGTCCGGTCCAGTTTAGTTTTATTTCCCCCCCAACTCCCTCAGCTAGAGTCTGCTTCATGCAGGAAACCTAAGGCCAGGGATGGGGCTTGGTTGACATCCTTCTCCACTGCTTCTCCCTCAGGTTGTTAACTCCATTTCTTCTTGGCCCCTTTGTTTTTGGAGTGAAGAGCAGGGAAGAGAAATAAAGGGAACAGGAAAGCATTGGATTTGGGGCCTCATAGATGTTTAAAGCTGATCTGCCATTTGCTTTCAGTCTCTTGATGCATTTGATGCACACACTCTTCTAGTACAATTCATACCTTTTCTGTTGCTCCTGTGGGGCCAGAAATTTCTGTAGCCTTTCTTTGTAAAGTCACAAGGTGAAGCTCATTCAGACTTTTTGGTGCTTTTGACACAAACGTGGCCAGTGGAAACATGCACTCATTTTTTGCCTTTACTAACTCTGATAGTGCAGGCGGCTTGCAGAGCAGCCACCTTTCCTCAGCATGTCCTTAGCAGCATTCCAGTATCTGTGCCACACTTCTAGTTTCTCAGGTTTGATTTAAACCACTATTCATTGCATCACCACTCATCTCAAAGATCAAGAGACACATATTAAGTTCCCCAAGTATTTTCTTGAAGCCCTACTCTTAACTTGAAAAGACAAGTGACATAAATCTCATCCCCTTCCCACTTAGTGAGAAGCTGGAGGTGGCTGGGAGAATGAACATCACACTATATCTTTAAGAAATTTTCTATCTCCAAATATGCCCCAATCTCCACCCTCTGGGTAATTTTTTTATACCCTGGATTTCAGTGAAAGTTTTAAGAGTCACCTTATTAGTTTTCAGCCTCCAACGTTTAAATTTTTATAGGGTACACTGCTCTGGAATTAACTTCTATTGTCCTCATGTCTGAGCCAAAAGTGAGAGAGGAAGAATACCACTGTAACATCCTATTACAGGTGTTCCAGTACTTTTCTCCTTGAAGCTGTCTGCACAACACTATTATGCAGAAATTGCTTGAAAAAATGATAATACAGACTCTGATTTGCCCCACAGAGTATTAGGAAGAGAATATTTAGAAACTAATTACACACTGGCATTTTAAAAATCATCTCAATACTTAGTTTTTGGTAGATAAAGCGTAAGTACTGGCCGCAAATGCAGTCACTGCTTTAACCTCTGCATTGATGATATCCAGCTAGATCCTTCCCCTCAGTGATACAAAAATCCCAACTAACTGCATACATTTTAATTTGTGCTAAATTTGCAAGAAAAACTTAACTTGTTTCACGTTTTTCTACATAATACTAAATTGGAAAATTGAAAGAAGAAATTAAAAATATGTCATTGCAGAAATATCTGTATTTATAGCTAATTTCCAATTTGTGTTCAGATGCTTCACACTGAATCAATACATTAGCATTTTTCTCCCCTCAAGGATAACAAAGAGACAAAATGGCAAAATTCAAGGGAGCACTTTAGTATTTTACATCATGAGAAAAGAATTATGTTTAAATATCCCTACACAACCAGTTGAATTTTCATCATGAACCTTTGGTCAAGATTTTATATTGATTATTCACTGCTTTATTAACAGTCTGCTCAGAGATTGGAAGAGATTGTTCATTAAATGCTCTATAGGAAGTTGTATTGTTGAAGAAATACTTGAAAATTTCCAACAGTGCAGTCTCAAGGAGAAAGTAGAGGTGAGAATATCTGAAAAACGTTGTAGAAACATGAGAGAAGAGTCAGTACAGTACCTACTAGGCTTACAATGAAAACAGAAAGAAATACAAAGAAGGCAAAATCTGTAACATACTTGTGTTTTCTTCTGTACAATAAATAAATGTCATCAATGGCTATAAAATTTATAAATGTGGCTGGGCGCGGTGGGTTACGCCTGTAATCCCAGCACTTTGGGAGGCCAAGGCGGGCGGATCACGAGGTCAGGAGATCGAGACCATCCTGGCTAACAAGGTGAAACCCCGTCTCTACTGAAAATACAAAAATTAGCCGGGCATGGTGGTAGGTGCCTGTAGTCCCAGCTACTCGGGAGGCTGAGGCAGGAGAATGGCGTGAACCCAGGAGGCGGAGCTTGCAGTGAACCAAGATTGCGCCACTGCACTCCAGCCTGGGCAACAGAGCGAGACTCCATCTCAAAAAAAAAAAAAGTTATTAATGTGATACAGATTTCTTATACTATTAGACCCAAGGCATTTGTGTCTTGATATAGTCCAATCATATCCTAAAATTTTCAGAAAAAGACAAGTATAAGGCCAAAATTAAATTATTTTTCAGGCTAAGTTTCAAAAGGCAAAAGTGTATCACCCAGTTCTCCTGGGCAATCTGTAGGATTGTATGTTCTAATTCCTGGGCAAATCTGTAGGATTATGTTCCTGGGGAAAGCTCAGCAGTTCTAGATTATTAGAATCATCACTTCCTGAAAGGAAAAGGAAGTACTGCCTATACTGCCTGCCTTAGTCCCTAAAACAATTCTCCTTTCCGTAATTACAAGGTCAGCTACCCTTTTCTCACTCCTGAATTGCAATCTCTCTACTCAGGTCAGCCTGGCAGCAGCGGAAGCTACTATTAACTGAATGTTTATATATACTAGATAGTATATAAACTGTTTAATGTACATTTTCTGACTAAGATCTACTTTACACTTTTAGGAGTAGGTTTTATAATTCCCATTAGTATGTAGGGAAAATCAAGAATGAGGGATTAAATTTCTTTCTCAAATTATTTCAGCTCATAAGCAAAAGATTCAACAGACAAATCAAGGTTGCATTTACTTATACGCTTTTTTGTGTTATGTGATGCTGCCTGCCTAAATGGCTTTATATAAATGTGATACTGTATAGAAGATGCTAAGCATGGTACCAGCCACATAGGCCAGAAACAGAACCTCTCCTGACTCTTGGAAATAGATTTCCTTTGTTGTTATACGGCCAAGTGACAAAAGGTTCCTGGCCTATAATCCTGCTATATTATCTTTCCCAAATAGCTTTTTGTATGTAATTTTTGCTGCCTAAGTAAATAAGTCCATATACATATATACCTACACACACATACACATGCACAGACACATATGTAACTGACCATTTACTCTTGGTAAGCACTAAAATAAGCATATAAATATGATTAACACAGAATTCCTGTCTCTAAGAGCCTATGGTTTAGCTTGAAGACAAGATGGATTGCAACACAATTGGGCAAGTGCAGTGACAGAGAGATGAAAAAACAATATTTGGGTGTACAAGGATAGAATGATTTCCTCCTCTTGTCTGTAGAAATTGGAGAATGAAGAGGTGTTTTTGCACAGCAGATATTTCCTCCATGTTGTTACTTATATCACAATCAATCACATTTATCACTCTATTTTTATTACTTGCATATCCAAGTAATCCATTCATTTAAACAGCTACACCAGTAAGCATTCTTGCCATCTTGCAAGCATCTAATAAATAAGCCTTGAATGACTAAGCAAATGGGTGGGACTATGGCTTGGTTTTGTTTGAGAAGGGAAAGCCTGCAATCTAGTTACTAACCTTAAGAAACTTAAGAGCAAAATATAAGCAAACGAATAAAAACAATGAAATGCAGAAAGTGATAAATGTCATAAGTATGTGAAAGTGGCACAAGAAATAGAAGTGAGTGTCCTGTTTTAAGTCACAATAGTTTTCATTGAACTGAAAGGCTGTATTAAAGTGAGCAACTCCCACTTTTACTGTTTTGATTCTCCTCTGCTGCATAATCGATGATATAGCAAGCTTATTGTTATTCAGATAGGTACCAAAAATTAATGTTTGGAATCAGAGTCATTTCTCAAATGAGATTGAAAGAGGTTTGTAACGACCATTACCTCATCAGCATTTAGCGTCTCTTCTGAAGGACAGGAGAGTATGGAAGAGAGGAATCAGATTTAGGAAAAGTGGAGATAAAAGAAAGGCCAAAGAAAATGAATTTTTTTCACTATACTGTGGACTTTAATGGATCTCTGTTGTCAGTCTAATTTGTAAAGATCAATGGCTTCTGTTGAACTGCAGTCTAGGCTTCCCTATCTCCTTTTAATTCATCTACTCAGCACATGCTTTCCATTTTGAAAGATAAGAGCCTGAGGGAGTTTTTAGATATTTTTACTAGTCTTTTTTTTTTCTTTGAGCTATTAAATAACCTAAAATGTATATGGCAATGAAAGCTTCTTATCAAGAAATAGAATTTGAAAGCCGTCAGTTGAAATACCGTCAAAACACAGGCAAACTACTGTTTATCAGAGTGCCTTTGTGTTTACAAGTTGCCAAACATGTGAAGTAAAAATTAGAAGTGGAGCCAAATTTTCAGAAATTTCTTAATAGCTAGCTGTAAAAACTATACCCCAACTTATTCAATTTTCACAATTTATCCAGATGGATTTTGTGTTTAAAAAAAAAAAAGCCACCTGGGCGTGGTGGCTCACGCCTGTAATCCTAGCACTTTGGGAGGCTGAGGCGGGCAGATCACAAGGTCAGGAGTACAAGACCAGCCTGGCCAACATGGTGCAACCCCGTCTCTACTAAAAATACAAAAATTAGCTGAGCATGGTGGCGGGCGCCTGTAATCCCAGCTACTCGGGAGGCTAAGGCAGGAAAATCGCTTCAACCTGGGAGGCAGAGGCTGCAGTGAGATCACGCCATTGCACTCCAGCCTGGGTAACAAAAGCAAAACTGTCTCAAAAAAAAAAAAAGCCTTGAAATTCTTTGTACAAACAAATTTTAGATATTTCATAGGATGCATTAGTCATAATACACGGCATAGATGATATGTGTCTTCTTTTAATAGCTCATACCTATTTATATATTGTTTCCCTATTTCCATAAAAAGCACCTCACTCTCAAAAAGAGAGTGATATTATAAATCAGTGCTATGTTATTGAAAACTTTTAGAATATAGAATGTGTTCTAATATATGGTCACAGATACTTACTTTACACAATATTGAGAGGCACAGCTTATAATATTAACATTGAAATCCTAAACAACCTTCAAACATGGCAAGAATCAATTACCTTTTGCATAATGTACTATGAAGGTTGAGGAAGTTGGCTAATACATTTTAAAAGAGTTTTCAATAATACATTTTGAAATCAAAGGGTTTCCTGTTTGTCTCAGTTAAACTGAAATCTAATTGACCACAATATTCCATTTCTCAAATATCTTAGTTAACTGAGATTTGCTATGTGATTTGCTTTCATAGAATTTTGGTGTCTAAAGAAAAAAATAGCATAGAGGATGAAAAAGCATGTGACATGAGTCAGGCAGACCTGGGTTTGAATGTTATCTTTGTAATGGTCCAGCCCATTGCCACAGTATAGTAGAAAAGGATCTGAAAGAAATATGCTGAAATGTTTTACTTTCCTATAATGTTGCCTTGTAGCTGAAAAAACCCAACAGAGTTCAACATCTAGGGCAGTAAACCCAAAAGTGTCATTAGGAGCCACATTTACACTTTTGTTGCAAAAACTGATTGGACCCATGTCCCCTGGGCAAACAGCAAAGGTCTCCAAGACAACAAACCCAAATCAAAGCTACAATGGGACACAGGTTCATTTCCCATTCTACCCTTCATCAGTTCACATTCTGCTTTAAAAATCAACCACGAATGAGACATATATAGATAATAAAAAAAATGAGAAAAGGATCTTAAGCACAAAACCTTTGAAAAGAGTAAAAATTGAAAACTAACAAATTATTTGAAAGTATAAGAGAAGTTATAATGGGAGTGTTCAATGAAATAGTGCTCCTTAGGCTAAAAACAATTACAGAAAATATGACCTTTTAAAGTAAGCTCATAGCTCAGAGACGAGAAAAGGAGGTTTAAGGAAGTAATTTTAAGACAAAAGGAGGTGAAATCAATCTGCAACTACTGAAACCAAAACAGAAAGATGAAACTAAAGATTTTACAGAAATGAAAGCATCATTCAATGCCACAAAAGTACAGAAAATGACAACACGGACAAGGAAAGGTGAATCAACGTGAGGAGATTATAGCCATGAGGGAACATCATGGTTATCAGGCAAGTTAGAAGAGAGGACGGAAAAATAGGGATCATGAAAGTAAAATAGGGATCAACGATCCTGACAGGAACATATAACAAAATTAAAGTAAATTCAGTGTATAAAGTATTCATCTTACCTGAAATTTGAAAAAGAAAAAGCTTAAATTTTCTAATTAAAAAGGGAAACAATTCCCCAAGGAGAAATCTTATAATGAAATAATTAAGATTATTCAGGTGAAGCTATTGAATTTCAAGAGTAGAGAAGGTAAAAAAAAATTAAATTCTGGTAGAAATGGGTAGAAATTAAGAATGACATTAGATTCTCTCATAGAGATAATCAGTAGCAGAATATACTGGAGATATATCTCAGTAGTTTGTAGATTTAAAAAATGAATTCTTTTGTGCTCAGAAACAAAGGAAAAGAAAGGAAACTTTCTCAATATGCATAAATTGGAATGGGTGTCATTACACAGGATGATCTGCTTTTTAAAATGTCTTAGGGCTTAATTAGAAAGCTACTAACTCCAGATTATGACATCATGTAAGAAGTGGGAAAACCTTATCTACTGGAGATAGAATTTGGGATGAATGGAAGGATACCGGTTAAGGCAAAAACTATCCAGCCACCTTTAATTTTGGCGAACATTTTAGAAGCTTCTGAACACATGGACATTAGATCAAAGAAAAGAAATCTTCGAGAGATTGGCAGAAAGTTGCTATATGATATAGGTGGACTTTTTTAATGGGTCAGTTGAGCCAAGAAACTGAATTTCCTGGGTATAACTTTTTTCAGGTGAACCTCTTTTAATTTAAATACTCAGAAGACAAAATATGAATGTACTTATTGTCTTATTAGAGTTCTAAATAAAATATTTTTATAAGTAAGTTACTGGTTTTCACCCATGCTCTCTTAAGAGAGAAAATCATTATAAAATCATGATTTTTTTTTGTTCTATACAATAAAGTTTACTGAAACATTAAAAAAAAAACACCAGGAATAATACACATAAGAAATAAAAACCTATGAGGGTTGGAGAAGTGTAGGAATGTTGAAGGAAGAAAACTTTCAGAAGTGGAATGGGGGAATAACTAAAAAACTTCAGCACCTAAAGAGATTATTTAAATAAAATAATCCAGAAATGGAGAAGCTGTGTTTAAAGGACTCATAAAATGACCCACGGAAGCAATTCAATTATAAAGTGGAGCTTAACATGATTGATTGGAAGTATGTTTAATAGAATAGAATGTAAATTAACAAAGGAGGAGCAGTGTGATAAAATGTGACTGTGAGAATTTTTCTAGTTTCTAAAGCCAGAAATCAATAACTACAAGATGAAATATGTAGTTAAAAGATACATGGTAACATTGGCACCACTTTCAGTAGTTTTCTTAATTTTAGAGGGACATTTTTAAGTATAATATTGGGTGTGTGTATGGATGGGTAAACATTTAAATTCAACAATGCCTTTCCTTATACCTCATTGGTGGTAGTTGAGTTTTATTGAAATTAGTGCTTTTTATAAAATGGTGTGTAAAATATAGTCCAAATTTTATATTATCACAGCAATCTCTTTTTCTATATGTATATGTTTATAAGAAATATTAAAAATTATGCTTAGCAGATGTTTGCCTAGGAAGTCAGATATTTTATGATAGTATTTCTATTCTTTGTATTTTTCTGAGTTCTTATAATGATCACATATCATTTAAAGAAAAATGCTTTCATTTTAGTCTTCAAAAATATCAGCGTATTTCTTTCATCTCTAATATGCTAATATTCTGTTATTCTGTATTATCTTAAAAGAACTTTCCAAAAGTTCATAATTATCATTTGTTTAGAAATGATTTATGTCAAATTTATATTTAAATTTTGATTATATATTTGAATATATTTGATTTATATTTGAATTTAAAATTACTTATATCCACATATTCACAGAAGTTGTTAGAACCAGACTTTTCAGAGGCTGTTCTGGAAGAAAGATAGAAATAAAACTAAACAGCAGGCTACTTTTTTCTGTTTTAACTCAAACTTTTCTACAGATATTGAAACTAAAACAATATTAAACACACATCACTACTTCACATACCTGAGTACCTAAAATCTCTTCCTAGGCACATTCTCCAATCCATCACCACCTCTACCTGCTACATCAAGCAAGAACTATACAACATTCTTTCTCCTCATCTCTTAAAATCTCTATTTTCTAGATGACCAAGGTTGCATCATGCTGGTATATAACCAAAATCAATATGGGCTCCACACATTCCACCTTAGACATTTTTTGCTCCATGAGTCTGAGTTGCTCTGGTGATTAAAAGCCTTTAGGTTATTTAAAACCAGAAGGGATTAATGGTGCTCTACACTCCCATGTAAATAATTACCAATGGAAAAATACTGGTCAGATTGTTGGCATGGGAGTCAGCACTCTTCCTCCCCGTTTCTTTTTCCCTTCAAGTAGGGACACATCCATTAGTATAACATTCTCAGTTCTTCTTCATCCATCCAATAACCCCTCCCTGAAAAGAAGAATGACATGTGATTAGTGAGTTTGGAAGAAAAAACTTGTCATGTAGAACACTAAGCCTTTTGTTTTTTCGTTCTTCTTGAGAGAGGCTATCTGTAGGGAAGCCTTCTGTGCTTGTCCAGAGTAGCTTCTGGCTGTGAAAGGAAGAAGTGAAGATTTCCCAGTCATTCCATTACTGCTGGTTGAATAAGACTGTCTAACTCTGTGGTTCAATAGCAGGAAGGCCAAGAGAAGCTACTTTACAAACGAGTGATTACAAGATAATGATTTGCATGTAATGCAATTATCAGTTTCTTAAAAAATCTGCTTTAGACCATTTTGAAAAAAATTGCCAACTTTTAAAATCTTTTTTTCTTAGTATCTATACATGTATAGAAATAAGCCATTTGAAATGTGTTGCTTAAATAAAATCAAAAGAAACTGCTAAAAGATTTTACTTCTTTTTTTCTGAGATTTTATGTTGAAGAAATAGCCACATCTCTAGGAGTTAAAGACCTCTGAAAATAGGTACAGAAATAAGACTTTGGGATGTCCTGAAACTTCATTTGACCTGGGCTAGTCAGAAGTTGGAGATGCCTAGAAATGCCATCTGGTAAAAGAACTCACTGTGCTTTCACAGCAATGTGCAGTTACTGGCCTGCTACCTGACAAATGCAGAAGACAATGGATGTGAATGGTGTCAGGGCAAGAGTCGTGTCCATTTTACAGGGCAAGAGTCGTGTCCATTTTACAGCAGACTCCTGCTATATGCCTGGCGGCACTACACAAAAGTCCAGCAGATAGCTTACAAAAATTCCAATCTTCACAACAGAGCTGGGAATGGCCACAGAGGATTAAAAATAGCTTTCTTCCCTTTAGAAGATTAAAAATGAAAAGTACGATGGTCCACACGTGGCCCTCACCCTGGACAGCTATTGGAAGTAAAGCACATTTGTTAGGACTTGACGCAATGAAAGGATGTTTACTCCTGCAATGGGGAAAATACTGCTGGGCCTCCTTATCTGTGCAAATGTCTTCATATAGTTTAAGTCTTACATGTTTTATGTATATTAAAGATGTTCCTTTCCTTTGCTTTTATCTATAAGACCTTTCCATCAGTCACAGTAACTGACATTACACTAAGTTCTGCATTTTAGTTAAAAAAAAGGTAGTTACTTCCTTAAGAATAATTTTTGTAGAAGCATTTAAGGAAGAATATAAATCTTGTAAAATAGTTTACTGTGCTTTTCTCCTTAAAAGGGAGCTTCCTTCTCTATATTAAATTGACAATAAAATGGAGAATAACTGGAGAGTAACTAACTTTAGCAAACTTGTAGTGACATTACTTTGCATCACATGCATAAATTGAGATGTAATTCCCTTCAGAATCATTAACAGACTAGATAAAATAATAAATCATGTGTGGTGGAACCCAGTTTTACTGCAGTTCAATAATGAGCTAAAGTCATAACCTTGCACACTCCCAGCAATTGTATTAACTATAGCAATACAAAGTCTGATATATATCATAGTCACTAGGAGTGAATTTGTCTCCTGTTTTAAAATGATGGATCTATAAAGTATTTTAAAATATATATTTATTTTTGTTTTTAGATTAGGTAGCCATTTACATGCTTTTTATGTTAAAATACGTAAGGCCATTTAGCCTAAGGAAAAAAATAAATAATTGCGGGTTGTGGTATGTTAGAAGTAGATGGTCACTTCTTTTCAAGCATTAAGTGACACTAAAAATTATAGTCAATATAACTATAATATCGTCAAAAACATTAACATTTTTTGTTAGAACAAAATATGCTACTTATTCTCGGTTATTCAGCAAAATGTGGTTTTTCATATGTGGATAAATTAACTTCTTAAAATATTCAACTGTGAAAATAAAGAAGGCCAACCATTTCCTTAATGGATGAAACCTGGCCCTGTTGCTGAATGATTGCTACTTTTAAAAGAGACAAAAAGTCTCCTTGGCAGTGGCCATTATACAGAGTGTTATTTACATCACCTGAAAGCCATCGCGATACAAGATGGTTAGGTTTTTTTGTAAGAAATTGATTTCACCATAAAAATATCAGTTGTAAAAAAAAAAAAAGGGAAAATCCCTTTCTGTGAAATGCGACATGAAATTTTCTCACTCTACTGTTTTGTCTCTTCTCCCCATTAACGAGGATACATTTTATTTAAATTTTAATAAATTTTATTTAAATAGAGTAAATTTTATTTAAATACAATGAGATAGTAAGTACATATAACAGATTGAATACTCTTACTTTTCAACTCTGAAATTTTCCTTTGTTATCATCAATATACTATTTTTATCTAAGAGAAAAGTACGTAAATGACATTTAGTGATTTTTTTTTAAACTTCCTGGCAAAGCAGTACAGCTTCTTCACACTCAATGTGGTTGAGAATTTATTATCTTTTGCTCCTCTAATCCCATCCTAGGAAACATATTGTAGAGCATATATCTAGTACTATGTAAAAATAAAAGTCCTAGGAAGTACCTATGTAAAATTTTCCTCTTTCTCACTCATGATTTTGAAATCAATACTAGTATTCAAATATTGTTTTTCATCATAATCAAATATCATAAATTACATATTATTAATATTCAACCCTTCCAAATACACTCAGCAATCCTAAAACTGTAATCATTGCAGTGCATTAGCTTCCATTCTGGAATTTCTCATCTTCTTGTTTTATTTTGTCATTTAAATGATCTCAGGTAAGAAAAGCTATTTTTAATAAATGGGAAAGAAATGAAATTCTAGGTTAAGTGATATTCACAGGCGACTGTTTCTTGGAGTTTGAAATTTTAACCTTTAAGATTAGACCATGTTCAAGCAACAGTGAAAGATGATGATATATTGTAATTTATAATTTTGTTAAGCACACATTTGAATTACCTGCAGTTAGGTAGGTATCCAAAAGTGAGTCATTTAGCAAGTACGTCAGATTCATTTAAGGTTCAGCATCAACTTCTCTACATAGTTTTCATATTTTTCTTTTCTTATAATATACTGGTGATAGGAATCAGTGCTATTTGTCCTCTTAGTTACCCTGTGATCCCTGGATACCCTAGAAATGACAGAGATAACCTGACACGCAGACTCCTAGGAACATTTTTTGACCTCTTGCCATCATGGGTATAGGGAATGCAAAGGACATAAAGTTTTCATATTAGAAAATTCCTTTTATGTTCTCTAGTCTCCAAAATGATAGCCATCAAATTAACAGTTATTAATAGATGTTTAGTATTCCAAACAATTTCTTTCTCAGTCTCTTCTTAACACACTATTAAATACAGCTAACCCTATTAATGTTCTAGAACGCACCTGAGTATTTCTGGCATCTTTCTATCAAAGTGAGGTAATAGTATTTAAAAATGTGTAAAAGGTAAAGTTTGCATATCTATTTTGTTATGTAATACCATGATCTACAGGAAAAAAACCTATAAACATATTTCAAAAATACTTCAGCCATTGCCTAAGTTCTTATTGAGAGATAAAACTTTAGTGAAGCATAAAATGGCAGTGAATTTATGGTGTGAGAATATGTTCAAGAAAAAACTATCCCTATCTTTTCTTAATTCCCTGCCAGGTCATAGATTTTCTGAAGTCAAGATATGTTATTATATTTTAGAATATCCACGATACCTCTGACACCAAAGTGTTGTTAGTATAGTGGACCCTCGGTGGTTTTTATTCCCTATCTTTCTACTCCTCCCCACTTCTTCAAAGGCATGTATAAATGAATAGTCTTCAGTACAGTATTCTATCTATAAAGTCAATTTATATAGCAATTGACACATCTGCGAGCAATATAGGAGTGTTTTTGTTGTACCACATCCTCTTCAATCCTAAGAATTGTCAGGATTTTTCTTTTTTATGTCTTAAATTTTAGTTATTCCAGTGGGTGTTTAGTTTAATATTACTCTGAATTTCAAAGGTTTATTGACCATTTGGACATTCTCCCATGTGAATTGATTTTTAAGTATTTTTGGTATTTTTAATTGGACTGTTCTTTTTGTTATTGATGTTCAGAATTATTTATATATTCTTAATAGAATTATTTTATTGAATATACATATTACAGATCTACTCTGCCACTCTGGCTTTCCTTTTGACTCTTCCAGGAGAACCTATGAACCAAAGTTTTATTTTTAATACATTCTAATGTATAAGTCTTTTATTTAGTGCTTTTGGTCACAGTTAATAAATCTTTAATATCTCAAAGTAACAAAGATACATTCTATGTGCTGCGGAAGCTTTATTGTTTTAACTTTCTAGTTCTGGTTTACAATCAATCTTTAATAGGCATAATTGTAGAGTAAATGTTTATTTTTTCCAATTTTCTTGTTTTTTCTTTTATTCCAATAGAAATTTCCAATTATTTATCACAACAGCATTCATTAAATGGTGCTTTATCCACTATACATACAGTTGTGTCATCCTGGTCACAATTCAGAAGATTGTACATGACTGAGAATTTCTGTACAAATGATTCTCTTCCATTGGTCTATTCGTCTAATCTTCTGCGAACAACACACTATTTTAGTAATCTTCACACACCATAGTATGTGTTAACATTTTAAAATGTTAATTTTTTATTGTCCTTGATTCTAACAACCTCACACTTAATGGTTTTTCTGTAGATTGTATCTATACTTTGTTAAAATAACATTATTTGTGAACAATAACAGTTGTCTTTATGCATTGTCAATTTTTACTGTTATTTATTTTATTTACATTTTTTACTAGCTAATAGTAGAATGTTTAAAGGTGGAAATAGACTACAACTCTAATCCATTGCTGATATCTAGGAAAATATCTGCAAATATTTCAACATTAACTATGAAGTTGGCTTCAGGCATATTATGATACCATTTGTTAGGATGAGAAAATTTTCTTCAATTATTAGTTTGGTGAGAGTTTTTGTATTTTTTATTTAAAACTGTCTGAATTTTGTCAATGCCTTTTAAAAATCTGTTGAAATTTTTGTATATATTTTTTCTTTATTGCCTCAAATATTTGAAATAACTCACCAATTTGTAGAGTTTTTTATTTACATAAATATATTTAATGCATCTAAATAATACATTTGTCTATTAATTTCTAATTGAAATTGGTAAGTTTGCTTTTGAAGAGTTATGACTTTTTAAAATTTTTATATTTATTAGAAAATGCTTTTATAATATCTTAAAATATTGAATGTTGTAAGATCTGTAGTGGTCTTCCTTTTTTTCTTATTTCTGGTAATTTATTACCTTCAATCTTGTAGAATTTTGCTAGCAGTTTATCACTTTTATACATCTTTCTAAAAGAATCTGCTTTCTAACATTTTTTCTAGTGTCTAAAATCTATTTTTTTATTATTTCATATATTCTTTCCTATTTTTCATTAGTTTTATAATGTAATGGATTCTTATATTGGATATTATTTTTATAATTGTTTTTCTTTTCTAACATATACATTTAAAGCTATACTATTTCTTTAAGTATAAATTTGTTTTTATTCCACAAGTTTTGATATTCTCTATTAATCAGTTCAAAACATTTTTCTAATTTTTACTGTGATTTTTATTTTCTTTGGCAGATATGTTACAAAGAAATGTATTGTTGCTAAACATTTGGGACTATTCTACTTAACTTCTGTCATATGTTTCTTAATGTAATTTCTGTGAAGTTTGAAAATTTACATTGCAAGACTTCTTACTATTAAAGTGTTTGAGGCCAAGTGCAGTGGCTCACGACTATAATCCGAGCACTTTGGGAGACCGAGGCGGGTGGATCACGAGGTCTGAAGTTCGAGACCAGTCTGGCCAACATGGTGAAACCCCCGTCTCTACTAAATACAAAAATTAGCTGGGCGTGGTGGTGTGCGTCTGTAGTCCCAGCTACTCGCGAGGCTGAGGCAGAATAATCGCTTGAACCCGGGAGGCGGAGGTTGCAGGGAGCCGAGATGGCGCCGCTGCACCCCACCCTGGGCAGCAAAGTGAGACTCCGTCTCAAACAAACAAACAAACAAACAAACAAACAAAAAAAGTGTTAAAGAGATACTCCGTCTAAAAAAAAAACAAAAAAAAAATGTTTGAGACTTGCTTCATGAACCAGCATCTGGTCAACTTTGATAAATGTTTTTTGTGCACTTGAAAAGAATGTTTATTTTGCAATTGTGTGCAGTGTTCCATATAAGTCAATTAGATCAAGTGTATTCATGGTATCATGCAAAACTTGTAATTCTTAATGATTTTTTGATCTTGTTCTATTAGCTGTTAAGAGTAAACTTACATTTTTTCATTATGAAAGTTTGTCAATGTTTCATTTTATTTTATTTGCTTTATGTATTTTAATCTATAGCATTAGAAACATATTTGGCATTTATATATCTTCCTGGTTTTAGTAACTTTTGACATTCATTTTGGATTTATATTATATCAGTCTCTTTAAAGAATCTCCTTTTAATTTTTTTTCTATTATTTTTGAACTAGATATTTAAATATTTACCCATTTTGTATGACACTCGACTAAAAAGCTTCTACGTAGCAAAGGCAACAACAAATAAAAGAGACAATCTATGGAATGAGAGAATATATTTGCAAACCATATATCTAATAAGGGATTAATATCCAAATATATAAGAAACTCAAACAATAGTAAGAAAACAAATAATCCAAATAACAATTGAGCAAAGGGCTTGAATAGACGTTTCTCAAAGTAAGACATACAAATGAACAAGTTTATGAAAAAAAAAGTTCAACATACTAGCTATCAGGGAAATACAAATTGAAACCACAAAGAAATATCACCTCTCACCTGTTAGAATGACCGTGAACAAAAAGGCAAATGATAAGAGTTTGTCAGGATGTGGAGAAAAGGGAACACTTGTACTCTGTTACTGGGCATGTAAATTAGTGTGGCCGTGATAGAAAACAGTATGGAGATTCCTCAAAGCATTAAAAATAGAATTACTATATGATCCACCAATCTCACTACTGGGTATATATGCAAAGGAAATAAAATCAGTACGTGGAAGAGATATCTGCACCCTCACAAACTCATAAGAACAGAGAGTACAATGATGTTTGCCAGAGGCTTGGGTTGGGGCATGTGGGGAGATATTTGTCAAAGAACACAAAATTTCAGTTAAGAGGAATAAGTTCAAGAGATCTGTCATACTTCATGGTGACTACAGTTAAAAACAATATATTGTATATTTGAAAACTGCTAACAGAGTAGATTTTAAGTGTTCTTACCACACACAAAAATGCTAAGTATGTAAAGTAATGCATATATTAAGTAACTTGATTTAGCCATTTCACAATGTATATGTACATCAAAACATCATGTTGTGCACCATAAATATATGTACAATTGTTACTTGTTCATTAAGATTTTTAAAAAATAAATATTTACCCATTTTAGTTTCTCATTTTAATATTGAGATCTCCAAGATGTTTATATATTCTAAAAATAAGCCCTTTGTTAGGTGTGTAATATATATTTTTCTAACTATTACTTTATATTACTGTGCTTAAGTACAAATGGAAAGACACAACCAAGAAGTTCTGCTTTATTTCAGAAAATGTTTCGATATGCTGACAAATAACTAAGAACGCTGACATATTTGGGTCCAAACTGAAAGAAAGAATGGGTTCTGCTGCTGCAGTTCATCTCCAGCAATAACACAGAACAATGGTGCGCCGCAGTTCATCTCTAGCAATAACACAGAACAATGGCGAGTACAAGCAATGCTAACTCTGGAACAGAACTGGCAGTGATCGGATAATCGGCTCTCTTCTCTGAAGCTAGAATATCAGGTGAAATAAATGGCTTTAAAAAATGTTTAAATATATATGTATATATATATATACACACACGGAAGCAATATAACTTAGGGTATATATTATATAATTATATAATTTTTCACTATTCTATGAATTACTTTTCATTAATAAAGTCTTTTAGTATGTTGAGTATTTTTTCTTATTGATATATTTGTTTTGTGTAAGAAGTCTTTATATATTTGTTTGAGTGTGTCTTTCTATAGTCATTAGTATATATAATTATTTATATATATGTATATTCTTTTTTTTTTTTTTTAAGACAGAGTCCCCCTCTATTGCCCAGGCTGGAGTGTAATGGTGCAATCTGGGCTCACTGCAACCTCTGCCTCCCAGGTTCAAGTGATTCTCCTGTCTCAGCCTCCTGAGTAGCTGGGATTACAGGAACCTGCCATCAGGCCAGCTAATTTTTGTATTTTTAGTAGAGACAGGGTTTCACCATGTTGGCCAGGCTGGTCTTGAAACCCTGACTTCAGTGATCCACCTGCTTTGGCCTCCCAAAGTGCTGGGATTACAGGCGTGAGCCACTGCGCCCGGCCTATTGTGTATATTCTATTCTATATAAGGGAGTGTCTATTTCTGGACAAATGTTTCCTGTTCCATTACCCTACAATTTTGACCTTATGCCAACTGTTCATTATTTTGATTATTGTAACTATACAGTAAATCTTAACTATGCAGTGTAATGTTATCTAATTTGCTTTTTAAAAATAATTTTGTCTACTTTAAAAAATTTTATTTTTTAAGTAATTTTGTCTAACAGTGTGTCAAATAGTATGAAGAAGCCTCCTGAAATTTGATTGATCCTATAACAATATTGATATTTTCAATCCAGGAACATAGTTTTTCTATTTACTTAGATCTTTTAAAAGTTCTCTCAATATTATTGTATAGTTTAGGTGTATGGATTTGTATAAACTAGATTAAGTCTGTCCTTTAATATTTTATATTTTTGCTGTATTTTAGAAATTTTATTTTCCAAATTTTCTTGCTAATATATAATAAATGCTATGGATTTTATGTAGATCTTGCATTATATGATTTTAAAGTTGTTGCTTATTAGTTCTATTTCTTCTTCTTCTTCATTATTATTATTATTAGATGACTGGTCGCCCAGGCTGTTGTGCAGTGGTACAATCACAGCTCACTGCAGCCTCCACCTGACCTCTTGGGTTCATGATCCTCCCATCTACTTCCTCCTGAATAGCTGGGACTACAGGCGCCCACCACACTCGGCTGTTTTTTAATTTTTTGTAGAGATGAGGTCTCACTGTGTCACCCAGGCTAGTCTCAAACTCTTGGGCTCAAGCAATCTTCCTGCCTTCCCCGGCCTATCAAAGTGTTGAGATTAGAGGCATGAGCCACCACCTCTGGACTTTTTCTTATAATTTTTAAAGATTTTGTGAATACACTGTAGTGTCATCCTCAAGTAAGGAAAATGCTAATTCTTACTTTCAAATCCCTATGCTTTGTTGTTATTATTGTCTTATTGCAATGTCCAGGAATTACAGCATGTTTTTGAACAGTGAGAATAAACACATTCATTATAGTCTCATTTTTAAAGAGTAAACATTCAATATTTCAAATTAAGAATTACCTTAGTAAAGGTGTTTTTATAATTGTTCTTCATCAGGTTGAGGAAGATACTATGTATTCCTACTTTGATAAGACTATTTTGTGAATGGCTTTTGTATTCTGGCAATGATTTTTCTACATCTTCTGAGATTATCATATGCATTTTTTCATGTATTCTGGTCATCTTGTGAATTACATTGATCAGTCTTCAAATAATTAAATATAAGGTACAAATCCCTGTAGATATTAATATACTATCATTTTGTATGTTGCTGAGATGAATATGATTTGCTAATATTTTAAGAATTTTTACATCCATGTTCATGTTCATGATGGATATTATTCTGTAATTTTTACTTCTTTTTCAGTTTCATTTCCTTTTTCTTGTTATTTGTTTGTTAGGTTTCAGTATGGAGAAAATCTTGGCTTTCTAAAATGAGTGTGGATATGTTAATTCATTTCATATTTTTGCAAGAGTTTGTGTTAAATTAGGATTATTTCTACTTACATTATTAATAGAATTCACCAATGAAGTCATCTGCTTCTGGAGTTTTGCTTGAGCGGAATTTATTAATTATGAATTCAATTTGTTTTTGTCTCTGTGTTCTAGATTTGGTAGTACTGGATTTCAAAAAAATCACATTTTCTCTAAGTTATGGAATATATTGATTTCAACTATTTTCTGCTTTATTTTCCTATTCTACATATGTCTGCCATTATTTTTCTTATTCCCTTCTTTCTACTTATTTTGGCTTTAATTTGTGCTGTTTTTAAGGCTTTGAGCTATGGGGTTTTCTGATTTTTGAGCTTTCTTCTTTTTCTATTGTAACCATCTCAAGCTCTATATTTACATCCTCAATCTGCCTGGCTGCTCCCTACAAATTTCAATGTCTAGCACTTTAATTACCATTTTGTGTAAAATATTTTGTAATTTATCTTGTAATTTCTTCTTGGATCCACAGGTTATTTAAAAACATAGCGTTTGATTTATATTTTCTATGGTCCTAAATTCAGGCTCGATTAGTAAATAGTTCATGTGCATTTGAAAATGATTGTGCATTTCACACTTAGAAGGAGTAGTATTCCATAAATATCAATGAGATGAAATTAATTGGCAGTCTTGTCTAAATGTCTTATGTCATTATTGATTTTCTGATTCTTTTCTCTTTCAATTACTCCAAGAGAAGTGTTGAAGTCTCTAACTCTATTTGTGGTCTATTTCTCATCTTTGCTTTCACATTTTGCTTCATGTGTTTCAAAGCTGTGTTGTTATTTACAGGCACATATAGAACAGTGTGTTTGGGAAATTCTGCAATTTGGAATGGTGTGGACAAACCTGAAGGGCATTAGGATAAGTGAAATAAACCAGGGACATAATAAACCAGGGACATAAAGGCAAATACCACATAACCTTGCGTATATGTGAAATCTAAAATAATCAAACTCGCATAAGCAGAGGGTAGAATGGTGGCCTCCAAAGGCTGGAGGAAGCAGAAAATGGGGAGCTGTTGGTCAAAGGGTACAAAGTTTCAGTTATGCAAGATTATTAAGTTCTAGAGATCTAATGTACAGCATGTGGCTATAGTTAACACAAGAATTTGTACACTTGAAATTTGCTAAAAGGGTAGATCTCAGGTGTTCTCACCACATACGGAGAATGGTAACTATGTGAGGTGATGCATGCTTTAATTAGCTTGATTGTGGTGATCATATTGCAAGGTATATTTATATCAAAATATCAAGTTGTACACACTAAATATGTACAATTTTTGCCAATCCTACCTCACTCAGCTAAAAACAAACAATAGAAGAACCATGTGTCTTTATGAGAAAATGACTGTCAACTGTGTTTCTATTACGCAGTTTCCCCAAGGGTTTTTTTTTTGTTTGTTTGTTTGTTTTTTTTTTTTTGAGACAGGGTCTCACTGTGTCACCCAGGCTGGAGTGCAGTGGCGTATCTCAGGTCACTGCAACCTTCACCTCCCGGTTTCAAGCGATTCTCCTGCCTCACCCTCCCGAGTAGCTGGAACTACAGGCTTGAGCCACCATGCCCAGCTAATTTTTGTATTTTTAGTAGAGACAGGGTTTCAGCGTGTTGGCCAGGCTGGTCTTGAACTCCTGACCTCAAGTGATACCCTGCCTTGGACTCCCAAAGTGCTGGGATTACAGGTATGAGTCACTGCACCCAGCCTGATTTTTGTTTTTAATCAAGAGTGTGTTGCCTGATGTTAATATAGCTACACCAGTTTTCTTTGTATTGGCATTTTATACTTTTCCTTATATATTTACTCTGTACCTCTCTGTGTCTTTTTATTTAATGTTAATTTATTGAAAAAAGCATATAGTTGATTTTTTAAAAATCTACTCTGACAATTTCAGCATTCAATTGATGTATTTGATTCACTTATTTTAAATGGAAAAGTTAACAAAGAAGGTTACTTTCCTGTTGACAATCTGGCTATTTATAACTTTCTGCGGTCTCTATCGAATGCTTGAGGTGTTTGACAAAGTCTCTCCTCTCTGACTAGTCAGGGCTCACATGTTTCTCTGTCTGGTAATTATTCAATTTATAGATTATCTGTTGTTTTGTTACTTGCCAGTTGTTCTTTCCTGGCCTCAAGGGGTCTTAATCTATATAAATCAGATTTATTATTTAGTCAAAATTTCAAGGAGACTTATGCATGTTTCTGGAGCTCTTTTTCTGCTTAGGTCCATCATTTTGGGTACTTAGCCCCCAAAATTCCAGACACCTCAGTTTTGCCACATCCAATCTTACATCTCAGTGAAACCACTTGGCTATACTTGAGTTCGTATTTTCTAAGTTGTGTTATAGAAACTTCCTACGGGGAGAATGGAGTAGGATCTCTAGGGCATATGCCATTAATCTGCCTTCTCTCAGGGATTACAGTTTTATATTGCCTTTTTCTACTGTTGGATACGGTGATTTCATATAGATTTTCCAATTTTCTAGCTGTTTATGCCTGTAAGACTAACCTGGCAGAGTTACACTATATGGCAGAAGGAGAAATTCATTAAGTATATTGTATTATGATGTTTTCCCCATTAGTAGACTATTTTACACTGTTTATCATTGTGTCAGCTACATTAAAGATGAAGACTTGTATTCCTGAGTTTTTGAGTCAGTTATTAGTCCTACCATTTCTCATGTAATGAAAATAGCTTAGAACACTGTCTCCACTTGATGTTTACCCACATTCTGTGTTTTGATTATGATGTATTTTGATATTACACATAATATAAATCCCACTACATATAACTGTTGTTTTACACAGGTGATCATTTTTTACATTGAAAAAGATGTTCATTCTTTAATGTGCTCTTCTTTGTTATTTCTTTCTTATTGTGCTTCCATCTTATACCTAAAGCAATATTTTAAGATGACTCTTAGTGAAAATTTGATAAGTTTTGTCAGGGTTTATTTTCTTCTGAAGTTATTTTTATTTCTTTTCACACATGTTTTGGAGGCATATTTTAGCAGGCTATTGATTTCTGGGTATTGGCAATGTTTTAATGTAGGATCCCTACTAATGTCATTCAGTTTTCTTTTGTTTAATATTATTTCTGTGGAAAAGTCAGATGCCAATCTTATTATTGCTCCTTTAAAGGTACTGTGTCTTTTTTCATTTTTCTTCTGACTACTTTCAAGATATTCTTTCTATCTTTGGTTTTCTTTCATTTAAAGATTTTTAGATTTGCTAAGCATCTTCATCTGTGAATTGATGTCTTTCCATCAATTTGAAAAGTTATTACCTGACATCTCTTGAAACATTTCCTCATTTCTCTCTCTCTTTTCCCTCAACAGTTTCATTACACTAACCATAATACCTCATCATCATGTTCTCGGTTCATCTCAATGAATATGCTATATGTTAGCTACTGCTTTAACTACCAATTCAATAATCCTTTCATCTCTAACATATGCTTTCTTCCTAAAAAAAATTATAACTAAAATTTCCTATATTATAATTGAAATCCAAAAGTAAAATGTTTTAAATTCACTTTACTTCTTGATTTCAGTTATATTTTCAATTTTAGAATTTCCATCTAATTATTTTCCATAAATTTCAAATACTTGGTAAAATTTTTTGATAACATTCTCCCCCATTTAACTTATTTTTCTATACTTATGAAGAATTTTTTTCAAAATACATATCTGATATCTTCAGTATCACGAGCATCTCTGTTTCAGTCTTTTAAATCTCTTTTTTCTCCTAGGTTTTCAATCATTTATTCTTGTTTATTGGTATGCCTATTTATATTTAATTGATATTCAGACATTATTTATTAAAATCTATTTTGAGGTACTTTGATGTCACTTTGCTTCATAGAGGATGTGATTTCTAAGAGGTAGTAGAGAAGTGTCATGTTGCCTTAATAAAATTAGGTAAGAAGATCATTTAAGACTAGGTTTGAATTTTTGTGAATACTCCTGTATTAGTTTTTTCTCTTTCTAGTTTATAGCATTTTAGGAGTCTCAACTTTAATTCCAAAATTTAACTCTCCATTTCTGCGACTGGTAAGTGGTCTATTGATCTCTTTCTCGTCTCTTAGCTATTGCTTTCTGGTTACTTTATCATCTTCTAATACTATTTAACATAGGACTCAACAATACCTTCTGAAGATCAACAATGGATAATGTCAAACTCATTTCAATATGCTCCCTTTCACGCTGAGATTTGATCCCTTATTTCTTCAATCTTTGGCTATTTTTGTTGCTTTCCAGTGCTGTTTGAAGAATAACTTTATAAAAGATTGGTTTAAGGTTGTTTTTAGTTAGGATGATTATTCTGATGAAATGCTCTATCATATTCAGAAACGAAAGTGAGATGTTTATTCTTTAGCTGTATTAACAAGTTATATATCCTCCAAATGCAAATCCATTATCATCATCTTTAATGTATACCTCATTTAAGAGATGAATTATTTAAATGTTGGTCTCTAAATTGATGAATCTAAAATTTAATCTATACTGAGTTGGAGACAGGAGGAGTATGGCCCACAAATTAGTTTGTTGAGGGATGATGTTATTAGAAAACACCAAAGCTGTGGTCATAAAATTACTGTCTTCCCTTAGATGATTATTGCTTCTAAATCTTAAATAGGTCCAGTTCTAAAGCAGGGTTTTCATCAACAAATTGTATAATGATTCAATTTTAATCTTTAAAGTTATACATGTATTATAATACATAGACTTCATCTGTAAGGGACTGCATCTATATAATTTATTAGGAAAAGAGAAAAAACATTTTTAGGTTTTGTACTTATTTTTTTCAAAAAAACTATTATCAGTTTGTGTAGAAAAACATTTAAAAATTGCTATAAGATAAAACACTTAAAAATTATTGTGAACTTGAGACCTGGTCTACAGGAGATAAATTCTACTAGATTTTGGCATCCTGGAAAAAAAGCCAAAAGCTCTAGTCTTACACAGGATGTTAAATTAAAACAGCGATATATCATCTAAATCACAATTACTCTCATTGTTCTATACTGACAACAAAAAACTACGTATATCTTTTGTTCTTGATTAGTTTCATCTAATATTTAGACTATATAAATAATAATCTGTATCCTTTCAAAAACCTTCAAGTCTATAAAAGAACATTTTAATTAGGTAGTTTTATTGATCAATCGGAGAAATATTTTAGGCACTAAGTAAGATGCTGAATTTATTTTCTGAACTGGTGCATCCTCTCAATTTTTATTTACTTGAATTGTAAGGACTATTGAGAAAATGAAGGTTTGTTACAGGGCTACTATTAATTCGGTCTGATTACCATTGAATCTTATAATCAGCTTCATATTTTAGCATGAATAACATGCAATTTTGCAGCTTGGGAAAAAACATTTGGTTTTTACATCTTTATCAACATCAACCCAAGGCTGCAAGTTACTTATTAAACAGCACAATTTGGTTTATATTCAGCTCATAAAATATAAGTTTCTCATTTCTCTATTTAAGATAATTGCCTTTCAGGGGAAAACACTATAATGTTGATATTGTATAATTCATTAGTTAAAAATAAGCAGCTATATTCACTACAGATTCTGCAACCATAGTTTGCCAAAAACTTTTGCAATTTCCATTTTGTAATAATAAACTCCACCTGTACTCATATTAGGAAGGCAATATTTATGGATTCCCTCTGTGGCAGATAACAGATTTAATATTTCCATATATCTTTAGGAAGAAGCTAGAAAGCCTGGTTTTCCATACATGGCAATCATCTTTTTTAACTGGTAGCATTTGTGACAGAATAAACTCCATTAACTTGTTCTATTAGTGCTCTGTGCAGTCAGCAAGATCAATGCTGCATAGAATGATGAAATGACTAACAGACTTCCTCAGAGCCCTGCTGAGTGCTTTCTGCCACCCAGAATATATAATTACTGCTCACATAAACAGGTAGAATTTGCTATTTTATTGCTCAGGCAATTCCTGGAAATTCAAGGATGTTCTTAATTGGAGGAATAAAAATAAAATCTTTTCTCTGTGTACATACAGAGTCATTTGTATTATGTTCTATTTTATTATGAATCTTTCATATTAAAAATAAAACTGTAGGGTAAAATCTAATCCTTTTCCCCCTTATTGGCTAATATGATGACCAAACAACTTGGCACACTTAAAGAGCTTCAAATATAAAAGATATTCTGACCAGATGCCTCCCCAATGCCCGTTAGTTACTTGTCGACAGCAGAACACAAGGTGAGCAAAAAAAAACAGCATAAATGGGAGCTAATGAAGCCAGCAGACATGAGAATACTTTACAGAATGTAAGTAAACAAGAGACAGGTATCACACCATTAAAAATAATCCAAGTGGCATGTTTTGAAACAGGTATCTTGCTCTGCAGATGGCACAGCTGCTAGTACTTATCTGAAGAGGGGTATTCTCTTCTAGAATAACTTGTGTAACAAGGAACGTTAGCCACTTCAGAAATATAAATGCTTTTTTTTTTTCCTCTCTGCCTCCATTTTCTGCTTCCTGCCTTCTCTCCTCTAAAACCCTCCCCTGCCTTGCCCATTTGAGATGAAAGCTAGCTTCAGAGCTGACTATCTGCATGGGCCTGCCAATATAAACCTTGAGTACATTACATTTTAGTCTAACAAAATATAGGAATCATGAAGCTAAGCAATCACAAAGGAAATGATTGAAAGGAAGAGTCAGAATAGATGTAGAATGAGGGGAAGCATGAAAAAAATCAACATTAAAATCAAATCTAAGTCACTTTTTGCTAGCAAGAATGAGTTTATGATTTGCAGATTGAATATAACAAAGAAGAAAAGTATTTTTCATAACAATGATTTATATATTCAGCCTTTTGTTAGAAAAGGATTCCTTTTGTATTACAGCTGTATCTCTTCTTGCCCTTATATTTAAAGTTCTTTCTGCATTTCCATTTTAAGCCCCTAGATTGTTTTGTAACTTGGCCACAAAAATTCACTGCAGACAGACATTTTAAATTCAAGACATTATTTTTATGGTGGATATTCTAGACTATTAACATTATTCATTTGTCTATTTTTGAGTTAACAGAACTATATAACTTGTTTAAATATTCTGGTTATAGAGAATTGTTAATGCTTTCCTACTTGAGTCTTTTTCCTGAAATAAAATTTAAAAATTCAATGAGGTAATATTTTCTTCTGAATTGGTAATTTCATGTTCATAACATCCATATTATCAGTAAGTCTTAGAAGTTACCTTTGGCTCCACAGAGCCACTGAATCTTAGAGTGATAAAGAACTTAAAAGTCATTTAATTTAGTTAGAATATAATAATTACTCCAGGCAATAAGGAAAGTATATGAGCTTACTTCACAACATAGTTACAGAAATCAACTTACTTTTTGTTCAGAATGAAGTCAAGGTTTTTGTCCATGCACAATAGATGAAGGCCGTCATGTTTCCAAGGTAAGTTCAAATGTCATAGTGTGTCTAATCTGATTTTCATTTGACTTCAGAGGAATGCCAAAAGAGACAGCATGTTGTATTTACATATCACTATATTTTATATCAAGCTCTTTGTCATCCTTTGTATTTTTTTTTCTTAGATGGCTCTTAGAAATGTCTTCATGAGATTTGATACAAACTGTGATCTAAAATATAGTATATTTGATTAATTTTGTATCTCAAGATATTTTATAGTATAAGAACATTAAGCAAAGTGTCAAAGATTGTTTATTTATATAATTGGAATAAAGGAATGGATACTCTTTGGTCACATATAGGACAAATTATTCTAGATCCTGGAAATATAAACATGAATAAAACATAATCCTATCCTTTAAGTAATTCATACTCCAACAGAGGAGAAATACAAATATTGATCATACAGATAGAATGTGACACATCTTATGACAGATATATGTACTTGGTGCTGTAAAAGCACAGAATAGGAGTGTTTTATTTATTGTGGGGGTCCTAAAATCATCTCCCAAAGAAGTACGTTTTTCTCCAAATATTTGAGATAAAAAATTGTTAATATGGCAAAACTTTTTTTAAGTGAACCAAAGGCATTTCCAACACACACAAAAAGAGCATATAGAGATACTCACTGGAGGTATAAGATACTGAATATTAAAAACTACAATAAGTAAAAGACTGAAGAAGAATAAATAAAATGGCAAGGACTCAAGTAAGATAAAATTATAGAGATAAAAATAGTTGAGTGGGGTAGGTAATGCAGGGCTTTTCTACCATGCTTAAAATTTGATACTTAGACAAAAAGTGATGTAATAACTGTTGAAACTTTTAGACAGTACATCTGTTGTGAGCAAATATGTCTTGATTAGGATGTTCTGGTGCCAAAGCTATCCCAGTTAAGAGACAACTCAAATAGCTCTTAGTCTAGGATGTTTTCACTAAGTGTAGAGAAAAGGAATACACAAGTCATAATTAGAAATCAAAGCAAATAAGTGTCGATAAATAGAATGGAGGTGTCACCAAATGAGATTGACGCAGGATATTTTCAGTGCCTGTTTGCCAGCCAGAGTCCTCTGCAGCCAGCAACACGCACACCCAGGCGTCATTCGGGCACAGGCTTGCAGTAGAATGTGTCCAGCCTTCTCAGCCCACTGGGCCTGCTCTTGGCTTGTGCTCTAACCTGGATCTTATGTTTGCCCTGGGATCCAGGCTCAGCCTCCAGCTGGGTCAGGCATGCCCCAACCTGACTGTGTTACAGCTTATTAGTTCCTGCTGCCACACTCTGGCCTGTGACTCTGTAGCTGGCTCAGCCCTGCCGCTGTTTCCTGTCATTTTGGGAGGGCTGCCTGGTGCTGACAGAGGGTGGAGGGCCATAGTGTTACAGCCTTTTTTGTAACTACATTCATTGGTTCCCAAGTTCTTGTCCCACATCCAAGAAGAATGAGGTTATTCTGACAATTGAAGGGTAAAAAGGGCAGAGAAAATTTGTATTAAGTGATGGAACAGCTCAGTGTAGAGGGAGCTCAAAGTTGGTGGTCCCCCACCTAAAGGTGGGTAGTCCCCACCACCTGAAAGAAGGTAGTCCCCCAGTGTGGATGAGTCCAGGGCTTTTATGGGCTCAGAATGGAGGTGTGTGTGCTGATTGGTTTGGGAGTATGCAAAAAAGGCTAAATCAAAGGCTCCGCTCAAAGGTGGATACTACAGTGCAAAGAAACCAATTAGGAAAGGGTAGGTAAATGTAAAATAGGTGAAGTATGGGGATCAATCAGAGGAAAACATGCCAAATGGGAAAAGAGGTTCTCAATCTGGTCCATGGATGTATCTGAGACTTGTTGCATGGCTTTCAAGCTTTAAACTGTCTTTGGTTTGAAGGTGGGGTTTCACCAGGGACCCTCCCTGGTCTGTTTAGGGATTTGTTTGCCTCCTGCCACTATCAAGATCAAGAAGAGGAGAAAATATAATGAGTTTATTTGAAGGCATTTGGAATTTGAGATGATCTGAAGATACCTAAGGGTAGACAATTATCACATTTTCAGTGTAGGAATTTCATGTAAATTATTAGTTGGAGCTATAAAATTATGAAAAGAGAACTGGTGTGTAGATAGTACCAGCAACTTGAGGAATGTCATATTTTAAGTTGTGAATTGAGAAAGAGTGGTTTATTTAAAGACACTGAGAAGGCAAAGTCAGAAATGGAACAACGTAAATTTTTGGTTGTATAAACTTAAAGAGTAGAATGTTACAAGGTGAGGTTAATACATAAAATGCAAAAGACATAGATGAGAAAATAAATGCTGCAAAGTCTAGTTGATTTGTTGATGAAGAGGTCAAGAGTGAAACTGATTCACTGGAGTTGTTAAGGGTAGAAACACAACTACAGTAGGTTGAAGACTGAATGGGAAGTGAGAAAATGGAGCTTGAAGTGCCACAAATACAGGACCAGGTCTATCTTGTTTTTCCTAGTATCCCCAGGCATTGCACAGAACCTGACATAAAGAAGGTTTTCAATAACTGTGTGTTGACAGGTAGACAGAGATTGACTGATACATCACAATTCTTACCAGAAACTGAGCTGAAAAGAAAAGAAATTGAGCTATAGCCAGAGGGGAATGTAATATTCAGAAATTTTATTTTCTTGTATTTCTGTATAGAAATTGAAAAGCAGTTTCCAGTATTAAAAATAAAGACTAAAATATATAAGACATTGGTAAAGAGCTACATTATGAAACAAGGTGTTAAGAGATGAGAGCCTATAGTATTGAAAGTAAAGGTGTGGCAGTCTTATTTACTTAGCCTGGAGGGAAGAAATTATGGCTGGGGGTGATACAGATAAGGCAATAGGTGGGCTATTTCTCAGTATATAATATAGATATTGTATTTCTTAATATAGAAAGCAAAACAACTTTCTGAATGTAAAAATAGGGGGTGGCTAAGACTATGAGAATAGTTGTAAGAAAGAATTATAGATAACAGGCAAAAAAATGATATGCAGCACTGAAGTTCAATCTAAGGTTAGAAATATCAATTTAGAATATCACCCACTCACAAAGCTGAGTAATTTCAAGGATTAGATATACCGGAGAAGAAGATTGATTGTAGATAATTCTAGGATTAGGTATTTTGGGTAAAAGAGGAATGAAAACTAATGTGCAAGGTAATGAAGCAGTTCTGATGATCTTTGTCTATGATGCTGAAGTAGGGGAATAAAGCCAGGAGAAGAAAACCTTTGGCCTTGTGGGAAGGGAATTATCAACAAACTGGAGATTTTGAGGAGGTTAAAGAACAACTGTTAATGAACCGAAGGTATGAGATGGAAGGGATAAGCAATTACATCAGGAAGTGATATTCGCATTTTATCCATCTGAGGTGGAGAAACATGTTAACCCACAGGCTGTGGCTATGAAGAGTCAGTGGCTAAAATATACTTGAGTGAAAATTACTGGAATTTGGTGGCTCAAGTTGCTTTTTAAGCCAAGATGTTAGAGAGAGGTTCTCCACATAGTTATTACGTGACCCCAAATGATGTCACAGCTGGAAATGGAAAAGAAGATAGTAAGTTATGTGCAAAGTGTTTATGGTCCACCAGAGCAGTCATTGATAGTGATAAAGTCACTTAGGAAGCATGGAAGTGGAACTCCAGGGATAGGAAAGATACTGGAACAAACAAACAAAAATGAACAACAGCAATAACTAAAAACTCTGACCAGAGATATTTAGGGTTAAGGAGTCATTTCAGTTTGAAAATAGGACAAATTGCACAAATCTAAATGCAATTTCAACATTACAATAAAAATCTCAATTTTTGTTGCTTTTAGTTTAAAACCCTATTGAGTGTGCACTTTGTATCAGTTCATGTGTTATTTGCCATAGATATATAGGTGATTAAGCAAATGTAGACTTGTGGAGCTGACAGACTACTAGGAGCTCATGGTTTATCAGATCTCATAAATGGAAATGGTTGTCCATATAAATGAATTAATACACATCAACTCTACCATAATTTTTATCCATAATTTACAATGATTGTTTACTGAGAATCTGCTAATGGCAGCCATTGGTATATGAAGTGGGATCAAACTGTATTCCTTTTGGCTTAAGGGCATAATAATTCATTTGTAAGTAAGGTGGAAGAATAATGTGACATGTTACATAAATGGTAAAGACAATATGTGCTTCAGGAGTGGAAGCAGAAACCAGGCCATGTTATCTTATTTTCCTGTAAACCTCAAGGAGTTCGACCTCAATGATCACCACTGTTACTTTTTTTTTTTTTAAGTAAGTGGAGTGAAAGACTCCTTTTATGTCCTCAGACATGCTAGAGGGCATTTATAGAAAACAGAGCAGCATCTGAGTTTTCTCATTCCCTGTTGGATCTGCCTAAGGGAATAAAGATAATTATGATGATCTGTATCATTATTGTTTTAATTTATTAAAAGCTAATGATGCACTCAGCACAGTAGTAAGTAACTAAAAGGAAATGGTCCCCACCAGCCTCAGGACAGAGGCAGAATACAATAACAAATAGCAATATAGAAGGGGAGGGCAAATTCAACATTCAGTGGCATTTTAGGAACACAAAATTTGGAATAGATTGCTTAAGCTGAGACCTAACAAATAAATAGGAGATAAACAAGAAAAAAAAGTGTGGTGAAGGTAGAGCTCTGTGATTGGTGGAAGGATAAATAGCACTTCATTGGTCTTCCCTGGTGGTTAGATAATATGGGACCAAATCAAGGACACTCAACTTCAAATATATAGCCCATCATCACATTGTATCTCACATCATATATGCCTGGCTTTGATTTAAAATTTATGATTGCTACTAGGAAAATGAACCACCCTGAATATTAAATGACCCAGAAGTTGTCAGTGAGACAACAGGAAAAGTTAGACGATAAATTAGTAACCACTATTAGATGACCCAGAAGTCCTCTGTGAGACAATAGGAAAAGTTAGACAATAAATTAATAACTACAAGGGAAGTGGGAGGTATGGGTGCTATAGGAACAAGAGGACTTAACCAACTCTGGGGGGGTTACAGATATGTATAATTGTATGGTTCTACCATGTAGATTGGAATACAGGGAAAATTGGTACAGGGAGAGAGTAAGATAGAGAAGGACAAAGTCAGTAAGAGAGAGGGTAGCACAGAAGCGGGACCCGAGAGTGGAAACTGCTTGAGACATGAAGGTTTTTTAGGCTTTGTCGCTATTTTTTTCCTGAAGCCCATATACACTTCTACCTTTGTTTCCATTAGTCAGCCAAATATACTTACAAATACATCTTTTTCGTTTGTAATGGTTTTGTTAGTTACAAAGAATTCTAATCCTTAGTGATGCACCAATATTTAATGACACCAGAAGATAGTTAAAGTCTAACATATTCATAATATTTAAGAAAGGCAAATGACAGTAAAAATGATTCAGTGGGAAAAGATATGGAGCTATTATGTGATGCAGTCTGGGTAAATTAGAGTTGATATGGAATGTGATGTATTTATTTATTTAATAGATTTAGGGATAAAAGTACAATTGTGTTACATGGATATATTGCACAGTGGTGAAGTCTGGGCTTTTAGTGTACTCATCACCCAAATAATGTTCATGGTACCCAATAGGTAGTATTTCATCCCTCACCACCCTCCCACCCTCCTATCATCTGGAGTCTCCACTGTCTGTTAGTCCACTCTGTATGTTCATGTGTACCCATTGTTTAGTTCCCACTTATAAGTGAGACACATGGTTTTGGGGCTTCTGTTTCTGAGTTATTTCCCTAGGATAATGGTCTTCAGTTCCATCCATGTTCCTGCAAAATACATGATTTTATTGTTTTCTCTGGCAGAGTAGTATTCCATGATGTGTGTATGTATATGTGTATACACTTTTTTTAATCCAGTCATCCACTGATGGATGTGTAGGTTGACTACCTGACTTTGTTATTGTGAATACTGTTGCTATAAACATACAAGGGCAGTTGTCTTTTTTATATAATTATTTCTTTTCCTTTCAGTAGAGACCCAGTAGTGGGATTGCTGGATCAAAGAGTTGCTCTGGTTTTAGTTATCTGAGAAGTCTTTATACCGTTTTCCATAGAAGCTGTACCAATTTACATTCCTACCAACAGTGTATAAGCATTTTCTTTTCCTACAATCCTTGCCAACATCTGTTGCTTTTTGACTTTTTAGTAATACCCATTCTGAAGGGTGTAAGGTGGTATCTCATTATGGTTTTAATTTGCATTTCTCTGATGATTAGTGATGTTGAGCACTTCATCATACGTTTGTTGGCCTCTTGTGTATCTTCTTTTAAATAATGTCTTTTCATATCCTTTACCTGTTTTAATGGGGTTATTTGTTTTTTTCTTGCTGATTAATTTGAGTTCCTTGTAGATTCTGGGCCTTTTGTTGGATGAAAAACTTGCAAATATTTTTTCTCATTCTGTAGGTTGTCTATTTAATATGTTAACTATTTATTTTGCTGTGCAAAAGCATTTTAGTTTAAGTTCAATTTGTCTATTTTTGTTTTTGTTGCGTTTCCTTTTGAAAACTTAGTCATAAATTATTTGCTGAGGCCAATGTCCAGGAGAGTTATTTCTAGATATTCTTCTAGAATTTTTGTAATTTCAGATCTTATGTTTACGTCATAATCTATCTTGACTTAATTTTTATATATGGCAAGAAGTATGGGTCTACTTTCATTCTTCTGCTTACAGCTCTTTAATTTTTCCAGCACCATTTATTGAAAATGGTGTCCTTTACCCAGTGTATATTTCTGCCGAATTGTCAAAGATTAGTTGATTGTAGGTATGTAGCTTTATTTCAGGGGTCACTATTCTGTTCCACTGATCTATATGTCTATTTTTTTACCAGTACCATACTGTTTTGGTTACTATAGCCTTGCAGCATAGTTTTCAGTCAGATAATGTGACATCTTCAGCTTTATTGTTTTTGCTTAGGGTTGCTTTGGTTCTTCAGGCAGTTTTTTGATTCTGTATAAATTTTAAAATTGTTTCTTCTAATTCTGTAAACAATGACATTGGTAATTTGATGGGAATTGCATTAAATCTGCAGGTTACTTTGGGACGTATGGTTATTTTAATGATATTGGTTATCCTAATACATGAGCATGGGATGTGTTTTCATTTGATGTATCCTCTACATTTTTTCATCAGCTTTTTGTAGTTATTTCTGTAGAGATTTCTCATCTCCTTGATTAAATGGATTTCTAGGTAGCTTTTTCTTTGTAGCTATTATAAATGGGATTAAATTAATAATTTTATTCTCAGTTTGATTATTATTGGTATATAAGCATGCTACTGATTTTTCTACATTGATTTTGTACCTAGAAACTACCCTGAAGTAATTTACAAAATCTGAGATTTTTTTGGAGGAGTTTTTAGGGTTTTCTAGTTATAAGATCATATCACCAGCAAGCAGAGATAATTTGCCTTCATATTTTCCAATTTGGATGCTTTTTGTTTCTTTCTCTTGCCTAATTGCTGTAGTTAGGTCTTCCAATACTACGTTGAATAGTAGTGGTGAGAGTTAAGTTTCCTTGTCTTGTTCCAATTCTTAGAGGAAATACTTTCAGTCTTCCTCATTCAGTATGATGTTGGCTGTGGGGTTGTCATATATGTCTTTTATTATTTTGAGGTATGTCCCTTTTATGCCTAGTTTGTCGAGAGTTTTTGTAATGGAGGAATGCTGGATTTTGTTGAATATTTTTTCCACATCTATTGAAATAATTATATAATTATTTTTGTAATTATGTTTATGTAGTGAATCACATTTATCAATTTGGCTACATTGAACCATCTTTGCATCCCTGGAATAAAGCCCACTTGATCATGGTATATTATCTTTTTAGTGTGTTATTGGATTGAGTTTATTAGTACTTTGTTAAGATTTTGCATCTATTTTCCTCAGGGAAATTGGCCTGTAGTTTTTTTTGTTGTTGTTGTGGCCTTCCCAGGCTTTGGTATTAGGGTGATGCTGGCTTCGTATCTGTGCAATATTCTTCACATTCCAGATTCCTTATAATATGGAAATTGTGGTTTCTTGTGTTAGATTTGAAGACTGAATACTATCTAATATTGACGGCTTTTCAAGAAACGTTATAAAAATGTATTTGTACAATTCAGTAGTTCTATCAATTAAAATATCAATATTTTCTAGCACTTCTTTTCAGGAATTGCTAGAAAAAATAAAACACACTGAAATGTAAACCTAGTAACTTACAAAATTATTTTGGTAAAACATAAACAAGAATACTTTAATGTACTAGGCATCTTAAAACCGATAAAGTTGTCCCTGATGAAGGTGGCCTTCCTGTTCTCCTATGCTTGACTAGACTTTAGACAGGCCTCCTCCTCATGAATCTCTGCCTGACACCTGATCTTCCTTTTCCTTCTTTCTTTTTTTTTTATTTTCAGGTAGGGATGGGGGTGGGACAAGGTCTCATTCTGTCACACAGGCTGGAGTGCAGTGGAGTGATCACAGCTCACTGCAGCCCTGACCTCCCCAGGCTCAGGTGATCCTCCACTCCCAGGCTTCCAAGTAGCTGGAACTACAGGCACACTGCTGCCTCAGCCTCCCAGGTAGTTGTGACTACAGGTGTGTGCCACCATGCCTGGATAATTTTTTTTCTTTTTTTTTTTATTTTGTGGAGACGAGGTTTCACCATGTTTGCCAGGCTGTCCTTAAACTTGTGGGCTCAACCCATCCACCTGCCTCTGCCTGTCAAAGTGCTAGGATTACAGGCATGAGCCACTGTGCCAGGCTCTTGATCTTCCTTTTCTCAGAGCATTTACTTTCTCTGCCCTTTGAAATGTAAATTTTTAAAACACTTCTTAACAAGTTTACCACGGAAGAATATCTTTTGGGTGTTTCTGAGAGTAATCCGTTTGAAATGTAACTATCAAAGAAGTGGAGTTTATATCTCTTAGATTCTGAAGGAGGGTAGGACTAAGTTGTAAAGCTACCTCCTGTCAGGAAGATATGAGAAAGTTGACTTTTCCCTTGGGTACAAATGATTAGCAGACACAGATGGCCTATAATCCTCCTCACCACTGCCCCAGCTCTTAAAACTCTTCAGCCTTTTCTTTAAGCAAAGTTGAGATAAGGCTGAGTTCTGGCCTCTATACCTTACTGTAATAGCCTTGGATAAAGTGTTCCTTCCCTGCTTATTTAAAATTGTCTGGTGTAATTTTTACTTTGGCATTCATAAGTAAGTTCTGAGTTTGCTAAAATTCCATGGAATGAATTTGACATGTAGTGGCAATAGCAAGGTCACTGCCCTGAAAAAAAAAATTAACTCTAAATAGTTTATACACCTAAATGTGAAATACAAATGATAAAACTCCTAGAAGAAAACATAGGAGAAAATCTTCCCAAACTTTTATTTTGCAATAATTTTTTTAGATAAAATACTGAAAGAAAGCAGCATATGTGAAAGAAAATAAATCTATAGGTAGGTTTTTATGACACCATAAAAGAAGAAATTTTTTTCAGCTAAAATATAATTTTTTAAATGTGAATGTAAGATTTTTTAAGATAAATCTTAAAACTAATTGGTTGTATAGTCCCAAAGATTGGGCAGAGAAGGCAAATTCTAACACTAAAATTGTGGAAAAAAGGAATCCAGGTCTCCATTATAACTTATTTAATTCATCATATCTAGTTTATGGAGTTTTGTTATTTAGTTTCTATCGCTGCCAAAAAAATGAATTCAAAAATGTGCTAACATTTTGCTATGCAATATCATCATCTGTTAAAATTCAAGAAACTGACCTAAATGCTTACATGACAGAATTCGATGAATAATATCATTACTTTGATCTCAATGTTTGTGTCCCCCCAAAATTCATATGTTGAAATTCTAACCCCTAAGTTGATGCTATTAGGAGGTGGAGACTTCTTGGATGTGATTGGGTCATGAAGATGGAGCCCTCATGGATTGAATTAATACCCCTTTAAAATCAGATCTGAGAGAGTATATTTGCTTCTTTCCACTATGTGAGGACACAATGAGAAGGTACCATCTATGAATCAGGAGACAAACCCTCACCAGACACCAAATATGCCAGGGGCTTGATTTCGGACTTCTCAGTCTCCAGAACATTGAGAAATAAATTTCTGTTTTTCATCAGCCTCCCAGCCTCTGGTATTTTGTTATGGCAGTCCAAAAAGACTCAGACACATGCACACTACGTTAATATTTTTAAAGGCATCTCACATTTTAAAACATCACATCCCATATTCTATTTAGTTAAGGCCTTCCTTCCAATATGATAAAAGTCAATGACCCTTACTCTTGAGGAGAAAAGTGGAAAGTCAAGTCATTGTCAGATAGAAAAGATTATAGTAATAAACTGTAATGATGAATAGAATGTTCACCCCCAACCTAGGACTTCTTTTTCTAAATCCTTTGACTTGAGGAAACATGCCCAATGATAGCCAGAAATTTGAATGTCTCAGATAGTTGAGTCCTCAGGTCACTGCTGTGATTCAGGGAAAGTACAATTACATGTTCTCAATCACATTCAGATGAGAGATATTGATTATGGCCTCTATTATTGAAGGTGTAGGGAACAGTACACCTAGATAAGAACAAAGATTATCTTGGAGATTAAAAGGAATCACTAACAAGGAAACAGCAAGATATTATTAAAAGAATATTATGTATTTGTCTTTATTTGTCATACTTCCCAACATTTTCTTAATTAGACTGAGGTATCCATACTGGGTTTAGGAGAATTGATTGTTATAATTTCAGGAGAAAGACAGGCAATGTCTAGCTTATTGGACCTTCATAACGCACCGTTGGGAATCAAAAAGAAAATCTCTGAAGGGAGCTGGAATTAACAATGATGTCATAAGAAGAGCTTAGAAGATAATTCAGAGAAAGCCAGGCTATCCTGCCAATGGCTGGATATGAAAGGAAGAAAGGGGATTCTCCTCAGAGGACATCAGGGCCTGAGAGGGAGGCACCAGTCCTAGGGACATCAGTGAGCCTGAGGAGAGGAGAACAGTCAGCAGCAAAGTACCTTCTAATTCTTCTTTGCCCAGTGCCCAGGAGACCTGAGTGTCCCAGCCAGTATCTCCACTCCACCATTTGACATTTTAGTGAACATATCCTGTAGCCTATACCGGCTGAACA